>NC_000023.11:5887488-6512488 GCF_000001405.40 Homo sapiens
AGGTTTTTTATCAGCCAGTTTCTTTCTGCCTCGTATTTCGCACCTTTCTAAAAAATACCTTGTATTTTTTTACCCATGATGCAGGAGCATGGTTTCCCAACTTCCTCTGTCTTCTCACTTCAAAGGTGTGGAATTCTATCTTCCCCACAACACACCACCCACTGTCATTTTTTCTACGGAGTTGGAAAGATCTGGCTTAGGTTTCTTCAGACAGAATACGTTCCCAACCTTCCCAGACTAGGTTAAGAGCAGTGTCCAGACATTTCTTAGCACCACGTATTAGCATGGGTGCCATCTCCATCTCCAGCACCCCCTGCCTCTCCTTGCTTCTGTGTTTCTCTGCCTTCCCCTTGAGTTTTATGGTGTGAGAAGTTTTTTCTTCAATTTTAACACCAGCCCAGCACAGGGCCTGGGACAGTGGAGATATTCAGTAAAGGTTTGTTGAATGAATTAATGAATGCATATATTTTTTAGCATTCCTTGGGTTATTCACAATGAACAAGAATGCATAAAATAGTCAAAACAAGAGTGATTCTCCCTCCAGCTGAAATTTGCTAAAAATTCGACTTTGAATGCCTGAAGATGACAATAAGTATAAGTATATATGTATGTGTGTATATACATGTGTTTATATGTGTGTTTAATGCAAATGCCATTCTTAGAGATTTAAGTGCATGCATATCTATGAATATATCTATGTACATTATGTATCTGTATATATGTATGTGTGTCTAGGTGTGTGTATATTCAGTAATGGCCCTTTTCCAAGGGGGATGTGTTCAAAACTCAGTGGATACCTGAAACCACAGATAGTACCAAACCCTTTATATACTATGTATTTTATTATATGTACACACTTTTGATAAAGTTCATAAATTAGAGGCAGTAAGAGATGAACAATAACTAATAAAAGAGAACATTTATAACAATATACTGTCATAAAAGTTACGTGAGTGTGGCCTCTTTCAAAATATCTCATTGAACTGTACTCACATATTTTTACACCACAGTTGTCCACAGTACCTGAAACTGCAGAATGTGATTGCACAGATAAAGAGAACTAATGTATTTTCTATGTATATATACACACACACACACACACACACACACACACCCAGGAATATATATATGAGCACATTAAATATGTTGTGTGTGGATATACGAGTGTGTGTGCACATATATATGAGTGTGTGTATATTTATGTTTAACGGAATTGGCATCTTCAGGAATTTAAGTATGTGATATCTATGTATATATTTACATGTGTAACATATATATGCATATATGCATGTGTGCATATACAGTGTATGTAATGTATACATGCACAGTCACGCATCGCTTAACAATAGGGATCAATTCTGAGAAATGTATCGTTAGGTGATTTCATCATTGTGCAAACATCATGTAGTGTACTTACACAAACCTCGAGGTGCAGCCTACAGTACCCCTAGGCTCTATGGTATAGCCTAGTGCTTCCAGACTACAAACCTCTACAGCGTGTGACTGGAGAGAAGACCCTAGGCAACTGTAACACAATGATGAGCATTTGTGTATCTAAACATATCTAAACATAGAAAAGGCACAAGAAAAATGTTATTATAATCTCTTGAGATTGTCATCATGTTATTTGCATTTGTCCAAAATGTTATTATGCTGTGCATGACTCTATACATAATGCATATATAGGATATGTACATGTATATACATATATAATGTACACATAAATGTACATATATGTGTATGTGTGTCTATGTATTTCTCCTGTGTGCCTTCACAACACGATTGAGACAAACAACATCTGAAGAATTTAGGAGTTCACATATGTCAGAGAGTCCAAGTCCTTGCTATCTTTCTTTATCTGATACTTAGCTAGGATTATCACAACATGCAGGGCCTTGGCTTACAAGTGTTTGCCATATAACTTCTTGGTGAAAAGATTTTGGCTATGAGGATATACTATCCTGTTATCCATCAAGTTCTCCTGTCGAATAGGGGCTAGTTTCCTCTGAACATATTCCATTATGAAAGGGGAGCAATGCAGGTGCGTGCCCCTTAGGGCTACTGCGAATGTCAAATAAGATCGTGATGGTTGGATGCACAGGAAGGAATTGACAAATGAGCTCCCATTGGTATGATAGTGATTTTCTGCCTCTTGAGTTTCATTCGGTAGAATTTCTTGCTGTCACTTGCAGGCTTACTCACCTAAGGCTATTTGAAAGTGTTTTGTTGACCACAAATCAAAACACAGTGACGCAAGAAGGCACAGTGGTAGAAATAACAAATCCAAACACTCCGTTTCAGACAGTGTCACCTGAGGAGCTTCACCAAACAGGGCTTGGTTTTCCAAAATCAGGCCAGCAGAGCCTCCTCAACTGTGCAGCTGGCCAAAGCTAAAGAAACTATCCCATTACCAAATGTATTTATCTATTTGTAGCCTATGTCAGGCGCATCACTTAGTTTTTACAAAGAAAAAGACATTCAAAGAACAACAAAAGTAAATAAAACACGCCACCTACCAAGAAAGAATGGACGCATAATTATTTGCACAAAGCATTAGAAAATACTGTGATATTTTATTATTAAAAATGCTGCTGAAAAGTTTATACATATGTGTCCGGCCATATATATCTTCTATCATTACTTAAGGCAAAATAAAAAACAAAACTGCAAAATAATAACCCAAGGAACCATTAAACCCTGCGTGCCTTTGAAGATCAAGAGTAAAAGCCTAGGACAGGATTTTTTTTTTTCTTACTTTTTTCTCATTTTTTTTCTTTTTTCTCTTTTTTATAGATAGCAAGTATATTTTTTCTCATAGAACTCTATGAAGATTCTATAACTTCTTTCCATGTAGAAATAAGATATCATTTAAGATGTACTAAAATCACTTTTGATCATAATCCCCTGTAAAAGCTAAAGTTATTCACTTAACAGGAACTCTGTTTTTCCTTATTCAAATGTCACAAGCCTGACGCGTTACTGTACATATTGCTAGCAGGAGACAACTGGAAATACTAAACAAATACTGGAATTCACATTACAGACAGACGAAACCAACATGGATGCCACACATAACTTCCTTTGTAGTTTCACAGAGAGCCTATTTGTGGTTGCTCAGGTGGGGTCATACATTGCTTGCAGAAATGGCCTGATCATAGCTCTATGAAACAATGAATTCGGAATGAAATCTTACCATGACACCTCTCTGTAGGAAAGAAATGTTGCTTCACGTGTGCTAAGTTGAGATAATAATATTTCACATATTTATATACAGAGAATCACTCTCAAATTTAACCCAAGATAAGCAATAGGATTTGGGGGTGACTTGTACGCATTTCTAAAAACACTTTTCTTTTTTCTAGAGGTCACTCTCAAACACTGATATATCACTATAGTTTGAGTGTAGGGATTCAGTAATCAAAGGTTGTTATTGCAAAAGAGCCAGGCAGCTGGACAATTTTTATGGGGAATGTCCACTTTAGCGGAGAGATTTAAGACTGGATTTCTAGAATAACCCACAATGGAGCCGAGGAACATGATCTTCAAATATCTTTGGCTACTGTTTCTTGGTAATGCAATAATTTTTCAAAAAAGTATCCATTGCTACTATGTTTCCTTCCACCTTATAACACTCAAAACTTTCCTGAAAAATGAGAAGAGAAATGAAAAAATGACAAGCTGTTGGAAAGACAAATCTCTGATCCCTAGGTCACCAATTTAAAATGGGTGAATAATTTCCATTCAATGTCTTCTCAGTGAAGTTATCCTAATTTCCCAGAAAACCCATGCAAAGCAGTTTTAATATTCTATCCTTTCTTCCCCCATTCTTCTATAATATTCACCGTTTGGTGACCGGATACACAAATCCACAAAAAGTGATGTTTTCAGACAATCATATGTTTGATCCCATAAATGATATAAAAGATTTTTAAAAACCTGCTTACTGATAAATAAGGGACCGAGTGCTTAAACAAAAAGGAAAGACACATGTCTTCCTTCAATCTGATTAGCTAAGCTGAGCAGGTACTTCATCGGCCAAACCCTCCCGCAGCTGCTAGGGAACACAGAGCCGTATTTACTCCAAGGGGCATAGCCCCACCAAAGGCAAGCTTTCTTCTTTTTTTGGCAGGGCCCTGAAATGGGAAGCAACTCTTCCTAAACATATTCAAAGGGCCAGAGCTACAGAACGGGACTTGTATTTTTGTTTCTCCCTACTGATTCTTTGTGTGTGCATGTCTCTAATTTAACAAGCTGTAAATACACTCCACTTTGGGGACCCATCTCTGTACTGCAATTTCATGAAGGCTAACACGTACAAGTCAAAAGTTTTTCAAAACAGTGGTCTCCTAAGAATGCTCTTGCATGCACCTGTGCAACCTGACGGGGGAAATAGGCCACACAGACCGTCTGGGTCTTCTGTGGGACATCACATCCTCCTACAAATGAGAATCTCATGTAAGAAAATCCCATGTCTTTGTTTACCACAAGTAATTAAGAAGAAAAGCCTCTTTTGTTGGGGAGGAAACAGAGGTGATATGACTAATGTGTGTGTGTGTGTGTATATATATATATATTTATATACGTACAGAGCACAATGAAAAGCACAACCTTGCTAAAAGCTCTTTCAAAGTGAAAACACCAATAAAAGCTTTTTTTCTTGTTTGTCTGTTTGTGGTTTTTGTTTAAACTCACAGCTATATACATTTTTCTTTTTTACAAAGTCTCTTAAATATAGTTCAGGCTGGCAAAACACCTCTTTGCACAGAACCGTACAGATTTCGCTGCACAGTCCATTCTTTTAATAATAAATTTCTACGTTTCCTTCTCTCTGGATTACAGCTCCATGTGCTGGGCAAAATCTCATTGACTCTTTCTTCACTTAAGGAGAGCCATCCATTGTGTGGCACAGAAAGAAATGTTTAAACTTCCATTGTAATTAAAAAATATCAAGTGTCCTTGGCTGAGTTTCAGAAGTGTCAGCTGCTTCCATGACGTTGGAAACACCCGGGGCCTTGAAATGGTGATGTCCTATCACACTAAACATCGATTGGAGTGGTAGAGATCTTAAAGCAGTTATTTTAACAGAAATGTGTACTTCTCACATTTCACAGGGTCAGAAGTTGATCTTGTAATACTGGAAAACACCAACGATAAGGGTCTGCCGGGATGGGATGACTGCCTTTTTGCATTTTTGTCTTAAGTCAGTGGGACAAAAACATTCCTGGTCTGGAGACTTTCTTTCTCTCTCTCTTTCCTTCTCTCTTTCCTTCCCTCTTCTATGTTGCTGAGCGGGTAGGGCAGAGGGATAGGAAGGGAAATAGGGCAAAGCTATACTCTAGTGGTGGAATGTCCGTGGGGTAAATTTGTACTGTTTTGTCCTCCACTGAAGGTGTTAAAAGTGTGCAAAGGCTGCATCCCCGTCAGTGTGTTTGGAATCATGGTGATGGTGTTTGGCGTCATAAGTGGGATGTCATCTGGCGACCGGCGCAGCGTGAGGGTGTAGTCTGGCGGGCAGGTGAGCCTCAGTGTGTCGTGTGCCTGCAGCGACTCACACTCGTGATCGTGTTCCAGCTGCTTCATCTGCAGAGACATGATCTCTTCGTTCTGGATGTGAGCGATATCATTTGTGGTGTTTCTCTGGGGACTGGGGCGCCTGTGAGTCTCATGGCGCCTCTTGTCCTTTTTGTAGTACAGCGCCGCAAAAGCTAAGATGTTGAGGAAGAGGAGCGACGCCCCGACGGCAATGGTGACACTTAATTCGGTGGAATAATCTCGTTTGGTTTCAATGAGGACAGTTGTGTCCTCAGGCCCTGTTTTGTGAGGGTCCTTAGAGTGTTTGGGATTGTTGGCAGGAGTGATTGCTGGGCGTTTGGTGGTTGGCCATATCTTGGCGGGAGATCGCCGGGTGCCATAGGGAAATGATGTCATGTCTGGTGGAGGAACCTTTGTGGTTGTTGAAACATACTGGAATATCTCGTTCAAGTTGTGCAAATGAGGAACGAGTTCCAACCAGAAAGCCACTTTCGTTGCCCGGTAGTGATCTCTCACTCTGGGTTTCAAGCCAATATGCAGATAGAGCTGGTCTTTGGGATTATACTTGGACCAGGCCACTTCTTCAAAGCGGTTGGGTTTTGTGTGAATGAACTTGGTATCCTGAGGAACTGGTTGATTTGGATCACTGAGGATAGAAGGAAGAAAAAAAGAAAGGTCATACTCTTCCACATGTGACGTGAAATTATCTTAAACCAATAAATCAGGAAGTTACAATCTGCTCTTCATATATATTTATCAATGAGCACAAAATACCCAAGCAGCAAAGGTACATTCTGCTTTAATCCTAGACCTGTCTACCATGTTGTCTTTTCCTTTAAAAATTGCTCTTATTTTTCTTTTAAATATAAATCCTGATAGCAGCATTATGCAATTTTTATAACATGTTTACTATTTTTTAAGGCATCAAATGATCTTCAAAAATAAAGGGAAAGAAGGAAAACTAAGTGTCTCTAGGAAAAATTTCAGTATTTCAAGTTTCACTCTTGTCGAACTGTAAAACTCATCCAGGACTGATTTGCTCCAAAGGGATATTTGGCAGTATCTGGAGACACTTTTGGTTTCCGTAGACGAAGGGTTGTTCTATGAAGGGTGGAGGTGAGGGATGCTACTAAATACCCTCTGGTGCACAGGAGAGACCCCCACAGCAAAGAAGTTATCTGGACCCAAATGTTAACAGTACTGAGGTTGAGAAATTCTGATTAAGAAGCTATTGTCCAAGAAATGGGTATTCTCTTTCTTGCTCAAGAATTGCTTTTGAAGTAAATGAATAAATGTTGCAGTTTTAGCAATGAAAATTGATATTAACAGTAGAAATAAAAATAGGCTTTATAATTACAAAGTGTTTGTAAATAGACATATGCACCATGTGTTTGCTCTCTATTTGAAGGTAAAAAGATGAAAGCACGCTATGTTAGCTGTAAGAAGTTTGCTAAAATGGTACATATAGTTATGATGAGGTTAACATGTTTAAGATAAAAAAGACACCCAGAAACAAGTCAAGGGCTGTTACAGATGCTAAGTTGTGCTTGGAAACTATGAGCCAAAGAATTATCTTCTTATTATTTGCACAAGTGGTCACAGGTAGAAGGAGAATCATAAAAATTTGGAGATAATTCATAAAACATAGGGCCTTTAATAAACATCTTTGCAACTGACTCTTTTAGGATAACACTTCCCCTTCAAAAAATAAATTACCAAATGCTCATTTCTTCCATTTTTTTTATGGCTTGTAAAGTAAGCTAAAAAACAATTACGTCTTAAGGTTTATTTGTTATAAAAACGATTTGAGATTATGCATGGCAAAATGTTATGTACTAGTTAGCACTGAGCATTGAGATGTGATGTGCAGAACCAGGCAAGCAGGGAGTTGCAACATCCTGATCAATGGCTCCAGGTGTGAGCTAAGGGCTATCTTCCAGGTAACTTCTCCTTGGCGGGACTTCTGTGAAACTGCCTCCAGTCATTGCATGGCCTGCATGGCAGAAGGCTGCAGGACCAAGGAAGATCATGTATCTGTAGCCATTACCAGACACTGTGCAGGATTCAAACAATATACTTGAGCCAGAGGCGCCACACTTGCTGAAGGAAGATTTTATCCCCTCAGTCTGAGTCTGTGGTGGTGATAAAATAAATCATTTCCCTGTATTCAACTTTCTGCAGCTCTGGCTAGTTAAGAGCTGTGAAATCTTAAGCAAGTTTTCCAGCCAGTATTGGCCTTAACTTACTCCTCTACATGGCTGATGAAAATATCAGGGTTGGAGGTAAGTGATGAAGGTTGAAAGATAATGACAAGATGTCTGGCATATGGTAAGAATTCAGGAAATATTACCCCCTCTCTTCCAATATAAAAAATAGAACACCTATAATATTGCAAGGGAGGGAGAAGTAGGGAGTGATATACTGTATATCAGAGTACATACTGAATTTCTATATTGTATACATTGTAGAGTGCATAAAAGTATATTGTATATTACATACTATATACAAGTATACTGCATACCACAGTTTATACTGCATACTAACTATATACTATATGCAGTATATATATGTATGTCATGTGTATATATGTGTATGTGTATATCTATCTATAGATATAGATATTAGATGTATAACATAATACAGGAGAAAAAGAAAGTTGACCTCTACCCTTTAGTTGAATGCACACTAACTGCTGTGTTTTCACTTTACTAATAGGGTGAGAACAAATATATATAATCTCATAGGTTCTAATACCATGAGTTTTCTTATTTACTGATAAACAATATATTTGAAAAGTCTTCTGCTTTTTTTATTTATTATGCATGTATTCTTACATGGTTTTGAAAAAATGTTGGATTCAATGCAGCAACTCATGTTTCTTTTGCTCTTTAAGTCCTCTGAAATAATTTTAAAATTTTCAGTTATTTAACGTGTACTGAAAGAAAAATAAGTGAATGAATATTTTAGGAAAAAAATCCACTAATATTAGTTATTGATTTTTAATATTCTAAAGAAACAAATGGAAGTGAAGATTCTACCTTTTTTTCCATGGATCCAATTTTACTGAATTGGATCTATTAGATGTGTGGCTACCTCATCTATTAAGCAGTGAGCATCTAGGAAAAGGAGTATTCTGTTCATGTTGGGTACAAGGCTATTTTCGAAGGAACTCAGGGTATATTTGAAAGGTAAAGAAAACACATTATATTTTGTTCTTGAAGAATAAAGCAGAGGATTTGGAAAATCCATATAAATGAGCTGCCACCTGATACCGTCTGTCTATTAAAGATCTCGGAGATGCACAGCCAGAATTCTTAAAGCCAGATAAACTTGTGGAGATTATGATAGCCCAAGTCATTCTCCCTTACCAAACCCTCCAGACAGTGAGGTCTAGATGTGGGGTATCAGTGTTTTGTTTTTTAGACTTTATTCAGCCTAAGAAGTGTTTAAACTCCTGTGAGTAAAATTAAAGACTATAATGATTGAGGACAGAAACACAAGTTGGTCTCTCTAGTAAAAGACTCAATGCATGTCTTCCTCCTTATCCCCCAGCACCTAACACAGCCATTTCCACCTGTCCTGTTTTATTTGAGATGTCATCTTGGCAGCAGAGACTCAAGTGCCTTTCTAAGGTCTAGTTCATTTCTTTAGCTGGAGATGGATATAGTACTATGATCTCTCTAAAAATATCTGTGAATCCTCTCAGCTGTTCCTTTAAGTAGTACAGGTTTTCCTCATACCCAAAACATTGTTCGCAGTTAACGATTATTACCGGACTAGTTTATTATGCATTCAGTGACTCCTCTTCCACACCAGGTGGGGATGTTCATTCATTCAGCTTAAAATTCCTTTTTGGTAATAAAGGTCGCCTTTACAGCCAGAATTACGCTGCAACTCTCTGTAACCCATCCCCACTAAATACCTCATTGGAACTTCTTTTTTTTCCCAAAGATTTAACAATAGTTGAACGTAAATTAATCATAGGATACCAGCACATTCAAAAGCAGTGATGGTAGCTGATGCAAACAGGACAGAAATCAATCTGCCGTACAAACCCCAGACTCGATGGAACAACATAAAAAAATCAAAATATGTGTTGATCTGATTTTCCATTACAAAACTCTCTTCTCATATCTGACTTCCAATAGCACATAAGGTCTTCTATTCTATATTATAATGCATTGTTTGGTTACTTTAAAGCACTGTTCTTTGTCATACCTTATAAATAAACCAAGATTCCCCACTCCTTTTTGTCCATCTCTTTCCACACAGAGCTCAAAATGAAAGAATCCTGGATCACTGAGCACCTGAATTTCATTGATCAGCTTGGACGAACCCTTTTTCTCCTATTCCCAAAGTAATTTTCCAGGAAAAGGACTTTAATGCTCTAGAACCCTTTTGAAACTTTAGAGTTAGTTTTCACTTCTCCTTGACACTGCAGCTGATTTCCAAAAACGGTCTCAATCTACCTTATTTCTACAATGCCTCTGCATGTTTGGGCTCACACGGTTCTCTTCCAGCATGATTTTAGTCCTCTGACCTGGACTAACATTGAAACACCTCCTTGCTACAGGGGAGGATCCCCCTCAGGCACAGGCCTGGGCAACTGCTTCCCTATTCAAAATAATAATAAAAAAGAAATAGCAAGGATTACTTGAGGCCCTGGCATTCAATGATTTCAACATCCTTTCTTGATCAAGGTTTTCATAATTTAGAGCCTCCGTAGGGACTTCCTCCTCATTTCTACTATGCGTACTCGCTGACTCCGCCTTTCTAAGATGGGAGAGCCCTCTCACCTAATGCTACCATGAAAATATACAGGTGACATAATTTATAAGCAAAGATCCAATTGTCCCTCCCTCCCTCCTTCTTTCCTTCCTCCTCTCCCCCTTCCCTCTTTTCTCTCTCTTACCCTCCTTTTCCCTGTTTTCCTTCTTTCCCTCCCTCCCTTCTTCCTCTCCTCCTCCATTCCCTTTTTCCTCCCTCTTCCTTCCTCCCTCCCTTCCTTCTTTCTCTCTCCCTCCATTTTTTCCTTCCTTCCCTCGCTACTTTCCTTCCTTCCTCTCTTCTTTCTCCCTTCTCCCTTCCTCTCTTCCCTCTTTTCTCTCTTTCCTTTCCTTCCTTCCATCTTTTCTTCCTTCCTCCCTTTCTTCCTTTCACCTTCCCTCCCTCCTTCCTTCCCTTCTTCTTTCCTTCCTCTCCTCCCCCCTTACCTCTTTCTTTCCTCCCTTCCTCCCTTCCTTTACTCCTTTCTTGATTCCCTCCCGCCCTCCTTTTCTTTTCCTCCCTCCCTCCCTCCTTCCCTCCCTTCGTTCCTTTGTCTGAACTCTCTTTCCTCCATTCCCTCCCTCCTTCCTTCCTTTTCTCCGCCATGCACATCCCAACATCATTTTTCTGTGCTCATCCCAAAACCAAAGGTTTATGTATACCAGGTATATGTGCCTTCAAACCTAGACTAAAGGTCAGAACCATCTACTTTGAGATGTCTATATAGAAGCATCCAGACCCCATCCACTTCATCTTGGCAAACACATGCGCCATCGAGAGACTGGCTGTGCCTGCAGGTTTAGAACGCTTGACTTAACGCCCACTGAGAGTGGTGAAGTATGTCCTGGCACAATGCGATCCTTTCTCCACGGCACCGTGTAGTGACAGACACGCTGGGAGCTATTCTTGTTTCCTCCTGTCACCTCCAGTGCTGGAAGGGAACAGTGATGGTATGCAGAAATATGCCCTCCTGTTCTGTGAGTCATCATCTGAGTGTGTGCTCTGCAAAATGGCGTTAAACTTGGCAGCTCACACCATGACAGCAGATAAGGTGCATCCCATACTTTCTCCTTGCGGGCATCAGTTTGGTTCATTCTCTGCACCTGGTGACCAGGGAATCCTTCTCTGCCCTGGAGTGATCGGGCCACCACCCAATTTACAATAAACAAATAACTACCAACTGCAACTGAAGTCCTTGTCATCCACTGACGAATACCTAGCTCACCAGACTGTGCCCGACAGTGAAATTCCCCATTTCCTTCTTTTATGGGGCTGCCATGGAGGTGTGATCACTTAAACTATTTGTATTTGAATCCACACGTTGCATTTCACATGAGATGTAAGTTCTGAGTAACTTCCTTGAGGAATCATTTGAGTCATTCTAATACCTTTCCAATGAATTAAAAGAGCTCACTGCATTAATACACTCAGTGTTATTTCAGGGATGTTTCCCATGGGCGGAAGAAACAAAAATAGAGGCTTCAGACGGACTGACATTCGAGCTCTGGGTACCTCAATGAACTCTCTCTACCTGCAGCTTTTGATTTCAGTAGCATCAGAGCGTCTCTCCAAGTTCTAGCAGTTATTCCTTCCTCATCTCTTCCAGCCATGTCAGGGCCTTCATGAAAGCTAGAAGCACCCTCAACACAGACCATGAATGGCAACGTGAATGTATTCCCTAAATGCAGGGTGGAAATCACAGGCTCTAAGCCAAGTGATTTTAAGAAACAGATTCATGGCATTAAAAGCACTCAATAACAGAGAGATCATTGTGGTATTCTCTTCTCACGGCTCTCTCAGACCTTCGTGATGTCTTGGTAAAAGCGTCCATTTGGTGTCAGCAGTGATAACGATCACCTCATGGAACTAATTAACTTCCTTTATCTTTTTCTGTCTTTTTTCCTTTTTTTTTTTTTTTATTTTTTTTTAATAATGAGAGAGCCAGCCTCAGTCTCATAGCCTTTGGAAGTCAGGAAGAGCTAATGAGAATTTAACAGCATTATTTAGATTTCACTATTGTTTTAATGGTTCCATAAAATGTATGAGGAATGATTCTAGCTTTCCACTTAAGATAATCATATAAAGTTTATTTTCAAATCATGTAAGGAGGAAAAGAAAAAGCATATGTTTTTAATGAGAGTAAGTAAAGAGAGTGTTTGCAGACCAAGTCGGTAATACGTTTGGATGCCAATGTAGCGAAGATTGAATGAGTATAGCCATGTTGGGAAACTCTCATGGAAGTCTTTAGGCTTCAAGAGGATGAAATTCTCTGCAAGGGCAGACACCGCCTATCTCAGTGCTGTCACAAAAGAGGGCCTGGCCCTGATTTCACAGGGTATTAGAGATTGAATACTGTCTCCCCATAAATTAAGATACGCTGAAGTCATAACCCCAGTATCTCAGTATGTGAGCTTATTTGGAAATAGGGTAACTGCAGATATGACTATTTATGTTAAGTTGAGGTCATACTAGAGTAGGGTGAGCTTCTAATGCACCTTGGCAGATGCTCTTATATGAAGACGGCCATGTGGAGACAGAGACACACAGGGAGGCCGTAAGATGACAAAGACACAGAGTGGGATGGTGCACCTGCAAGGTAGGAATGCCAAAGACTGCACCCAAACACCAGTAACTAAGAAGGAGCAAGGAAATACCCTCCCCCTACAGATTTGGAGGGAACTTGGCCCTGCAAGCACCTTCATTTGCAACTTCTGGCCTTAGAAAGCGTGAACCGATACATTTCTGTTGTTATAAGACACACCGTTTTTGGTGCTTTTTTTTTTTTTTTTTTTTTTTTTTTTTAAAGATAAAGGTTTCGGTCTGTCACCCAGGTTGGAGTGCAGTGGTGCAAACATGGCCCACTGCAGCCTTGACCTCCTGAGCTCAAGTGATCCCTCTGCCTCAGCCTCCTGAGAAGCTGAGACTCTCGGCATATGCTACCATGCACAGCTAAATTTTTTCATTTGTTTTGTAGAGACGGACTCTCACTATGTTGCCTAGGCTGGTCTTAAACTCTTGGCCTCCTCAGGTGATCCTCCTGCCTCGGCCTCCCAAAGTGCTGGGGTTACAGGCATGAGCCACTGCGCCCAGCATAGCCATACAGTTTTGGATACTCTGATAACAGCAGTCCCAACAAACTAATAAACAAGGTTTACTTTAAAAAAAGTATTAATTTGATTTCAATCATTTCTTCACACAAAAAAGAACCGTTGAGTGATAGACAAGCATTTGCATCAAATGTGGGTCCCTCCTCTCTTCTCCTCTGGGTAGCCTTTCTCAGACCAAATCTACAAAGTCTGATTATTGAAAGGTGGTATCCAGGTGATACCTTTTCCACTCCAAAAACATGCTGTACTTTCGCCAAGGGCACAAAACATTCTCAAACCACTCCCTACCCAAACCACTTTGGAATCTTTGTACAGTATGCCAGCTGCTAAACACGTAGGCATTGAAACCACCAGCATCCCCAGATCTTCTAAGGATTACTGTGCATAACTCATGTGTGGCAGGGCCACTGCAGTCTCAGAGCCTCATTCCGCACGGGAAGATTTACCCTCCCTGGGCGACAGGCACATCTTTCTCTCTCATTCAGTGTAAAGAGGCTCAGGGTGATGATGGAGGCACACACTGGTAGAACAGAATGACACCCCATCCATTTCCACAGTTACATTATTAGACAAGAGAAAATGAAAAAATGCCACAATGTTTGGAGCTATTTAGGTTGTTTTGGGTTCTTTTCTCCCATGGTTTGCAGAGAATCCGCTCAGCAGAATATTGGCAGACTCTGTTGTATATATGCTTTTTGTATATTTTATATTTTCTACTATATTTAGGCCAATAAATGAGCTTTCCTGTGAGATACACATGTATGTGTGTTTGTGTGTGTGTGTTTATGTATGCATGACATATAGCAATATGATACAAATATCATATATTTTCATTTTCTCTCTCTAGTTATTTATATAGCAGAGAAAATACAAACGTATTTGTGTATATATATATTTGTATTTGTATATATATTGTATATATATAGTATTTGTATATATATTTGTATTTGTATATACAAATATATTTGTGTGTATATATATACAAATACAAATATAAATGTACTATATTATACAAATAGGAATATCTATATTTTTATATAGACATTAAATATATATAGGAATATATATTTATATTTCTTTATAATTATTATGATATTTGTTTTCATTCCTATGGCCAGGCAATCAACACAGTTCCCCAAGTGGTACATGTGCTGTGATATCCTTGCAAATTAACAAAAGAGATATGGTTGAAATTAGACTTAAAACTCTGTAATGAGGGCTGGTGTGATGGCTCACACCTGTAATCTCAGCACTTTTGGAGGCTGAGGTGGGAAGATCACTTGAGCCCAAGAGTTTGAGACCAGCTCGGGTGACACAGCAAAACCCTGTCTCTAACAAAATAAAATTAGCTGAGTAAGGTGGTGTGCACCTGTAGTCCCAGCTATTCAGAAGGCTGATGTGGGAGGATCCCTTGAGCCCAGGAGTTTGAGAGAAGCCTGGGCAACATAGCAAACCCTGTGTCTACAAAAATCCATGTAAGGGCATGGTGGTGCACGCCTGTAGTCCCAGCTACTCAAGAGGCTGAGATGGGAGGATCACATGAACCCATGAGCTCGAGGCTTCAGTGAGCTATGATTGCGCCACTATACTCCAGCCTAGGCAACAGAGTGAGACCCTCTTTCTACCAAAAAAAAAAAATTAAAAATTAGCCAGGCATGGTGGCAGGCACCTGTAGTCCCAGCTACTCAGGAGGCTGAGGCAGGAGGATGGCTTGAGCCTAGGAGTTCAAGGAGGCTGTAGTGAGCTACTGTTGCACCACTGCACTCCAGTGTGGGCAACAGAGTGAGACTGTGTCTCTAAAACAACAAGGACAAAAACAAAACCGTTTAATCAGCTGTTAACAGAACCATCATATATGTATGAGTCCTGCACCTGCAGGTAGGAACTCTGGAATTCCCAATGGGCAATTAGAACTCTAGTAAAAATCTGGTTTGACAGTTAAGTGTTTTACTCCTATAACACTTTAGGAGTAAAGAAAAAAATGAGTTGCCATAGATGTTGGGGGAGAAGCTGCCTGTTACTGCTGTGTGTGTAAGCGTGTGTCTGTGTGTATGTGTGTGCATGCATGTGTATGTGTGTGTATGCGTGTGTGCTCCTGCACGTGGCAGTAGAAGCAACACCTATATTGAGGACACAAACAAGTGGCAAGGATAGTGATACCCCAACACGAAGATGAACGTACCCAGTTTTGGCGAAGTTCGTCCAGTAGGTCATGACCACGGCGCTGAGCATGACGTCGTTCTTGGAAAAGTTACAACTGAAGAGCTCGGTGGGACCGATCATGGGGATGCCGAAGACATAGGGGACCTCATCACCATGGGCCGAATCTGCCCAGCTGGGCTTCATTTCGCTTTGGCAGTGATGATAGAAGGCATAGAAGTAGGTGGGGGAGCCGTACTGCGCGTGCAGGTCGGCGGTGGCCACGGCGGGGGCCACCCACTGGTGGTCAGTAAAGAGAGCCACCAGGGTTTTCCGCCGCGTCTCCGGGTTTTCCTTATCGGCCCAGTCTGTGTACATGAACTTGATAGTCTCCCGCAAAGTGTCTTTCCCTTCAGGGTAGCCGTAAAGGTTGTCCACGAAGTTGGACACGGAGAAGTCAAAGTCGTTGGGCGTCACACCGTCCTCGTTATCCACGATGCCGTCCACGAACTTCAGGCCTTCCCCTTGGTTGACGCCCAGCATGATGTCGTAGTTGAGGAACTCGCCTTGCTCCATCAGGATCTGGGGGTCGTCTGGGATGACGTCGCCGTCGATCACCGGCCCGAAGGCTATGTGGTAGGTGGCCGGGGTGATGGTCTGCTGGATGAGCTCCTTGTAGTTCTTGTTCCGCAGGCATTCTACCATGTCCGTGGTGTCCAGCATGTTGCAGCCGACCTTGTCTGCCAATATCCGAGTGTACTTGGCCGGCTGGTAGTTCACTGCCCAGCTGGACAGGGCGGTGCCGCTCTGAATGATGGCCTTCTGGAAGAGACCTGCAGGTGCAAAATTGTGGACATGCAAATGAAAACCCACAGGACAGAAATGCAGCTTTTACTGAGCAATGAAGGCTGTGATTGTCTCTCAGGCATGTGAGTTTCTGGATGTAGTAGCATTCAGCTCTGTCAGGGGCCCTTTTACCCATTTTCATTTCCATTCCCCCTTCACCCCTCCTCCTGAACATTCATTTTAGGGAATGTTATTCTACACACACACACACACACACGAGTTTAAGGAAATGAAACCACATTGACACTTCTCCTGCACTGGTAAAATACATGTGATTTCTTTTTCCTTCCACAATTTAGTGTCGTTTTTGCTTCCTTGCCTCCAGATGCCATATATAAAAACTCCAAGAGCAACTGCATTCCCCATTTCCAAGAAAAAAAATGCTTTAAGCTAGTACCAGTTCAAAGGCCCTCTTGTCTCACAAGCAAAACTAGGTATCTCTTCATTATGGGAAAAAAAGAAATCCACTTGAATCAACTTCAGAGTGCTAATTCAGGAGCGCATTTCTACTTCTACCTTGAGTCTAATGAAGATATTAAGATTTGCCAATTAAAATAAATACATTCAGCTAGCTATGCTTAAAGAAATCCTCAACTGGGTGCCCAAGTAAGGAGTATTTTTTAGGTCACTTCTTTCAAAACTACATCCATTGGAAACTCAGAGATGTGTATATTTTATTTTGCCACATATAAAAATGCTCCACTTGCTGAGAAACTTGAAAAAGCATGGGCAATTTTAGGAGTAAAATTCTGTGTAGCTTAAAATTCTCCATGAGTTCAGTCTACTACACGGATGTCCAGAAGTATAAAATCTGTATTTTTAACTACGATAGGACAAGAGAGGTGCGCTGTAAAAATCAGCATTCCATTTACACTTGCTTCCTGCCATTTCCGTGAATCCCAGCCCGAGTCGGGCACTAAAGAATAAGGCATTCAGTTGTGAGTCCAGAAGTTCATGCCCTGTCGATTTTTAAGGTCACAGAAGCAATCAAATATGAGGAAAATATAACTGTCATCAGGAAGACGTGATTTTAAAGACTGGAGGATTGCCCAAAGATGACACACAGGACCGCAACTTGAAACCAATATGGCTTTGACCAGTATGTCATCAAAGCCATCCTGGGAACGTTTCTGTCAGAAATGTGCAAGTATTGACTTGAGTGCTTGGCTCTGAAGATTATTTTAAAATGTCCAAAAAAAAAAAAACCAAAAGAGAAAGTCAATATGTATTCTATTGGATACTTTCATTAGTTAAAACATTCAGAATTGGAAAAAATGCTGTGAGAAGTTCCTTTCCCGCCCTTCTCATAAGTACTGGCAATAATTTAGGCAGTAGTGTATATAAAGTAACATACATAAAACATTTATTTGTATGTTAGGGAAGTAACAGAACTCCTGATAAGACTAAAATAGTTGGATAATGAAAAAAATCACCCAGAATTCATACTTTAAACACAACTCACCTTAGCGTAATGAGTATGCTAGGAGTTCACATAATTCTTAGCTCTTTCCCTCCATTCAAATGTCTGTTTTGCATAGCTGAGCCCAATATTTATATAGCTGTCTAAACTGTTTTTCCAGCTGATGTATATCTTAGGTAAATTCTTAAATTATTATTGAGTAAATACATATGGTTCATTATAATTTTCCTCTCCTTTTGATCTTGTAGCTTTTCATTTCATTCTTTGCTACGATACTAATACTGTGGTGAACATCTTCATAAAACTATCACTTTCCACGTGTACTTTGTCTTCATTAGACCATATAACCAGGCAAGGAATTCCTAAGGCAAACAGTCTGGCTATATTTATTTTTATTTTAGACAAGGTATCACTCTGCTACCCAGGCTGGAGTGCAGTGGCGGGATCTTGGCTCGCTGGAGCCTCTGCCTTCCAGGCTCAAATGATCCTTCCACCTCAGCCTCCCAAGTAGCTGGGACAACAGATGCGTCTCTTTTTTGTAGAGACGGGGTTTCGCCATGTTGTTCAGGCTTGTCTTGAACTCCTGGACTCAAGCAATCTGCCCACCTTGGCCTCCCAAATTGCTGGGATGATAGACAGGCAGGAGCCTCAGTGCCTGGCTTGTATTTTTCATAATTCGTGATTATATTGATGGGCTGTTTAGAAGCATGCCTTGCAGAAATGACCGATGCAAAAGTATAATAATTTCCAACCTATTGACTTAAATAATTAACACCTCCCTCCAATTAATGTGGCTTACATGTGTTTGATTACTCCTGAAGTTGGTTCTGACTGCTTTCTAAATCTACAATTGTGATTATATCAATTGAGAAAAGTGAAAATCGAGGTATTTTCAAAAATGCCATAGAAATCTCTCTACCAAATGGTTCATCAGATTCTTCACTTATCGTGTTTTTGAAATAAAGTTAATACAAATATGAGCCTTTCCTCTCATTAGCACTAGTAAGAAATCAAAGGCCATTTGGTCTCATGGGCAAAACATTATGAACTAAAAACTCAAGGAATTCAGAGTTTGGAGGATTTCAGGAAACCCTCATCTGTCCTATCTTGCCAATGAAGACACTGAGGAGCACAGCGATCCAGAAACTTGTCCAGACGGTGCCGAAGTGAAGAAAGTCCTGCAGTTACTCTAAAGAAAGATACTTTTTAATTTTATGTATGTATGTATGTATGTTGAGACAGGGTCTCACTCTGTCACCCAGGCTGGAGTGGAACCTCACAGCTCACTGCAGCCTCGACATCCCTGGCTCAAGCGATCCTCCCACCTCAGCCCCCCAAGTAACTGGGACCACAAGCATGCGCCACCAGGCCCAGCTGGTTTTTATTTTCATTTTTGTACAAACGGGGTCTCGCTATGTTGACCAGGCTGGTCTCAAACTCCTGGGCTCAAGCCATCCTCCCCGCTCAGCCTCCCAAAGTGCTGGGATAACAGCCATGAGCCACCATATCCAGCTGATAACTTTAAAAATAATCATTCGGGAGGTCGAGGTGGGTGGGCCACTTGAGGTCAGGAAGTTCGAGACTAGCCTGGCCAACACGGTGAAAGCCCATCTCTACTAAAAATACAAAAATTAGCCGGGCACAGTGGTGGGCGCCTGTAATCCCAGCAACTCGGGAGGCTGAGGCAGGAGAATCGCTTTGAATCCAGAAGGTGGATGTTGCGGTAAGCCAAGATTGTGCCACTGCACTCCTGCCTGGGAGACAGAGTGAGACTCCCTGAAAAAAAAAAAAAATTCCATGAAGGTTTTGAGAACTTCAGGTTCAGTCAGTGTGGTGCCATTCTGAAGACCACTGACAACACAGAACAAATTACAAAGCTGTCTTGATGACTGAGACGGCTATTAGGAATATTCACTTGCGTGTGGCCAGGCAACCCAGGGCTGGATCTGCACTGCAGATTTTCCTGCCTCTTCCTTTTAGGCCACAGCCAGGAATTTGTGATCCTGCTTCCAGAACCAATTGCCTCAAATTCCTGTGGACTCCTCTTTGAAGTCTCTCATCGGATACTGCAGGGAGCCTCCTTCACAAAGGGACAGCTGGGAATCCACTGAGTGAGCCTCCGGGGAAAGCCTCAGGCACTCCAGCAGGGCTCAGGGGTGTGGCTGCCTATGCTGACCATTACTTAGGCAGCATAACCATCTACTGCTTAGGCGTCCAAGTGCACATCTGGTTGGGTACGGGTGCCTATGCTGACTACACGTTCAAGTGCACATCTGGTTGAGGTAACATGATGCACATGTGTTTTTGTGGTTTCCTCTTTCTCCACTTTGCCAACATCAGCTTTTTCCAGGTTAATAGCAGGGCCCCAGGGAGGGTTTGGAGCTCCCACGGGGACAAGCAGAGGACCTCGTGCTGACTGGCCCAGCAAGGAGGTCCTTCGTGAAAGTCATATTTGCAGGAGAGAGAGAGAGGAAGGGAGAGGGGAAAGCAAACTCTGGACACTCCCTAGTGCTGCATGCTGACCTGACCAGGAAGGAGGTCCTTTGGTGAAAGTCATATTTGCAGGAGAAGAAGAAAGGGAGGGAGAGAGAGAGAAAGAAACAAAGAGAGAGAGGGACAGAGGGAAAGGGGGGAAAGAGAGAGAGGAAAGGAGATAGTGAGTAAGAGAGTGGGGAGACAGAGAAAAGGAGAGAGAGGAAGAGAGAGAGAGGGAGAAAGACAGGGAGAGTGGGGGGACAGTGTGAGGGGGAGAGAGAGAGGGAGGGAGGAGAGACAGTGGAAGGAGGGGGAGAGAGAGGGTGAGAGACAGAGCAAAAGAGAGAGAGGGAGCAGGAGAGAGGTAGAGGGAGGAGGACATAGAGAGGGAGAGAGACAGAGAGGACGAGAGAGGGAAAGAGAAGAATGGGAGGGGAAGAGCAAGGGAGGGAGGGAGACCATCAGGGAGAGAGACACTATTCCTCTGGGTAGAATCTACTTCTACCCAGAATCTACTTCTAAATGAATGCACCAGACGTGTTTCAATATTTCCAGAAGATTTAAAGAATTAATATGAATTAGAGAGAGGAGCGACTTCTTAAAAAACATGTGGCTAAAAGCCCTGATGGTTACAAAATCTATACACCCGCATCCCTTATCGACATACTGTCTCTCTTCCATACTACTTTTACTAAGTTGTAGCTAGAAGTTAATAAAATTTCAAATAGTCAAATACAGTCAGAATGGCAAAAAAAAACAAAAGTGTCAGGACTTCTAAAGTAGTTATTTTGTTCCAATCATTGTAACCAACACCTAATTGTCACACATTTAAATTAGGAGAAAAATATTACTGATCAAGCATGGTGGCTCACATCTGTCATCCCAGCACTTTGAGAGGCCAAGGCAGGAGGATCGCTTGAGTCCTGGAGTTTGAGACCAGCCCAGGCAAACATAGCAAGACCACTTCTCTATAAAAAATTTTAAAAAGCAGCCAGTAGTCCCAGGTATTCAGGAGACTGAGATGGGAGAAGCCTTAAGCCCAGGAGTTGGAAGCTACAATGAGCTATGATCATACCACTGCACTCCAGCCTGGGTGACAGAGCAAATGGAACAAAAGCTGAGTTAAAAGACATGAAGATGGATTCATTTGATCTTTTGGGCATTTTCTGTTGCCAGAGTGACTTCTGGTAACCAGGACATGCATCTGAGATATGAACTCTGACCATTCATTTCTTGGTTCAGGGTATTTGCCCGCCCACCCTGGGGGTGCCATTATTACCTTCTGAGTAGTGGGACAGGGTCAACAGGCTGACACAGGAGGCCCCAGCCCCCGAGCCAAAGATGGTCACTCTCTTGGGGTCCCCGCCAAAGGCTCCCACATTCTCCTCAATCCACCGCAGTGCTTGAATCTGATCCAGGAGCCCATAGTTGCCTTTTGCTGCCTGGTCACCGGTACTTAAAAACCCTACAAAAGAACACAAGATATTTTTGGTGGCCAAATAGAAAAAGTGCATACGTGTCTCTGCTATTTGAAAAGATATCTCATAGCTTGTCTTCTTCATTCTCTCTCTCCTCAACTCTCACCCCCACCAATTAGAGGAAGAACAGGAGAAAAAATTTTGTGGCAGAAATAATTATATAAATAATGGTTATTTTAGGTTGATGTTATGATACCATGGCATCTTTGTGTATATATGTGGCTAATAGAGAAGGCAAAATGAATCTAAAATATTAATAACATGAAGCAATCCCAGAAGACGTCGTAAATTTTACTAGGTTCAAGGTATCATTTCTGTGCACATTTTCATTTTCTTTTTTGAAAAATGCAACAGACTCCTACAAGAAATTTTTCAGGGAAAACAGTACGTGTGTGGGGGGGGGAGGGGGCGTAAGTGCACATGTGTGTCTGTGTCTAAGAATATGTGCATGTATACAAAGGCAGTGTGCGCCTGTCTTTCTCACTGAATTAGTTATTAACATTTTGTTTTAACTCCTTTCAATGCTTAAGAAACAACGTAAGTTACAGACTCCACTAGATCCGACTCGTAAATAGTATACACCTCTATTTTCCTACATAGCGAAAATATTAGTCACATACAAAAAAATGTAATTATTGAACCTCACCCAAAAGCTAATGAATATTCACATCTCCCCAACTGTTCCCAAAATATCAGGAACTGGCCTTCCTTATTTTAAAAAGAAGGATTCTGTGAGTTGAGGATCTAGATTTTACTCAAGGCATACGATTCTTAATTTCTCCTTAGTAGTTGAAAAATGGCAATTTTGGTATTAATGATAGCAAAGTTATGAGTTAATCTATTTTATTTTTTGTTCCTTCTGTATTGAAAAATAGCTTGACCTGGAAAAACTGCTTTCTTCTGATGTTTTGAAGTCAAGTTTGGGAAGACATACACTCTCCTACTCAGATTCAAAACTAGGAATATTTTCTAAGGCCTCCTGCAAGTTTAGTTCATTGCATAAACTTTAATCCAACTTTATGTCCAAATCTGTACTGGATATGCCTTCCAAAAAGACAAAGAATTTTTAAAAGTTTTTTTTTTTAACCATTTTCACGTCCTTATTTGAGCCTTCCCCAACTACCCAACTATGATATTTGCCCCTTCTATACAATTTCTTTTTTCCAAGAGCCATGTCATTCACTCATTTCAAGGGATGCTCAGCACATTATTATGGCCACCTGCAGTCATGTTTGTATGAAGACAGGCTGCTTTAAGCCCTAAAATAACATCAAACCAATTCCCTCAAAGCACGTCCCTAACCAAAGTTGACGGCATTCCAAGGAGTGACTGAGTGCCGGCTTCTACTTTTAAAACAAAAAGAGTAGAGGATGAGGCTGCATACCAATTGAGTCAACCAGCATTTCTTCCATGAGCTTTCCTGAGCACCTGTGGAAAAATGCTCTGAGCTGGAAAGGAGGAAATGGCCTGGCTCCAAAGAAAGTCACAGGACGATTTTCGTTCAACAATGACAATAAAAACTCCAAGCCTGAATCGGGAGTCACTATCTCCTGCAGCTTCAAAGAGAGGCAGCGTCGCAACTGCGAGGTTGGATACTTAAGACACATCCTACCAATGTGATCTTCTTTAAAGTTCAGAGGGATGTGACGGGAGATTAGCTACGATTAGTGGGTGCGATCAGACATTACCCAAGCCTCCTCCCCCATTTAATTAGCAATTACTAATTAGTGCTTCATGCCAAAAATGTTCTGCAACACCTGTCTCCATCACTATATCTTTGACACGATCGTTCATAAAAGGCATCAGGCTTTGCTTGGGAGAAAAGATCGAAGATCCTTATATGACAATGACGAATCATGTCAGTTTAGGTGCCCTATAATACCACAGGGCAATGCTTTCTTCCCCTATTAAAGAAAGAGGTGATTAATTCCTAAGGCACGAGCAATTTTCTAACAGAACGATTCTGTCTTCAGCACGTCTTTTCTTCACTCACTGTTCTCTCTTTCTCAATTCTGCAGAATGACTTGTTGACTTATTTTGTTTCTGTGGAGGAGTATGAAGATTTTCAACACGCAGGAAATCATTGGCCTTTCTTCCACCATAAACTCTTCCTCCCTAGCAAAATCAGAGTGTTTTAACCTTTCCAAAAGCAGGCTAATGAATATCCCCTGCCTTCAAAAATCTTAGTTCTTCTAACAGCATCCTATTGGATGGTTTGATCTTTGAGGTTCTGAAATTCTTCCAAATATCCTACAGGCTGGCTGAGGGAAACGACAATCCATGGATCTCTGAAGTTTAACAAATCAATGTGGTGTTTTGAGGCTGGTGTTTCCACAGTTTCTGCCATGGCATTTTCATTTATTGCAACATCCAGGGATTATTATTTTTTTCTTTTTAAACTATCAACAAGGGGGAGTGCCTGTTTCAGGTACACAATGAATGCAATAATTTTATGCTCTTTAAGAGTATAGTCCTTTCACCTTGAAACCACCTTTGCAAAACTTACAATAGTCAGACAATTATGACAGTGAAAGAGATCTGACCTAACCAACTCCATCTTGCCTTTAACCTCCATACTGTTCTTGATCATTCCTGGGCACGGGCCAAGCTAACTTTGGGAGAAATTGAACTTGTAGTTTAAATGATAATAGCCCCTCTTAAAACTAAACCACCTTTGTAAAAGTAATGAAAGGCCACCAGGTTAAAGAATGAGAGAGGCCTGAATTCTGCTAAGATGTAAGCTTAGTTGAATGATTACCAGCCATTATTCCAGAGGTCACAAGATTTGCAACTTCCCCAATCACTAGAAGCTAAAATTTGCCTTTTTAAAACTTTTATTTTAGGTTCAGGGGTATACCTGTAGGTTTATTATGTAGGTGAACTGCATGTCACAGGGGTTTGATGTACAGGTTATCTCATTACCCAGGTAATAAGCATAGTACAGATTGGCCTTTTAAGATGTCTTTTCAGGCTTTTGCATTTCTGACAACTGATTGGTCCTACTAGGACCAGTGACTCCTCTGTGTCCCCACATAGAGGCCGACTGGGTGCACCAGGGCTGTTTTCCACACCCCTATCATTGCATCCTCAACCAATCAGCAGCACTCATTCCCTAGCCCCTGTCTGCCAAAGTATTCTGGAAAAACCCAAGCCTCCAAATTTTTGGGAAGGCTGATTTGAGTAACAATAAAACTCCAGTCTCCCATTTAGCCAGCTCTGCAGGAATTAAACCCTTTATCTATTGCAATTCTTCTGTCTTGACTAATCAGCTCTATCTGTGTAGTGGTAAAGATGAATCTGTTGGGAGGTTACATTGTTTTGAGGGCCAAATCATGTTTTCTATAAATCAGACTTAAAAAGCATGTGGGCTTACTGATACAGAATTCTATGAGCCCAGAAAGTTAGCATTTGAAAATAAAAAGACCTGTTTTCCCAAGTCGCCTGATCTGTGAAAATTAGATCTCACTATCAATCTGTCTTCTTCTTTATTCATCAGCACCTGGCCAGGTTTTCCTGTGAATAAGACTGGAGGCAAGGAACAGGCAGCACACTACAGCTCTGTGATGTGATGGAGCAGGGAGAGGGAAGGAGGGAAGGAGGGAGGGAGGGAGAGCAGGAGGGAGGAAGGAAGGAAGGAAGGAAGGCAGGAGGGAGGGAGGGAAGGAGGGAGGGAGGGAAGGAGGGAGGGAGGGAAGGAGGGAGGGAGGGAAGGAGGGAGGGAGGGAGAGCAGGAGGAAGGAAGGAAGGAAGGTAGGAGGGAGGGAGGGAAGGAAGTAAGGAAGGTGGGAGGGAGGGAGGGAAGGAAGGAAGGAAGGAAGAAAGGAAGGAAGGAAGGAGGGAAGGAAAGAAGGAAGGCAGGCATTTTCCTGGCAAAGCTATCTTCTTAAGTGTAAATAAAGAGTGATCTTAAAAAATTCTAATGGTGTGATTTTTTGCAAGCTTTTTGACACCAGGAATCCTGGTATTTATTGTAGCAAATTAAAATTAATATTTTTAGGAATCCTGCAAACCTAAACCACTGGGTTTTGCCTCCTGATTGTAGAAAGCAAAATGATGGTAGCTCATCAACTTGGAAAGAGCCACACATGATACCAAAGATGAGTGCTGCTCCTGAGAAGTCATTCCTCGGATAGATCACTTAACTTTAAATATATGTTCAAGGTGAATGAAGAGAACAAGCTACTTGATTGTCTAAAACCAGAGATTTACAACAAATGGCTCCTTTAACTGACAGGTCCTTTAGGCTACAAACTCTCTAAGCATTTTAGCCGATGAAATTTTGGTTTCTGAGCTTTACTCTCCCTAATATGAAGCTTGTAATCAGCAACCTCTCCTCCAATAATTGAACAACGAAAGAAAGATGCAAAAGAGACCATGTGAATGAATCCATGTTAATGGCTACATTGATGCCAAGTTTCATCCAGGGTCCTGGAAGGAACAACAATAACAAATATACACACACAAGAGATATCAATAGATACGTTCAGTGATCTGGTTTGGCTGTCTCCTCACCCAAATCTCATCTTGAACTGTAGCTCCCATAATCCCCATGTGTCATGGGAGGGACCCAGTAGGAGGTAACTGAATCATGGGGGTGGGTTTTTGTCATGCTGTTCTCATGATAGTGAATAAGTGTCATGAAATCTGATGGTTTTATAAATGGCAGTTCCCCTGGACACATTCTCTTGCCTGCCACCATGTAAGATGTGACTTTGCTTCTCCTTTGTCTTCTGCCATGATCGTGAGGCCTCCCCAGCCATGTGGAACTGTGAGTCCATTAAACTTCTTTTCTTTATACATTACCCAGTCTCAGGTATGTCTTTATTAGCAGCATGAGAACAGACTAGTACATTTAGTTAGTATGGTTATTTAGAAACAGGTTTCATGGAAAAGATGACTAAAAATAGGAATCACAGTTTTTCCTGCTGCATGTTGACTGAAGTGAATATCATATAAACATGAATATTTCTATTCAGGCTTAATATTGTTGTCACAACAGAAAAGTTTCCAATTTTTATTATAGATAATAATGTAGATGTTTCCTCTCATTTTGAATTACATCACAGGGCTTAGGAGAATGACTGCAGGTCTTTTGTTTCTCCATGCACTGCAAGTAAATGGTAAGGAACCCAATGGGGTCAGATATTGTTTTTCTTTCAATTAACAAAAGACATTGTTACATGACGTTAAAGCTGCAATCCATTTTCTTTTAGGAGATCATTCCTTGCATAAACACAGTAGGCATTTTTTGGAGACAAGTAACCAGGAGATAATTAAGTGAATACAGAAGTTAAATATCTTTCACCATTTCAGTGTGTGTAATTCACCTGATATGTGTGTATGTATATATATATAATATATGTATGTATATATATATATATATGCATATATAACCATATATATGCATGTGTGACTATAAATGTATATGTACACAGACATACATTTGTGCACCTTTAAACTAAAGAAGTGACACCAAACAGAAAATGTTTAAATAAAAATTCTTCAGTGAGAATAAACAGAATTTGTGTTAGATCATGCAAATGAGGTCAAAAAGAAATCTGTTTGGTTAGAATGAAAGCAGAAGCATAAAAAACAAAAATCAGTCAAACAGATGCAAAACTAATCTTTGACGGTTATAGGAAATCATTCATGAAATGCATTTATTACAAGGTGAACCTTTAACTTTCTGACTGAAAACATGTAGGATTTAACACAGAAGCACACATTGCACAGGATGGGCTGGAAGGGAGGGAAGCTGATGCACTGCATTCAAATTCTGTTGCCTGATAGGCAGGGCTGCTTGAAATTCAGTGCCTTTTATTTTTAGTTTTTACTTAAAAATGGAATGAGTACTAGCAGACCATTCTCCATTTGTATCATGTTATCACAGCAGTATTGCACAGAACCAAAGTCTATTTCCAATATCAGTAGAGAAAATCTAAAACAATTATAAGAGACAAATGATTTTTATACCACAGGTTTCCAAACTCTGGGGCCTATGAACTACTACTGAGATTCCTTGCAGTATTTTCATAAAAGATAATATCTCCACACATTTATCTAGAATTAAGCTGCATAGGTATTTTTTAAGTGCTTTAGTTTAAATTACATGAAATAAAAAAAAACTGAAATTGATCATATTTTAGGAACAAAATATAAAATAATAAATACAGCTTGTTTATTAAATAATAAAACATCAAAATCTGAAGATAATTGATACATGAGTTTCATGCAAATGAAAATTTGGGAATAGCCAGCCTGGAAACAAATCTCTTTGAGTCAACTTTGAGTCTTTTTTTGTTTTTGAGACAGACTCTCGCTCTGTCGCCTAAGCTGGAGTGCAGCAGTGTGATCTTGGCTCACTGCAACCTCCACTTCCTGGATTCAAGCAATTCTCCTGCCTCAGCCTCAAGAGTAGCTGGGATTACAGGCACACGCCACCACACCCAGCTGATTTTTGTATGTTTAGTAGAGACGGGGTTTCATCATGTTGGCCAGGCTGGTCTCGAACTCCTGAGCTCAAGTGATCTCCCTGCCTCAGCCTCCAAAAAGTGCTGGGATTACAGGTGTGAACCACCATGCCCAGCCAACTTTGAGTATTTTCAACTGAACACTTTCTCCTTAGATATTTCTCCAGATTTGCTGCTGACTCTCATTCAATTGGCTGTCACATCCTTTGGTTTTAGTTTTCAAAGAGCTTGTACATCTTGTCCCTCCCTGGGTCTGCATCCTAGTGTCTGAGATGAGAACTACAGTTCCCCAGGACCTGCTCATTTGGGTGCTACGTCCTTTTAGCTTCCTCTGAATTTCCACACCATCAACATCATCATGATGGTCTCCAGTGTAAGAGAATGGGTAAAACCCAGGAAAATGAAAATTGGAAACTTCTGACCCAGGAGTCCTAATTCTTTGAATGCTTTCTATGAAAATCTTTATTCTGATGCATAAAAATAGCCACCCAAGGCTCCACAATTCACACGGATTGTAATTTTAAAAACAAACAATAGCAGCAAGCTGAATGTTCACAAGTCAGAGATTTGAATGGATTGTCTTGGTTGGATCCATATTATGAGATGCTGTTTGTCTGCATAAAGTGCTAAGGAGTATTTACACTCATGGACACAGAAACACATCTAAGGTATCTCAAGAAAAAATAGTGGGCTACTGAATACTACATATCATTTATTTTATTTTATATTTTTATGTATTTTTTTTGAGACAGAGTTTCGCTCTGCTTCCCAGACTGGAGTGCAGTGGTGCAATCTCAGCTCACTACAACCTCTGCCTCCTGGATTCAAGCGACTCTCCTGCCTCAGCCCACCAAATAGCTGGGATTACAGGAATGTGCCACCATTTGCTGCTAATTTTTGTATATTTTGTAGAGATGGGGTTTTGCAATGTTGTCCAGGCTAGTCTTGAACTCCTGACTTCAAGTGATCCACCCGCCTCGGCCTCCCAAAGTCCTGGGATTAAGGCATGAACCACTGCGTCCAGCCCATTTGTTTTATTAAAAAATAAAATCTGGAAGGAATTCAAACAGTGGAGGGTGATTATTTCGAAGCATGTGACTATAGGGAATATTCACGTTTTATTGCTAATATCTGTTTATATTTAGTTCATAATTTAAATCTCCCTTTTTAGCAACAACAATCACACCCACACAATAAAGTGAATGTGTTGGAGAAACAAATTCATTACTGGGAATCCAAGGGTCATTCTGTGTGGGCCCATGTGACCTTCTCAAGGGATGCCCTACTTATGTTCTGGAGCCTGCAAATCCACCACAACACTTGCTAGCTATTTCCAGAATATGCCTTGCATTTTGATATGCTTGCCTTTTTATATAAAATCCCCAAGATCTAGGGCGCCCTCTGCAGGGCTGCTGGGCGACCATAAATTGCCCTGAACACCTTGCCTGAGCACACCTTCCTGTGGGCTATGGCCGCACACAAAGCTGCACGGCTAGCTCATGGACCCAGCACCATTTGAAAGGTCAGTGTGACCTGAAGGTCAGTCTCTGCATCTTCCGCAGGGGTCACCTGCATACTCAGGTAGAACCTGGCCATCTCTTTCTACCAATGTGGGCCCCTTTCCAAAAGTGTCCTGTGTGATTATCTTTATTCTCTCGGCACAGTAAATGGCTTTCAATGAATTTCTGTTACAGAACGTATCACTTTACACCAAGGGCATTTGCTTGGTGACTGCTTTTGGAGTTATTGCTTGCAGTGGATTCAGTTGGACATCCTTGTGGTGGAATCTATTGCAAAGCCTTAAGCACATGACTTAAGATTTCAAAGTCCCACTTTCTTTATATGTGAAATGGGGAGGAGAATAGTAGCCCTCCCATAGCAAGCTGAGGAACTCAACTGGACAATGCACAAGAAACAGCATTGCGCTTGGTGTGGAATGTGTTCAAAAATGGTTACCTACTAGCCTGCTTTCATGAATATCAGAAGCCATGCAGTTTAGTTTTGCTTCATCTACACATACTAGGAACAAAGAAATGTCCTTCAAATATATGAAAGGAGTCCAAAGGGAAAAAATTGACTGCTGGTCAAATTAGACTCTGACTCTAAAATTATACAGATGGTAAAGCGAGATTGTGTGTTCTCTGATGGTATTTTAAAGAATGAATTAGATACCATTTATTTGTGAATAATTTTGCATAAAGGGGGTATGTATTTATTCAATCTGCTTACTAAGTGTTTATTATGTGTTTAAAGTGAAAAGAGAAAGACAAGGCAAAAAACACATCATAGCTTTTACTTATGCTATGAGATTTACGGCAAATGCTCATTCAACAATGTATGAAGTAGCCATGATGACCCAAGCAAAATCTGGGGGAAAATGATGCGGTAGTTCAGTGCATTTCCATAGATATCTTGAAAAATTACAGAAAAGGTTTTTTTTTTTTTATTTACGTTTTCATTTGTTTTTAATGAGACTATTTTAAAACTCATTTGAATGGAAAGTAATATTTTTCACCATCAAAGTATGGAGATAAAACACATATTAAGATACATTTTTGTACTTCAGTGCTATTCAGGGCACTGTAAAATGCACATAAGTAAAAAGACAACTTATACAACACTATATTAGATGAACTAGAATTCATATTAGATGAATGAAAAAGTAATGCACATATATTAGACGAATTAGAACTTAGGTGTAATCACATGCACGCTAGCAAAGTAAATATGACAGCACATAAAATAGCTAAAATCCCAGTGGAATGCTTAGTTTCAGGAATAGAAAGGTTATTGAAGAAGACAGACAATATTTTCTAGAATTGAGGAAGGGCAAATTATGCATGTATTGTACCTTAAGCTACACACTAAAATTGTCCTGCTGGCTTGCCGCTTTAACCAAACTCTCTGCCTCTTTAAGTTCTTAATTATTTATACTATTTTTATATGTTCTAACATTAAGGTTTTTCTTTTCTTTTTGCCACTTTTCTTTTTGAAGATAGCTACATCCTAATTCTCATCTTCCTGTTATCCTCAGCCACAATGCATAACTGGGATGTCTTTTCTAAGCCTGAAGTCCGCAACTTTTCTTACAAAACCTGAAATGGTGGCTCGATTTTGAGACTGCATCAGAGAAATTAGTGCAATTCTGTTTTCACTAAGCAGGAGGGATGTTTGATTTGAGAGCAGTTACAGAGTTCCATTATATCTCTTACTATACTGAAGTTTATTGTTAGAATTGCCAATGATTTGTCATTTTTGGTAACTGTCCCAGTGGTGCTTGGAAGTCTTTATTTACGGAGAGATTTAAATAGCTGGGGCTAAGATTTCTCTCTGAGAATTAATTAAACAAAAAAATGATTAAATGGATCACATACCAGAGTAGCTACAGTCAAACTCATCTCTGTTCTAAAAACTAGATTTTAAGCAACCATCATAGTAACAATTCTCCACTTCAGAACTTTTATCTCACAAACCTTTATAGGCTCCAACAAAGCAATCCTCCTGGGCAATATATATATATATGTAGCATAGCATCTTAATCTCTGTCTGACGTCTGTTTCACCTTCAGCTCTTCTATTGTTCCAAGCTTCCAGTTTCTGTCTTATAAGGATATTTTTATTACACTGAGCTCACTTAGATACTTGAAGATACTCTCCCCATCTCAAAATCTTTATCACGTCAGTCAAGTCCGTGTTACTGCATAAGGTAGGATGTGAACATATGTAGGGGGCTGTTATTCTGTCCTCTACAGCAGGGGTCCCCAAGCCCCAGGCCATGGACCAGTTTTGGTTAGGGACTGGGCCAGCAGGAGGTGAGTGGTGGGCAAGCGAGGGAAGCTTCATCTGTATTTACAGCCACTCCCTACCACTCACATTACCACCTGAGCTCCACCTCTCGTCAGTTCAGCGGTGGCATTAGATTCTCATAGGAGTGTGAACCCTACTGTGAACTGCACATGTGAGGGATCTAGGTTGCCTGCTCCTTATGAGAATCTAATGCCTGATGATCTGAGGTGGAAGTTTCATACTGAAACCGTTCCCCTACTTGGAAAAAATTATCTTCCGTGAAATCAGTCCCTGGTGCCAAAAGTGTTGAGGACTGCTGCTCTGCAGGTTGCCTGACTTATCATTGAGTTGGGAGATATTTTTATATATTCTAGTTACAAGTCAATTCTCTGCTATATTAGTTGTAAATGTTTTCTCTCAATCTGAAGCTTGCTCTCTGAGTTCTTCATGGTGTCTGGAAGGCCCCGTCAATACATTCTCTTGCGGTTCTTACATTTTGTGTTCTATGTAAGAAACTTTTGCATAACCCTAGCTGGCAAATATTTGCTCCTATGTTTTCTTCTAAACAAAGCCTCTCTGAAGAGGTGGAAATGAAAGGAAATGATGACAACGAAGCAGCTACAAGATGATGAAAGGGAAACATTCCTGAAAAGAATTACGAGTTGCGAAGTTTCAAATGGGAAATATGTTTAAAGGGTGAGGAGAACAGAAGGAGTCCCGGTGTAGCTGACTCATAATTAGCAAGGAAATGTGAAAGAACGTTATTCCAGTAGTAGGCAAAGTGAGTTCACACTTGAAAGAGAGAGTAAAATGTTGGAATTTATTGTAAAGCAATGACAAGGCATAAGAGTTGGAACATGGCAGGGATGTGATAGGATTTATGGTTTCGTAAAGCTCACAGGAGCCACTGGTGGACAGGACTGCAGGAGCGTGCATTTGGAAGAAGTCCACTGCAGTTGTCCAGGTGAAAGTTGGTCCTGGCTTTAACCAGGTTAGTGGCAGTCAGGGTGGAAGACATTCAACATCTTCTGGACACATGTTGTCAGGGTGCTTCAGGCTTTGGTGTTAATACAAGATGTGAATATGTGGTAGGAGTGGGGATTTGATGTTTGCTCTGGTTTGGGTTCATGATAGGTTTGGATACGTGTTTGTGAAGAGTGCAGCATCATCCAAAGAGTGTCAGTTGTAACCAAGTTATTGAACCTGGGTAGGTGCCCTTGGGATGGGGACGTATCTTCTGGGATTTTCACCCTGCCTGAGTTACACACACATTCAAGAGTCCTAGGACTGTGGCCAAATGATTGAATCAATCCCAGTTTCTCTTTCTGCACACTGGGCTTTGAGGTTACTGAAGCTCCCTCTCCCTATGACATTGAACAAAACGATGAATGTGAAAGACCTTCATGCATTATAAAGCTCCATGGAAATGTGAGATGCTATTATTATCTTGTGCAAGAAGACAACGGCTGGGTGGTAGTGATGATTAAGAAAAACGCTAATAGCATGTTGTGTTTACACTGCCTTTAGTCCAAAACACAACATCTTCATTGCTGAAGCATGGTGATTCATGTGCTTTTGTATAGAAAAAAGGCATGTCAAACAAGATCACATATGGTAAGTATTTTTTATATATATATATACATATATATATATATATATATATTAGACATGTATATGTCTAAAATGATTCCAAAGAACAGCATAGGCTTATTTCATTATCACTGCAACAGTCTCAAGGTAGCCAAATTTGACAGACAAGGTCAGAAAGAGTTAAAAATAGAGATTCAAATGAAAACATATTCACTTTTTTTCTCCGATGTTTCAATCTCTTAATGACCCTAAGCTGCTTCTCACTGTATGACTCAGCGGCATTGAAAATGAACCAGAGAGAGAGAGAGAGAGAGAGAGAGAGAGAGAGAGAGAGAGAGGAGAGACAGAGACAGAGAGAGAGAGAGGCAGCCTAATACTTCCAAGCACAGGGGCATTCCTTTATTTCCATAACACATATTTATTAAGAGCTGTTCTGCATCCTGCAAGGTGTTTGCGGGGTAAGTGAGGGCAATCTCTCCCAGCCCCTATGGTACCAACAGCCTGGGAGGGCTGAGCTGTCTCAGGATATATCCACAAAACCTTGAGTTGTCTGTAAAAATTTAAACTGCATAGACTCCTCCGCTGACTTCCAAATCAGAATCTCTGTTGGTACAATTCAGCAGTAGGCATGAAAACTGAAAAGTTATTTCTATGCATATTCAGGATTTGGGGAGTGCTGTTTTGGGCAGATGCATTGGGCAGCGGTAGCTACACGGTGTTAGGCTTTTAAGAATAAACTTAGCACGGCCCAGGTAGTATTTTCTAGATTCAAGGGTGAAGGCTGCCGTGACACATAATGGGAAGGGTCTGTCTTTAGTGAGGCGGTCTCAGGCTTTCCTGTCTTACTGTTAATATCACAGGCGAAGCTGACAGCCACTGCAGAAGGAAAGAACAAGGAACCATCACTGCCATCTTCTCCTTTTATCTCCAACATCATAACTGCTCTTCACCAAGAATCAGAGGGAAAAGGGAGAAGGTTTCTCTTGCCGGAAATACTAATCCCAGAACCAATTGTTTTTCTCTCTCTTTTTGCTTTATCTGCCAGAAATTGTGAGGTAAAATTTATGCTCAACTCCAGTACCTGAATGTCTTTGTTCCTTTTGCTTTGTGTGTCAGATTTCACCTCTTTTATTTCTTCGTGGGGAGGGGGGGAAACAGGAGAAATAGGTTCTCGTGTTCCATAGCACTGCAGGGTGACTGTAGTTAAAAATAATATAATATGTAGTTTCAAATAGCTAGAAGGAGGAAATTGAATGTTCCCAACACAAAGAAATGATAAATGTTTTAGATAATGGATATGCTAATTACTTAGATCTGATCACTGTATATTACATGTATTGGAACATCAGTATGCACCCCGTAAATATGTACAATTATTACTTGTCAATTAAAACTAAATAAATGAAATGTGGGGAGTACTTTATGCTGTACTGCCTCAAACTGTCTTTAAATTAAGCAAAACTAATATTAAAACCTATATGAAGGCAGGGCGCAGTGGCTCACACCTGTAATCCCAGCACTTTGGGAGGCTGAGGCAGGCGGATCACCTGAGGTCAGGAGTTCGAGATCATCCTGGCCAACATGGTGAAACCTCGTCTCTACTAAAAATACAAAAATTAGCAGAGCATGGTGGCACAGGCCTGTAATACCAGCTACTTGAGAGGCTGAGGCAGGAGAATCGCTTGAACCTGGGAGGAGGAGGTTGCAGTGAGCCGAGATCATGCCACTGCACACCAGCCTGGGCGACAGAGGGAGGCACCATCTCAAATAAATAAATAAATAAAATAAAAAAATAAAAAATTAAAAAACAAGAAAAACCATATGAAGATATCTATGTATATCTATATCTATTTATTTGTGTGTGGGATAAGTTTGCCATTTTGATCATTTTAAAATGTACAATTCAGTGGGATTCATTACATTCACAATGTGGTATAATTATCACCACTACCTATTTCCAAACCTATTCATCACTACAAACAATAACCCTAACTATTAAGCCATATGTCCCCATTGGGGAAATATTTTTTTATTTTTTGAGACAGGATCTCACTTTGTCACCCAGGCTGAAGTGGCGCCATCTCGGCTCACTGCACCCTTGAGATGCATTGGGCATCTCTAGCTCAAGCAATCCTGTGCTCAAGCAATCCTCCTGACCCAGTGTCCCCAAGTAGCTGGGAATACACACTTGTGCCACTGCACCCAGCTAATTTTTGTATTTTTTATAGAGACAGGGTTTCACCATGTTGCCCAGGCTGGTCTCAAACTGCAAAGCTCAAGCGATCTGCCTGCCTTGCCCTCCCAAAGTGCTAGGATTACAGGCGTAAGCCACTATATCAGTCCATTTTCACACTGCTCATAGAGACATGCCTGAGACTGGGCAATTTACAAAAGAAACAGGTTTAATGGACTTAACAGTTCCACGTGCCTGGGGAGGCCTCACAATCATGGTGGAAGGTAAAAGGCATGTCTCACATGGCAGCAGACAACAGAAGAGAGCTTATGCAGGGAAACTCCCCTTTTTAAAACCATCAGATCTCATGAGACTTATTCACTATCATGAGAACAGCACAGGAAGGGCCTGCCCCCATGATTCACTTGCCTCCCGCTGGGTCCCTCTCACAAGAATTCAAGACGAGATTTGGGTGGGGACACAACCAAACCATGTCAGCCACCATGCCAGCCTTTTGGGGAAATACTTTGAATGGTGTTCATATGTTGAGTTACCCATACCCTGAGCTAAATCTGCTTGATTATGTGTGATGTCTGTATTTAATGACCAATGTGATTGCACCAACCATTCCTACAATTGATCTTGTTGACCAGGACACCTAAATATACATGTCTCCAAGAGTAAACATTCAAAATAGCCCTCAACTTCTTAAGACTCTTAAAATCATGTTGTTGGTTTGTAATCTACATTTACATAAGTAAATCAATTGTGGATTGTGTTTCCTTTAATTAGCAGTGGGGGGATATCGGCAAGTGATGGAAAACAGAATGCATTTTATCTAATTCTACAAGATTGACTTGTACATTTACTAAAATCTTCCACTCTGGAAAGACTTCTGGTCAGCGAAGATGTATCTGGGTCCACAGCAATTTGCTGAATATGGAATCATGGCTAAATTTCAATGGGATGCCTCCAAAACCCAGGACAATGTTCAGTTTCCAAGAAAGATCCTATTAGGTTCAACATATTGTGTTTTACAAAATGAAATTATATATTCTCATACTTCTAAATGCTTTCAAGGCAAACATAAAATGAAAAAAAAAAAACCTCTCTAATTGACCACATTTAAATAGAAACTTCAAAAAGCACCTAACATCTTTATGCAAAATGCCTTACAATTTTTAAAGTTCTTTTCACACATTACCTCATTTCCTTTGTGTTCCTGAAACTAAGATGGCTTTCAGTAAACAATTTTTCTAGTGTTCTGGCTTATGTTCGTGGCCAAACACACACATTATTTTAAAAGCATTGGGTCACAATGTGGAACCAACCCAATGCCCATCAATCAACGAGCGGATAAAGAAACTGTGGTACATAAATATATGATGGAATGCTACTCAGCCATACAAAGAAATGAATTAATGGCATTCACAGCTACCTGGATGGGACTGGAGACTATTATTGGAAGTGAAGTAACTCAGGAATGGAAAACCAAACATCTTATGTTCTCATTCATAAGTGGGAGCTGAGCTATGAGGATGCAAAGGCATAAGAATGACACAATGGACTCTGGGGACTCAGAGGGAAAGGGTGGGAGGGGGTTGGGGGATAAAATACTACAAATTGGGTTCAGTGTATACTGCTTGGGTAATGGGTGCACCAAAATCTCACAAATCACCACTAAAGAAGTGACTCATGTAAGCAAATACCACTTGTTCCCCTAAAACCTATGAAAATAAAAAAAAAAATTTAAAGTCCCAATTCATTAATAATAAGTTGTTTTGCAAGTAGACAGCTGCTTATCACCCAAGTTCTTTCACTGCCTTCTTCTCCTGGCCCCAAACTGCCCATCTCATAAGCTTGGTGAAAATATATTCTTTCTACACTCATCAACCACACTAAACACTTAGTGATATTTTAACAAATACTGATGCCTATGTCCCAGTGGAAGAGATTCTTAATGAGCTGTTTTGGGGTTAGTGTATAGGCACATGTATTTCAAATACGTATATATATCTGAATACTTTTAATGAAAAGCAAATCTTGTGATCCACACATTTAAAGAGAAAGCAAGTGAAAATATTGACACCCTCTTTTCCATAATACAATTCTTCTTCTCATTTTCTTACATCGTTAATTCCTTATGGAAATCAATGAACCGTCCCATCAAATTTTATCAAGCATAAACATCACAGATGGGTTTGGGAAAGAAATAATAGTTTGCAACCCACACCCTCAATTTTAGATTCAGGAAGCCTCCTCCCAGGTATAGGATCTTAAATTTTGCATTTCTAACAAGTTGCTGCTTTGTGAACCACATTTTGAACATTACTGCTGAAGAACACCCCATGTTCTAGAATTAACAGAATGTTTCCTAATCACATCTTGTTTTTCTTCCTTAGGGTTATGGTGCCCTTTGTAGGAAACAACGCACCCAGGAACTGCTCTGTACTTTATACTGAATTTAATAAGGACTTACATGATACCTGCTAGTGTTACTTTTAATTATCTTAAGAGTGGTTGATAATTACATTCAGTTGGTAATGAATCCCACCATATATATATATATATATACATACACATATATATATATATATATATACATACACACATATATATATATATATATATATATATATATATATATATATATATATATATAAACCTGCGAAGCTTTTCAAATAATCAGAGATAATTTCCTAGATCTCTTATTGATATGGTTTGGCTGTGTCCCCACCCAAATCCCATCTTGAATTGTAGTTCCATGGCCACATGTTGTGGGAGGAACCAGGTGGAGATAATTGAATCATGGGGGCAGTTTCCCCCATGGTGTTCTCGTGGTAGTGAGTCAGTTTTCACAAGATCTGATGGTTTTATAAGGGATTTCCCCTTTCAATGGGCACTCATTTCTCTCTCCTGCCACCACCATGTGAAGAAAGACACGTTTGCTGCCCTTTCTGCCACAATTGTAAGCTTCCTGAGGCCTCCCCAGCCATGTGGAACTGCAAGTCAAGTAAACCTCTTTCCTTAATAAATTACCTAGTGTCCAGCAGTTCTTTAGATCAGTGTGAGGACAGATTAATATACTTACTTAATTTGGAGTTTCACAAAATAATGATTTTCAGATAGTATTGTTCTTTCTGCATATATTATCTGAAATTTTACTTGTAATCACCAATTTTTTAGTTACTCTGAAATTCAATATATATAGGAAAAGTGGGAAAAAATCATGATTCTTTTATTGATCAAGATTCAGGAAAATGCGATCGTGGCCTAGTAATATAACCAGTGAGTTTTATTCTGGGTGTCATGATGAATACATGAACTTTTATGTCTTTATCATTTTAAATCCAGTACAAATATTCTTACAGATGTTCTAATTGTCCCATTACAGCTGGTCAGTTTCTTCTGGTTGATATTTGGGCCTTTGTGTTTTTATTGTTTCTTTGTTTTATACATACATACACATGCATAAGTCTCTCTCCCTACAGAGAGATATATTCTACCTCTAGAGAGCATACACACACACACACACACACACACACACACACACACGTTCTTATAGACTGTTTCCTAATCATTTGTCTAGAGAGAGAGAATACAGATATTCTTATCTATCTATCTAGAGACTATATCTCTATAGCTCTAACATATCTCTATATCTTCTATCTATCTATCTATCTATCTATCTATCTATCTATCTATCTATCTGTTTCACAGGTTTGCTCTCTACTCCGGGCCCCAGAGTGCTAAGAGGATACATGTATGTACATATGTATGTATGTAAACTAAATTATCAACAATGGTTTTCTTTTGTTAAAAAAGATTTTTCTTCTGTATGATCTTTGATACTGTAAATTTATAGCAATGCAGATATATTGTTTTGGCAATCAGACAATTAGAAAAATATAAAAGACTGTATTTAAAGGAAAGAAGATATCATCTGAAATGGGATACAGAAAGACAGTTCACACAAAAAAGGTGTTTTATGGCCTTGGAATAGTTTCAGGAAGGAACGAAAATGCAGTCACAGGACTGTTCTTGAATCCCTACAGCCAACGTTTGATCAATTGTACTTTCTGTAGCATATCTCAGAAACGACTGGGAGCAAATTGTATGTGGAGATGTAGAATGTGTCAACAAACTTGAAGAGAAATCATTAAGTATTACGTTTGGAGTTCAGCCCAAAGCAAATATTTCTGTATTATAGGTTCTTCTAACAGATGGATGGTATAAGTGGTTCAATACTATTCTTGCCTAGGTCCTCATAAAAGCACCAGAGGGAACAAGAATGCAGGTAAAAGAGAATTTACTTTACTTCTTGCAGCGCTAAAACCAGTCCTTCAAAAAGACACTGCATTCCCCATGCATCTGCACAGGCATTAGGACTCACATCCCCCGTGTGACTCCACCACACATCTGGTAATGATTTCTGCCTGTAACTTGAAGGATTTTACCTGGGTTTCAGCTCTAACTTCTCCCATGCTTGACTAAGTCTTCCACCACTCAGATGTCTTATTCGAGCCTAAAGCTCAGTGTGTGCTATATTGAGCTAAACATCTTTTTCTCATTCAAACTCGTCTCTTTTCTTATTTCCCGTGTTAATATCACAAGAATGTATCCAGCTATACAGGTTAAAACACTTGAATTCATATTTTTACCATGGCATCTCTTTGTAGAATCCCAGTATATGGTTAATATTTGGGGCTCACTGATTAGTGTTTAAATCGGTTATCACACCCATTACTTCCTTTTCATTCCTACACGCATCTGCAACTCCAGGGCAAAAATCTGTATCCACTTTAAATCACTGCCTGCCAGTTATTCCTCTGCGTCTAAACTTTTCAGAATGCCCAGACTTGGTGTTCTATCTTCATGCTAAGTCTCAATTAAAATGTATTTTACGCAGGAAGGTTTAATAGTTGTGTTATATAAACAAGATTAAGATCCTAGGCTTATCTTCCAAAGCCATACACACAAGCTTTGTTCATCTAATATTTGTTTAGTATCTTCCTTCTGCTCAATCAGAATAGTCTTTTGAACTCTGTGTTCTTATATTCACAGTATGTCTGTCTTATTCTTTCATTACATGGACACTGAATAAATGAATACAAGTCCTCTTAGGTGACAGGTGGCCTCAGGGACAACTCTATTCCAAGCAATCATGTGATGAGGACGAGGATGATCTCAGCTTGAAGTCTTTTCCAGCGGAGGGGAGGGAGATTTATAGTATGATAGAGGTGTTTACATTTTATAACAGTGTACAAATATTTTAGGCAGTTTACTTGCTGGATTCATTTATCTTTCAATAGACAATAAATAGCAGAGCTTTTGAAATGCTATTCATCAATAGTGCAATCATATATTATTTACCAAGAATGTGTACCCTACTTTCCGCTGCAGTGACTTCCATGTGAAAATGCTGTCACTGAGCTTCATGGAAGCCCCTTGGTGCCCTTCCAACCATCAGAAAAGATATCATACGGATAGAACTTGGTACATTGAAATTTAATTCCTCTGTCAAATAAAATCACCTTAGCCCTGTCATACAGTTATAGAAAGACTTATTTTTTTTTTTAATTTTTAGTTTTTTTTTAGAGATGGTATCTTGCTATGTTGCCCAAGCTGGTCCTTGAACTCCTGGGCTCAAGTGATCCTCCTGCCTCAGTCTCCTGAGTAGCTGGGACTATAGACATGCACCACCGTGCCCAGAGAAAGACTCATTTTGGTTTTAGTTGATCTGCTGATTAACCTGTTAGAGGAAAATGCAATGATTATTATTTCCAAAGCTTTGTTGGAAAGACAGAAGCTTGTTCATTTTGAAAAAAAAATCTACATAAGATTTAATAAACTATTAATTATTTTTAAATAGACTTTGCTAAATATATTTTACAAGATGTATTATGTGCCGGCTTGGCGTGGTGGCTCACCTCTGTAATCCCAGCACTTTGGGAGGCCGAGGTGGGAAGATCACCTGAGGTCAGGAGTTCGAGACCAGCCTGGCCAACATGGTGAAACCCCATCTCTACTAAAAGAAAATACAAAAATTAGCCGGGCATGGTGGCACATGGCTGTAATCTCAGCTACTCCAGAGGCTGAGACAGGAGAATCACTTGAACCCAGGAGGTGGAGGTTGCAGTGAGCGCCACTGCAGTCCAGCCTGGACAACAGAGCAAGACTCTGTCACACACACACACATACAAAAATGTATATGTGTATACGCATCTTATAAAATATATATGTGTATATGTATATACATATATATACACACCTACAATGTAGTGTGTGTATATATATGCATGCACACATGTGTGCACACACACATATTTCACACTTATTACTTTGATATTCTAGAAGCTTTTGGTTAAGCTTACATGTATAACTAGAATATTGTTGAATAATATAAGGGAAAAGAAATATCTTTTCTTCCTATCTTAGTTTCATGGCTGAGGCCCCTATGACAAAAGACAGATTAAGCAAAGAGTGCACTTCATTTAATAACAGTTTTATATGACACAGGAGCCTTCATAAGGCAATGAAGACCCAAAAGAAACAGGGAAACCTGTGGATTTTTGTGCTTAGATACTTAGGTTTGATAAAGAGTGGACAGTCATTGGAAAGTATGATTGAAGTAAAAATGTTTATTATCTAATGGGAAAAAACTGGGGAGAACTTAGCAAGGCCTGTGTGTTCAGATTCTCCTCTGTGTCCTTTTGTCCTCAGAGATAAGAATGTTCTATTCCTCTTGGTATAGAGAGTCACCTCTCATAGGAGGGTCTTATGACCTGGCTTTAGGGGAGAAGGATGGGGAGAAGGTCAGAGAGAACTTTCCTGCTTCTTCTGTTTTTTCAAATGCTAAGGTGCCATATTTATGGGTGGTATGCCCCATCAAGAATGCTCATTAAGTAGGCTTCTCTCTGTAGTTATAGACTGGGATAAATTAATTCTTAGCCCTATATAGGACAGATACATATTTTATGAAAAGAGTAACTGGCAGTTGAGCAACAATAAGAAATGTAGATAACACACAATCTTAATGACATCTGATGCTTCTGTGCAGTAGCACTTAAACGGTGTGCCCTTATACCAGCAGGGACCCTACTTTGTGGAAAGCAGGTAGATGCACAAATCCTCACACCCTCCCCTAAAGCAACAGAACACAAATTGTGGGGGATGGACCCCAGAATGTGCCTTTCACAAGCCCTTGGTGTCATTCTTTTAAATGCAAAAGCATGAAGAGTATCCTGGTAGATTGCATGGATCACAGAAACAACTATAACCCAAAATAATGAATTCCAATAAATATATTTCAAAGCCACCAATTAATTGGATCCAGTGTCATCTGCTAGATAAAATATGTATGCAAGAATATCTCCAGGCTTGCAAATAAACATGATGCATTATATTCTGTGCTGCCAAAGAAACTGGGGTGCTCCCTCTCCCCGCTGAATCTGACATTTGCATGAGGTCTGTGGAAGTGAACTGTGGAATATCCACCTTTGCAAAGAGAAATATCTACCAGGTGAGGAATACTGGTTTTATCTTGATGATAGCATAAAAAGAATTGGCTCCAAATATATGTATCACCCTTTCAATTGCTCTAGCTCATCCTTCCCTGTTGCTGTCTTTCCTGATGCATTCCTAGGTCCTGGATCCTATTGATTTACCCCATCCTGTCTGCCACAGTTCTTTAAACTTCCAGTTCAGCTACCACTTATCATAAGGGACTCTCATGGCAGTAAATGTTCCATCACTTTCATCCATAATCAGGGGATATTATATCCTTTGTTTTAATACACCACAAAGAAGTAAAAAAGCTCCACAATGGATCTATATAGTGATGGGTTGGGAGGCAGAGTGGGGAAATGTAGTGGATTTGCTCTCTGGAGCTCATACAAGTCTTTGGTTAAAAATTCATATTGCAATAAAAAATACTCAAAGAAGTTCTAATATACCCTTCATTGTCCAAATTGTCATTATGAATTACTTAATATTTTGGCGTCTATAGTCATAGCTATGATATACGCTGATAAATGAGCTGTGATATTCAAAACCAGAACATTAGGAAATTGTTCCTGGAACATTTGGGATTCTTTTTAGAAATAGATGAAAGCCATTTAGAAAGTTTTGACAAGTAATGAAATAAGTATATATGTTGCATTTCCTGGGTAATTTTGTTAATTGGTATATTAGCTAACTACATCTGATGTGGTCTGTGGGAATGAAGGAAGCTATCAAATAGTTAAGTATTTCACCATTTCTCAATCCTCTTCAGTCCAAAGTCCAGGGGCAGGTGGTGGCACAGATTCATTTGGATGGTTTAGAATCCTACCTTTAATGAGAAGCATACACAACGTGGGAAAAATAGTAATATATCCAAGAAAGAGAGTTATGCTTCTTTTGAGATGGTGAATAGAACATAATGCCCCTTCCTCCACAGAAATCTACTTTTGAAAAACTACAGAGGATAAGACGAGGCATCAATCTGCGGAAAGAGCAATAATAGAACATGAAATCAGTAAGCTATAAGCCATCCCGAGGAGATTACAAGCTGATGAATCATGTATATATGGTGAATGGGAGTGGCTGCACCTTCTGGCAGAGGGTGGAAGTGGTAATAGAAAGATGCTGGTTTAAAAACAAAGTATTAAGTTCACTCTTGTCTCTTATAAAGAATGCCTTGAGTTAATCATTGTCTAATCTCCCTCCCATCTTCTCTTCTCCATACAACTTAGAACTCGAGGGCAGCCATCAGGTAGTGGGACTCTGGCAAGCCCACGGAAAACTCAGCTGCGTTGAGGAGCTGGTTAAAAACTTTCAGGGCCACCAGTCACTTATGGCCACTATGGGCTTTTCCTGTTTCACCCCCTTCCCCTCCACACCCCCAGGAATGAAGCTAAAGAGGCTGTTTCTTCCTAATGCTGGCTCCTTTAGAGAGTTTAAAGCCAAATCTCAAATTTCAAACTTCTTCAGTGCGCCAGAGTGATCTAAAAGTGTTTGTTGAATGTTAATCTCATAGAAGAAACATAGACTTGGGTCTGCCCTTAGGTCCCATCACATGCGTAATTACAAACCAGAGTGATGGATGAGTTTCCACTCACCTAAGGAGAACACAGGCTAAATGTTTAACAAAGAGCTATATACCTGAACATTTACAAAGGTACCAAACGCTCTCTCTCAACAGAAAAAAAAATTCTTCTACGTTAAATATAATGATTGGAACAGATCAATGAAGAAATTACAATAGACAAAATAAATATATTCGATCACCTAAGGGAATATATTTCAAATAGGAGATTATAATAAGAAGTAAAAGAGAACTTGGTAAATATAGTAGGTATAGAATAAATAATAGTAAAGATGAACAAGAACCTAATAGTTAAGATAAATCATAGAATGAATTACCAAATTGGAAGATCAGATGGAAGAAATTCCCAGAAAGCATCAGGAAAGAATAAAGGAGAGAAAGGCATCCTTGGAAAAATGGATGACTTTGTTAGAGATACCAGGATCAGGTAACAGAAAGAGAAAAAAAAATACAGAGGAAGAACTAAGTTGATGAAAGAATGAAAATACACTTGAAACAAACAAAAAGAACAAAAACCTTATTTTGAATGGGCTCAAAGAGTGCCCTGAATAGATATATTACTAAGAAATTTAAGAACATCAAAGACAAACAGAAAATTCTAATAGCCTTCAGAGAGAAAAATGGGTGAGCTATGAATGAATAGGAATCAGATTGACATCAAACTTCCCAGTCATAGCACAAGACATTAGCAGACACAGGAGTCATATTTGAAAGTTTGAAGAAAAATAACTCTGAATTTAAAAAAATTTAATACTATAGGCCAAGTTAAAAAAAAAGATCAAAAAGAGATTCAATCATTTTGCTAAGCAAAGATTTAAAGACTGAAAATTATCTTTGAGAAAATACTTATCAAAGAATATAACTAATTTGGTAAGAATTCTGAAAAATATATGAAATGCAAGCACAACCAATAACTATAATTTCTATTTGGCTAAAATGGGTAGAAAAAGGAAGACAAAAATCATATATGGATAATAGCCCAGAACTTAAATTCTTGGAAATATCTACTTAAATAGCACTAGGGGTGGGACTAAAAAAGATGCATGTTTGAAAAAAGTTTATCTTGTTAGAAATTCCCAGATCTGTCAATGAATTCCTTGATGTATTCTATATATTTTTGATTTTCATATAGAAATTGAACAAAATTGGTATAAACCAATATTATGTTGTTAAATTTATAAAAACAACTGGGAAAAATAAACAGCATTCCCTGTGATCAGTTATGGTTAACCATAGTAAGGATAAAAAATAGATAACAGAGTTTTAAATAACTATGTATTTAAATATCTATTAAATGACAGGTAGAAACTTATGTTTTCAAAAACAAAATGTACAGTTACGCTTATCCTGAAGTAACTAAATTGAACATATAAAACAAGATGGCAGAAATAAGCATCGGTAAAATTAACGTTCAACAAACATAAATGGTTTAAACTCATGAATTTAAAAAAATTTCCAGACAATCTCATGTTTGTAACAAAACCTAAGATGAAGAATGCATCCAACTCAAGAGACAAATTTAAACCCAAAAGATATAGAAAGACTAAAATTATCAAGAATATAAAAAATGCAAGCATAAATAAGACCTAAAATGCTGATATGGAAATCCTAATAGCTCAAAAACTAGAACATAGGAACATAATATTATAAGAAGAAGAAAGATGTCTATGCCTCTTGACCAAAATTCCCCCATGAACCCAACTTCCAGTCCCTGACAACCATGAGTCTACTCTCTGTTTCTCTGAGTTTGACTTCTTTAGATTCCACATATAATTGAGATCATGCAGTGTTTACCTTTCTGTGCCTGGCTTATTTCACTTAACATAATGTCCTCCAGGTACATCCATCTTGTCACAAATTACATGAATTCCTTCTTATTTCCTTCTTTTTTAAGGCTGAAGAATAGTTCATTGTGTGTGCTTATATATTCACAATATACATCTCAAGTATAACACAGATATGATGAAAATATTAGGTCAAACTTTACATAAAACAGAGAAAACCCCTTGTTTAAAGCATAAGAATAAATACATATGAAAACCTGTAACAATCTGACGATGTTGTAAGATAGAAAGAAAGCTTCCATAAGACTCGAATGATCAATATGACAGGAATTCACCCTATGAATCTAATGTGGTAAAATCAGAAGTTAGTGCAAATAATTAGATTTTAAAAATCTATATGTTGTGATATATTCATCCCTACAGCACCCAGAAAGGAATGCAGCCCTGCCAATCTCTTGATTTCAGCCATGGGAGACCCTAAGAAGAGGACCAAGCTAGGCTCCACTGCACCAGGATTTCTGACCTACAGATCCCTGATGTAATAAATGGCTATTCGTTTATGCTGCTAAATTTCTCATAATTTGTTATGACAGTTTAGCAAAATGTATATAGCAGACAGACAAATGCAGAAAGGGAACATAATAGAGTGATAACAGACATGTGCAGACATACAAACATGTTTTTCTTCATATATACAAGAAGTCAATATGTAATGTAGTCCACAAATCAAGGAGGAAATAAATGATGGTTTTAAGTACAACAAAGAAATAATCTGTCCAAGGTGGACTGAATGGCAAGTCTACCACCTATTAATGAATGAATAATTTGTGTTTTTATATGAACTCTCCCAGAAAGCATAAACAAATGTTCTCTTACTCTTTCTACACAGCTACTATTAGTCGATGCTAAAACCAGGGAAGCTCAACAAAGAAAAATTATAGTCTATCTTGTTTTGTACAGAGATAGAAAAAAATGATTAATATCTAACAACAAATACAAAAACAGTATTAAAGAAGATACTGAATATCAAGCTAAGTTTAACATTTGAAAGTTAAGTTATTTAATTTGCTACATGAAAAAATTAAATGCAAAGCAAGGATAATCTTACAAGATAAAGAAAAATGCCTTGAACCAATTTATGATTGTATGTTATCAAATTAAGGAAAGAAATAAACATTTCTTTATCTGAAAATGGTAGTTTATTTATATCTTACTTCAAACATTATACATAATGATACAACATTGGAAGCCTTTTGTCTAAAGAGAGAACAAATCAAAGACAGCTAATTTCATTTCTATTCAATTTTGGATTCAGTGCAGTGAATGCAGAGAGGACAGGGAACTCTGATACTGTTCTTGGGTGAATAAAACTGTCCAACCACTTAAACAGTTTTTAACCTGAGAGTGTATATCCAAATATGCACATAAAATATGGTCCAGTAAATACATTTCTAGTTGGAGAAACTTCTGCATTTTTTTTCAACAAGAGACACGCACAGAATCCTAATAGCTGAACTCTTTACATAAGGCCAATTCAAATTTCCAGCTTCTGAAAGAGTTAAATATCTTGTGGTATAACCATCGGGTGAGGTTCCATATATCAGTGAACACAAATAAACTACAGCTCCAAGCATCTTCATGGTTAAAATCAAAAACATACTATTCAATGAAAAGGGAAATGCCAGGTCAAGAAGAACATAGGATGATCCTATTTATAAAAGATCAAAAGCAGAGCGAACAATATATTCTTTGGGTTATGCTGGTCATGACAATTTTGCAGAAATAAAACTTAATAAAAGAAGGAAATAATGAATCAGATTCACAAAAGTGGTTATCCTTAGGACAGGTCCAAAGAAATACAATTTATAAAAGGAACTGAGGGGAATCCCAAAATCTTCGTGTTCTAATCTTAATTTGTGCACAGAAGGATGTTCATTTAATTCTTCACATCCATGTTATGAAACATTATCTGATAAGAAAAAACAAAAATAAATGATTAAAATTGTCTATGGAAGTTGGAAGCAGAACTGCACAAAACAGCTTGAGGTATAAAAAAATGATACATCCTTGCAGTAATTTTAGGTAAAATCCAGCAGTTTAACAACGGGAGTGATTACTAACCTTAAAATTTCTAATCCTACGAAACCCAGGAATTTAAGTTTGTGGTCAAATACCAGATAAACATTAAAATAATTGTTTATCTGGAATGAAGAAAATTATACGTGTTCTAATTTTTCCCAGTCTTGTGCTAAGAGATCTTTCATTAACTGGAACAAATTAATCTAAATAATTAAGTCTCAATATTTATAAAGGCATTTTATTAAAATGGTTTTTAAAACTAATGTTCTACCATTCTCAGTTGCTGTGCCTGGAGAAATTATTACTGATTATAAATTTTACTGGTGGTTTCCAGACAGGAATGAACACGTGGGAGTTGTTTTGCAAGAAAGTTCCCAGCTACGTCCCCTGAGAGTTCTGATGTATTGGCTATGTTACTGGAATTGGTACATAGTAATTACTCAAATTGCACGCACAGCTAAGAGACGTGATAAAGCTTCTAAAGGAGTTCCCTCGTGTATACAAAACTATTTTAACAGCAGCACACATTATTTTAACACAGAGAAGCAAAACTCTTTTTCAAAAGAGAACTGCCTTTCAGAGAATTATTTGTTAAATCACGAGTGGCAGAGGGTGAAATCCAAAAACAAGAAGTGATGGTGAATCTGCTCTAGCCGATCAGTGGAGCTGAGAGTTGTAGCATCCAGAAGAATATTTCATGTTAGGATAGCCAAAAGGTAGTCAGCAAAAGGGCGAGATGTTTAATTTAAAAGGTTTATTTTTCCCTCTTATCCCATAGGATAAAATGCCCCCAAGTTTCTCCCCAAATCCTCAGTTAAATCTAATAAACACCTCTCTCTCTCTCTTACACATAGTTGAATGAATTTTTTTTTTAAGCAGGGTCTCACTCTGTTGCCCAGGCTGGAGTGTAGTGGCATGATCACAGCTCACTGCAGCCTCAAACTCCTGGGATCAGGTATCCTCCAGCCTCAGCCTCCCAAGCAGCCAGGACTACAGGCAGGTGGTACCACACCCAGCTAATTTTTTTCTATTTTTTGTAGAGACAGGATTTAACCATTTGGCCAGGCTGGTCTTGAACACCTGGGCTCAAGCGATCCTCCCACTTCGACCTCCCAAAGTGCCTAACCTTGAGTGGATTTCTGAATTGAGAAGTGACCCAGTCTTTCATGTTGATATCTGAGGTGGAAAACACATCATCTATAAAGGACAATAGGTAAGACGGGCTCCAAAAATAACCATATTAACCTGAGTCATCACCCATCCTCTGAAAGTAATCGGCGGACATGTTTGGACAGGGTTTGGACTTCCAGAGCGACTAAAGTTCACATTTGAGTCTAGATTATTTCTTTATTTACCTTATTTCTTTATTACATTCATTATGAGGATGCCAATTCCATAGTCAGGGATTCCAGAAGCAGGGATCTGGGATGCTTTTGCTTACGGCTGCCTCCAGGAACCCAAAATGGTCCCTGGTGCACTGCTGGTACAAGTAACTATTGGTTGGATGAACACATTTTCAGGGATAGGGAAACCCACATTATCTCAACATAATACAATTTTGTGGCTGGAAATATCACAATTCCAACCACATGTATTTCACCCTGAAGTCTGTACAAACAGAGATTATGGATGAAAGTTTCAACATCTTGTTCTCTAATGGTTGCATCCTTTTTTCCCAAAAATACGTTGGAGATTTTGTCCAAGTCTGTGGTGTCCATAGTGGCTGCAGGGCTGCAAACACCACATCTACCCTACGGGACTAAGAGACTCAAATCCCCAACTTTAGAATAGGGATAGGTTTTGTATTCAGATTTGTAATTGGGTAGGGTCAGGGTTTGGGTTCAAGTTCAGGTTTGGGTAACGATTCAGAACAAAAAAGATTTTGAGTGTGTGTATACATTTTAGTCCAGGCTGGGATCTCACAGTCAGGAGTCAAGGAGAAAAATAAAGATCAAAGGTCAAGGGTTAGGATAGCTTTCAGGTATGGAGGAAGGTTCATGTTAGGATTTGGGTTCAAGTTCAGGTTGTGGTATGGTTAGATCACTAATTGAATGTCAGGGTAGGAGCAAAGTTCAATGTTATGATCAAGGGATTATATTCATTATTAGGGACAGTGATCAAAAGTCAAGATTAGGATCAAAGGCCATGGGTCGGAGAATTTGGGGGATGCCTTCAGTGTTCAGATCAGGGGTCAAGAGTCAAGGGCTACTGGCAAAAGTTAAGGGTAAGTTCAAAGGTTTACATTAAAGTTAGATTAGGTGTTCGGTTGGCTTTGCTTTTGAGTTTAGAATTGAGTTCTTTTTCAAAGTTGGGTAGGATTAGGTTTCATATCCAGTCACTAGTTAGGGTTTGGGTTCAAATTTGGGTTCAATTTCTCATTCTCTGTTCAGGGTTATGGGTTAACTCAACGGTCAAGAAGCAATGGTCAAAGGCCATGGGTTAGTTTAAAGCGTTCAATTCTGTTTAGGGTCAGTATTAGGTTTAGAGTTAGAACACTACATGGGACCCTTATCACTTTCACCTTTATGATAGAAAATCATAATCAGAAAAACACAAGGAGAAGGGAAAACTTAATAATCTATGCATATTTTTAGGAGACATAACAGTTGAAATATATCAGTAATTAATAATTATTATAATAAGCTTCAATGTGGCACAGGGATATTTTTAGCACAAAAGATATTAACCCTAGACAATCCCAATCTGAGCTACAGAGATTATGTGTGTTTGTATTTGTGTGTGTGCGTGTGTGTGTGTGTGTGTGTGTGTGTGTACTTCATACCACTGATGTCGAAGCTTGGTTTTGCATTATCCAGCTCACTCATGTGGAGACACTATTGGATGAGGATGGATGCATGTCACAGATTTAGCCACCTCTACGAATGGGAAACATATAGATTGAAGATAGTTCCCAGCAGACATTCCATCTGCATGGAGAAGGGAACAGAAAGAGGAGTACCTCAGCCATAGAGCTCTGGGGGTTTGCAGGATGGGAACAGTCTGATAGGAAATTTGTAAAACACTGCATGTGGAGGGAGGGAGAATGCAAACATATTTAATATAATAAATGTCTAAATGCTTAAATTTTGGAAGTGGAAAAATAGAGAGATGGTGAAAAATCAAATCACTCAGATGGGGCAAACACACACACACAGAAGCAGATGCACACACACACATACACATCTCTTTGGCTCCAAGTGGTCTGGTTTAGGGTTAATGCTAATGTGCACTCTTAGCTACAAAGAGGACATGACATTTGAATTCCATCAAATAAATTGGCTGAATTACTATATTATAAAGTGTCCATTCCATGATTCCTTTTCTGCTCAAAAAAAATGTTTTACTAACCCTTCCCATTCTAAACTGATTTTATGGTTCATATCTTTCCATATTTTTGTCTTATAAAAATATGTGTAAGATATTAAGCTTTCCCTTTTCCAAGCATCTTTCAAATTATGATTTTCAGTCATAACAAAGAAAAGAGATAAGGGTCCCATGTAGTATTCTCAGTTCCCAGTTATGTTCCAGAATTAAAATAACACAAGAAAAAAATAAAAATGTCAGGAAGAAACACCTAAAATAATGTGGTTTACTTAGCAACACTAAGTCTTCAGGATGTGGTGTATCCGCAAATTGCCCTATTTTTAACTACCTGGAGGTTCTTTCTGCGTAGATGTTAATTTTTTAAACTATTTTCTGGACCTAAATGTCTTGCCAAGGTAAAACAGCATTTAAATACTGATGAGAGCCCAGACTCACCTGAGAATGGGCAAGAACGTGTGGAAAAATACAAAATGTCATCTCATCACTTTTAGTGCCTCAGCTCAGCCATCTGCAAGGCTACTGAGATCACACTGTTGCATATTAAATATGCTGGGATACATTATTTCTCATGCATTTCTTATCCAGTACTAGAAACCACATTTCATCACGGAAAAAAAAAAAGAAAACAAAAACTAATTTCTGATACTGGCTTATTGAAATAAAGCCATTATTTTCCAGGACTAAATCAGTGCCTATAACTTTATTTTAAATGTATACTATCCCTTAAACCACTGGCAGATTTAAAAGACACTTCATATCTTATAACTACATTTTTCTTAAAATTTGTGTTTTAGTCTATTCATTAAACTGCAATTTAAGAGAGAATTTTGGAAAGCTAAATAGATGAGGCAAACTGCCTTAGAGTGTGTCTTCAATAGAGACTGTGTTATAAGAAACGAATTTTGCTGCCTTGAGTAAAATCACCTAATAGCTACTGTGCTGCTGATGAACCCCAGCCTTGTGAAGATCTGATGCTGCAAAAATACCCCATTAATGCTCAATACACTAAAAGGAATATGTGATACAGTGAACACTGTTTGGTTCTATTCTCTAGAAAAAAAAAAAACTTTTTTTTTTTTAGCTAAGCAAAATGAGATCCACATTCATAAATTACTTTAAAATGCCTTTCTTCTATCACTTATTATAACCTATCATGGTAGCAGAGAAGCTGTTAAAACATGAAGAGCTAAAATAATAAATCACCAAAGCCAGGTTATGGCTTGAAAAGTCTGCCTGACATAGCGTAAGTCAATGAAAATCTCACAGTCAGTAAAAGAATAAAATGTTAGGGCTGGGTGTGGTGGCTCACGCCAGAAATCTCAGCACTTTGGGAGGCTGAAGCAGAAGAATCACTTGAGCCCAGGAATTCAAGACCAACCAAAGCAACATGGAGACCTTGTCTCCACAAAAAAAAAAGTTTTTTCAAAATTAAATTAGCTGGGTGTGATGGTGTGTGCCTCTAGTCCCAGCTACTTGGGAAGCTGAGGCTGGAGGATCACTTGGGTTCAGGAGGTCGAGGCTGCAGTGAGCTATGAGGGCACCACTGCACTCCAGCGTGGGTGACAGAGTGAGACACTCCCTCCTACAAAAAAAAAAAAAAAAGATAAAACGTTGTTCTGGATCGTATGCTAGGGGGTGTGTGTGTGTGTGTGTGTGTGTGTGTGTGTGTGTGTGTGTGTGTGTGTGTTGAAAGACAGACTGCTTCATGTTCTAAGGAATATTTCCTAAGAAATAGCAATTAAAAGTCCTAGAGTGGCCTAAGCAAGAATTTAAACCTGCAAATTAATTCAAGGAAAAACAAACACCAGAAAATTTCCATGGATCAGATTGCTTCTGACAACTGAACTCTTCCTACGGAGCTATCTCAGGTTGTAAAATCTCTTTGAATAAAGTAAGTTGGGATACAAATAGGATAAAATGAGGTGCTGACTCTGAATTTCAGGAAAGGAGCACTGTAAATATTAACAGTTCAGACATCTGGGGCAGAGAACTAGAAAAAGTCATTGCACCTTTGTAGCTAAGAACACAGATTCCAAAGGAGGTAATAAATCTCCCAAGAACTTCCCTTGTTCTTTGATGTGATCGCAAACTGATTAAACATTCAAATGTTGCCAAATGGCTGATTTATGAAAATGAATGCACCTTTCACTGACTGCTGAAAACTGATGAAGGAAAAAAGTTAACCTGTGATTACCCAAAGGAATGGAGAAAGCCAGACTGGAATTCAAGAGCACCCGCTCACTGTCTCTGTAAGGTAAAATGAAAACTGTATCTTAATTAGAAATATTAAAATAACAACTGCCATACAAGTAGAGTGGGTTGATTTCAAGGAGCAGGATGTTAAGAAAAAGGAAGCTCTTAATGCACAAGGTGAAGGGGTAAAATGGTTTCTACATGTTGAGTCTTTTAAATTAAAAAGGACAAATAGGCCAGGCTGGGTGGCTCACACCTGTTAATTTCAGCACTTTGGGAGGCTTAGGTGGGAGAACTGCTTGAGCCTAAAAGTTTAAGACCAGCCTGGGCAGCATAACAACATCCTGCGTCAACAAAAAATTTAAAAATTAGTCATGCGAGGTGACATGCACCTGTAGTCCCAGCTACTCGGGAGGCTGAGGTGGGAGGATCACGTGAGCCTGGGAGGTAGAGGCTGCAGTGGGCTATGATTGCACCACTGCATTCAAGACTGGGCGACAGAGTAAGACCCTGTCTCAAAAAAGAATAAATAAATAAAAATAAAAATAAAAATAGACAAATTATTTGCAGTGGGGGCGAGCCACATCAGGGAGGAGTGGTTCACTAATTCTCCATAACTATGTGCACTACCATCTGAGGATTATTACCCAGACTTCGAAAGGGCATGACATGCTGGGCATGGTGATTCATGCCTGGAATCCCAGCACTTTGGGAGGCTGAGGCAGGTGGATCACCTGAGGTTAGACCAGCCTGGCCAACATGGCGAAACCTCGTCTCTACTAAAAATAGAAAAATTAGGTGGTGTGGTGGCATGGTCCTGTAGTCTCAGCTACTCGGGAAGCTGAGGCAGAGGTTGCATTGGGCCGAGATCATGCCACTGCACTCCTGCCTGGGAGACAGAGAAAGACTCTGTCTCAAAATGAAAGAGAAGGAAAGGAAAGGGGAGAAGAGGGGAGGGGAGAGAAGGGGAGGGAAGGGGAAAGGAAAAGCATGAGAATAATGGCGTTATCTTCCTTGATTGGGCTTTTCCTGGAGGAGCCCACTGGTTGAGTAAAGATAGGAAGCCAGTGTTCTGGGTACTCAAAGTCAGTTGTAAGGGGCCTGTCCACCAACCTTAAGATTAGTTTATAGACAGGAATGTGGTAAGCAGAATTATAAAGTCATCCACCCAAGATTCTCGTTCCCCTGGTTATTAAATCAAACATGAATCTAGGTACTGTTGTGAATTGTCTTTGCAGATATAATTAAGGTTACTAGGCAGCTGATGTCAAGATAAGCTGATTATCCTAGAATATCCAAGTGGGTCCATGATACTGAGAAGCAGGAAAATGGTAATGGAACAATCAGTCCAGACAAGCCATGCAACTTGGGAAAGGAGACAAGAGGTAGAAAAGGAAGTCGGAGAGATTCAGTGCATTAGAAGCTGCCACTGCTGGCTTTGAAGGGGGAGGAAGGAGGCCAGGAGTCAAGGAATGCTACGGTTCTCAAGAAGCCAAAATTTGCCCTCAGCCAATAGCCTGCAAGGAAGCAGGAACCTCAACCCCATGGAACTGGATGTAGCCATCAACCCAAATGTTCCTGGAAGTGGATGCATCCCTGGAGTCTGGAGGAAGAAACACAGCCTTTCTGCCAACACACAGAAATCACCCTTGGGTGATGATGAAGAGAAACCATCCGAGCTACTCACACTTCAGAGCTTCAGAATGGTGAGATAACAAATGCGTGTGTTTTAAGCCACTACAGGTTGGATAATTTGTTACAGGAACAATAAGAAACGCATACAAGGACATGCAGGCAGTGTGAATCCCCTGGATAAACTTGAGGTTGCAAAGGATGGGATTTGGAGAAATGAGGGTTTGTAGAAAATGCTCAAAAATATGCTTACATGAAGTCTGCAATGCTCAGTACCCACAGGGTGGTAAACTTGCCTTCTAAGTTAAAGGAATAATTTGAACACAGAGTGACCATTTCTTCCTATGTCACTGTGCCCTCCTACTAGAATATCCACATTAACTGAGGATGAATACCAGCCATATGGCAGCTTGCCATGATCATTTAAGGATAGAGCTGCCTTGTTACTCTATGCCTAACTGGGAATCCCCAGACATCTTTAAGAACTGAGATAGGCCAGGGAGGTTTGGGAGGAAACTGTAACTGTGGGTGCCATCTTCAACCATAAAGTTTATAAATGCATGATTCTGTATCTCTGTACATGATGGAGATAACCCAGAAGTTCAATAAAGAGACCCATCTATTTTGGGGACACCCTTTTTGCCTCACCAACCCTGGATCTGGAATGAACAAGGGTAGCTCAGATTACCTGGCTTGGACATGAAATGTCTGTTGTGTTATAATGCAAAAAGTTGCTGCCAGTCTAACCAGGAGTGGGAGGCTTCCCTAACTTCTTGCAGAACTCACAGACAGTAGTATTCTAAAATTCTTGAAACAGTTACACCCCCTCTGCTGTGAACAGCAAGCTGCTTTATTCTCTAAGAAACTTGCATATCTTCCTAACCACCCCCAACACTAAGCAGTGCCCTATCACTGACATTCAGAGTCAGTTCACTTCAAAACACAAATGAATAGGGCATAAGAGTCCACATCAATTAGAAGATACCCAAATTAAGGCCAGGCATGGTGGCCCATGTCTGTAATCTCAGCACTTTGGGAAGTCAAGGAGGGAGGAATGTTCAAGCCCAGGAGTTCGAGACCAGCATGGGCAACAGATCAAGACTGTCTCTTAAAAAAATAAAAATAAAAAGTAGCCTGACATGGTGGCATACCCCTGTATTCCAGCACTTTGGGAGGCCAAGAGAGGAGGACTGCTTGAGCCTAGGAGGCCAAGGCTGCAGTGTGCTATGATGGTGTCACTGTGCTTCAACCTGGGCAAAAGAACCAGAAGACTCTGTCTCAAAAAAAAAAAAAAAAAAAAAAAGAAGAAGAAATTGAAATTAATGAACTACTTTAACCTTGGAAACCTCTCTGGTCTGAAAGAAGAAATCAGCCAAAAGAAAAATACTATTTGAGTTCTATTTTGTCATTACTTTTGACAAGATAATAGCAAATAGCATGGAAAGAACCATCTGTTTGGAGCTAGAAGACAGAATTTAGATCCCTAATTTTATCAAATAATGGCTAAGAAATCCTGACAAGTTATGAAACCATGCTTTGTCGTGTAAACTATGAAGTTAATAATAGTACTTTCATCACAGAACTGTTGTGGAGGATAAAATGAAAGAAAAAGGTAGAACACATACCCAGTGCTGTAAAGCCTTTGAAAGTAGTGTCTAATAAAACAAAATAATAAGTAACACTAATAACAATTAAGAAAAGTATACCTACATTTATCTTGTTGTAGTGTAACCACTGGGGATCTCTTTTGACCATCCAATATGCAAGAGTCACAATAAGTAATGATAAATACCAAGAAGAGAGAAAAATGGGAGCTCATAAAAAGTGTGGAGGTTCTGCAAGTAGACAAGTATAGCAGTAAAGGCTTTATAGGAAGAAAAGATGGATGGGACAGGTCAGTGAGTACCCCATACGAGAAACCATGCTCAGGAAGCACTGATAGTGAACTTACTAAAAACAACACTAAAACAGATGCATGGTGTGATTCAAACTCCCAGAATAAAATAAAATGGCATATGCTTCTGAAAAGAAAAGTGACATATGATTCATTTTGTGAAAGGTCCCGGCATAAGAAAGTAGGCTGACTGAATGCCTTGTTGGTCAGCCTGGCGGGATCACATTTGGAAGCGAACTTGGCGCAGTGAAAAGGTATTTCACATTAAAATCCAACAGCATACACATAAATACATGATTTCACAGCCATGGCGCTTGTCTGGAATCAGGAAACAAGGATTCCCAGGAAAGCCAGGAGGTGCTCTGTTGTTTTTAACATAGAAGATTCTAAGGATAATGGCCTCCAGCTCAGAAAACCAAATACTGCGTGTCCTCTCTTATAAACGGAAGCTAAAGTATGAGAACACATGCACACATAGAGGGGAACAACACACACTGGGGCCTACTTGAGGGTGAAGGGTGGGGGTAGGGAGAGGATCAAAAAAATAACTAATGCGTACTTGGCTCAATACCTGGATGATGAAATAATCTGTACAAAACCCCATGATTCTAGGAAGCCACTTGCATGATATTCGCCTCTTTGCTCCAAGCTGAGGTTTCACAAGCACATGGGCAGAATATTCCTCATGACTTCCATAGAACCAAGGGTTTATTTCTTCCAATGATCATTTAAAACAATCTATCACAGCCATATGGAAAAAGAGGCTTCAAGCTATACTTTGTGCTCATCAGTATTACTCTATACCTGGGTTGCTCAATCTCATCGATATTGACACATGTAGATGAAAGACTCTTTGTCATGGGGGGCTGTTCTGTGCCTTGTGGGTCCCTTAAAAGCATCCCTGGCCTCTGTCCTCTAGATGCAAGTGATACCCACCCCCATGATCTAGCTGTGGCAACCAAAATTTTTTCCAGACGTCGACAAATGTCTCCTGAAGTAAAAAGCTCGTGTCTTTGCAAAAACGTCCATACTTGAGGACGGAAAACAATTAAGACACCTATGTATCTATTACACTTCTTTTAACTGATTTTTCCAAAATTTACTTATCATTTATTGTCCATATTGGATACCATTACACAACTCAAAAAATATTTTGTACAGTCTCTGTACAAATCCTAAAGGAAAAATAAGAGAATATGGCACCATTTTATGTAGAGAATCAAATTAGTATGTGGAGCTCCTATAGTTTATTTAAAAATCAAGTAGAACACATAGGAAACAGAGAGGGGGCTAAGACACACACACAGAGCTATCATTAACAAATAGTCTAAATAGTCATAACTTGAATTTTAGGAGTGTTTCTCTGAGGTGAAACTCAGAAAGACCGCCCATAAATGTAGTGGATACTGGCATTCTTTAAAACTTTTATTTTAGGTTCAGGGGTGCATGTGCAGGTTTGTTATGCAGGTAAACTAGTGTCATGGGGGTTTGTTGTACAGATTATTTCATGACCCAGGTACTAAGCCAAGTACTCAATAGTTATTTTTCCTGATCCTCTCCCTCTCCTACCCTCCACCCTCCAGCAGGCCCCAGTGTCTGTTGTTCCCTACTATGTGATCATGTGTTCTCATCTTTAGCTCCCACTTATAAGTGAGAACATGCAGTATTTGATTCTCTGTTACCGACATAGTTGGTTAAGCATAATGGCCTCCAGCTCTATTCATGTTCCTGCAAAAGACATGATCTTGCTCTTTTTTATGGCTGCATAGTTTTCCATTCTGTATATGTACCACATTTTCTTTATCCAGTCTACCACTGAGGGACATTTAAGTTGACTCTGTGTCTTTGCTATTGTGAATAGTGCTACAATGAACATATGTGCGCATGTGTCTTTATGATGGAACAACTTATAATCCTTTGAGTATATACCCAGTAATGGATGGGATTGCTGGGTCTAATGGTAGTTCTGCTTTTAGCTTTTTACGGAATGGCCACACTGCTTTCCACAATGGCTGAACCAATTTACACTTCCACCAATAGTGTATAAGGATTCCCTTTTCTCCACAACCTTGCCAGCATTGATACAGGCATTTTGTTTAGGATTAAAGATTCATAGGGATGAAGGAACGTTTGCACAAGTGTTTTCAAGTCTGCAGTTCAAAATGCACGCAAGGTCAGGAAATTTGGGGGGAAAGTGGAGTCAGGTATTTTGTTTAGAATTCGTTAAAAATTCACAGGGATAAAGGAATTTGTCCAAGGCGTTCAAAGTCTGAGGCACAAAATGCATACAAGTTCATGAAATTTTGAGGAAAAAAATATATTCTGAAATTCTCCAGAGAATCAAAAGTAGCTTCAAGTGATTTAGAGCCTGGGGATAAGTTGATATTGGTAACAGAGGATCTGTGCCTTATACAAGGAAATAAGATATATTACGTGGATGTAAAGACATTTCTGATGGAGCTGTCATTTTCCCGACATGGCTGGCATTTCTGTGAGATGTATATTATGCACACATGGGTGTATGTGTATGTTTGTGGGTACAAAATTTCAAATATCAAAGTAATAGATATTTAGAAAAAAAATTCTGAAAGAAGGCATAGATGCCCTTTTTAAATGTATGTCTCATCCTTAAAATGCAGGCATTTGCAGAATAGCATGAGCACAAAAATGGAAATATGTGTATTTAAGTAGGAAATGATATAAATATATACGGAACCTAAATATATGTTAGGCAGATAGAGACTGAAAAGAATTTAAAGGGTCATTGCCAACTTTCCAAAAAACGTTCAAGAGTAGGTGGGAATGTATTGAACCAAAGAATGGAAAGACATAGTAACAGAAAAAAAAGAAAAACTAGTTAAAATTTCACTTTTAAAGGAAAGACATATACAAACTGTGTGTTTTATAATTTGTTCTTTCCTGTGGGAATATATGCTGCAAAATTTATACTGTAAAAATAGATTTAATATGACCCAAACAATAGAAAAGTCATGGGATACAATAGAAAATAAAATGGTGTTCACAATTTACATTTAAGTGTAACCAAAAGAAATTTTAAAAGAATATATTTCTGTAATTATATCCTTGACCTTTTGCTATCCAATGGAAATTATACTATAGTAAGATTATAAATAACATACGCCAGTGAACTTTATGTTAAGTATTATGCTTATTAGGAACTACTCATGACAAATGTGTTCTTTGAGATGCCATCTTTCTATTTTAAAGGACAAAATCCAGTTTGCTTGCAGTTGCACAGTGCTAAAAGTTACTTCTCGTCCTGTAAGGCTGTGAGTGAGTCATTCAAAGAGTTCTCTTTGTCCATTCCATTTCCCCAGCCTCCAATTTTCTTCCCTTGTTCTTCAAGCCTTTAGTCTTGCCCTATGGAGGGTCCAACACCAACACCATGTACTTTAGGTTTCTGTTGAAACAGAACCTCACTTCCAGTTTCAGTGCCTGCTCTGGTTAGCTAATGTTGTGTAACAAACATGCCCATAATGTGGGGCTTCAAACAACCTTTTATGAGGATCTCCCATGATTCTGTGAGCTGACTGGGCTTAGCTGAGAAGTTCTCTCTTGAGATCTCCTTAGTCAGCTAAGGGATAGGAAGAGACAGGAGTCCTCAATCAGCTGGGATGTCCACAATGGGTGACTCACATGGCGGTACTAATGGTTGTCAACCGGGAGTGAAGCTAAAGCTACTGACTGGAGCACCATGCATAGCCTCTCCATGGGGCTTGAACACTTTGCAACATGAGATGTGGTTTCCAAGAGAGAATGCCCTGAGGGTCAGTACTCCAAGTGCCCTAAATGGAAGCTTAATAGCTTCTTATGATCCAGCCCTGGAAGTCCCAGTGCTTTACTCCCAGAACATTCTATTCAAGAAGACAGTCACTGAGGCCAGCACAAGATGCAAAGACAAAGGGTTCAACTCAATTTGCAAGAGCATCTGCATCCATTTCTATCTATCACACCCTTTATCTTAAACCTGATTGATCAGGTGTAATGATTCCAATAGATATGGAAGAGCACACTACACTAAAAGTAGTATCCTACATAGAGGGGAAGTTGCCTCTTGACTCAGAAAAACAGACTGCTGTGATCAGTTGGTGATGCCTTCCAGGGATAAAGACGACTGTCTTATCCACTGAAGACACTTATTCTCAACTGTTCCCTTCACATACAGGGAATTTGAGAGGCTCAGTACAAATAAATGACTGACCCTCAAACTGCCCCAAATCATACATCAGACATCAAATCGCACATACAGTGTTGATTCAGAATCAAGTTATCATTTGTGTTCAAACATTACATAAGGCCTCAATTTCAACCATGTTACTGTTGAAATATTATAGATTAATTTCTACAGAAGTAATAAGAATATAGATGAAAACTCGCATTATTTAAACATTTTAAAAATGATACATGACAACCACGTGAGCCCTCAGTTACACTTGCAGGTGCAATTGTTCACACATTAATTCAATTCAATCGATGGAGTGCTTTATATGCTGTGTTTTATGTCCTCAATGAGGTTTGATGGATTGGTGCATGTGGAAAAAGGGAGGCATAGTGTATGCTGTCATGAAACTTACAACCAACAGCCTACGACAGATATACACCACCCAGTAAATGCTGAGTACAAGTACAGAGTGCCTGGAGTGACTGCATTAGACTAGAAAACCTGGAATGTAGCAAATGAAGGGAAGATGGCATGACAAGAGGGAAAAACGGCTTAGCAAATCAGACGGGTTTGGGACCTGAAGGCCATGTGTAGGAATGACCTACTATAATACGGTGATCAGTTGTTCTCCCTGAAAGGCAATAATCAATGCCCGGAAATCAATTAGAACACAGTTGCCCAGGAGTAAGTGAGAGACAATGGTTGATCATGGCAGGAAGAATGCATTTTCTAGCACTGTGTTTTCCAAAATGCTAGCCAATAACCACATGTGGCTATTGAGCACATAAAATGTGGCTTGTTCAAACCGAGATGTGTTGTAAGTGTAAAATGTACTCTGAATATCAAATATGTAGTAAAAAATATGCAAACTATATTTTGTCTCTATTGTCTGCTGACTTAGTACTTTATAAATATTGGGATACATTAAATGTATTTTTAAAATTGGTATCAATGGTTTCTTCGGGCACTCTTGAATGCAACTACTAGAAAACTTAAAATTACACATGTAGTGCACATTACCTGTCTATGGGATGTGGCTGCACTGGAGGAAATTTGTGGCTCTTAGGTATTTTGATTTGTTATGGTTTTCTGTGGTTTCCTCACATAAATAACCAAATTCAACAGGTTAATATGTGTCATATAATAGTGGGCAGTTTCCAGAAACTTTCTGTACAAGGAGATGAAAGTGTATAACCATAAGGACTCTAAATGTTACTTAAACACCACGTCAGTGGGAACCCCAAGCCCTGATGTAGCAGTCATGGAAGACGTTCAGCAGAGAACAGAGGCACAAGTTCTAGTGTTCAATCACTGTGACCTTGAAACTCCTTGCCTCACTGTGACCTTGAAACTCCTTACCACAGCATGAACTATGGAAGCGGCTGGAATATATTCCCAGCTGCCTTCACTCTTGCAAAACCCTTCTGTCATTCTCAGGAAGTAGGACGGAGAAGAAACATCCCCACCACAACATGATTATAAGAAGGGTCATATGGTTGTGGTTCCTTTATTGCTTTTCTCTTGAACTGCTGTGGCTACGAATCAGAATAAACTTGTTCTGAGAACAATAATCATCTTCAATAATTAACATTCACCTACATCCAAAATCATGTCTGTTTCTTTCTTGACAATGAAACTTACAATGATTCCCATGGTTTTTAATGAATTTATTCTTTTACAGAAGACATTATCTTACTTCACAGGAGTACTACCTGCCTCAAATTCTCAGGCACAAGAAATGTCATATTTATTTATGGCTCCATAAAATAAGAACTTTCTTCCAGTCCAGGAACACATTGGGATCTAGTCTTCTGTCTTTTCTTTTTCTACTGCAGAAATCCATAGCGGCCCTTTGAGCCATTTTTCTGACATTTGAGCAATTTGACAATTGGTCAGATGAACTAAAAAGAATAAAAATATAAGGCAATCTGTCTGTCATAACTGTGTGTAGAAGAGCATCGAACCTGGAGGAAGTAAGCCTTCTCTTTCCTGCTCTCTCTGCTGGGAGGACGGGGGGTTGGGGAGCAGTATATGATTCAGGGTGTTTGTGGACATCTCCATTCCTTCCCAACATGCCCTATCTTACCTCTTTTGGCTGCTAAAACAAAAGACTGCAGACCCCACGGCTTGTAAAAAAAATTGCTCACAGTTCTGGAGACCGGAAGTCCAAGATCAAGGCATGGCAGATTCAGTGGCTGGTGAGGACCCACTTTCTGGGTCATAGACAGCGCCTTCTTGCTGTGTCCTCACATGATAAAAGGGACGAGGGTGCCCTCTGGGGTCCCTTTTATAATGGTAGGAATTCCACTCATGAGGCTCCACTCTCCAAATACCTTCCAAAGCCCCACTTCCAAATACCTACACAGTTGAGGAGTAGGTTTCAACTATGATTTCTAGGGGGACAACTACCGCAAATGCTGCAGGATAAGGATCTGGAAATATTGCCAGAGCAAGTAGTATGAAGCCTTGGAGATATCCTCTGCATTCAGCAATATTTCATTTCCCTCCAGAGTGGGAAAAAAGTTGGTCTTAAATGCTTTTTCAAAGATGAAACTCTTTTCCAAAAATAGAGGCAGTGGAGATTCGAGGGAAAATGCAGAATGGCCATTTTTTAGAAACATTAGGAATAGCAACTCCACTTTTGTGGGGCCTAGGATGCAATGGTATAATTGGCAAGAGGAGTCTGGTGAAGTGGTGAGGCTATATACTGATTGGAGTGAATTTAAGAAAGGATAGGTGGAGAGGAGTTGAGATGTGATCGGTGAGGACTCTTGGAAGACGAGGAGATGGTTGCCAGAGAAACAAAAACATGCAGCCACATCAGGCAGAGAAAGTGAAGGTCAGGCACGTATTTCCAAACGGGATAAACAAAAGAATGTGGATGTGATGTTAGGTGCGCCCAGTGGATATAAACTACAAAAGATGTAGATGTTGGGAACAACGTTCTTGAGTAGGTGTGAGAAGGATGGGGTTTCTTACGTAAGACCCTCTATGGCTGCTTCTCATTTCCTGTATCTATTGCCTATTTTTATATGAGGCTGTGGCTGTGAATAGGTCTCGGTGAGTGGGTGTGCATTTATAACATACACACCAGATGACGAATTAGACTTTAGTGTTAGTTATTCGAATTCCAATTTTTCTAAAAATAATAAGTGGTACTAATGTATATCAAAGTTCTCTGCTAAATTTGTTCACCAATATAGGTTAAATTTATTAAATTGATCTATTTTAAGGAATTGGCTCATGCAATGTGGGAGCTGGCAAGTCTGGAATCTGTAAGACAGGCTGGCTGGCTGGCTGGCAACTCAGGAGGGAGGAAATGCAGACTAGAGGCCGAATGCCTTCTTCTGCTTTGGGGGCCCTCAGGTTTTGCATGCCCCGCAGTAAAATTGTACATGTCCCGCACCTTATATTTTAATTTGCAATGCTCTGATATTAAACTGAAAATCTGATGAGCATCAATGTAACTTTCTCTGCTTATACATTAACAGAGAAACAGACAGCAACCTCAGTGTATTCATATAGGTAACACAAGGTCCCTGGTCAGGCTGGTGATATTTAGAGAGATCTTTGCAGTATCTCGTTCACTATCCAAAATCTTTGAAAGCCCAGATATTGGGAAACTCCATCAAAAATTCCTATCAGCCGGGCACAGGTTCACACCTGTAATCGTTGCACTGTGGGAGGACAAGGCAGGGGGATCATTTGAGCTCGGGAGTTTGAGACCAGCCTGGGCAACACAGTGAGACCTAATCTACACAAAATTAAAAAAATAATAATTAGCCAGCTGTGGTAGCATGTGCCTGTGGCCTCAGCTACTCAGGAGGCTGAGGTGGGAGGATTGCTTGAGCCCAGGAGATTGAGGCGGCAGTGAGCTATCATCACAAAACTGCACTCCAGCCTGGGTAACAAAGCAAGACCCTGCCTCGAAAAAAAAATCTACTATTTGATAGCACACCAGAGTGACTATAGTCAAAAATAATCTGTTGTATATTTTAAAATAACTAAAGAGTGGATTTGGAATGTTCTTAACACAGAGAAGGGATAAATACTTGAGGTGATGAATGCCCCAATTACCCTAACTTGATTATTACACATTGTATGCCTGTAGGAAAACACTGCATGTGCCCCATACATATATACATCTATTATGTATCCATAATAGTTAAAATTAAAGTGAAAGACATCATTGTGTGTATTTGAAGAGAAACACTTGAGAATTCAAAATCAAGAGCCTTCTCTTTTAATTTAAAGGTACCATATTCTGATGCATTCGTGTTCGCCTGTAATATGCTCTTCTTTTTTCCTAGTTTTGAACTGCAATATGCATCGTGTTCATACAAGCAGCAAAAAGATGTTGGAATATTTGGCCTGGGTTTCACCACAGCATTATTGGCAATGATAGGAGATGCCCCACGGAAGCCCAAGGCAGGCTGCAGCCTTGAAGGCCTCTTTTTCCTTATGGATTGTGAATTTGAATGAAAGTGCAGAAGCTGCCTCTGCCAACAGACTAGCCCCATGGAGGGTCTCCTGGGGCTAAAGGCCATATGTGCTCAACCTAATAAAGTTATAATTTATGCCCGCCCTGTGAAACCCAGAGAAGAGACAGCACCAGCATTCTGCCAGGGATTCCAGGAGATGTGGACAGCTGTTGTCAAATTCTGAGCTCTATTTTCCCCTCAATTATCTGAGAAATTTAGGAGAAAAACAATCAAGTTTTGGAAGGTTGCAAGGCTTCTGGGGACTAGGCAAGGCTGGAGAGTCAGCATATACATAGTACTTATTTATTTATTTAGAGACAGGGTCTTGTTCTGTCACCCAGGCTGGAGTGCAGTGGTGCAATCACAGCTCATTTCAGCCTCCAACTGCAGGACTCAATGATCCTCCAGCCTCAGCCTCTCAAGTAGCTGGGACTACAGGCAGGCACCAGCATGCTTGGCTAACTTTTTTTTTTTTTTTTTTTTTTTTTAAGAGATGAGGTCTCACTATGTTGCCCAGGCTGGTCTCAAAGTCCTGGGCTCAAGTAATCCTCCTGCCTCGACCTCCCAAAAGTGCTGGGATTACAGGGATGAGCCACCACGCCAGCCTCATACATTGACACTTTGTAGCTAAATGGTTCACTAGCATCATCCCTTGGTCCCTGGCAATCTCTGTCTCTGTCTCTGTCTCTGTCTCTCTCTGTCTCTGTCTCTCTCTCTCTCTCTCTCTCTCTCTCTCTGTCTCTCTTGCTCAATATTTCTCAGATGGTCAACTGGGAGTTAAACAAATTGCAAATATCTGGATCTTGCCCAGAATCTAGCACTTCCAGGGTCCTTGGGGGTAATTTATACTCTCCCACTCCCCACTCTTTTGAAATATCTGGCTTTTAAACTTTTAGTTTGACATTCACATGTTTCTATGACAGTAAGGCTCCAGCATTAAAGGATGTTACCATAACTAGTATCTCTGAATTTCTGTCCACTGTTGATCACCATAGTTATTAGCTAGTCTCTGGGTGGGGCTTTATTTTAACCATGAAAATTCAGGACCAGAATGTAGCATGTAGATGCTCTTGAAATTGATGAAAGTGTTTATTAAGGTAAATCAGATACTTAAAAATATAAAATATTCCATTTTTTTAAAACTTGCAATGATATATCTGACTTCACAATATCGAAAGTAGTCCCTACTATTATCATTTTAGCATTTCTAAAATCCTTACCATCTGGTAACACCTCAGGGTTTAAGCCAAAAATATCCGGATGGTGGAACAGCAATACACTTAGTATCATGAGAGAGCCCTTTATTTCTTCATCAGTAAGTGATATAGAAATAGTTCACTGGCTTTAGCTGCAGTAGCTGACGTGTCAGGTAAGAAAATAAACATATCCATCACCAATGAGAATTCCAAACCCTGCTCTTTTACAGACAGATATTGAAAGCTTTCGTTTTATTTAAAACGTATCTGACCATAAAAAGAAATATATTCTTTAGAAAGTAAAGTTTCTTTTTTTCCTGAACCAGTAGAAAAGAATTATAATTTCCACTCTCACAGGGAAGAAAAAAAATTCAGGGTCAGGTTTAATATCTCGAAAGAAACAAGGACCTCAGTAATGAGTCCATGGAAATGAAAACCAATTCCCAATGCTGGAATCAAAGGAGGTTATGGAATAGTAATGTAACATAATACAAAGTGGCAAAATAATGACAGAAAAATAATCAGAACATTAACAAAATTTAAGAAGTATTTTTTTTTCAGAAATGCATTGTATGACATTACCCCAGGAAAATGATAGGAAACTCTCATTCTCCATAAAAACCAGTATTAAAAATTTTAAAGTACTTCAATATTTGTTAGATTAAAGGAAAAAAGGAGAAACAACCACACTAAAAAAAAAAAAAAGACAAAATCCTGTATAAGACCACACCAACACACCACACAGATCAACGAGATTCAAGAAATGCTGCTTGTGTAGTATATTTGTTTGGAAAGCAATGCAAGATATTCTTAAACAGTCAACACCATAAAAAGCATTCAGGAAAAATGCAAGTAACTAATTACAACCATGTGTCTTCTAAATATTCCACCTGAGCTGTAGTGTCAATATGCACCCTTTCCTGATATCAGGAATATGAATACAAAGTCCTGCAAAACTGGAAATCAAACTGTAGAAAACAATATGACTAATGAAATTAAATATAGATAATATATATTTAATCTGTAATATATAATATGAAATATATATATTTAATCTATATGTGTGTATATACACACATATATATAATATACACACATATATATAAATATATAATTTTGACTCTCAAGAAAAAAATGCATGTATATTTATATTTATATCTATATTTGCCTGGGAGTCAAAATTTTTAAGATCATAGCACTAAAGTTAAAGAGGCATAAACTGGTTTGTATGACACCAATTATATTCTAAGACATACACACATTGATAACTTCATAAAATAAGGAATAGTTTAATTGTGAAGTTTTGGAAGAAAATTTATATAAGTTATGCACTGGGTAGAAATGGAAAGGCTGAGAAAAATCAGTATTGCTGGTTGAAACTGTGGCTGCCTAAGTTTGCAATCCAAAAACCACCCAAACTATCTCTCTCATTGTGTTTCCATTGCCTGAAATGTGTAGAATTATGGGAACTGAGCAGATCACTTTGGGGACAATCATCTATGCCCCAGTTCAAAATCTCTTGTCAGGGCGCACGGCATCTCTGAGCACCAGCACGTGCATCACCAACCCAAAGCCAGGGAGGCAGGAGGAGGGAAAACATTTGAAAACTGACAGAAAGCTAAGAAACCCTCCACTCACTGGGCATTTGTTTCAGGTTACTACATAATGTAAACATGACAAAATGTATCCTGATCTGTTGTCCTCTTGTTTCTTTGATATGTGAGAGACAATAGAATAGAAAGCCACATTGAAAGAAAAGAACTGCCAGTTTTACAATCTGATTATTGGCATTTTTTATTGGTGTTGTGTGTTAAGAAGTTGGGAATATTCTGTGTGGTGTCTGTGTGTGTGTGTGTGTGTGTTTGTGTGTGTTTAAAGGGAAAGAGAAGCAAACTGAGAGAGAGAGACAGTCAGAGACAGAGAGAGACAAAGAAGAAAAGAAATGCAACAATCGTAGTGGACACCCAAACATATATCTCCAGAAACTCTTTCTCATACATCCACTAACATCCTTGGGAATCCCTGGTTTTTAACAAATGATAGTTACTGATAGATATTTAATACCCTCCAGAATAACCTGCATTACGTGCAAATAGATATACTATTCATATGTACCTTTTTTACCCTTTATTTGCAATGGATCCTCCTTTCCCCGACTGCTTTATTTGGGACAGTCCACTCCTCCTGTATCAACTTTAGCATCTGAGTTCCAGAAAAAACGGGGAGAGGAGACCCCAGATTCGGGATTTAAGAGGTTTTCACATAAGCACGAATCAGTACCTTTCACAGCAAATATATATGACATAAGGATATGCCTTTGCATCACAGTGGATATTTCTGCTTGCTAACAAAGACAGTTGTCATTATATGAAATATTTATTCAAATATCCTTAACTCCACATCTTTCAGTATCTCCATGTGTACGTCAGAGCAGCCATTGGTCACCCTCTGCCTGATCTCTAGATACTGTTAGTTGACCAGGGAAAGTTACTGGTGAAGTAAAATTGCAGGACTTGCAAAGATTGCAACATTTCATGCATTTACCAAGACAGCTGGTATGTATTGCCTGGTGAATCTGAGAAATCAACGTGTAAGGAACTCACCAATTATGCAATCCCCTAAAAACCACACCAAGAGCAACAGCGATTAAGCAGCCCTGAATCACTCTTTGTTGTCCACATATTTTTATGTAGTTTCATGCCTAACATAAATTTACCCAGTATAAAATAAACTTTGTTCCATCATTAGAGTTTAATTTTTGCAAAAGCATTAAAATTTTTTCCCTATTGTGTAGGAAAGTGAAGCATTTCTGCTTTATTGTATTTTTTCTAAAGACTTCCTTTTAAATTGGCCTTTTCTTTGTCTTTATCACCCTGCAGTATTGAGAAAATTTTTATGCATTTAATATAAAAAGTTGTCATCTTCTCCCAGCGAACAAACTTCTATTTAACCAATCTTGTGTAGGACATCTGATGGACATGTGGAATGGAGTTAAATAATAGCTGGTGAGAAATTCCCAGATATTCAGGGTTTGTTGATGGGGGAAGGCAGGGAGCAGTGAGAACAAAAGTTGAACATTTCCACAAAAAAAGCATAGATGAATTTGACAAGGGTAATAATTCTGAAACTCATAGAGATGTCTGGATTAAAAAAAGAATATTTCATCAAATTTATCAGAGTAAGTTTAAATAGGTACTGTCATGCATCTTTTTGTTAAAAAAAAATCTGTCATTAAGTGGAGACTGAGGAAGAAAATCCAGAATTTTTTTCTGTAAATTTAAGAATAGCAAGTCCATCTCCTTAATACTATATACTCACAATTTCCTGCTTGACACTCATTAAGGGGTTTAGAAAGTGTTTCTGCCTGATGTCTGAGGAGGTTTGCTAAGCCTCTGAGCTATGTGGCTTTTGCAGACCACCTGAAATGCTTGACATATTACTGAAATAAGGTGAAAAATGGTTTTCCAAAGTAAAAAGCTCCTGAAGTTGGTAATGGAATATGAGTACTTGTACCATGTGGGCTCCCATTCAAAACTGCCATCTTATCCCTTCCCTAAAATATCTCTGCACATCATTCTCTTCTTCTTGCTGAGTCATGGTTTATTTAAGATTTGCCTACAGCAAACACAAGCAGCATTTCCCTATGTAGAAACCAGGTTGCAGAAAATGTAGAGATACAGGCTATCGCAGTTTTAATATAACCTGGCTGAGTTTCATTAGGTTCAGCCCGTGGGGCTCCCCTAGGTCAAACTGTAAAGTCAATGTTGCAAGCTACCTGAGCTAATTTGTTCATGCACAATTTTTAGGTTCATTTTAGATTACAGTTACCTACTGTTAGGTAAGGTAACAGTAATCGCAGAAAAAGAAGGAGACCAGTGATAGTTTGTAATTCCTCCCCTCATCATGTGTGTCTCAGGCCCAAATGTGTTACACATATAGGCAGTCATTCATCTGACTTCCACAGCAGACAGAAAACAGTTCATATGTCTCCTTCCATAAACTTGTGAGAGGTACAACTTCTATCATGTAGCTCTTTGCCTCTCAAGTCTTTAAGGACAAAACAAGTGGTGTTCTTTTATCTTTCTCAGTCAGCATCAGGTAATGAGAAATTTTCCTTAGTCCATGGCTGAGCGTAGGACTAAAGAGACTTCAAGTTATGGGCACTGGAGCAGGTCAAAGGCATAGGCATTTCTGGATTTTTATACCTTCATCATGCCATTGTGAACATTTTCTCTAAACGATTTTAGCCAATTTGTATGTTTTGAATATTTTAATGTTATGGGCCAATGAGAGTTCATGCTAACATTCACCATGATGTAACTAGTAATTCCTTTCATGAATGTAGTGCATTTCTGGCATGCTAATGACAAAAGGCTGTGTGGATTGAGATGTGAACAGCTGAAGAACTAAGATGTGGATTTTCTGATGCAGGTCTAGCAAACCACTCCAGGAATGTGGACATAAGGTTAAAACAATTTTATCCTCCTCAAACTGAAGCGCAGGTACATAATAGCATATTATCTATTCTATTTTCCTACCTCAATTTCCCTGTCAGCCAGATACATACCGTGCATTTGACATCACAGGATGGATGGGGTGGGCAAACCTGTCAGTTCTTGCTTTAAAATTTAATTACTGAAATATTATTCAAATACTCAAAACCCTCATGAAATTGTTTTTGTTGATTTCTTCGTGGTGATGCTGTTTGTTTTGGTTATGATTTAGATTTCTACACCAGGGCCCTGGCAACTCTGAATGAGTAAGATGCATTTGCGTTTCATCAATACGAAAAGAATTACCCCTGGAACCCTGAGTTAATTGGCACTGTATGTCTAACTTATTCCACTGACATTATAATGTGTCTTTGAATTTGTGATACGATTGCATCACAATCGGTGTCTGATTATTTATAGAATTATCATAAAGCTGCAAAAGTAGAAAGAGGGTTTTACACTGCAGTGTTGTCGATAAGTGTTCCAAATAACAGTGAGGTAGTTTAATCAGTTATAGTATATCAATTAAGTTCAATCAATATTACACAACTGCTTGAAAATTAACTTCAGTCAATTTCCATATTAAAAACAGTAAATAAAGCAAGTTGCAGAGTAGTATAATTAATATGATGCCAATTTTGCAAAAAAAAAAAAACACTAAAAAGAAATATGTGCAAATGAATAAATGTGTGTGTGTGGGTGGTAAAGTTGTAGAACTGCTGTTTGTAATTCAAGAAAGAGCTGGAGAAAATACACAGAACACACTGATGGGGAAATTTCACTATATTATACATTTCCTTATTTTTAAAACTTTAAAGAGTAAACATATTTTAAAAGCAATATTTCAAAGAACTTACTTAAATACTTTCACAAAGGAATTTAGGTATAATGAGCTGCAGGAAAGCAAAAAAAGTGCCCTATTTTGACTGAAAATAAATAATTTATCTTTTTTATGCTGTTTTCTCTTACACATCATAAGAAAATATATAAATTGTGTGTGACAAGCTTAATTAACTACCTTTTCTAATTAGTACTTTAATGAATAGCCTTCTAAAGATATTGTTCCTTAACCCGAAAGAAAACTCTAAGTAAAATAGCGGCACATGAGAGGAAGAAGTTTTAGGAAGGCAGGTGGATAGTCATGTATTTTTTCATGATATAAAGTAGTTCCTTATTCTTCTTAATCAGTTTGCCATATGATCCAATAATTAGTTCATTTTTAGGGCAAGGTTCTAGCAAGTTCGTGAATGTTATACTTCACCACCATATTTTCCATAACTTACAATATTTTTTACAAAATTATTTTCTTCTAAAAATGCTTAAAATATTCACATTAATAATAAATTTCAGACCTCGGGGGGAGAATTTATTTATTCATTTACTTATTTATTTACTTTATTTTATTTTTATTTATTTATTTATTTATTTGAGACGGAGTCTCCCTCTGTCGCCCAGGCTGGAGTGCAGTGGCGCGATCTCGGCTCACTGCAAGCTCCGCCTTCCCGGGTTCACGCCATTCTCCTGCCTCAGCCTCCCGAGGGAGAATTTTTTATCTTTAAACAAAGATACAATAATTCTGTAGAATGTTCATTGTGGAAATAAGTTAAAATTGTGAATAATGCTTTTTGTAATGAGAGATTGGCTTTCAGAATCTAACAGATATTTTGGTAGACTTGTAATAAAGGCAGTGAAAAGATTTTGAAGCTCTCAGAAGAAATCTATTGACACTCCATTAACAGTCTGACTTCTTACAGTTCTTATTTAAGTAAATTACAATAATTCCTTCAGAATTTCAATTTTGTTTTCAACAGGTATATAGATTTGCCTTCATCGACATGCTAAGTTCTCAAATTTGAAATTCGCATATACACAGAAAACCTTGCACAGGTTGGATGGGTATCAAAAGCTATATTTTAACACCATATCCCTTTAAGATCTAAAAATGAGAATGTTAACTTGTTTTATATTAGGTTCCATGACATTTTCTGGAATATTCAATTCCATAAAAGTCAGCACAGCCATTTACATAAGACACAGGAGCTTAAAAAGAAAAAGCTAATTCTGATTTACTAAAATGTCAATGTCAATTTGAAATCCTATTAAGGTTGGAAAAGCAGTTCTTTGCCGTGGATACTAAAAAATGTGAGTCATTTCAAACTTTAAACATATTTTTACATTTTTGCGAACCCCTGAGGTATCCTGAAGAGGATTTATCACCTGAAACTCATACAACATTAAAAAATATATGATTTTGAACTGCTCAAACCGAGTTTTCAAGGATGTTCTTATTTCTACTGCATGTAAGAGGACATCTCTCTACGATATGTGATAAGCCAAACAAAGAAAAATTGAACACATTCAGTCTCATTTCCCTTCATGGCATCTTATACCTGCTTTTTCCTGTTTTGAATGAGGTGGTTCTGTCTCCATGTTACTGTAAATGTGAATCATAAAGCTCATTTTGTGTTGAGTTCTAAGAGAAGGCAGTTACACACAGTCAAATGGGAAGAGACAGTACTTATCCATATTAGCTAGTAAAAAGATATAAACTATTTGACATTAAGTATGTATGTATGTTTCCATAAAAAGGGCTATGGAGTCAAATGGATTCTAATAACGCCTAAACCTGCAGTCTCAAAACATACTCTGTTAAAGAACATGCATACTGCATGCATCATTGGGCAGAGCATCCTATAAGGCAGGTAGAGCTAAGGTCATTTTAGTCACTTTAAGACTCAAGACAACAAGTTCTGAGATATTTGGCAGCTTTCCAAGGTCTTATGAAGTCAGAGAGGAGACTTATAGCCAATGCATACCAACACTTTTGCAAAAAAGTCATGGAAGAATTAACTATCACTATGTACGTTTGTTTTCTAGATGAATAATAACAAAGATAAAGTAAAATATGTACACCAAAAATGCACTTGCTATATTTTAATCAAAACAGTAGAAGAGTTTATTGATTTCTGTAGTTTTCCTATACTATCTCCTTTTATGGGCTGAATGTTGGCATTCTCCCAAAATTCAACCTTGAAATCCTAAACTCCCTTCCCCCAGGAGATGGTATTAGGAGGTGGCATCTTTAAGAGGTTGTTAGATCATGAGGATGGAGTACTCGTGAATGAGGTTAGTGTCCTTCAAGAAAAGATCTCAAAGAGCTCCCTCACCCTTTTTCCATGTGAGGACACAGGGAGAAGTCACTGTCTGTGGACCAGGAAGTGGGTTGTCAACAGAGACTGAATCTTCTGCTGCCTTGATCTTGGGCTTCCAGCCTCCAGAACTGTGAGAAATAAATGTCTGTTGTTTATTACCCCCCCCCACCCCCACCCCCAGACTATGGTATTTTGTTATAGCAGTCTGAGTGGACTAAGACAGAAATTGGTACTGAGAGTGTGGTGTTAAGATAACAAATACCTAAAAATGCAGAAGCAGCTCTGGAACTGGGTAATAAGTAGAAGCCAGAAAAGTTTTGAAGTGTATGCTAGACACAGCCTACGTTGCCATGAATAGACCTTTGAAGGTGATTCTAGTGAGGGGAGGGCTCAGAAAAAAAAAGAGAAGAGCTGTACAGAAAGCCTCAATCATCTTAGGGAAAATCTATGCAATTTTGAACAGAATGACACTAGAAATATGGACAGGAAGCTCCATTTTTATGAGCTGTCAGAGGCAAATGAGAAATATGCCATTGCACAATGAAAGAAAGGTGATCTTTGCTACAAAGTGGCAAAGAACTTGGCTGAACTGTGTTCATGTTTTAGTAATTTGTGGAAGGCAGATCGTGTGAGTGATAAAAGTAGATTTAGCTGAAGCTATTTCTAAGAAAAGTGTTGAAGGAATGGCTTGGTTCCTCCTGACTGCTTAAAGTAAAATTTGAGAAGAAAAAGATGTATTAGCAGCCCGAACAGACCAAAACATCTCCTTCCCTCTAAGTAACATCTTCAAAACAACAAGGTAGGAGAATTTCATCTTAAGGCTAACACAACTAACTGTTCTTAATACTCAAATCCTGGGATTACTAGAAAGGTTCAGAGGAACCACACTAATTCCCCAATGACTGGTCCTTGGAAAAGTTTAAAAGCCACTTGCATGTCGATTATCAATTCTGCTCACTAAACAAACAGAAAGGAGACCAGAACATTCAACTTTGCAGAGATGTTCTCTTCACTAATTTTTAACTATTGAAGCCTAAGCCTAATTTGTAAAGTTCTGCTCAAATGCAAGAGTTTCCATGAAACATTCTCAAATTATCGTTTCTCTCCTTCTATAAAAAACCCAAGCATTTGCTCTTTCCTGCTTCGGAATATATTTACTTTTATTACTCTTAGTACTTTATTGTACATTCATTATAATATGGTCTATTTCTTGATGCCCCTGTATGGGAAAACAATGCAAAGTGTATGAGAGTTAAGAGAAAGGATGTAAAATTCAAAGACGACTTCAGGCAGTTCAGTGTATTTAAGTTAGGTCTTGAGGAAGGTGTAAAGACTGGAGCCAGTCAGGGGTGGGTTATAAATGTTCAGGGAAGACTATCAACAGGATGAAACAGTGCACTCACTCCCGAATAATTTGCTGGGTATGCAAAAATAAATGAGAAGAATTCTCCTCCTAAGATAAATTCTCCATTTAGATGGCTAGTAGTACATTTGACTGAGGAAAGTGTCTGACATAGATAATTAAAATACAATGCAAGGAGACAAAAATAATAGTAAATATACTATGTGAATACAGTGGTATTTATTCTATTCATAAGTATTCTAAAAAAAGATTACAACTAAAATAAGAACTAGCCGACACAGAAAGAATGACAGGAAAAAAATGCAAGTAAAGTTAAATTTGAAAATTAATGCCCTCAAAGCATAATGCAATCTTGTTATTGCTTTTTATTTTATTTTACTCACTTGTTTTCTGAAACATGGTCTCACTCTGTCACCCAGGCTGAACTGCAGTGGCATGATCATAGCTCAGCGTATCTTTGAACTCCTGGACTCCAGCAATCCTCCCAACTTAGCCTCTCGAGCAGCTGTGACTATAGGCACATGCCACCATGACTGGCTAATTTTTTCACTTTTTGTAGAGACAGGGTGGGGAGGGAGGGCTTGCTATGTGGTCCAAGCTAGTCTTGAACTCCTGGCCTCAAATGATCCTCCTGCCTTGGCCTCCAAAAGTACTGGGATTACAGGCATATGCCACCACCTGGCCCATGCTTTTTATCTTAAATGTGTATCGTTTCTAGTCAGATACAAGAGATAGCTCCTATAGCTTTACTAATGCTATGCAACTTCAAAAAGAAGAGAACCTCTTCTAGATAAGGTTTTCATCATAATAGTTAAAATGTATAAAATATGAGCTTTCCCTCCTTATCTATATGAAATCATCTAATATACATAGAACACGGAACAGGCATAAAGAAATGATACGCAACTGTCTTAGGTGGATCGTGGGGTAGTGAATATACATGCTAAGTTTAAAGAAAAGCTGGGCATTCAGAGAACACCCTATTAAATTGAATGGCTTATCAAAAGCAGAAAGAGCACCAAAACCTGTCATACACACACAATGAGCATCTAGAGTAGTTTGACACACCTGGTGATTAACAGTCATAATCAGGCAAGCACATGCAAGCATCAAACGTTTCATCTGCACATCCACCTGGTCTTATTTGGAGTTACTCTAAAGGCCCCACATGAGACAAGAAGTCGGGTGCAGGTAAATTACTTGGAAGGTGGGATAGTCAATAAATGGACCATGCACAAGTGTGTAACCAATGTGGCCAAGTTGGGCTCCATTCTTCTTGAAAACCTTGGAGGCACTCTATAGAATGTGCACATCTTCGAGGCACTCTATAGAATGTGCACGCTTCAGTTATGCCTACACATGGCATGGTCCTCAGTAGCTTCAGAGAAAGCACTTCTAAGAGAGACTGTCAAGACACATTTATTCCAAGAGGAATGCTGATGAAATGATGGTGGAATGCAGTGTTTGGAACTGTCCGCTGTGCAGGTTCTGAAACCAGAGAACCCAGGAGATAAGGACAGACCACCATTCTTCCCAGCCACACTCCTTATGTGATAGGCATATTCTCATTGGATAAGAGATAAAATAGAAGCTGGAACTAGCTAAGCCACTGACACAAGGTGACACTTTTATTAAATGAGAAAACCTCATTTCAAAGTAAATGTTCTACAACTTCATGTAACACTGACCTCACTGGGCAACATATATATAAGTGGTTGGATATGTTCAACTTGAATGAGAGGAAAGTTTCTTTATGTGTTGCCCAAACCCCATAAAAAATCCAAGAAGCAGATCTTGGTAACTTTATCACTAGACTGCAACTTTAACATCATTTTCATTTAGTAGAAAATGAATGTCTCATTGACGTTCCACCTTCAGGGAAACATGTCACAGTATAAAGAGAAACAAGTCACACATCGGGGTCCTTGCAAATGGTATTGATCATTGATCAACTTCTCCATAGAAACAGATAAGATATGGCTTTGAAATTTTCTTTACAGTCATTAAAAACCATAGCATGTGTTCATTGGAGCTCCTGAAAAGGTAGAACATGACATATACTTTATTTATGCTTCATTGCAGTGAGAGCAATATTAAAGATAATATCCTCTCACAAAATAGTACAGACAGTTTGGCAAAGTACAGTAACAGACTATGAGTATGAATATGATGTTGAGTCATGTGTAAACTTAGCTTAAATATTAATAAACACTTAGTAAATTCATCACTTTGATTTCTTACTCATATGGCTTAACTTTTCAAGTTGTACTTTGCTGTTTTTTTACAAAGCTCTTCTGTTCCTGTGTCTCACAGGACATGAGAATTCACAGAGTGTGATTTGTATTACATAGTCTGTAAATATTATGCTAAGCGCATATGTAGAATAGTCAATGACTACTGTAAACTGAACAATGAAAAGTAGTGTTTTACCTCGTACCACTTTGCCTGTTATTATTAGTAAGTATACTTAAAACTGAAAAAATACAGACACATGTTATATGCTTTAATATCGTATTTAAATATCCTCCCCAAAGATGCTTTTCTGTGTTTAATCTTGAGGGAGATACAAGCATTGCAACTACACATAAAATGTTTACTGTAGTTTCATTGACTTGAGTAGAAGATAGGTCATTTTGTAAAATGTCAAGGCTTCACTGCATTTCCAGAATGCAAATGAAAATCATTTGGGAAATTGGCTTTAACACAAACTGGATGTCAGGAAAGATTGTTTTGAAACTTGATTACTTAAAACTTGGAAGAGGAAATACAGCTTTGTAACCAAACCTACACCAGATAGTAGATGACAACTCTGTAAGATCATTTCCATTTCTACTATTTCTATAAAATTCAGCATCAATGTACATTTTTCACCATTACCCTAAATACAGTAGGTGGGGTGGGAGCAAATGCAATAAAGATCCTTATCAGGCTGGGGATAAATTTGGTCTGTTGTCTGAGAAAAAGCTAGCAAAGCCTGTAGTTGACAGAATGAGGCCATTTTATCATGGGGGGAAGAGATTAGATTCTACTGATGCAGGCATTGGATGCAATGTAGGTCTCACATTTACTCCTTTCTTGTGCCTCTATCCATGACAAAATACTAATGTTCACACCAAAATTTACTGAGGACTCATTTTTAAATATTTCAAAAATGATGGTCAGCGCAACTCCCTTTAAATTTTTATTGCACAGTTTATTTTTATGTTATTTTATTGGAATCAACCATCTAGGAACTAGAACATGCTTTGGATAGGAGCCCTAGGTAGGGGCAATATAGGAGAAAGGTGTCTCTTTTCTCTCTGTCTTGGCCCTGTCTGATTTTTCCTGCTGGTTCTGTAGCAGCACATGAGAGACCTCTTATAAAATCCTGAGACCACAAAGCTAAGGAAGGTGGAAGGAATTTAGTTAGAAGCTGAGTCATTCCACTACCTTTCTGCTTCTGTGCATGAACCTTTGCTGTCACATTGTCTTGCACTGGGGAGAAGGAAACTGGTAGCTGGGAAAATGCTTCTAGTCAAAGGTTATTTTTTTAATTTGCATCAGCAGTGCCATGCCGGGATGATGTGCACGGGAGAGAAGTATGGACACAGACTGGCTCCCTTTCCTTTAAGCCTCAAGAATATGCACAAAGAAAAGCACATGAAGGACACACAGGAAAGGTTACTTCCTGTAATATTTACAATGCTGGTCCTGTGATACCAAGCCCCTGCATCCTTTCTGCTCACCCTGCAGGTAGTGTGCAGTCCCTCCCCCATCATGGACTATAAACCTTCTTCTCTTTATCATTTGAGCTCCTAGGGGTCCTCAAATTTAGAGTCTTGAAAACTGATTTCTAACCTGGGTTGGATGTCAAGGAACATTTCATCCCATGCTTACCTGCAGATTGCAGAAATCCATTTATAGATTTTCCTCCACATCAGACTATGTGCTGACTCCTTGAGAGCAGAAGCCACAAGCTAAGCGGCTGATCAATACTTCTACTTTTTTCAATGAAGTAACAAATACTTCATACTGAAAGGAAACTGGAGAAATCCGTAATGCAATATTTTTATTACAACTCTCAGCTCCCTTTTCGATGGTTCGTTCTTCTCTAAAAGGAATGTGAATGAGAATTGACACTCTTAATGGGTGGTGGGGAAGAAAATGAGCAGAGTGGAAAATGGAACCTTCTTCCCACTTCCTCCATTAAAGGGCATGCTGTGGATGTGGCTTTGTGTATTTTCAATTTGCCTGTGTGTTCTGGTACTTTTCTCACTTTGTTGCTACCAATTGGATCTAGTATGGCTGTCTTTGATTGTAAGTACCCCTCTCTCTCTCTCTCTCTCTGTGTGTGTGTGTGTGTGTGTGTGTGTGTGTGTGTGTGTGTGTGTGTGTGTTGGGGTGCTATCTACTAATAATGTATCAATGTGTTTGAAAAGAAAATCAACTCTCATGAATTAATTAATGTGTGTGAGGAATCATGGTGGTCCCTAAACAGTTTATAAAATCTTAGTACCAATCATCCACGAAAGAGCAGTTAGTTATTTTAAACAAATGTGCATTTTTAATGACATAGTTTTTCTGGACCATTCACCGTCCAGTGCTTGAGTCTTGACTTAACAGAATTGCCCCGATGGAGCTGTTGCAGGGAGGACTTTCACCAGTTCAACACTCCAGACTTACTCAAACTCCTGTGGATTGCTGTGTTCAATGTCTCCCCCACCTATTTCTTCCATAATTAGCTTGGTCCTTGTGGTCAATTCAACACTGACATTTAGTGATTTCACATGATTACAATGATTCAGAAAAAAACTATTTTCAATTCCTTTCCAGATAACAATGATTAAAGTCTGGAAGAAGCTTAGTCTTCTACCAGTCTCAACTTCCTTACACCTTACACAAAAATTAATTCAAAATGGATTAAAGACTTAAATGTTAGACCTAAAACCATAAAAACCCTAGAAGAAAACCTAGGCAATACCATTCAGGACATAGGCATGGGCAAGGACTTCATGTCTAAAACACCAAAAGCAATGGCAACAAAAGCCAAAATTGACAAATGGGATCTAATTAAACTAAAGAGCTTCTGCACAGCAAAAGAAACTACCATCAGAGTGAACAGGCAACCTACAAAATGGGAGAAAATTTTTGCAATCTACTCATCTGACAAAGGGCTAACATCCAGAATCTACAATTAACTCCAACAAATTTCCAAGAAAAAACAAAACAACCCCATCAAAAAGTGGGCAAAGGATATGAACAGACACTTCTCAAAAGAAGACATTTATGCAGCCAAAAGACACATGAAAAAATGCTCATCATCACTGGCCACCAGAGAAATGCAAATCAAAACCACAATGAGATACCATGTCACACCAGTTAGAATGGCAATCATTAAAAAGTCAGGAAACAACGGGTGCTGGAGAGGATGTGGAGAAATAGGAATGCTTTTACACTGTTGGCGGGACTGTAAACTAGTTCAACCATTGTGGAAGTCAGTGTGGCGATTTCTCAGGGATCTAGAACTAGAAATACCATTTGACCCAGCCATCCCACTACTGATCATATACCCAAAGGATTATAAATCATGCTGCTATAAAGACACATGCACACGTATGTTTATTGCGTCACTATTCGTAATAGCAAAGACTTGGAACCAACCCAAATGTCCAACAATGATAGACTGGATTAAGAAAATGTGGCACATATACACCATGGAATACTATGCAGCCATAAAAATGATGAGTTCGTGTCCTTTGTAGGGACATGGATGAAGCTGGAAACCATCATTCTCAGCAAACTATCACAAGGAAAAACAACCAAACACCGCATGTTCTCACTCATAGGTGGGAATTGAACAGTGAGAACACATGGACACAGGAATGGGAACATCACACACCGGGGCCTGTTGTGGGGTGGGGGGAGGGGGGAGGGATAGCATTTGGAGATATACCTAATGTTAATTGACGAGTTACTGGGTGCAGCACACCAAAATGGCACATGTATACATATGTAACTAACCTGCACATTGTGCACATGTACCCTAAAACATAAAAGTATAATAAAAAATAAATAAATAAATACAATAGTAATAATGATTTAAAAAAAAGGAGATAACCTAATGTAAATGACGAGTTAATGGGTGCAGCACACCAACATGGCACATGTATACATATGTAACAAACCTGCACGTTGTGCACATGTACCCTAGAACTTAAAGTATAATAATAAAAGAAAAAGAAAAAAAAAGGAATTTATTCCCTGCAGGACTCTAAGCATTTTCCATGAGAACCAGTGACATGTTCATTCCTAGCTTTCTGCAAGGCCTTTGACTTAGAATTCCTCATTTAGCATCTTTCTAGGCTGCCATTACCAATCTGAATTTTTCCTCTGAAGCAATTTTTAAAATCATATCTCCTCTCTGAAACATTTTTTCTTCTCTGGATCTAAACTGTTGGAATGGGGATATACTTTCATCCCTACCTCAAGAAATTCATTCTTCTTACTCTCCAACTTTAGGTAACATGAATAACATAGTTATATCTAATAATGTGGGTGTCTCTTGCCTACCCATGTGCTTTTATTGTCAACTGGTAAGCTCTTAGAAGGTAGGGCCATACCTTAACTCAGTTAAATTCAACCTGATACAGTGTTGTACCAATCAATTGATACTATATTCATCAACTGATACTATACTGTATAATTCAATGTAGTTGCCAATAATTAGACTAATGATGACAGGGAATTGGTACATTAAAGGCCTGGACTTTTAAAATCTCAGAATGGCAGGGAATCACAGACTTAATTCAATCCAACTTCTCTTATAATATGGAAATCATCTCTGCATGTCTTGACTACTCTCGGTATAGATACTGTTTAAACTCCTTCAGTAACAGAGAATCCGCTGTTCCCTGAGGAACCTCACCCAATAGCCATAGAGCTCAATTATTAGGAATAATATGACTAGAAATAATAAATAGATATAACTAATAATTATTGGAAATACATTTTCTATTTTCAGAAATAATTGTAAGAACCCATTTGTCAGACCAGAGTTTCTCAGGAAAGGAATGTCACCCATGTTCAGGTGAATAATAAGCATGTTGAACAATGACATTTCACCCTACATTACCCTCCCTGGGTACCAGTCCCAGGAGAGTTCTCTAACTCAGATCCCATCTGTGCCTAACTCCATGCTTGGCAGACTGGCTACTAAATTTCAAGCCTGTGTTTCTGGAGCCCAGGAAGATCATGATGAATTCTGTCCACTGAGTCTCAGTGAAAGCCACAATGATGCATTTGCAATACTTTTCCCTTCTTATTCACACCAGCTCCAAGAAACCTTCAGTCATCAGTGTGAATCATCACCCCTTCTCTGAGTTTGAAACAGCTCCTAATAGAAGGATCAAGTCACAACTGATCCCAAGACAATTCAAGGTAATTTTCACTTCAGAGAAATGCCTTCAAATGGTAGATGTTCATTCACCACTTTTGTCTTATCAGTAACAATTTCCTCAACAATACTTTCCTTTTTGCAAGGAGATGACACATTTCTTTAATGAATTTCTTCTCTACTGCTCAAATCCTCATTTGGACATGCACTGCACAATAACACACATAATGGACTTGGGGAAAATGATACTAGACAAAACTGGGTTTTATATGCAGCCTTCCTGTTAGGCAACCACGGTATGTTCTGTTCTGGATAAGAGGGACAACAGTATTAAATGAGTCATAACGTGTTTTCCTGAAAGCAAAGAGCATCCTAGTGCATAGAAAAAGTGAAGGATGACAATATTTCAAGACAGAAACTTTAATTTTTAAAAAATGATTTCCCTACCTCCAGACATGGGCTTATCCTTAAAGATAATGAATTGATTTGTGCTGCGAGAGCAACTTTTAAGTAATGGTAATCTAGTGTAGTGCATTTTCTCAATAAAGAATATCTAACGAAAGGGGAAAGTGTTTAATATGCAGAAATAATGTAAACGTAACATACATACACACACATGTGCACACACAGGCACACACACATATGTATATGTGTGTGTGCATGTATGTATGCATGCATGCATGTGTGTTTGTGTGTGCATGTGTGTGGGTGTGTGTGCATTCCCCATCATCTCATCCTATTTACTTCATTCACTCTAAAGTATTCAGGTTTAAGACATACCAATGCAAACTACCAAACTATGAATAAATAATTTGCAATGTGTACCCCATTTATTATACTGATTTAACTAAGGAAAACTATGCCCCAAAGCTTCTGGTTACTCCTTGCCTTTCCAAACTATCCCTGTTATTTTGCAGTGACTCATGGAAACTTGTATTTTGTGGCTAAGTTCTTATTGTAATCCTTCTTTCACTAAGAAACAATCAAAAACAAAGTTGTCACTAAAAGTTCTAAAAATTGCCTACCAAATTCCTTACACATACTCTTTTACTAAACAAATGAATGAAGCAAACTTGGCAAATGATTATAATTAATACAAAATGAAAAAGATTCATACAGAAGTTAGTCTATTGCATCTACTGCATAGTCTATGAAAATGTGACTACAAGATTCTTGTCAATTACCATGTCTACACAAGGTCAGGCCTGCTGGTTTACAACTATAATCCCAACACTTTGGGAAGACAAGGTGGGGGGCGGGGGCGGGGTGGGGGCGGGGATGTCTCTTGAAGCCAGGAGCTTCAAGAGTGCTGGGATTACAGGCATGAGACACTGTGCCTTGCAGATCTAAATGTTTTTAAGAGTAACTGTTACAACCCAAGGTAACATAATTTTTACTTGGTTCTATGTCAAATAGAAATTTATCAGAAAGCCAACTGTTGCAACAGCTAACAGATCAATTATTTTTCAGAATATATAAAAGTAATTAAGTTTCAAATATATAGATTGCTTTTAATAAACCAACAAGAGAAAGTTAAACTGCATTATGCAAAATGAGCAACGGATGTAATTAACAGGAAAAAAATACCTAAGTAGATTTTTAAACAGATGAACAGCCTAACTCATACAAAAGAAACAAACTAAAGATTATTATTGTTGTTATTAGATAGACCAGGGGTCAGCAAACTATGATCCAGGAAGCAAACCTGGCCAGGACCTCCTTTTGTAAATACAGATTTATTGGAAGAGAGCCACACCACTCATGGACAAATCATCTATTGCTGCTCTCACACTGCAAGGGCAGATTTGAGTAGTCAGGACAGAAACCATGTGGCTCACATTTACTATCTGGTCCTTTACAGGAGTTTCACTGACCTGAGACAGACAAAAATGACATGCTTTATAACACACTCTGTTGGCAAGAAAGTGGCCAAGATGCATTTATAGGTTATGCTTGGAAGCTAAATTGTTTAGTCCTCTAAAACTCAATAACATCTATATACATTTAAAATAGATATGGAATCCTACCCCCACTCAAAGGTGTGTGAAGGGCTCATGCCTGTAATCCCAGCACTTTGGGAGGCCAAGGCAGGCAGATCACAAGGTCAGGAGATGGAGACCATCCTGGCTACCACGGCGAAACCCCGTCTCTACTAAAAATACAAAAAAATTAGCCGGGTGTGGTGGCGGGCACCTGTAGTCCCAGCTACTCGGGAGGCTGAGGCAGGGGAATGGCGTGAACCCGGGAGGCGGAGCTTGCAGTGAGCCGAGATCGTGCCACTGCACTCCAGCCTGGGTGACATAGCTAGACTCCCTCTCAAAAAAGAAAAAAAAAGGTGTGTGAAGGAAGTTTCACTGCACTAGGGTTTATGGTAGCAAGTATTTGGAAACAATCTTCGTGTCCAACCATGGCAGTCCAATCAATGAATTATGGTAGGTCCATATATGTGCCTGTGACAGAGGCTTCCTGAAGAATGAGGTGGATGTCTATGTGTCAAAATAGGACAACCTCAAAGTTATGTTATTAAGTGGAAAAAGCAAGATGTAAAGAATGCTCTGTTGCACTGGCATTTCCATGGCTGTTTAGTCACGTCTCTGGAAGGATTCTCAAGCCACAACAAAGAAAGGTGGTCGCTGAAACAACTGAATGAAGGGGTGGGGAATGGCATGGTCAAATGGTGTCCCTGTATGCCTTTTGTTATATTGGATTTTTTAAACCACATGCACAATTAACTTTCAAAACAAACAAAAACAAACGCTTCACTGAAATGAAACATCATTCAGTACCAGATATTTGCAGCACATTTGTAGATGTAAACTTGAGAAATAGCACATTGAAGAAAAACAAGATGGAGTTTCATCCACAGTCATGGAGTTAGAGGACTGAGGAGACACTGCAGTTGGGGAGGCTCAAGCGAAAGGAAGAGGAGAAAACTCTAAACCATGAATTTAAAGAGGAAACACAAACAGGAGTGTCCCTTTTTCCAAAAGCATATTGACTGACATAATGAAAAATTTAACATTCTTCTGCAGAATAGAATGGATCAAGCATTTAAAAGATTAAGTGGAGGGCATGCCAACTCAAATTTGCCAGAGGAGAAAAGGAAGAGGGCGTGAAACAGATCACAAATGAATCAAAATCCCTTCAAATAAAACACAGACAATAGGAGTCCTCCGTTACCCACGGGGGACACGTACCAAGACCTGTAGTGGTTACCTGAAAACACAGATAGTACTGAACCTTATATGTGCTGTGCATTTTCTTATACATAGATGCCTATGATAAAGCTTAATTTATCAATTAGTCACAGGAAATTAACAATAATAGCTAATAATACAATAGAAGAATTATAACACTATGCCAGCATCACTACTCTTGCACTTTGGGGCCATTGTTAACTGAAATAAGGGTTACTTGAGAACAAACACTGCAGTACCATGACAGATGATCTGGTCACTGAGCAGACTACTAAGTGACTAAGGGTCAGGCAGTCTCTACAGCATGAAAATGCCAGACAGAGGGAGGATTCACCTCTTGGGCAGGATGGATTGGGAGGGAGCAGGACTGCTGGAGACTTCATCATGCTACTCACAACCAAGGGCAATGTAAAACTGATGCATTGTTTATTTCTGGAATTTTCTGCAGACCATGGTTGACCGTAGATAACTGAAACTGCAGAAAGTATAACTGAGGACAAACGAGTAGTACTAATGAATTCTGTCATCTTTTGTAGAATCGAAGTTATGCACTTGTTTAGGAAGTCATCATGTAGACCAACCTGGCCAACATGGTAAAACCCTGTCTCTACTAAAAGTACAAAAATTAGCTGGGCGTGGTGACATGTACCTGTAATCCTAGCACTTTGGGAGGCAGAGGTGGGTGGATCACTTGAGTTTAGGAGTTTGAGAGCAGGCTGGCCAACTTGGTGAAACCTCATCTCTACTAAAAATACAAAAAAATTAGCCAGGCATAGTGGTGGGTGCCTGTAATCCCAGCTACTCAGGAGGCTGAGGCAGGAGAATTGCTTGAACCCGGGAGATGGAGGTTGCAGTGAGCTGAGATGGCGCCACTGCACTCCAGCCTGGGCGACAAAGCAAGACTCCGTTTCAAAAAAAAAAAAAAAAAGCAGTTTAAAAAATAAGCACTTTGTATTAATATATTAGAAATCTACAGGTCTGTTTTGTACTTTTTATACTGTTGGATACTTATAATAAAAACTTTTACTAGGGTACTGAATAAACCTAGTCTTATTAGAAAATTAAAAAAATAAAATAAAAAAATAAATTGCTTGACAAGAGATAATGTTGGTTATATGTCAAAAAGAAAAAGCCTGATATTTTCTATACCTTAGCTGAGTCTTCAATTTAATTTTTTAAATATTAAGATGAGACACCAAAGGAAGAAAAAGTAGTCTCCTACCTGAAGGCTCCATCTCTCTTTTCTTCTCCTACCTTCCCCACCTTTTCCTTTTGCCACCAATTCACAAAGCAGATTCCAGTCTCCTTATTGAGCCTACAACTGAAATGTTTCTTTTGGGAAAATATCTTGGCAAAAGAAAGGACTGGCAGTTAAACTCCAGTCAACACAAAGCAGCATCTATTAATAATCATCTGATTTCAAAGTATGGGCATCTTCTGTTTTAGCTATCTTCTCTGACTTTAATAATCACAATATTTTCAACAAACACACATTCTAATTTTTTTGGATGTTCCTTGTTTAAATTGCAAATGCATGCAACTACCTTTTGGCAAAGAGAAACGGACTATGTTCTTCCTAGTGAACAAAGGTCACCAAATCAGACTAGAAGGCTGAAATTTCCAGAAGGCTAGGGAAGGGAATCTTCCAGCAAAATGAATAAACAGAAGAAAAATATAGAAAGGTTATGGCTCTTGCTTCTAAAGATCATGCTTCTCATTCTGTGAAAATATATGTCAGAGAAACCTCATTCAGTGACTAATGAAACTTCTTGCTGCAAATATCCCTCTCTCCCGCTGTGAAATCACTTAACTCATTTTTCAAGTGGGAGTAATCTGCTCTGAAGACTCTTACCCTTTTGTTAATGTGTCTTTCTGCTCTAGTGTTGGTCTCAAAAAATGAAAATAAATGCACCGCTTTTACAGCTGATAGGCATATTTTCTATCCCTCGAAAGTTGAACAGAGCACCTCCAATCTCAACACACTTTATTTTATGTTTTTCGAGATTTGTACATCAGTGTGTTTACACTACAATTAAGCCTCCGTTATCTGTTCAGAAAGATGTTTTTAAAAATAGTAGAATCTGTCCATGCCCCTTGACCAGCAGTTTACAGAGACAAGCCCTATGGCAGAATGTTCACATTGTGCGTACTTCTCATGATGATAATTGAGAGATGACCAACTCAGTGTCACTTCTGAATTTTTCCCACTTGCTCGTGGTATTAACTAAATACAAATGCAGTCAACAGCACTGCCTCATATCTTTCTCATGAGCATGAGGAATATTGGTAAAGGAATTTTAAAACAGATCTACCCTTTTTTAAATCAATAATTGGTCTCACATACTGGAGCATTAAATTCATGTAAGGAAGCTGAACTAAAGAGATACACGTTTAGAAGTTTGTTGTAACAGTTTGAAATCCTTGAAGGATAAAAACATGGTCAAAGTAGGTGATTATCAGGTATCTCTCATAGAATACATTCTTTTTTTCAGTTCAAGAGCATTTAGCTTATTTACTTATTTTTATTTTTTAGAGACCAGGTCTTGCTCTGTCGCCTAGGCTGGAGTGCAGTGGAACCATCAATAGCTAGCTCACTGGAGCCTCAAACACCTGGGCTCAAGTGATCCTATTGCCTCAGTCTCCTGAGTAGCTTGGACTACAGGCACATATCACCATGCCTGGCTAATTTTTCATTTTTTTTTTAGAGATGGGGTCTCACTATGTTACCCAGACTGGCCTCAAATTCCCAGGCTCATGGGATCCTCCTGCCTTGGCCTTCCCAAATGCCAGGATTACAGGCATGAGCCACTGTGTCCAGCCACTTATTATTAATTATTATTATTATTATTAATCTGTAACAATGATTTTTTTCTTATTCATTTTAATTGGCAAAAACGGTATATATTTATATACTGGTATCTGGTGGGTGTGAACTGGGGATGCTATTCAATACCTTAAAATGCACAGGACAACCCCAACAAAGCATAGATTTATGCAGCAAATATCAGTAGTGCTGAGGCTACCAAACCTGACTATAAATTAGGTAGATGTGGCTCAAAAACTGAAAGATGAGCACGGTCTTCTCCTCACTGCATAAAATGATTTGCTTCAACCCTCAGTCTTTTCCATGACATTCAACAGAAGGACTGTGTTGGACACAAGGAGGTCCTCCAGCAGATGGTTCAGTGTACCATGCATATTGCTAACACTGGTTTAAAGTCAGTCTTGTTCCCTGAGCAGGTGCTCCGAGAAAGAACCCTCTCTTTGAAGACCCATCTCTAGGAAAACGGCTGGTGCATTGCTCTTGCAGGAAGCTCATGCTTTCAACATGTCTGTGGACAGGATTGGACGGAATTGGATGGAATTGGATGGGATGTATGCACAGCTCATAAATGGGTCCTCAATAACTACATGCCTGATTGAAAAAGAATCATGTTCAGAGACATAGGATGCAAGTTAAAAAAATCAATTTAATTGACACTTCATTTTTTCCCCAAGAATATTCTAGAGAGTGGAAATTTTATAACTAAAGCTGCTTCCAACTGGAATTAAAAAGACAGGCGTCTCTTTTTTTCTTTCTTTCTTTCTTTCTTTCTTTCTTTCTTTCTTTCTTTCTTTCTTTCTTTCTTTCTTTCTTTCTTTCCCTTCCTTCTCTTTCTTTCTCTTTCTTCTCTCTTTTCTTTCTTCTATCTCTCTCTTCCTTTCCTTTCCTTTATCAGCTCTTTAAAAATAATCTAAATCACACAAACTAGTGGAAAATAACGTGACAACAGATCAGACATACTGAAGGCTCTTGTCTAATTTACATGTCTGAGATGCCATAAGGCAGAATTAGTAGGCAAAACAGACTTTGCACAAAATCCTATCAAACATTATTTTTATCTGATAAAATACTAGTTCCCCATTGTTGTTAAAGGGAAAAATGAGCATAAGGAAACAGTGAGGTCTCACAGTGGCTGAGAGTAATTATTAACTTTTTTAAAATAGGGTAGTGGGTTTCTGAAGTTATAGTTGTAAAAGTATAAACTGTACATAAAGTATACAGTATAATAAATGTTGACTTATGTATACAGTTATGAAGCCATCACCACAGTCAAGGTGACAGAAATATCAATCACACATAGCAGGGCGTGGTGGCATGCACCTGTAGTCCCAGCTACTGGGGAGGCTGAGGCAGGAGAACTGCTTGAACCCAGGAGGTGGAGGTTGTAGTGAGCCGAGGTTGTGCCACTGCACTTCACCCTGGGTGATAGAGTGAGACTCTGTTTAAAATATACATATATGTGTATTTTATACACATATACACACACACATATATATACATGTACATATATATATATCACACCCCAAAGTTTACCCATATCCCTTTATAATCTATATCTCTTGCTCCTCCTCCTCATCTCAGGCAAACAGTTATCTGCTTACAGACAGGCATTATGAATTACAGCTTCCAAAATATTAAAAGCGAAGTAACAGAATTACGGTCTCTTCATTGCTTGGCCTCTTAGGCTTGGCATAATCATTTTAATATTCATGCAGGTTGTAGCATGCACCAACAGTTCATTCATTTTTACTGCTCAGAAGCATTCCAGCCTATGAATACATTCAGGTTCTTGGTCTTGGTATGGACATATGCTCCTCTTTTTCTTGTGTAAATACCTAGGAGTTAAATGGCTGAACCACATGGTACTTGTAGGTTTAACAACAAAAAAATTGCCAAACTCTTCTCAAAAGTCCTGGTTTCATATCACTTCCCCACCAGCAGCTTGGGGTGGACTCTAGCTCCTCCAAATCCTCACCAAGCCCTGGCATAGCGAGTCTTGTGGCTTCAGCCATTCTCAGATGTGTAGTGGTATTTCACTGTGGTTTCATTTGTGCATTTATCCAATGACTAATGATGCTGAGCACATTTTCATTGGGCTATTGGTCATATGTATGTTTTCCTAGGTGAACTGCCTGTTCAATTTTCTGTCCAATTGTTATGGGGTGGTTTCTTTTTAATTCTCCTTTTAGAATATATATATGTGTGTATATATACACACATACATATATATGTGTATATATACACACATACATATATATGTGTATATATACACACATACATATATATGTGTATATATACACACATATACACACATCTATACACACACAGGGGTAAATTATATACTATATTGACAATATATATGATACAGTATACTATATATACTATACTGTATACAATTTAGTATACTACATGTGCTATATATATAAAAAACACAGTATTTTAAATATTTATTTTATTTAAATAGGCTTTTACATTTTCATAGTTCACATTCTGTAATTTTTAGTAATAGTGATACTCAGTATATCATATATATACATATGTGTAGTATACTGTATGGTAAATATATGATATATTTTATATATAGTATACAATACTGTATCATATATACTATATATGAATATTGTATATATAGTATATAATTGTACCAGTACGTGTCTATACATATATGTCTAATACCATATATACTATATATTTATAGGAAACTGCATCATATATATGTATGTATGCATACATTTATACTGGTACAATACCTTCATCCGATATTTAATTTGCCTATCTTACCTCCCAGTTTGTGAATTCTCTTTACATTCCCTTAGCAATGTCTTTCATGTAGCATAAGCATTTTTTTAAGTTTTGATGTAGTCCAATGTATTAATTGGTTCCTTTAAAAATCAAGCTTCTTGTTTTAAGTAAGAAATATTTGCCAAAATCTAAAGTCACAAAATTTTTCTTTTTTTTTTTTTTCTCCTGGAAGTTTTACAATTTTAAGCTTTACATCTAGGTATTTGACTCACTTTTCAGTTGTTTTTTGTACAAATTGTGAGTTATAGATCAAAGCTTTTTGTTTACTTTTTCTTTTCTTTTGTATATGGATACTTAATGTTTCCAACACCATTTCTTGAAAAAAAAATCATTCCTGCATAGAATTACCTTTGAATCTCCTTGGAAAATTCATTGTCCATATATGTACAGTTCTATGTGGTGTCTCTAGTCTATGATATTGATCAGGTTTTACATCTTTATGTCAATAATACGCTGTTTCAATTAATATAGCTCTATACTAAGTCTTGAGCTCAGGTAGCAGGAGCCCTCCAAGTATGTTCTACTGCTACAAAAATGTTTTGGTTATTGTAGATCTTTTGTATTTTCATTAAAATTTTAAATTTATCTTGTTAATTTATGTATTTTCTAAAAGTCTACTGTTATTTTATTTGGGATTGCAAAGAGTCTGTAGATTAATTTGTACAAAATAAATATCTTAACAATATTGTATCTTCTCAGGAGGGTGTTGTGTTTGTGAACACAGTCTGTCTCCCAGTTGCTTAAGCCTTCATCAGTGTCCCTCAGTGACAGAGTATAGTTTTCAGTGCATAGACTTTGTCAGATTTACTACTCTATAGTTGATATATGCATCAACCAAAGTACGTTTGTGACGGATTGGAAATAAATAAATAAAAATAGCAAAAGACCTAATTATCCATGACAGACCAATGAAAAGTGTCATGCTTTGAGATTTCCTTGAGAAATCTAAACATTCTGAAACTTTTCCATTTCTACAATATTTATTAACATTCTGATTACATCTTAGTTTGCTCTTCAGTTTTTCAATGGAAATTTGATAAAGTTTAATTCCCACTTCACCAAGATACAGGCATACAGAGTATACATAGTATACAGGATTTATGATTGTGTACAAGAAATTGGTGTGTTTCATGTCTACCAAATTCAAATTAATTACTAGTAAAGCCTACTAGATAATGAGATTTTTTAAAAGTAGACTTGCATTAAGATCTACTCAACTAAATTTTGAAAACATTCCAGAGTCAAATATTAAAAATAATAAATATAAAAGCCTAATTTGCATTAACAGAAAATATATATTTTTGAGTACACCAAGAAATTTTAATTTTGTCTTAAAATCTACCATTATTCTTTCCTAATGTGTCTAGATTTTAAAGGTAAATTCACTGCTCTAAGACTGATTGATAGATAAATAATCACAAGGGTATTATTTACTGAATAATTATAGTATACAAAGAAGTTTGCTAGGCCAATTACATACATTGTGTCTTATTTATTTCTCCCAGTAACTCTCCAAGGTAGCTAGCGTTATTGCTATGTTGTAGATTGATTGCAGACATACTAATCAACAGCTGGCACTAAATCCATCATCAATCTTTAAGTTGATGACCTTACATAACCTCATGCATATATAAACAGGAGCATTTTCATTAAAAAAATTAAATCCCTAAATTTGAAACAAAACAGTGGCTTTAGTAATTTGTATTTAAAACACTCATGTTTATTTCTAAAATGGCTTTTAATCATGCATTTTCAAAGATCAAACACTCTCAAAAACACCAAAATAGCCAAACATACATTTCCCAAGGAACACTCAAATATTGATTGAAAAGTGTAAAGAAACTTGCGAATAAACAAGAGTATGACTCAGTGCTTCAGAGAGAAATGTTAATGAAAATATCTTTTCAACCACAATGCTACCAGTAACATAAATCCTAATTAAACCCAAGTTGCATAGGCTGTGGTGTCAGGTGATGATTAACTGTCTGAAATTTCTTTGAAGTTTGAGTTGTTAGGAATGAGATTGCTGATTTAATTTATTTTAATGCCTGTGAAATAAAGTCACAATTCTTTGAACTCTGAACTGCTCTTAAGAGAATACAGTGCTAATAAAATATTTGCATTATCTTTATAAACTCATGTTCCACCTACTCATTTCTGTAATATATTAGAATAAATCAGAAGCCTACATCTAGCAGTAACAGAGTAGATTATTCAAACCAACCTTCTTATTGAAAATGGATTGTAATATGTGTGATTTTTTTAAGTCTCTTAAAAACATTTTAGTGCTAAAATCATATTTAAGATTACAGCTTCAAAACTGATTATCACAGCCTGGGCAACATGGTGAAACCTTGTCTCTACAAAAAATTTTTTAAAAAGTGGCCAGGCGTAGTGGCACACACCCGTGGTCCCAGCTACTGGGGAGGGTGAGGTGGGAGGAAGTCTTCAGCCCAGGAGTTCGAGGCTGCAGTGAACCCTGTTCGTGCCACTGCACTCCAGCCTGGATGACACAGTAAGACCCTGTCTCAAAACACAATACAAACAAACAAAAAACAAAGAAACAAACAAAAACACACTGACGACCAAATGATGATCCAGCTAGATGCCCAGCACACAAAGCAGCCTTTGCCCTAGTGCACTGTTCCAATCTGGAAGAAACTGTGGGAGTTCTTGCAGCATCACCATGTAATGGGGCAACTCTCAGACCCTAGTCACGCCTGAAGGTCCCAATCTAATATACTTGCCTTTAACATTTTCCTACCTTCATGGGTTTCACCCTCAAGGCAAACATGAAACAAAACTAAATTCAGTCTTGCAAGTGCTTGCAGTCTACCTTCATAACATCTATGAACAATTCAGGGAAGAGCATGGCCCCATGGATGAAAGAACCTAGAATTTCGCTACCCATGGGTTATCTGCTTTGGAGAAAGATGCCACTAATCCATTTGCAAATACAATGGCCAATTCACAATGATTACCAAGCCCATGAAGAAAGAAACAAGAAGTCACCAACAAGAGCCAGCAGAAATCCCAAAGGAATTAAGATGCCATGAAAATATATACATGATAACCAATTTTTTGAAGAATGTTCAAAAAGCTTGAAAACAAAAAGTTGGAAAACATCTGCAGGGAATAAGAAAGTATTAAAAATGAAAAAATAAAAATCAAATCAAACTTCTAGATCAGAGAAATAAACAAAATGAGAAAATGAATGGGTCCACCTAAGGGCAGATTAAACAAAGCTGAAGAGAAAAATGGACAAACTTGAGAAGAGGTGAGAAGAAACGATCCAGAGAGTATCGTGGAAATCTGAAAAAAGCTGGGAAACCGGGTGCAGTGGCCCACACCTGTAATCCCAACTATTCAAAAGACTGAGTTAGAAGGATTGCTTGAGGCCAGGAATTAGAGAACAGCCTGGGCAACAAAGCAAGACCTAGTCTCTAAAAAAATTTTAAAGTATAAAATAGTAGCTAGGCATGGTGGCATGTGACTGTAGTCCCAGCTACTCAGGAGGCTGAGGCAGGAGAATCACATGAGCCCAAGAGATCGAAGCTACAGTGAGCTATGATTGTGCCACTGGGCACAGAGCACAACCTCTCCAGCCTGGGCAACACAGGGAGCTGTCATATACAAAAAATATAAAATAGAGAGTTAGAAATAAGGAAAACAATATGAGAATATCTAATATATGCATAATTATAATACTTAGACCATGAAGATATTAGTCAATGAAACCAAAAAGCAAAAAAGAGAAAGAAACAAAAGGGTGATTGAAAAAAATAGAAATACAAAATGCAGACTTTAAAATAACTAGGAAGAATGCATTCCAGAAAATATAAAATTGAGAACTTCGAAAATGTGGAAACTATAAGAAGAAACTAAAATTAATCCTTGAAATGTAATGAAAATATATATCAAACATAAAGATTTGATGCATTGGTTTAACCATGCATTAGATACAGTAGAAAAGAGAATTAATGAAATAGATTATAGGTCTTGAGAAAAAGTAATCCAGAATGAAGCTTGAAAGTAAAATTTAATACAAAATACAAAAAAAAAAAGACTAAAAAAGGAGCCAGAGGGAGAAAATCTAAATTATGTGCAAACAGAGTGAAAACAAGAGAAACAGCACCAAAATTTGAAGAGGTAATGACTATTTTCAGAATGGAAGAAACCACGATTGCAAATTTCAAGGTCATCAAGGAATTCCAATCAGATTAATAAACCCCTAATGGTATCACAGTGAAACGGCAGAAACTCAAAGAAAAACTATCTTAAAGGTATCAGGGGGATATAGACAAACTATCTGCAGAAAATATATTATTTTTAAAGGAGCAACACTTAAACTGACAGCTAAATTCTCCATACCAATAATGGAATCCAGAGAATAGGAGAATGATTTCTCAGATGGCTGAAAGAAGTAATTGCAAATTAAAATTCAATGAGAATATTGTTCAAGAAGAGGATGTCATAAAGACACATTTAGCCATGCAAACAGAGTTTCCAACAGCTTGTTAGCTCTGAAAATATATTTTAGATCACCGATAGATTCTTTTAAGACAATAATCACAGATAAAAGTAGGAGGTACAAAAAGTAATGAAACATAAATAAAATAGTGTAATCATCAGAAAATCAAAATTAATATTGAAATAATAAGATAAGCAATCATATCTGAAAAAGATTCCTAAAAAACACAAAACATTGAAAGGTACTAACAGCAAGTAGGTTAGGTCATAAACATGGAGCTAAAATACACTGACTACTGGGTATTTTCAGAGAAGTGGAAAATGTATTAATTAAAATTAGTGATTATATTAAGGATCTGTGTTGTAATTTCTAGGGTTATTTACTAAAACTAGTACAGTCTTTTAACATCTAGTGTAGAGGGAGAAGTGGGAGTGAAGGAAATGGAGTAATGTTATTTGTCTTTTATTTCTTTATTTTCTGAGACAGGATCTTGTTCTGTCATCCAGGTTGCAGTGCAGTGGTGCCATCATAGGTCACTGCAGCCTTGAACTCATGGGATCAGACTCTCCTGTCAACTCTTATCTCTGGAGTACCTAGGACTACAGGTGCACACCACCACACCTGGCTAATTTATTTTTTTTATTTATTTATTTTTTTTTATGTTTCATAGAGATGAGGTCTTGCTATGTTCCTCAGGCTGGTCTTGAACTCCTGGAGGATTCTAAAGTGATCCTCCTGCCTTGGTCTCCCAAAGTGCTAGGATTACAGGTGTGAGCCACTGTGCCTGGCCTGAATGATTTTTTAAAAAGCAATTCAAGCAAGATGTAGAAGTGGGATATTAGTAGCACAATTTAGGATAGAAGACTTAAACACAAATATATCAAAAATAAAAGTAAATATCAGTGGATCTGCGGTTGAAAATCAAAGATTATGAGACCCAAATAGACGCTATGTAGAAAAGACTCAAAACCTGAGTCAACAGAAAGGCCTGAAGTAAACACATGGGAACTATACACAATTGGATTACTAACAAAACAAAGGTAATGTTAACGTCAAACTAAACAGACATTAAGGCATGAAGCACCACAGACTTACAGAGGATCACTTTATAATGAGAAGAACCTTAATTTGCCACAATGCAATAAAAATTCTAGACTGTATCCACTAAAATTCATAAGCATATAAAATGCAAGAAACTAAATTTTGGAAAAATATACGAAAAGATTTTAAAACATCCATAAACATCGTGGGAAAATTTAATAGACCTATTTTAGTTACTGAAAGAATATGTAAACTACCACCTGGAAAACTATATAGAGTATGTGAACAACATACTTCAACAGTTTGAGATATTAGACATATAGCACATTGCACCAACCATCGCAAAATAAACACTTTTCTCAGGGATGCAATGCATATTGGCAAGAAATAAACAAAGTATAAAAATATAAATTGCGGATTATTATAAAATCATGAAGATAAAAATGTGATGATTGGCACAGAGGTAGACAAAGAGATCACTTGAACTTTAGTGACATGGATCAAACTGTTTAAAATAAATTGTATTGTGATATTCTAAGGAAAAATAAACTAGACCTCTTACAGAATGCAATAAATATATTCCCTGTGTGGTTTCAATATGAAAGATAAAATATTAAGCTTTTTTCAGATAAAATAAAAGGAAATCTTCATATCTCTTGGTAGGAAAAGATATCCTAAACAAAAATTCCAAAGCACTAATCTGAAAGAAAATATTGTAAAGTCTATAAACTAACATTAAGAACTTTAGCTTATTTAAATAAATCATTAAAAACATGGAAGGAAAATCAGAAGATATTTGCAACATATATAATCAGTGAAGCACTCTAATCGAAATACAGCAATAAGACACACAACCCAGTAGAAAAACAGATCAAAAACAGACGCTTCACCAAACAGGACATATGAATGGCCAAGAGATATATGGAAATGTCTCAACCTCAGAGTAAACACAGTGAACACACAATGGGTTTCCATGTACACACGCTAGATCAGAAAAATAAAATAGAACTTTTATACTGCCACATGTTGAAGATTGCACACTCCTGGTGAAAACAGGCATTTCTGTACTGGAAAACAGTTCATCCTTATATAAACTATACAGTTGAAGATTTGAACCAGCAATTCCATAATGGTATATGTCTCAGAAAACCAATGCTTGTGAGAAAGGAGGGTGCCTGAAAAAGAATGTTAATAACACGAATTTATAATAACCTCAAACTCAAAATAATAACCATATCTATTAGGAATAAAATGGACATAGGGACTGTGGTATGTTCAGACTTTAGAACACTATACAACAATTAAAATGAGTGGAATGGATGTATACACAGCAACACATATGAAATTTATAAAACAGTATTATGCATGAAAAAAACACACCAGAAAGTAATAGAAAGTTGCATTCATTTAGAGTCTCCAAACAAGCAAAATTTAATTATGTGATTCAGGGATGCCTTTATCATTGGGAAAATATAAAGAAAAGCATGGAAATGAGTAGTAAAAGGGAATAATGGTTATCACGGAGGAGGATAAGGAGATAGAATGGGAAAAGAGCATGCACTGCTTTGAAGATGGAAACTATATTTCTTCACATGGGTGTTGGTTATAGAAACACTTGCCTTAAGCTTTCACATTGCATGGAGCATTGATAATATAAGATAACAGAACACACAGAACTTTGGTTTCTGTGTGTTACACTTCAAATGGATTATTTTTTTTAATCAGTGTAAATCTAAGTTCAGCATAAATGTTGACCAGTTAACCTCATGCATCTATTATATTGTTTCATATGGCCCTATTATTTGTGGTTTCTAATGGTTGTCTTTATATTGTCCATCTTGAAAATACCATTAGAAACCATGAACACATCACCAGAGAGTGATTCATGCTAATGAGAAAAACATGCTGCAGAATTTCTGTTTTCCACTTCCTGTTAATTTAAAAGGTATTGAGGCTGGGCACCGTGGCTCACGCCTGTTCTCCCAGCACTCTGGGAGGCTGAGATGGGAGGACTGCTTCAGGCCAGGAGTTTGAGACCCACCTGGGCAACATAGTAAGACTCTGTCTCAGTGAATTTATTTAAAAAAATTAGCTTGGTATGGTGGTGCCTAGTTGTAGTCCTAGCTACTCAGGAGGCTGAGGCAGGAGGATCACTTGAGCCCAGGAGTTGGAGGCTGCGGTGAGCCATGGTCACAACGCTGCACTCCAGCCTGCAATAGAGTTACACCCTGTCTGCTTTTTTAAAAAGGAGGGGTACTGCAAAAGCCTTATCCAATCTCCCAGCCCCTTCTGCAACTTCTCAATGGACACACTTCCGTACAGTAGCAGCAGCTGATGAATAGTCGTGAATTCACTTATTCCTAGATGTGAAACTCCAATAGGAACTGAGCCATTGATCCGTCCATCACAGGCCCATCCTCAGGTCTATAGCATTGTCTGAGGCTTAACACTACAGTTATTCTTTCTGATTGCACATTGGCGTGTGCAATAATTTATTAGGACCCTCTAAGTGTCTACACCAATTGCTACTGTACTGCAATTTACCTATTTATCTAGCCACATGAAATATTCAGTTAGTTGTATGGAAACCACATTATAAAACCTTTAATTATTCAAAGACATTGGCGGGTGGGAATGTTCTAATTCAGTAGAAACCAGATTACCTAGAATTTAACATGAAGCAAGTACCTTCATTGGTTATTAGGGAAGGCAGAACTGGCAAAAAATGACATGGGAGGTACATGGGAAAGTTAGAAAACATTCCACTAAACAGACTTTAAAAGGTGAGACTATATGATGGGCATTCTAAAAATACATAGAAGACAACACCTGGCTGCACAGGAATGACATCCTTCATGGCAAGTCCATTTGGAAAGGCATATGCCTGGCATTTAGCTCAATGCATTTTGATTTTCTTTTCAATGTGCCTTAAGGTTTAGTTGAGGCTGGGCGCATTGGCTCCCGCCTGTAATCCCAGCACTTTGGGAGGCCAAGGCGGGCAGAACACTTGAAGCCAAGAGTTCGAGACCAGCCTGGCTAACATGGTGAAACTCCGTCCCTACTAAAAAAAATACAAAAATCAGCTGGGCGTGGTGGCACGTGCCTGTATTTCTGGCTACTTGGGAGGTTGAGGCAGGAGAATCGCTTGAACCTGTGAGGTGGAGGTTATAGTGAGCCGTGATCATGCCACTGCACTCCAGCTTGGGCGACAGAGCGAGACTCTGTCTCAAAAAAATAAAAAAAATAAAAAAAATAAAAAAAAAAATAAAAAAGAGTTAGTTGAAACAAGCTCACCTTTATTTATAGCTGTTCCTTGTCTTTGAATTAAAATTGTGTTATACAATGTGGTCACTGACCTTACTCAACAGAACCCTGGCTGTATCCAAATATAAATGCCTCCTTAAGGATTAAGACTTGCCTCAGCAAGATATTAAAAATAAATTACTATGGGCTCTGAAACGTTTTAAAGTGAGGAGAAATAAAGAAGTTTCCAGCAGTCTTACCTTATTGTAATTAGTGTACTGCCTCTGAAGTGACTAATTTGAATATAATAAAGCTCATTTTGGGTATATGATTTCTGATATCCTTGCTAAATTATATCAGCCTAATTACGTAACAGTCAGCACCCATATACCTTTATCATTTCACTAGTTTTACTTCTTAAAGTGAAGTTGCTCAGAACACTGCTAGGTTAATTTTGATTTTCATATGTAAGAATACGCATTGCTAAACTTTTGCTATTGCAACTTCCATCTTAATTTCCTAAAGTCCATTGTGAAGTCCTTTAATATATGAGATATATAAGATATGGTTTTTAATAACACTTTAAAAATTTTCCTATTAGGTTACAACTTGTATGTTTTTCATATCTGTTTAGTTTCTCCTCTCAAAACTGGAGTAGCTCCTCCTTACCAGGGGCAGTGAGGGATGCTTTCCAAGACCCCCATTGGATGCCTCAAGCTGTGGACAGTACCAAACTCTATATATGCAATGTTTTTTCCTATACCTGCATGCCCATGATAACGTTTATTTTATAAATTAGGCACAGTAAGAGATTAACAACAATTAAAATAAAATACAACTGTAACAATATATACTCTAATAAAACGTTACGTGAATGTGATGTCTCTTTCTCTCTCTCAAAATATCACTGTACTGTACTAACCTAACCATGGGTAATGGAAATCACAGATAACGGGGGTTGGTTGGGGGGATTACATATCTCTGTCTCTATTTTCCTCTCTCTCTCTCTCTCTCTCTCTCTCTCTCTCTCTCTGCTATATCTAAATCCACCCAAACAACAAGCGGCGAAGACAAAATACCAGTGGGCAATAAGAAGGCTTCAAGAATTTTCTGAATACTAAAAGCAACTGAAAAACATTATAACTGACATAATAATGTTAAAAAGACCAAGAAAGAAAGAGAACGTCAAGGCACTAGATACAGAAGCTCAAGCTGGTCAGAAGGAAACAGAAGGATTACAAGAGTAAATGAGAACAGAATCACGTGCTGCAGAAAAAGTACGAGCTTGCAGAGATTAGCAACCAGGTTAGCTGCACAGAGACACCCTGGGCGGGAGGCTGCAAGATGCCTTTTAGAGAAACCCATGGCTCTCTGCAAAAGCAAAGACCTGCATATCACGAATGCTGGTAGTTTATACTAATAATGAGGTATGTATGAAGAAAGACAGGCAGAAGAATTATATATAACAACAATACAAGAATACACAGCAGCCAAAATATTCATTTTTTCCTTTTTCATGCATTCACTATTTCACCCATTTATTCCTTTATTCAACTAATTTTTTTTGTGTCCCTACTACATTCCAAATACTGATTTAGACAGTGGGGATAAAGACAGGCTACCAAGTGATCAAGTTGGATGAAACAGACTAAGGGCAAATATACAGTATGCTAAGTACGATAGGTGGAGGGGAAGGAGGAGAGGGTTGAGGGACCCTCTAAGTCAGAAAAGTACCTGATACTGGATGCATGAGAAATAGGCACACCTCTAGCCAGGTAATACGGCCCCACAGGTACTCAGCTTGCAGAGTGTATCTAGGGCTAAATTTCAGCCTCCATTAGTCCCTTAGCCTTCAGCCTTGCACCACGCAAGCTGTACAATAATACCAGCACATGCGTGTGTGCATGCACACCTTTTATTTTGAATTGCAAGAAATGCAACCTTATTTGGATTGCAGAATGGTTTCCCTATCCCTGAAACAACAAGTCTAAGATGGCTTGCAACAAGGACACACGCACAATAGGGCATTTCTGACATGAGAAGACATGGCCTAGCATTTGGGGGTGAAATATGTGGCCGCCTTCTCCCTGTGAGATTCAAATGTTTGAAGGTGGCATTGAGATTCTAGGGTAGAAAAAGTAAGAAAAAATGAAAATATTTCCTTTCCTTTTTTTTTTTCCCCCAAAGGAACAATATCCAATGAGACATTGTTCTTCTTAGGGGATTCCTCCTCTCCCTTCCCCCCACAGCATAATCAATGAAAACATAGCAGAAACCTCCCTGTCTAAGCCCAGAGAAGTGAGAGGACTGTGGAGAATTTTCTTTCCACCTCTAATTCCATCCTCATTTCTGAAAGGGGATGCTGACTTGCAACCCCATGGTGCCTGCAGGTGCAGCTGACAACGATGCTTGCAGTTTCCATGAGCCAGTGTGTTTTCTGCTGAGTGAGATGGAAATAGGACAGGTGAGGGCCTGACATTCTCTTGCCTAGAAAATCCACGAGGAAATAAGGCCCCTTTCTCAGCATGCAGTGTTCAGAGGAAGACATGAAGATTACATCCATCAGTGCTAATAACAGTAAACAAGTGTGAATGATGCCAACACTTGATTTAAACACCACATAGGCAGGGGACATCTATCGTGGGCTGGTAACACCAATGAGTTATAATTGAAATCAGCAGTAAAGACAGGATAATTGCATATCCAATCTGAAGACAGACTTCTTCCTGTTTGTTTTATTTTACCTTCACTTTAATTTCCTCATAGTGTCACAATCTAATTCCATTTAATGAAGGGGGAAAAGGGAAGGAAAAGAAAAATTTAATACATTTCTACGAGTAGGATTATTTGACAACAGATGGGCTGCCTCCTGATAGAAGGAGTTTTGTGTGTGAAGAATTCTAATTTAGGCCTTTTCCTGCCATGTTAGTTTCATGCTAAAAGTTTCAAAGCTAAAAACCAAGTCATACTGACAGAATAACACTCCTGGAGGGTTTACTCTTGGTAAGGCACCCCTCTTAACTCCATTTATACCTATAATTTTACTATCTTTAGAGTTGGACCTAATGAGGAATAAAGACAGAAACAAACAACAGGTTTAGACACAAAGAGAGATTACATAACTTGTCTAGGATCACAGACAGATCTAGACGTGCCCAAAGTGGGACTTGTACAATGTCTTACTCCATATGCATTGCTATAACGGAATACCTGAAGCTGAGCAATTTATAAAGAAAAGACGGTCCAGGCATGGTGGCTCACATCTGTAATCCCAGCACTTTAGGAGGCTGAAGCAGGAGGACCGCTTGAGGTCAGGAGTTTGAGACCAGCCTGGGAAACTCAGCAAGACTGTCCCTACAATTTTTTTAATTAACTGGGCATGGAGGCATGCACCTGTAGTCCTAGCTACTCGGGAGGTTGAGGTGGGAGGGTGGCTTGAGCCTAGGAGTTTGAGGCTGCAGTGAGCTATGATTGCACCACTGTACTCCAGTCTAACAGAGCAAGACCTTGTCTCTAATTAGAAAAATAAAAAAGAAAAGAAAAGAGGTTTATTTGGCTCACAGTTCTTCGGGGTGTACAAGAAGCATGGTACCAGCATCTGCTTCTGGTGAGGCCTCAGGGAGCTTCCACTTATGGTGGAAGAGGAAGGGGAGCTGCTGTGTGCGCAGATCATATGGTGAGAGAGGAAGCAAGAGAGAGAGGAGAGGAAGGTGCCAGGCTCTTTTTAACAACCTGATCTCCTGAGAAATAATAGAGCAAGAACTCAGGCATCACCTGGAAGACTGCACCAAGTCATTCATGAGGGATCCGGCCAATGACCCAAATGCCTCCCACCAAGTCACACCTCCAACACTGGGGATCAGTTTTCAACGTGAGATTTGGAGAAGACAAATATCCAAACTATATCATACCCTGTGAGTATGTCTTCAAAGCCTCTGCTTGTCTTCAAAGCTGCTTTCAGATAGCACCTTAGGGAGCACCAATAAGTATCCCCATATTCTAAACCAAGGTTTTTCAACCTTAATACTAGTGGCATTATGAATGGGATAATTCCTTGTTCTCGTGGGCTGTCCTCTGCATTGCAGTATATTGAGCAACATCTTGGACTTATATCCATTAGATGCCAGAAGCATCACCAATCTCCAGCTGTAACAACCCGAAGTATGTACATGCATAGTCAAATGTCCCTTGGAGAGGAAAACTTATACCTCACTGGGGGCTAATGGTTTAGCTAGAGGAAGCATTTTAAATATGAGTAAGAAAAAAACATTAACTTAGAGCAGGGTTTATTAATGTCAGCATCAATGACATTTGGAATCAGATCATTGTTATGGATGAGTGTCCTACGAATTGTAGGATGTTGAACAGTAACCGTGGTCTCCACCAACTAAGTGCATTAACACCCTTCAAACTCACTCTGACAACTGGAAATGTCTCCTTACATTGCCAAGCAGGGCACAACTGCCCATGACTGAGAGCCATGGTTCTAAATCAAGAAGTGTGTCTACCAAAGCAAGGCCTAGTAACAGACTGTGGGGCTGGCCACACCATACTTGGCCCATCAGCCTTGTTCAGGCCTTATGGGGCACAGCAAAGACAGTGGTGAAGGATGAAGATGCCGGAGGGTTGGCCCTGTCAGCTACGATGGTGATGGAGCCAAATGTGAACCACATAGAAAGAAGTGCTCTTTGGTCATCTAGAAAGGGACTGTGCCCTGGTCTCACCTCTAGAGAACAGGTGAGGATCACAGAAGAGGTTCAGCTGAAGTGATGGAGGGAGGAAAGAGATTCAACCCAAGTCAAATGAACTGCAGTGGGTGGAACTTGCCACAGAAACCCTGGAAATCATATATGCCTCCAAAGTAAAGTTCAACTGTGTACAGCTGCTGCTCCCAGAAGACAGTAGCATCAGACTTTAACTCTACCACCAGCCACGCAAGAAGTTGCCTTTTCCTCTCATGGCCCCTCTCCTCTTAGTGAGGAAAGACGTCAGCTTCACACTCCTTTCTCACTGAATGGTTGTCCTGTCTGTGGCTTTCCCAGGAAAGGAAAGTGAAAAAAATTTGTAATGGAGGAGAAATTGCAACAGACTGAACTGGATGGTTAAGATCCTTGAGTGGCCAGAATTCCTATGCTTTATGCACGTTAGTCAGCCAAGGGTGAGGATAAAGAAGGCTACCGATTAGATTGAGATGTAAGAAGCATTTGCTGCCTATTTGTGCTTTATTGAATCCAGCCAGTATGTACTTTACTAGAACCTCTTAGTGGGTAGACAGGAGATGGGTAATTACCTAATGAGACATTTTACACCAGGCACTTGCTAAGATTGAGGGCTTGGATTAAACAACTTAGGAGGTCTCTTCTTATGTTATTTTTAACTTTCTTTTCAACATAATGGTCTAAAGGAATATGCATCCCTCAAACCAGGGGCAAAATGGTGAAAATTTTGGATATATTCTGTCTTTTGCCATGAAGAACTACGCTACCAACCTACCCACTAGAGCTAGTAGCATGCAAACAATTTCATGTATCTTTCATTTCTTCTCTGAGATTCTTAGCAGAACCACAAGGACCATAACGATATCGCTTATTGGGAAGAGCCTCTTACTTCCTGGTCAAGCCCTATAGAATGCAGTGATCCCTAAGGGATTGGCAGACAACTGTTACCTGTTTGCAGGCCACAACTGTGATGCAGAAGTTCGGCAGAAGGATATTCAATATGGCAGAGGGATATTGAATTCACTATGTTTTGCAACCCTTGTGGCCTGCACATACTCATACAACTCATATAACTTGACTACCTTAATCCTAAATAAGTGCTTGAAGGTGTATTTACTTACACTGATAAGTAGTTAGTAAATCAATGTCAAAACATATACCTTCTTTGATGTTAGTCTTGCCCAATATTTTGGACATTTTAAAATACGTTTGAGAATACTTTTGGCAATATTTTTTATTTTGCTTTGGTTGCTACAATCTTTGTAACAGCTCCTCTAATGAATGAGTCAATACTTTTAATAATCCCTCTCAATGTAGCTATAGTTTTGCAAGAATTTCTCCACCTCTCACTTGGTTAACTGAAGCAAATGCTCTGGTTAAGTATGCAAATCCTATTTAAGAGAAAGGAGTTTCCCATGAAGGCACTGTCCTCTTCTTCCCTTGGGGAGCTTTATACACAAAATTGCCTCTGTGTGCGAAGAGCACAGGAACAGACAGACAGATGAGTCAGGGAGAAGCGAAGTTGATGGAAGATGTTGGTATCAAAACAGCTAGAACTTGATTTGGAGCATTTTGGTTATTTCTGACTTATTCCTGACCTATACAGCAAAGCCAGCAACGAAGCCATATGACTAATGCATTTTGTAAACAAGACACTGAGTCCTGTTACAGATAGCTGGAGACATCTGACTGGGGCCAGGCAAGATGTTGACCAACATCAAGACTTGACCAGATTTTAGGAACTGGGAGCACACTGGGCTTTACCTAATGGTTCAATGTAGGCTTAAGAAACAGCTGACACATGTACTAGTGCTCAGGCACAAAGCACAGATATGAATTTTAGTAGCCATGACAGACTTCTAAGGAGTCCTTCTCAATGAGGCTCTACTTCAAAGATGCCATGTTTGAGGGGCCATCGAGATGGTGATTCACTGATATAAGGGCAAGGGTCAGGCAGGGTTTAGAATGAAAATAAAAGTACCCTGTTCTTTTAACCAGCAAGAGACCCTCAGAGTTCACTGACATCTGGATCCAGTGCCCATCCTCACTCTTTCTTTTCTGACATTTTGTATCCCAGTTTATCACTCAAGAGAAATTCAGTGAGCACTTACTGTATACACGTACGTATCCATAAGTGCCATTCATCAGACTGTGAATAAATATGAAACCTAGAGCCCTTTGTCTTACAATTAAACTTTTTTTATAAGCCCAGAACACACATTTCTGTACAAGATGACACATGAACAGATACCTAAAAGTATCCTCAACCAAGTGAAAAATAATTAGGGCATCAAAGCCATCCAAAGATAGCTGGATGGTCACAGTCCCTGAAAGGATTCCCTGGAAAGTCAGATCCAGCTTAGTCATTCAAAGCAGCGCCTCCCCTGATGAAAAGAAGAGATCACAATGCAATCAGTCAAGCTTATCTGGGGTCCAGAGCCTTTGCAGAATCTCAGCCTGCCAGCCTGTGGCTCAGGTGTGCCCATCTAGATAAGAGTCCGACTTTGATATGTGGGATCACAACTTTCCTCTCATCCTTGCCTTTGGGGCGTTTTTCTGTGCTACCGAGTTTGATTCCACTGATTTTTCTCCCTGCCGGGGTCACCTAGGGACTGCAAGATAACAGAGGCACAGAGCCTCCACTTACACAGAGCAAAGGAGGCTGTGGGATAATGAACAGCCAGCCCCTTGAAGCTCTGTCAGAGGGACTCAAAGACTTTCCCATTTACCGGTGCAGTTTCTGAGGAATCTGATGCTGTGTGGGCCTGCCCACAGAAATAACAATCCTCACCCTTTTCACCTTTTTTTTTTTTTTTGAGACAGAGTCTTGCTCTGTCACCCAGGCTGGAGTACAGTGGCGTGATCTTGGCTCACTGCAACCTCTGCCTCCCGGGTTCAGGAGATTCTCCTGCCTCAGCCTCCCAAGTAGCTGGGATTACAGGGATGCGCCACCATGCCCAGCTAACTTTTGTACTTTTAGTAGAGATGGGGTTTCACCATGTTGGCCAGGCCACTTGTACTCCTTCCCTCAAGTGATCCGCCGGCCTCGGCCTCCCAAAGTGCTGGGATTACAGGCATGAGCCACTTATGCCCGGTCTATCCTCATCCTTTTTTAAAAAACTGAAGTAGAAGTATGGAGAACATGGCTAATTCTTGCGTAGATAATCAATAATACCCTCTTAAATAAAAATCATATTTACAACAAAAGCACGAAAGAAAAAAATTGTATGATTAGCTAATGCGGTCGGAAGTTAGTAGTTCCATTTGTTGCTCCTATATAAATCATGTGGAACTTAAAATTCCTCTATTTTTAGTTTCTGCTTTTTTGGGGGTGGGGTTGGAGGAGGTTAGATTAACAAATGCAGACACACTGTGATGATTATTCATATGTAATACAAATATGTATATATATCTATATATATAAATTATATATAGATACAAACATATATATGAAGAGTTAGTAATTTTTATGTTTTATACATACATTTATAAACTCAGAAGAGTTACATATGTTATATATATTAATACCTCATATGTATTGATATTCTCCAATGAATCAAAGGGATTTTAATAAAGGTTGATTGGGGAATGACTTTCAAGACCTATAAGCAAAATAAAATTTTCAAAATATGGTTACAAATTAAAAAAAAAACAATAGGTAGTATATATTACATGATCTGTATTTCATAGTTTTAATATATATCACAGATTTACATTTATAATACAAAAATTTATAAATTATACACATTTAATATATAAAATTACATGTGTGTGTGTGTGTGTGTGTATATATATATACACATATATATATACACATATATATATATATATACACACGTATATATATATATATATAATAGCCTTTCCATGTGGCAGGGACTCTTACTAGCACTGTTTGTACAGTAACTCTTTTGATCCTCAAAACACCATAAGACTCATTTATTTTAAAGGTGAGAAAAATGAGGCCCAGAGAGGTTAAGTCAATTAATCAACAACACACAGCTCACGAGGCTCTAATACAGCACTGGTTTTGCCATAGGTAGAGAAACCTGAAAGAAAACATTGTGTGATGTGCCAATGTGGTCAGTAGTTAGAACTCCCATCTGTTGCTCATATACAAGTCATGTGGAAATTGAAATTCCTCTGCTTTTAATCTCTACTTAGGTATAAACATAAAGTGGAGGAGATGCACATCCAAGCTGCCTTAGTCTAACTTTGCTTAATACAACATCTTTAAGCCCTTTGTATTTTTCTCTGATATTTCCAGGTATGCTCTCTCTTGTTTAGGAAACTCTCTCAATTTATGAAATGTAATTGTGCATCTTTAGGCCGGGCGCAGTGGCTCACACCTGTAATCCCAACACTTTGGGAGGCCGAGGCGGGTGGATCACCTGAAGTCAGGAGTTCAAGACCAGCCAGGCCAACATGGTGAAACCTCGTCTCTACTAAAAATACAAAAATTAGCTGGGTGTGGTGGCAGGCTCCTGTAATCCCAGCTACTCGGGAGGCTGAGGCAGGAGAATCACTTGAACCTGGGAGGCAGAGGTTGCAGTGAGCCAAGATTGCACCATTGCACTCCAACCTAGGCGACAAGAGGGAAACTCCTTCTCAAAAAAAAAAAAAAAAAAGATATATAATTGTGCATCTTTTTATCATGTCCCCTATGGTTCCTTTAAGAAAACAATTTTATTCAGACACCTTTTTCAGCACCTAGCACCATGTGTATGAAACACTTGGCTGACACTATCACAAGATATGAAAATGATTTTGTGTCATGTTAAATTGTTGGTAGAATGTGCCAAAGAATCATTCCCAGAAGCTCTGATGACTCAGACATACAACCAAGGCATAGTAGATTATTTTTTCCAACAGCTAAAATGGCACAGCCCCATGGCAGTTGCATTTTAAACACTGGGGAAAAAAAAGAGGAAAAAAAGATCATTCTCTTGGCCTGCTTGCTTTGAAAATGTGGCATTCTTTAGACAAATTAAATACAAAATATAAGTAGAGAAATTGATACGGGGTGCATGTTTTCAAAACTTTTGTCCAAAACAGGACTTCAAACATTTTATAGGGCATGTCTGCAATGTGCAGTTGAAATGATCACAGTTTCATTTTAATAAAATGCAAATGCATGGATTGGTGTTAAGTAGATTCTACTGAAAAATCTGCACAATTTGCCCACTCGGTGCTGTAGAAAGCACTGCACCTCTCTGCTTTGTACTCACGCACTGTCATCTCCCTTGTTGTAGAGGAAGCTTCTGAACAGCCTTTTCCAGCAATGAGCCTGAAAGCAAACTAAAACCCCAGTTGCCACCAAGACGACCTAGGCCTGAATACCCCCACTGATCTTTTGTGGTTAATCAGTCACAGTTGGTTCTGAAAGAGAAGAAATAACCATTTTTTTCTTTCTACTGTTGCCCAATGGCCTTAAGTTGCAGCTTGAACACTCTTGTGCATGCACAAGCTCTCCCAGCTGGTTTAAATGCTGTAGGATTAATTTTCAACCTAAATAAATCTAAGTATAATTTTCTGTATCTAATAACCCAAAAAGCTGTCAATCATCTTGTTTTCTAACCTGTTTCTCTTAGAATCTTTAAACATATTTTGAAAGCTCAGCCATGCTGTCACTTTAAAAATAAGTATGATAACTTTGGCTTGCTCACAACCTTTTTAAAATAAGCAGTATGCAATCATCAGAACCAAGAAAATATGAGATTAATTTGTTAAATAAGGTTTATTTGTGCATGCTTCTGGCTCTCACAAACTAGAATCACTTACCTCTTAAAAAAACTAAGGTTGAATGCATGAAAATCAAACTCAATAATTGAAAGTAAACGATGAGATATCTTTTGTCAATATTTTTCTTTTGCATGTCATCTGGTTCTTCAAACCCCAAAAGAACAAATGCACATGAGTTTATCCCTTGGTGTTTCAAGGGCATGTATTAGATTTGCACTATTATCGCTGGCTAGCTCTTGGGGAATTTCAGACCCTACTCCTGAATGTGGCTTGCACGTTCAATTACCATTGGAAGAAAACAAGAAGTAGGAGCAATATTGTTCTACGGAGTTTGGCTGCCACAGAAAATGTCATTACTCCGCAAAAATTAACCTAAGCCCTTTGTTCTAGGAAAAGATGGCCACAATGATCAGAATCAGAGAACAAATATATCAGTGTGGACAAATCTGAATCAGCCATACAGAATGTAACAATAAAACCAAGAGTCAAAGACATTAATATGGGCCATCCCTATCCAAGCCAGGCCCATGGACAAAAGTCCTAGGCTATAAATGGAATTCTCCCATCCTTAAGATGCCTGCATCTCTCCAATGGAGATGGTATCTGCTGACTGGCCACAGAAGATGCCTCCCAGTATGTGAGTTACACAACTCCTCTTTTTTCCAGCTTTCCTGAATTCTAAAGAACCTGATTAAAATTAACTCCCACTGAAGATTGTGTTGACCACAGGATGTCCCTTTTCTGCAACAAATAAAATATTGGCGTTTGGTTTCTTAGAAAAAAGCCTGGAGATTAATGGGCTAGACTTTCCCATATAGTCTATGTTGAGACTCCAGTATTATCTCCAACCCTCTGCAGGATTTGAGGCATGTTACTTAGTTTATTTAATTCTCAGTTACTCACAAAAGAGAAAAGCAGCCCCTGCTGGTCAGCAGCTGACCTGGTAATGTACCCTAAGCCCTGGCAATGCTGGGAGTTGGTCTGTGCCTTGCAGCTAGGTTGTGCCATCGTCCTGTTGAACATAAAAAAAAAAATCATGGAACAACAACGCCAGGCAAAATGCCTCCAGTCTCTTTGGTAAAACATAGCAAGAGTCACCTTTATTCTAGTTCCTAACAAGTTACCCATATCAATCTGAGACCACCTCAGCCTGGACTTCATTGTCCATATCACTATCAGCATTTTGGTCAAGGCCATTCAACAAGTCTCTAGAAAGTTCCAAACTTTCCCACATCTCCCTGTCTTCTGAGCCCTTCAAACTGTTCCAATTTCTGCCTGTTACCCAGTTCCAAAGTCACTTCCACATTTTTGGGTATCTTCACAGCAGCACCCCACTCTCAGTAGCAATTTCCATTATCATGCTGCTATTAAAGACATACCCGAGAGTGGGTAATGTATAAAGGAAAAAAGTTTGACTCACAGTTCAGCATGGCTGGGGAGTCCTCAGGAAACTTACAATCATGGCGGAAGGGGAAGCAAATATGTCCTTCATCACATGGTGGTAGCAAGGAGAAGTGCTGAGCAAAAGGAGGAAAAGCCCCTTACACAATCCTCTGATCTCATGAGAACTCACTATCATGAGAACATCATGAGGGTAACCACCACAGGATTCAATTACTTCCCACTGGCTCCCTCCCATGACACATGGGGATTATGGGAACTACAGTTCAAGATGACATTTGGGTGAGGACAAAGCCAAACCATATCACCATGCCATCTAGTAAAATGGTCAGGCAAGTTTAGACATACAAAAGTGACTATGTGAACTGTATAAACCAAGTCAAATGGAGTACAACTAAAAGAGAGTCTGTGTTTAGTGTAGAATCAGTGGAAATATGTGAGGTTCAATCAACATGCTTACTAAGAAACAGCATAATTTAAATTACTTCTTGTGATGCTTAGAAAGAGACACATTCTTTAGAGCAAATTGCTGACTTATAAATCACTATCATAGACAATTGTTGGAAGAAAATTTTTCACCTGCAGAATGAAGTGTGCTCATGAAAGGTACACCTACTGGTTTTAGATCGGTGGGGTTTGAAATAAAAGCATTTAATTTTTCAATTTCAAAACAATCATGTTGTGGACCATTTCAGAAAGAACTAGAAGAAACTGAGAGCCTGGGAGCTTATTCAGAGTCATTTTTTTTTTTTTTTAAATATGGAAACCACTAAATGTACATTCACCATCAAATCCTGCCCGAGCTCTTGGGAAGGTAAATAAGCTACTGATAAAACTTTGTTGCAAACCAGAACTCTATAAAGAAATAAAGGAAAAATCCAAGATAGAATACATTGATTTTATTTTCTAATAGTAGAAACATTTAAACATTGTTGTTGTTGTGTTTTAATCTCATTTGAAAACAAATGCAAATTTGACAACATGAGCACTTGCCACTAAGGGGTGTAGAATATATCTAATTGGTTACCTAAGACACTTGAAAGAACTAGTAGGATCTCTCTTTAATTCCCATGTTAGGGTAGAAGCTCCCCTAAAATCAGGAAACATGTGTAATGACTTCCTGTGGGGGGTGCATGGCAACATATTCAAGCTAATGTAGAAGACACGTGAGGTCGAGGCATGGAAAAATACTGAGGCACTGTGTGCATGTTGTTTGTGCATGAGACTAGAACTCCTTGTCCCTGAAAACAGGACAGGGAGTAGTATGTGTGATAAGGAGTGCTGAACACAGCCTCCTAAGAATGTGGTTTGAGTGTTTTTTACAAGGTCATATGTGCCTCATGACCCAACCGCAAAGAGCCACCTGGTGGATGTCTTTTGTTCATCTGAACTGTAGTTTAAACAAGCTCTCTCAATAAATATTCAGGTGGATGGATCTTGGGGCAGCACTCTCTCAGAAGAGCTGTTCCCCGCCCCGTTCAGCTGGAATTGTTTGAGTACTTCATTCTCAGCATTCACTGCAGCTATAAGCTGTACTTGCCTGTTTACATCTGAGCTCAAAAGACATTCATTAAATTAATAAAAGGAGATTTTAAATAATTAAACGTTTTTGAACTTCCACACAAACGTGCCTCTTGCATACCTAAAATAAATACAAAACCGATAGGGACAGAAGGCAGGGAAATTCTGGGCAGAAGAGAGCGGGTTCCCGGTAAGTGCCCCACCCTCAAGCCAAAAAGCAACCAGGGCCCAAAGTGAGAATTTACATTCCTGTTTTCCCACTCGACTGCTGCCTTTTCCAAAACCACCCATGGCCTGCCCTGCACCACATCCTGTGCCCATAAAAACTCCAGGCATAGCTTGGAAAGGGGAGAAGCAGCTGGACATCGGAAATTATAGTTGGACATCAGAGAGAAGTGGCTTGACTTCAGAGGGACAGCTTGATGGCATAGCTTTGGAGAAGATTCTGGCCGGGGATGACGGGACTCCTGGGGAAGATTATCTTCCTGCTCCATCCCGTTTTCAGTTCCCCTTCCTGCTGAGAGCTACTTTCAACCAGCAATAAAAAATCCCCTGCATTTACCATCTTCAATTTGTTCGTGTGACCTGATTGCTCCTGGACGTCAGTCTGTTGCGGGATCAGGAGGACCAGAGAGAGACCTCGGGGTGTATACAGGAGGATATCTTTATTATTGAGTGCACTCAGACCCAGCAGACTCAACGTCCAACGACTGGGCCCGGAACAAAGACAGCACTTGTCTTTCATACACACTTAACAAAAGGGGGTGGGCTAGCTTGAAGTAAGCTTACAGTGGCGTGAAAGCAGGGATACAGAGGCAGGACAAACTCAGGACCGCATATGACCATTGCCAAGCAATCCAGATGTCTGTTACCTAGGTTTTGCTCTAAAGTGCCTTGCACTGGTTTATTTCATAACCTTCACTATGGTGCCCAAGCAGCTGTAGTTCAGGCCTAATCAGGCTTCTCATGACCTTCGTTGTACTTTTTAGATAAAACAGAATACTTGAAGTCATTAGTTACAGAGAACAGGAATCTATAAACTCATTCCATAAAACAAACGAAAATTTGTTTTCCTTCTCCCTATGTTGAGGGAGTGCTGGGAGAGTCTCCAGAGCACATTAGATAATATTATCAAGACTTTTCCTGGGTCTGGGCTGTGCCTGTTGCTGCCTCTGGGAAAAGTCAGCCTAATACAGGAAAACTTATTTCTCTTTCTTTTTGATTTTATTTTTCTTTAATTTCCCACCTCAGGACAAAAACTTGCGTGCCATGAGTGTGGGTGCAAAAGGCTGTCACATTGACCCTCCACTGAGCTGTTAACACTTACGGTCTCTGCGGATGGCAAAGCCAAACAGGCAGTGTAACACTTCCTCTGGGTCTTCAGGGGTTGCGGGCTACCCTCTACTAGATGCTGCCGTGGGGCTGGTATGGAGTTCATTCTTGCTGGTGCCCAAAATTGTTCGCCCTGGCTCCTGTACCTGCTCACCTGTGCTTCCCCTCCCACAAGGGGTAGAGCAGCGAGTGAGCAGGGTTCACCCCCGCTGGCCTGGAAGCAGCCGGCTAGTTCCAGCACCAGTGCACTCCAGTTCCCACCTGTGAAGGGGTCAGGGAAATATCCTGTTTCATTAAGAAACTGTTAAAGAACTAGTAGGGTCTCTGTTTATTTCCCATGTTGGGGTGGAAGTTCCCTAAAAACAAGAAACATGTGTAACAAGTTGTCTGTTTACATCTGACCTCAAAAGACACTTATTAAATGAATGAAAGGAGATTTAAAATATTTAAATGCTTTTGAACTCCCACACAAACGTGCCCCTTGCATACCTAAAATAAATACAAAATCACATTTATTAATTACGAATTTTGTGTTTCTTTGTGATCCCATGTTCTGTCATTTTACAACTACATTTAAAATATAAAAAACAACATAAGGGAAAAATGAAAACAAAACTTTTCCTCATATACTAGATGCTTCTCAAATGGATACTATTTCTTTTGATGATAGCAAGAGTATCTTTACTCACAAACATCAATATGTTAAGCACATCATCTATTCACAGAAATAGTACAAGTTATAGAGAGGAAATGAAAACGAAATGTTTCATTTGATAGGAATGGTGAAGCAGGAAATGAGAAGAGTAGAAAATGAACAAAGGCATGCTTTTCTTCTTCTATCACTAAACATTAAGTGATGCCAATTTGTTATTTTCTTCTTGGAACTGCATGGGTAGGGTTTTAGAAGCCGGAAACTGCTGGATCAAATAAGGTTCTTGGCTTATGTACTCCCAACCCTGTTTCCCCCATTCCCTGGGGCTTCAAGATCATTCACACAAAAGGCATGCTTTTGAATATTCAGTAATATTTTCTCCTGCTGGTAATTTGCTCTGCAGACTGTAACGTTTCACGTTCCTAAGAATTGACAGAATGTTGCTGTTTAGGGATAAATGCAGCCCACTGAGAAGAGGGTCAAGATGAAGGATCAAGATGCAATTAGATGTTTCAGAATTTACATGAGATATTATCCCATGTGCCTATCAATATTGCAATCCAGCAAGAAAACAACACTTGGTTAGATGTTTCTGAAACTGCACTAGTTTACTTATCCTGATATCATAAGATAAGTGCTTCTTTCAATTGTATTTTACCTTCAGATTATTTGTTAAAAACTAAAACAAATTCAAACAAAACAAAACAAACTACAAAAGTGAGACAAGGCAGTGAATGGGGATTCTGTCCCAATGCAGATCCCGGGGATTCTCTTACTGGCATGATGAATGGTTAACAGCTATGCTGCATTGTGGAAGTAAAATGGCATTCCTCCAAAAAATGGACCAACGAATACATACCTTGGGCCTTTAAGGTCATGTCAACCAATGGTTGAAACCACAAGGGATACATGCCATCTGGGTGCCAACTGTCATCAATATAACAAAGACATCTGAGATGGGGATGTGTCTCTGAGTGGCATTTAGCTTCCTCCCAGAGAAGTGAGCCTTGACTGTCTGCAGCGGAACCATCAACACACAGCCCTGGGTTGTCTTCACTACCCAGTTGTTGGGACTCATAAACCCATACAGCAAAATATGGCACTTTGATGTGCTGAACTGAAGAAGAAGCCTCAACGTCTCTCTCATCTTCTCCCACTCCCTCTTGTCTCTCAACCCTCTGTGACCCCCAAAGCACAGGAGGAAGTTGTTTTCTGAAGTTGTTTATCTGCCTAAAGTCTGGACCCATCAAAGAAGAAAACAATGACCTCTGGTCCCTTCCCCGAGATTCTAGTAACTGGACTCATATCGCAGGAAGAAAGAATGAAGTCTGTCAACACACCTGGACAGACTTTTGTGACAAACCACTGTCTGCTCTGCAAGCCCAACAGACTTTGTTCTAAGCCACTGTATGTTCTTCAAGCCCACTTAATTCCCCTAAAAATCATTTACTATCCCCCTAAGTATCATCCAGGAGTCCTCACCTCCCTTTCCTCTAGGAAGTAGAGTATATAAGCATATCTACTCCATTAAGATATTGGGTAATCAGTCTCCTAATCCTTCCTGCCAAGCTATCCACATTAAAGGAAATTTGCATGCCTTTTCTTCAATTAATCTGCCTTTTTAAGTTGATTTTTCAGTGAACCCTCAGAGGGGAAAGGGGAAGTTTCTACTAGGGGAAGTGCCTACACAGCCAACAGTTTTGACCAAATCTTATAAGATAAATTTTTGCACAGTGCTCAAGCTGAAGCCAGGAACAAAGCACAGGTTCTATGAGTTAATAATGATGAGAAAATAACTCAAGTCTAAGGGGTGAAAATAGGAAAACCTGTCACCTTAATACAGTGTGTATTTTCCACAGTGGGAAGGAAAAAGTGTGGGCAGATATCTAATAGTTGCATATGCAGCTGAAAATATAAAGTAATCTAAATACTAGATCCAAACGCCAGATTAACAATTCTTGCAGTAAATATCATCCACTAATAGTCCCAAATTTTATTATAAACCAAGTAAATGTAAGTAATGTTTTGGCATGTGGTTTAAAGAGTGAATAATTTGGGCAGATGTTAAGAATACACTTAACATTAGAAAAACTAGACCAAAGTTAGACATCAAACATCGTTATCATCCTAAAAACAATTTTATCTTCCCAAATGTGCTTCATTTCAAACGAGCTATTTTACCCACCTCTCTTCAGCATGGGACTTATCTGTGGTCTTGTAACTAGAAATTATATGGCACTACAAAAGATTACCAACTTTATTTTTCCCTTCTCTGTTAAAAGTCATCATTTTTAAGTAATTATAATAAAAATGAAAATGAATGACATTTTGAAAAACGTCAAAAAGCAGCACATGTTGGCAAAGATGCTGAGAAAAGGGTACAGTTATACACTGTTGGTGGGAAGGTAAATTAATACAACCTCTATGGAAAATAGTATGGAGATTTCCCAAATGACTTAAGATAGAAGTATCATTTGGCCCAGCAATCCCACTTGTGGGTTTCTACTCAAAGGAAAAGAAATGGTTCTATCAAAAAGACACCTCCACTCATATGTTTATCACTACACTATTCACAACAGCAAAGTCATGAAATCAACTTAAGTGTCCATCAACAGATGACTGGATATATAAATGTTTATATATACCATGGTTTATATATCCATGGAATACAACTCAGTAGTAGTCATAAAAAAGAATGAAATTATGTCTTTTGCAGCAACATGTATGAAACTGGGTGGAGGCCATTATCCTAAGTGAAATAACTCAGAAAGTCCAACACTGCATGTTTTTACTTATAAGTGGGAGCTAAACAACAGGTGCACATTAACATACAGGGTAGAATAATAGACACTGGAGACTATAAAGTGTCAGGAGGTGGAAGGAGGAGGAAGGGGCATGAAGGATGAAATACTACCTACTGGATAAAGGTTCCACTATTCGGGTGATGAGTACACTAAAAGCCCCGACATCACCACTATGAATATACCCATATAACAAAACTGAATTTGTAACACCCATAAATTTATAAACATTTTTAAATAAAAAATAAAAAGCAAATAAAAGCAGGTTTTCTTAAAACATTGTATTATTTTGTTCTTAAAATAATTTTATTTCTTAAAACACGTATTTTGTTAGTAAGTACATACATTTGCTAACAAAATAGTGGAAGCAAATACAAAATATAGCATGTAGCTGTCAGCCCAGGGCCCTGTAAATGGCCTGCTTGCATCATGTAAGTTCTGACCATATGACAAATGGAATGGATAGAAGCTAGATACATATAAAATTTTCTCCTTTCTGCAAGTTCACAGTTTCAAAGACATTTCCTAAAGTCTTTCCCTGGTCAAAAGCATGGAAATTTAATTATCAATTCAAGTTTGCTCTGAGATCAAATGGAGACACTGGGGTTGTCAATAGTCAAATTAAATCCTAAGCTAAAATGCCCCTGAAAGTAACAGATAAGGAAGAAGAGAGCCCTGGGACAGTTTTTAGTCTTCCATGTCAGGATGCTGTGGGGTACGATGACATGTTTTGTTTGATTGTTGTTTAGTTTGTTTATATGCTCCTTTCAGGACCTTTCTACACTTTTAAAGAGAGCATCCCAGTGAAGGATATGACAACTTCAGACTTTATTTTTCTTCTATTTAAGAGGAAATTCACGTAACATAAAGTGAACCATTTTAAAGTGTACTGTTCTGTTCAATGTCATTTAGTATATTTGCATTTTTGTGAATCTATCTCTAGAAATTTTTCATGTTCGCAAACTGAAACTCTGTAACCATGACACGCTAATTCCCTATAGTCCTCTTCCAAGCACCAGCAACCACTAATCTACTTTCTGTCTCTATGAATTGAATCCAAATATCCATCAAATGAAAAATAGATAAACATAACAGAATGCGGTCTATCATACAATGGAATAGTATCCAGCCATAAACCAGCATGCGGTACTGATTGATACATGCTACAATGTGGATGAACCTTGTAAACCTTGTAAACATTTTATTAGGAGAAAGAAATGAGATATAGAGTGTATGATTTCACTTATATGAAATGTAAGATTATGTGAATACATAGAGATGGGTTTTTAAAAGTTACTTTATTTTCTACCACTCAAAAATTACCATGTCCATTCCAATATTGCAGGATATGAGATACTGAACATGCTCTAACATGGTGATGATTACAAATAGTCAATTAAATCACAGATACCATAATGTTTTATTTTACTGTGATATAGAGAATATGAAATTGATCATTTAAACTATTTTTTGGTGTATAATTGAGTGGCCTTAAGAACAGTCACATTATTGTCCAACTGTCCCCACCATCTATCTTCAGAACATTTTGTACCTTTCCAAACTGAAACTCTATCCATTAGGAAATAATTTTCCATTCTCTCCGCCTCTCAGCCGCACACAAACACCATTCAACTTTTTGCCTCTGTGAATTTGACAACTCTACGTACCTCATATTGGTAAAATCATACAGCTTTTGTCCTTTTGTGACTAGCATGTAGCTTATTTCTCTTAGAATGATGTCCTCAAGGTTTATTTATGTTGTAGCATGTATCAGAATTTCCTTTCTTTTAAGGGCTGAATAATATTCCATTTCAGCAGTGTGTGTGTGTGTGTGTACACGCATAAATATATACATATATATCACTTGTTTATCCATTCATCCATCAATGGATAGTTGGCTAGTTCAAAAGTTCAGTTTTTAGCTATTGTGAATAACATGGTTAAGGACTGCGTATACAAATATCTCCTGGAATTCCTGCTTTCAATTCTTTTGAGTATATACCCAGAGGTAGAATTGGAGTATATACCCGGAGGTAGAATTGTTGGATCACATATGGTAGTTCCATGTTTACTTTTTTGAGGAACAGCCAAAGAGTTTTCCACAATGACTGTACCATCTTACATTCCCACCAGCAATGTGAAAGAGTTCCAGTTTCTCCACATCTCCATTACAACTTCTTATTTTACGTTTACTTTATTAACAGCCATCCTAATGGATATGATTTCCATGATCTGAAAACATGATTTCTTGTGTATTATTGAGAATGTCAACAATTGAGATTTTCAATGTACTGTCCCAGGCTCCTAAGACTCAACAATGAATGAAACAAACAACAATTAATGCCCTTGAAGAGCTGACATTTCGGTGGGTGGGTACTGACTGGAAGAAAAGCAATTGAGTTGCAGTATAATTGTGGCCAAGATGGAACGAGTCATAGATTTGACTGGAAATTGGATCCACTTCTGCCACTGTCAAGTTTTGTGACCCTGACCACAAGCTTTCATTTCTTCATTTTTCAAATGTGGTTGGTTGTCCAGGCCCGTGGGAACACGTATGAAGACATACACCACTTTCACAACACAGGGGGCCCCTGTTTCAGCCAGATCCAAGAGAATCTGCTCTCTGTTCACAGAATGAACACATCTAAATCATAACTCTCTATCCTGCATTTTTCTTCTGTTTTGTCTCTTCTTACATTTTCTTTTCAGGTTCTATGGCGATTTGAATTTGAGACTCAATTCCAAATGTATCCCACGTCCAGTTATTCCAATGTGATGGAGAATCACAAAGTGAAGCAAGTGGGATATACTGCTAACCATGAATAAGAGGTTAGAATGTCTTGTTCTGATTAAGAGCAGTCAATTAGGGCTAATTTCCTGTAGGAGTACAGATAAATATCTTGCCTATAACTTGCAGGTGAGTGACTACAAAACTTGCATTTATCTAGCAACCTTCAGTACCATTCTGCTGACTGCTGACATCAGGAAATATCCCTTTGCTGCCTAGTTAGTGTTGTTGTCATGAATTTGGGGGTGGGAGTGGGGGTGCTTCCTGCTTGTAGACCCTCACCTTTAGACCTCCTGGATCTCCCCTATGAACCTGCCATTTAAAATGCTCAATCAGCCTCCAGGACTCTAACAAAGACCCTTCCATCTGTTATAATTGATGAATGAGTCTGTAGTTTAGTGATCCTACTGCCTTCTGCATTAAGTATTTGAATTATACTTTTTGGACAATATGAATATCTCAAAGTTCTTTTTATTTTATTATTATTATTATTATTATTATTATTATTTTAGACGAAGTCTTGCTCTGTCGCCCAGGGTGGAGTGCAGTGGTACAATCTCAGCTCATTACAACCTCCGCCTCCCAGGCTCCAGCGATTCTTGGGTCTCAGCCTCCCAAGTAGCTGGGATTACATGTTTGTGAGACCATGCCCAGCTAATTTTTGTATTCATAGTAGAGACGGGGTATTGCCATGTTGGCCAGGCTGGTCTCAAACTCCTGGTCAAGTGATCCACCTCCCATAGCCTCCCAACGTGCTGGGATAACAGGCGTGAGTCACTGTGCCCAGCCTCAAATATCTTTTTCTACATCAATTTAGGGATTACTCATTTTGAATCACAATAATCTCTATTTACCAAACAACAAAAGGAAGCTTTCAAATTTGAACTTCAAATAAATGAGCTCAGGATAAATTACAGGCAAACACTACTAACTTCCTATCATTGGTATATTCAAAAGTTAAATGAAAATTCCACTGCAAATTAAAGAATAGTAAATGGGACTCATTAATAATATCCTAGTTGTACTCTTCCATCCATATCTTAAAGTGTTTAATAATCTATTAATCTATACTTGCACCAGAACTATTATTTCACAATATAAAGTATCTCAGAGTCAAGAGACTTTCCTAAATATGATAATAAAAAAGAAAGAAATGTTGGCACTATGAAAACCTGCTGTTAGTCTTACCCACAAGATCCTTTATATTTAAACCAATAAGCTTGCCAACCTGTGGCAAATGAGAGCATTCATGCTGGCCAAAAGTAAAGCAAGCGTATTTCCATTCAAATGAATGAATCTCTACCAATACCCAACATCTCAAATTCAGAAATATATATATATATATATATATGTATACACACATACATATCTACTTCTACAGCAGGAATTTCTGGCATGATCCTAGTAAAATTTTTAAAAGTCTAAAGAACTTCTTTATAATGGCCATTTTTATTTTCACCGGCCAAACACTCTGCTGGAGATGCAATAAGATGATACCATCTGAAAGAAAAATATCTCTCCACCGATCAGTGAATTAAGATCTCATGAGGTTTAGGTATCGTTTTTCTCCATCTAGGTCCTATAATCCATGGCCTAAAATTGGCTTTCACCAGAATATAGGTCCTACCACCGCCAGGGGTCAAGGCAGCATCTGTGAATCAGACACCATTAACACCATCTTCTGGAGAACACCTGACTTGTTTGAACGTTATGTAATCGTTACTCACCTGTCTTTAAAACCAGGAAAGGATGTTACACGATCTCTTCATGGTACCGTGGGGTGAGGAAAAAGTAAAGATAAAAAATAACACCATCTCACAAATCTTGGGTTCTGGTAAATCAGATATGTTCTAAAGAGAAGGCTATGAAACAGTTGAGTTTGAAAAAAAAAATGAGGCATTACAAGGCCATTGATTTCATTAAAAGTCCATGAGTCGTTTTAAAACTTGAGATATATTTGAATAAGACCCTTTTTTAAAACCTGCATTAATCTTTGATTTTAATTTTTAGGAACCTCCATTTTCACATGGCACATGCCCAAATTGCAATTCCAAGGCAGAGCATTAATGAGCATTTGTAATCAGATTTAATCACAGAGGGAAAAGACAGAAAGAATATCCAAGGTAAAAGGTTTTGCTTTATATTTATAGCCTGTAATTTAAGAAGGAAGTGTGAAATATAGCTTTGCGTATTGCTGGAGCAAAAGCACAAGTTTTGTGGCCAACGGGGAAAAACGCTTTTACTCCTTGTCAAACTGATGGAGAAGTTTTAAAGGCTCAGGAAATAAACTTTCAGATACTGCATGACTACATTATTTGGAAGCAAAGAGGATGCAAGAAGGAGATGAAGAATCCCAGATTGTCCTTAGATCTTCTTGCCAGAGTGTGGCCTAGTAAGGAGAAAGCCAGGTGGCATCCTGAATACATTGGTTGTACACACATGTGTAGTGTAAATATCTGAAACACCTATATTCATACATATATATTGCAATAATGATGTGTTGGGTGGAGTGGGTTGCGTAATATCCTCCAAAAATACATGTCCACCTGGAAACTCAGAATGTGACCCTATTTGAAAATAGGGTCTTTGCAGATATAATTAGTTAAGGATCTGCAGATAAAATTATCCTGAATTGAGGGTATAACCCTAAATCCAATGACTGGTATCTTTATAAGAAAAGGAGACGACACATACAATAGAGGGAAGACAGCCTTGGGAAGATAGAGACAAACACCGAGGCCACCAGAGCTGAAAAGGCAAGGAAGGATCTTTTTCTGGAACCACCCAGGGAAAGGCAGCCCTGCCAACACGTTTATTTTGAACATCTGGTTTCCCAAACTATGAGAAAGAGTAAATTTCTCTCTTTTAAAGCCATCACATTTGTGGTCATTTGTTATGGCCGCTCTAGAAAACTAATACATGGAGATTACAGGATCATTTAGAAAATGTGCCAGCCAATTGCAAAATTCAGCAGAACTCTTAGAAAACCATGGTTTATGGTCTTTTCATAATGAGACATTTAAAATACCCATGGAAAGACCTAAAGAAAAAAAAATTCTACCGTAGAGCTCTACTGTTTTGCTTTTATAATTCTCAAAATCTGTTAAAAATATAAAGATATGTAGATTTTTCTAAACTACAGGTTTCAATTCAAGATCAAATGCATGCCACAAATATAAAATATCTCCATTCCAGCTAACCTATGTGTAATGAATTATGATACAGGTATACATAGATATTTCGGGGAACATGGAATCTCCAGTGTTTGTGAAAAAGAAACAGCTGCTGAGTGTAAACAGTGGAAATAAACACGGTTTACATGAAACTGGGCATTCACTGATTTTGAGAATCAGTTCACTCAAACTAAAAAAAAAAAAAAATGAGTAAATAGATTCACTCCTTTTTTAATTAGCTTGCATTTTGCAATTTGGAGTCAAAAACCCTGCAACGGCTAATCATTCAGAAACTGCTTATTGTCCGGTAGACACTAGGGAGAGAGAGGTAGTATGAGCTATGACCACAGCCGTCAAGGACCTCAGAAACTGGTGTCAGGAAGCACACCTATAATCCCAGCATTTTGGGAGGCTGAGGCCGGTGGATCACTTGAGCCTAGGGGTTCACGACCAGCCTGGGCAACATGGTGAAACCCCCTCTGTAAACAAATATAAAACTTAGCTGGGCGTGGTGGTGCATGTCTGTAGTCCCAGCTTCTCAGGAGGGTGAGATAGGAGGATCAATTGACCCAAGAGGCTGGGACTTCAGTGAGCTATGATTATGACACTGCACTCCAACCTATCTGAGAGAGCAAAACCTCATCTCTAAAATAAAATAAGAATAAATCAATTTTAAAAAGTGAACATCCTGGCCAGGCACGGTGACTCACGCCTGTAATCCCAGCACTTTAAGAGGCCAAGGAGAGCGGATCACGAGGTCAGGAGATCAACACCATCCTGGCCAACATGGTGAAAACCCGTCTCTAGTAAAATACAAAAAAATTAGCCAGGCATGGTGGTGCGGGCCTGTAGTCCCAGCTACTCGGGAGGCTGAGGCAAGGGAATCACTTGAACCCGGGAGGGGGAGGTTGCAGTGAGCTGAGATCGCGCCATTGCACTCCAGCCTGGCAACAGAGCAAGACTCCATCTCAGAGAGAGAAAAAAAAAAAAAAGTGAGGATCTTAAGATGAGAACTTAACCCGGTTCATCTGGATGAATCTAGGTAATCATAATGTTTTTTGTTTGTTTGTTTTTTAAAATGGAAGGTTAGAAACAGAGAATGAGATCTAAGATATGTAGCCAGTCTTCAAAAGAAGACAAACAGACAAACCAAGGAAATGGATTCTCTCTTTGAATGTGAACACATTTGGGACTTTTAGCACCCAGAACTGTGAGATAATAAATCTGCATTGCTTTTAATTCCCTAGAGTTAACATTAGAGTTATAACAAGTTGTGATACCTTGTTTTAGCAGCAATAGGAAAGAAACAAATATAGATACCAAGTAAGGAATGTTTTTCGTGAAGGAGAGAGTCATCGAGAACTCTAAATGTTCTGGAAAATCAAAATCAAAATTCAAAATTTTCCAGAAAATCGAACCCTGAGAGTGCAGAGTGGAAGGCATTAATGGAACTGATAAGTAGTTTCATGGAGTAGAAGAGCTAAATTCTGATCGAAATGCCTTTTATTTCTTGGGTGGATTATGCAACAACCTTCTAACCTAATGCCCCTTTACATAGACAGCCATTTCCTTTCTCACTAAGAACAATACACTAGTCCTTTAAAGGCATATAAAATGTGGCTCATGCTGACATCTCTGAAATCAGGTGCTACTATCCCCTTCACCACTACTTTCCAGCTGCACTGATATTCTCAGGGACTCTGTGGCCACAGGGCCTTTGCACTGGATCTTTCCTTAGCCCAAGATGCTGTTCCTCCAGGTAACTGTATGGATCACTCCCTCACATCAGTTTTGCCTTATCTGTGAAACTTTCCATAACCACCTTAGTCAAAATTTTGGCACAAAATTTCTAATTTAGCACCCTTCTCTACTAAATATTTCTCCATAGCACTTGTGATATCATATTCTACTGTGTATTTTACGATACTTGTCTGTCGTTGTTTTTTCCCCTACTGGATAGAAATGCTGTAGGATTGGGGATTTTTTCTCTGTTTTGTTTGCTACTCCATTTTCAATGGAAGTTGTTATACCATGTGTCAAACAGCAGGTTGTCAATATCTGTTTCTTGAATGAAAGAAGAATGAATGAATGAAAACCACTACTACATCTTCCTTGGCAAAGCTAGTTTTGTATATATAGAAAAAACATTTTAACTTCACTTAAACTAGAAACTCTATCTCACTCTCTCTCTCTCTGTCTCCCTCTCTTTCTCTTATTATTACTAGTATTTTTTTAAATCCAGGGCTCATTACAAAACCTTGTAAGGAACGGAGGGATGCCTTGTCCATTTTCTATTGACAGTTATAAAGAGTTATATGCCTCATAGTCAATGAATAAATTTGCACTGCACTTTGGTCAATGATGCCTTCCCCCAATAGACTGATCAAGTCCTGCCTTACTCAGCATTTACATTCCTGAGTCAGCAATTGACAGAATCAAATCCCCAGTCATGGTGAACTGATTGAAACGAACCCTTCTTCACAGACACATTGATGGCACTCTATCCTAATACCCTTTATCTGTCCCGGCATCCTTATATTGTCTCCATACAATGATGAGACAGCCACAAGGGACGGGATAGCAGTGGACTGTCACGATAACCATGGGACTTGTGAGATATAGTAAGTGGACAAGCCTGCTTAAACATATATGAGTCAATATTCAGAGTCATTGGTCAATGAGGCTGAAGATTATGTTTTCAGAAACATGAGTAATAAGAATGTGCCATCAAGAAAGTGGAGGTGGAAGACACAGAATGGGAGTGTTTGTGAATCCCACATGTGGTAAGGAACATGTATCCACATTATACTACTTAAAAGTACCCCTCCTAAACCTCAGTAATGAAAAGATAATCCAATTAAAATAGGCAAAGGATCTGAATAGATATTTTTCCAAAGGATTTACACACATGTCCAATAAGCACATGAATAGGTGTTCAACATCATTAGTCATCAGGAAAAATGCATTCTCATTCTCTGCCACCTTGCATCCAATCCATCAGCAAATCCTGTTGCATCTGTAAGACACGCAGAACAACCTCTTCTTTTTTATTTTCTTTGCATTCTCACTGGTACTGCCCTGGTTTAAGCTGGTATCATTTCTTGAGTAGATTACCTCTTGCCTACTTTTTGGGGATGTAGGAGAGAAGAGATACGGGACTTCTTTTTGGAATGATGTAAATATTCAAAAATAAACCCCCAAACATGATATCACTTTACACCCATTAGGATGGCTATAATTAAAAAGACAGATGAGAACAAGTGTGAGTGAGGATGTGGAGAAGTTAAAACTTTTGTGCATTGATGGTGAAAATGTAAAATGGTACACCTATTTTGGAAAATAATTTGAAAGATTCTCAAATATTTAAACACAGAGTTCATGATATGACCTATCGATTCGGCTCCTATATCCCCAATCAAGAAAAATGAAATATATGTCCATACAAAAACTTGCACATGAACGTTCATGGCACAATTATTGAGAACAGCCAGAAACTGGAAATGATCCCAATGTCTAGCAACAGATGGATGGATAAACAAAGTGTGGTATATCCATAAAATGAAATATTACCGAACCATAAAAAATAAAAGAGTAGAGATGCATGCTACAACATGGATGAGCCTCAAAAACATTAAGGGAATGAAGTCAGACACACAAAAAAGCATGTATTATATGATTTAATTTACATGAAATGCCCCCAAAAGGCAAATCTATATAGACAGGTAGATAGTTAGTGGAAGCCTATCTCCTGGGGACCTGGGAGAGAAGAGGTATGGGATTTCTCTTTGGAATGACGTCAATGTTCAAAAATTAGATGGTGTTGCTGGTGTCACAATGTTGTGCATATACTAAAGGCCATTGAATTGCACACTTCAAACGTGCACGCTGGATGTAAGTTGTTTCAAATAAAGGAAGGAGACAATGAAAAATAGGAGTTGGAGATAAGCTCAACGGGTCACTTACATGGTAAGGATCACAAGAAGATTAAGAAACATGAAGATGTATCAAAAGCCATTAAAAGTATCAGAAGTGCCAGAGAAAATGCTTATGACATTTCTGTGGCCCTCAAGAGAATAGTTCTGATGAAATATGATTGAAAAGAAGAAAGCTACTCATTTCTTTCAAGATGAGAAATGCTAAGCATGTTTTAAACAAAGAGGAATGAAGAAGGATGAATGCTATTCCTAAGTAATCTTGTAAGTTCATGCTTAGAAGGAAAAATTAAACAGCAATGAAGGAAAAAGATACCTAGAGGTTCGCAATATATTGAACACAGGCATTTTGGTGGGGTAGCCTCCATGTGTTCAAAAGCACAGGATGGATTTATAATAATGTGTTTATTCTACCCACCTGTTTAAGACTATAGCCAAATTATTACACAGACATTCCCGGACTTACAATGGTTTGATTTATGATTTTTGATCTTAAGATGATACAAAAATGATATTCAGTCAGTAGAAATCATATTTTGAATTTTGATATATTCCCAAGCTAGCAATATGCAGTACCATAGTCTCTTTGGATGCCAGGCAGCGGTCTGTAGCTCCCAGTCAGCCACACAATCACAAGGGCAAACAACTGCTACTCTGCAGTGTACATGAAACATTCAACACTTTATTTATAAAATAGGATTTGTGTTAGATGATGTCACCCAACTGTAGGCTAATGTAAGTGTTATAAGTATGTTCAATGTCAGCCAAGCTAAGCTATGATGTTTGGTAGGTTAGATGTATTGATGCATTTTCAACTAATGACATCTTACATTTACAACGGGTTTATTGGGATATAATCCCACTGTGAATCAAGGAACATATTTTATATATGTATACATACACATTAGCATGTATACATATATAGACACATATATATACACACATATAGATCTGTGTGTGCATCACAAGGGCAAACAACTGATACATGTATATGTATACACACATATGTATGTATGTACACATATATGTATGTATACACACATAGATTATACACACCCATATGCACCCACACCCACATATATACACATATATGCGCTATATATGTGTATATATATGTTTACCACCAAGTATCTAAGACCAACTGGGACATCTAAACAGATACTGGAATATTTTAGTAAAGAGGCAGACACTACTTTAAACCTTACCAAATATTTCTTAAAACAAACAGGAAATAGTTTATCATTCCAAAATGTTCTCCCAACACCAGTGCAAAGCTTAGTTTTCTTGTGTACAAATCGTAGTGTTTCTCTGTGAGATCATGTTATGCCTGTCTACACTGAAATGATGTTTTTTTGTTGTTCTTTTTAATGTTTAAAGATGGGTTCTCACTATGTTGCCCAGGCTGCTCTTGAACTCCTAAGCTCCAAAGATCGTCAGCCTCGCGAGTAGCTGAGACTACAGGCATGCAACACTGCACCCAGTGCTGAAATGCTTATCATTATGTGTTTATCATACCTGCCTGTTTATGATTTACAATGATGTGTTGATTTTACCCATCTGTTTATGACTACAGCCCTATAACTGGACACAGCCTTCTCTCTATAACATCTGAGCCTCTAATAAATGCCACTATACTTAACACAGTGAAAATCAGTGCATACAATCTCAAATAATTAACCGAATCAACACAGACTTTCTAGTGACTTATCTTCATAAAGGCCCTAGCTCATTGAAGCAATGTTGCGTTGAGCATTCTAAAATATTCCTGACTTTTTACACTGAAAATTAAACACTTCATTCAAAAAAGCGATTATTATTATTTTTAGTCCAAGGATAAAGTATCTTAAGAATATGGCTGGACGTGCCAATCAATATGTTACAATTTTATTTGAAACATATATTTATATCGCTAAATGCAGGGTGTACCTGCCATAATTTGGTTATAATTTAGTCCCTAGGAAATTTACTTTGCACCTGTATGTTTCATCCCCTAGGGTTCATTTCCATAAAGCTAATGACTTATTAACGTTGGAATGGACAAAAATAAGACAATTATACTAGAACACAACACATCTGTCTTTGTATCACTGCTGTCATGCATGTACATATGTGCATATTCATGCTTCTTGTAGAATTGCCTGTGCTATTACAGGCGGGTAGGCAAATGTCAGGGGAAAAAAAGCTGCAGGCCAGAATATGTGTAGTAGTCTTACATTTTTTTAAACTTTATGGGTACATAGTAAGTGTATACATTTGTGGGGTACTTGAGATGTTTTGGTACAGGCATGCACTGCATAATAATCACGTAGTCTTTAAACATCCCGCTCAGATTGCCTTTTAGAGATTTTTCCATTATCCTACTCGAAAGGACTAATTTCCTTGAATATATGTAGATACTGACAGAATTATCACCAGAACCCTAATTCCAATGTACTTGAATTTGGCTCTCAATTTCAATGCTTCTCCCTGGAACTTTCCATCATCCCTTGGGATACTCATCATACTCTTATTTTCATTTAAAGCACAACTTATGTCCTTCTGTCCCCAAGGAGAAAGAGGGCACGTCAACCTCATCAACTAAAAATCATCAACCTTTCACATACTGGATGAGAAGCAAAATGAAGAAAACAGGCTGAAGAGAGAAAGGGATGGTGTCTTTTAGAATTAATAATCTTAAGAGACTGTTTTGAATGTAAAACTTTCAAAGACAGAACATTTTTAAGGCATATTCTCTGTGACTACTAACTCATGCTTAAATGACATTATATAATCAATTAACTGGGAATTATATATTGATGGAATAGATTCTTCTGTGATTTCTGTTTGAATATTTTGATTTCTAAATATGGTTATGCATGTAAAAATAAAATTTCAGCTTCTTTAAAGAAATCCTGAATCGTTTATAAATAGATCAAGGAGAGTCTCCATAGCATGACAGATGCCAGATGATAATTTTGTGTATTTGGGATTGGAAAAAAGAAGTCTTTGAAGAGAAATCTGCACTCCCATGTTCATTGCAGCACTAATCACAACAGCTGAAATATGGAATCAACCTGAATGTCCATCATTAGATGAATGAATAAAGAAAATGGGGTTTATACACACAAGGGACTATTATTCTACCTCAAAAAAAAGGAAAGAAGTTGTGTCATTTGGGACTACATGGATGAACCAGAGGACATTATGTTAAGTGATACAAGCCAGACACAGAAAGACAAATATCACATGTTCTTACTTATATGTGGAATCTAAAAAAAAGTCAAGCTTACAGAAGCAGAGAGTAGAATGTTCTCTTACAGAACTTGAAGCTGGAGGTGGAGAGGAAACGGGAGATGTTGGCCAAAGGTTACAAAGTTTCAGTTGGCAGGAAAAAGTTCAAAAGATCTGTTCAATATGGCAAACAAAGTTGAATCACAAGGAATTGAATATTTGAACATCTCTAAGAAAGTAGATTTTAAGTGTTTGCACCAGAAAAATAAGCATTTGAAGTAATGCACTTGTGAATTAGCTCGATTTAGCCATTTCTCAATGGATACATATTTCAAAACATCACTTTGTACATGATCAATATATTCAATTTTTATTTGATGATTAAATGAATACATTAGGGAAAAAAGCACAAAATAAAAAAAATTCTTTTCTACCTTGTCTCCACTCCCTCCCTTGATTTTCTTTTGAGTCTTTTTTAAAAATTTGAGACAGGATTTCACTCTGTTGCTGAGACTGGAGTGCAATCACAGCACACTGCAGCCTCGAACTCCTAGGCTCAAGCAATCCTCCTGCCTCAGCTTTTCAAGTAGCTGAGACACCAGGCATACATCACCACATCTGGCTAATTTTTTCTTTTTCCTTCCTTCTTTTCTCTCTCTCTCTCTCTCTCTCTCTCTCTCTCTCTCTCTCTCTCTCCCTCCCTCCCTCCCTCCCTCCCTCCCTCCCTCTCTCTCTCTCTCCCCCTCTCCCTCTCTCTTTCTTTCTTTCTTTCTGAGACAGGGTCTCACTAGGTTGTCCAGGCTGATCTGGAACTCCTGGCCTCAAGGAATCCTCCCACCTTGGCCTCCCACAGTGCTGGGATTACAGGTGAGAGCCACTGCACCTAGCCTTCCCCTGATTTTCCTTGCCCAATAAATACCGTTCCATCTGATGTCTCGCTTGTTGTTGAGTCAGCTGAGGACGAGGGAGCCTCTTTGCTCTGCTGTTCCCATCAACTATTACATCAATGGCACCTTCCTGGTGAGAGAGTCCTTATCCCACTGCAGTCGTCCCCATCTCTGCTCCATTTGCCTCTCAGGTCCTAATGACAAAGCACTCATCCTTAATTTCCCCTGACCTTCTTCACATCCTGAATAAATCCAATGAATGCAGTGGGCATTTTGAGCCACTAGGAGGCAGAAGAGGAAAGTCCAAGCAAACGATCATTCTGAGAGCAAAAAACATGATCCTGGTTTTGTTTGCCCCACCAAAGACCTGTCCACACCTATCAATCTGCAGCCACAACAACCATGGGATTACAGTGTTTCCAAGTGTGTATTCAATGCATGGAAACCTCATTATAAAGAAGATGATGATGAAAAACAAGACATTGTGTTGTGTTTTTTTGTTTGTTTTTTTTTTTGTTTTGCAAAGTGTCTTGGTTTTTCTTTATCTGATAATTTCTGGATTAGAGGTTGCCCTATCTTCTGCAATGTGTTCACTCTATTGCTGTGTTATCTACTGCATGGACCCCTGCCAACTCCCCAGGCTGGCTTTACCGATAACATCTGCCACCCAGCCCACAAAGAATCTTATTCTAAAGGCTCCCATTCTTCCTTCCACCTTTTGCTACTTCCTGGGTTTGAGTGCTCACACACCATTCATCTTGTCTCAGGATTTCACTTTCTCACCCTTCTCTCATGCTTCTTTTACGTCTCTACTTTTGTTTATGTATTTCTCACTAAGTACAATGCTTAACTTTCCTTTCTCCTCATTTAACTTTTTGCAGTGTTTTGTTTTAGTAACGCCTGGGTCCTGTTTTAGACAGAGAGAGGCAATTCTTCCAGTCAAAGTAGGCCATTTACAGAAATCAAATCGGGGGAATCTGAGACATTTTGGTTAGAGGAAGAGAAGAGAGGGATTCTAATGAAACCAGGAGACTGGCATCAAGGTGTGTTGATTCTCGAAAAAGGAAATGATGCTTTCTTTTTTAATATATACGCTTATGAACTTTTGACTTGATACATAAGATGTGTTCCATTTATCATTTCAAATAAAATCCTTCATAAAGCATTAAAGAAAAGAAATATTGTTAGAAAAAAAGAAATAAAATAGCAAATGTACCAAAAATAGAGCAACTCCTCTAACTTCCAAAGGGGAGAAGAACATACAGGTCATTTATAAGATAGCTTGACATTTTTCAGCAGGTGTGCTTCAGGGAAATTATAGTGACCCATTGAACTCCCACTAATGTCAGATGCATGTCACATAAATGCACACCCATGGAATTGAGGCTGTAACTCTTGGGAAGAACGTATTGGTCCTCTCTTCTAATGATTTCCAGGCTTCTTTTGTTGAGTGGAATATTACATGGCTCACACATATCACAAAAGCATAAAGGTGAGACCACTCTGGCCGATGTTGCAAGAATGCTTCAGAGCTCAGCCCACCCTCCCTCAATTTCAGAGGAAAACCCTACAAGGGACACCAGAACAGGGAAAGTGACCACATTATTAGGCTGAGCACGTGCATATGGGTTAAGTCACCCAAATTATGACTACAAATGCTGTTTCTGCTATGCATGTTGGTTGCTTTTATATCAAACCATTTCTGTCTTATATTCAATTATGACTCCAAAGCGTCTAATAGGTTTATTCAATGAATGGTCTTAAAGAGAAAGACAACTTCAGAAGACCATGACGCAATCTACCCTCAGATGAAAATTTTCAGGATAGCTATAATATGTGAAAGATTGTAAGAAATGCACCGAAATGATCATTTGACTCAATTTATGCACACGACACAGCAAGCCAGCAATGACATGGGAACTGGGGGTAGGACACCAAATTTCCTGATGAAACACTAGTTCTACTGCACCGAAGAGCTTTGATGTGACAAATGCCATTGTTGTGGTTAATGCCACCATCACCGTGAACCAAAGCAAACCAGTATCGATTGAATGGAAATGAATCAGCCTTCAAGGACCCACTTTGAGGAACTTAAAAATACACTGTAAGCATCTTATCACAATTGTGTATCTTGATCAGCAGTAAGAACTTTTTTGCATAATGATAAAAGCTACATCTGATGCTAAAGTGATACTCAATTTCTTCACTCATTCCATGGTTTACTAATTCATACTTGACATTAATTAAGAAGGCTGTGGATGAGTTCTGAGTGGTAAGTCAGAGCTCTGGCTTCAGTTACACCCGGGTTTCAGTCCCTGCTCTGACTGCTAGAAGGTGTGATGCCATGAGTAAATCCCATTACCTCAAAGCATTCATCTCCTCATAGGTAGGACATAAGGTTAACTCTTCCAAGGGAGTTTACGAAGATTAAATGAAGTAATATCTGCCAGCCACATAGAGGCACACAATGAGTTGATGTTACATAGTTGGGACTCTTTTGAAGCAACAATTAATTTCAGCATACATGAAGCATGAAGTCATAGGATCACCAAAAAGGTGATAGTACCATGTGAGCTAAACGGAAATACATATTTAAATGGAGGTAGATGAAATCCACTGCAGGTACAGACAGACTTGCACTTGGAGACAACTGGAAAGGGGAAGGAATAAATAAGTTCCAGGTATTTCCATCAAAAAGCATGAGCAAGATGCATTCTCTTTTACATCGAAGGTCTTTGGACTATCATGAACAACAACAACAAAAAAAAAACAGATTGGGGAGAACTCAAGTTATACTAAAGTAAGGAACTAAGATGGAGAAAAGAGTATTTATTGATTCAGTAATGGCCTTACAGGGATTCAGATTTATCAGATTATCCTCTGCAGTTTCTGTCTGGAGGTGATTGTTCTGAAAGTTTATTACCTGGATTAATGTCTAATCTTCTTAGGGGTAAATGATACGTATGGATGTTGTGAGGTGAATGGGTGATAGGGCATAGGTACTCAAGTGGGTAGGTGAGACCAGGCAAATGCCCTGGCACGTACAGCTCAGCAAGGATTTTGCTGGCTTCTGGCTTCTGAGCAGATAGGAACACCACACACCCTGGCAATGACTAATCTGAGAGGCATTGGTGAACTTGAGGTTTTCCAAATTCTTGAATATATATGTCAGAGACGTTTGAACCAGAGCACCTCCATCTTGAATAAGGGCTGGGTAACGTAAGGCTGGGACCTACTGGGCTGCATTCCCAAGAAGTTAGGCATTCTTAGCCACAGGATGAGACAGGAGGTCAGCACAAGATACAGGCCACAAAGACCTTGCTGATAAAAGGATGCAGTAAAAAAAAACAGCCGAAACCCACCAAAACCAAGATGGCAACTAGAGTGATGTCTGGTCATCCTCACTACTCATTATACGCTAATTATACACTAATTACAATGCATTAGCATGCTAAAAGACCCTTCCACAAGCACCATGACAGCTTACAAATGCCATGACAATGTCAGGAAGTTACCCTATATGGTCTAAAAAGGGGAGGAACCCTTAGTTCCAATAATTGCCACCCCTTTCCCGGAAATCTCATGAATAACCAACCCCTTGCTTAGCATATAATCAAGAAATAATCATAAAAATAGCCAACTAGCAGCCCTCGGGCTGCTCTGCTTATGGAGCAGTCATTCTTTATTCCTTTACTTTCCTAATAAACTTACTTTCACTTTACGGATTTGCCTCCAATTCCTTCTTGCACGAGAATCAAGAACCCTCTCTTAGGGTCTGGATTAGGATCCCTTTCTGGTAACATATACACCTTCCTAGTGACAAGGGTGTATAGCAGAACACATAGGAAATCTGTTTATAGAAGTGCAGCTTCTTTAAAAACAAACTGAACACCAATTCAATCAGAAGACACTTCATGTAGATATAAATAATTACTTTATAGCTATAATGATACATCTCAATTTGCCTGGGACAATCCCAGTTTATTCATAGCACATGAGCAACTCTCAAACATGTCCTGGATTGGATCATAAATTATATGGCCAATGGCTAGCAAGATTGTGTAGCACAGTTCTGATTATTTTTTAAAAAATAGCAAACATGATGATCTTCTGATTTATTTAATGTCTACAAGTGTCTTGTAATGTTATTTTAAATTAACATGGTTCAGTCTGGATGCCAATATTTGATAGATATTAGTTAGCCATTACAGGTTGGGTCAGCTACAATTCTTACTGTGGATAAACAGTAGTATTAATACAATGCATAATGGTATTAATAACACTAGAAATTGTAGTGTGACTGGGTATAATGGTTGCTGCTGAGAGCCTATGAAACTTCATCTACATGAGTCCATTAAATCTTTTTTAAAAGGTTATTTTTTGGCCAGGCACAGTAGCTCATGCTGATAATCCCAGCACTTTGGGAGGCCAAGGCAGGTGGATCTCCTGAGGTCAGGAGTTTGAGACCAGCCTGGCCAAAATGGCAAAACCCCGTCTCTACTAAAAATACAAAAATTAGCGGGGCGTGGTGGCAGGCGCCTGTAATCCCAGCTACTGCGGAGGCTGAGGCAGGAGAAGCGCTTGGACCCGGGAGGCAGAGGTTGCAGTGAGCCGAGATCATGCCACTGCCCTCCAGCCTGGGCAATAAAAGCGAGACTCCATCTCAAAAAAAAAAAAAAAGAAAAGAAAAAAGTTATTTTTTTATTGACAAGCAGATTATATATTAATGAGGTAAAGTGTGGTATTTTGAACCATGGAACTTTTATACTGTACAACAACCTTGCAAGGGAGAGACCACTGCCTTCTACATCTAAGGAAAGAGTCTGAGGAAACGCTAGCTGACTTTCTCAAGGCAGAGGTAGAGGAAAGTTGTTAGCTCCTGTCTGTCTCTGGCTGCGATCTACATTCTTTCCAATGCCAGCATTCCGCTTCCATTATGGGCATGTTTCATCTTTTTAATCCTCTCTTTTGGGTAACAGAGAATAGCATTTGTTACTCCATTAAAAAAAAAAAATCTTAAAACAATATTTTTCCATTCCTCAGGTAGGAAGATAACATTTATGCATTTATGACTTTTACTGGAAGAAAAAGAACTCAAAGAATATTTCAACTTTTTGCCTAAAATTGTATCTACTTGTATGAAATGCACTCACTGAAATGATCATTGCAGTGCCTGCTGTGTATTTTATTTGATCATCTTTTTAAATATCTGGATGCCAAAGGTTTAAAAACATTTTTTCAAGACCGATAATAGGAGTTTCCTGCAAGCAAAAAGTAAATGCCGCCTAGCTGTTTTCAAGAGGACAATAGTAAATGCAAGATCCATGATAAAAACCAACGCAGTCACATTTTAAAGTCTCTATCGTCCTGTAAAATCGGCAAACTTGGCACATTTCATTCCATCAAATGAAAGGGGGTCTGTAGTGTGCTTGGCTGTTCCACACTAGCTCATTGGAGGAATGTAAATAGACCGGCATAGAGATGCTAAATCGCTTCTTTTATTTCTTCCCCACCAATTTTACAGCTCTCTGTTATCTTATGACTTTTAAAAACTCTCCATAACAAAAAGTAGACTTAACAATTTTTCAATTAGTTTTTTTTTCCTCTAAAAAAAGTGTGTATACTTTCCAGGCTAATTTGCAAGATGTGCAATTGATTCACGAAGGGACAAAACTGATAAAAAAAAAATCATAGTGTAGAGTTGCTTGATACAACTGAGCTTTAGGGGGAAAAGGAGATCAATTTATTTTGAAACTCTATCTTATCAGACACATCAATTCATCACGCATGCAACAGAATATTGTGTGGTTCCAGCAAAGCAAGAATTTTCTTGATGCCCACTGCTTCCCTCAGAAAAGCATGCCCAAGCTTTCTTCCGTGTGGCCGTGCTACAGGCAGTGCACACACTGCTCCCTTTGAAGAGGGCCTGTGCAATGCCCTCACACATACTTTCCTCCTTCCACCTCTTTGTCAGAATGAACCTTTTGTAAAACATCAAGAAGCACAATTTCCTGTTTCCAACACTAGTAGCCAAAGCAACTATCCAGCGCCTCTGAAAACTATTCAGTGAAGCGTGCAATTACTGCTATGCAAAAGTTCAGAGACATTATTCCGCCAAGATGTGGCTCACAGAAAACTACAAAAAATATAGGAAATAAAGCCAACGACATAATAAGTTTTTTGACACTAAAAGGTTTTTTGGTGGTGTTTATTTTCTTTAATGCAGAAACCAACCTGGAATTTTGAGTTCTTTATCAATGTTTCAAAAGATACAACTTTAGCAACACCTGTGACTGATTTGCATTTCAAAGTAAGAAATGCATTTCTCTTAGGGTTTCTTACAACACCTCTTAGGGTTTCTCAGCAATTCACCACCTTTTAGGGCTTCTTACAGGTTAATGTTTTCACATAGGAAAAAAAAAAACCCACTCAAAATGAAATGAAGTCATCTGATTGAAAAGAAAATATTCTTGGCCATATTTGAAGAAAACATTTTCAGTCATATTTCTTGTTTGACAGACCTCCTTTAGTCCATCTTATTTTGCTTTTTATTTTAATTAATTTATTACTAGTATTATTATTATTTTTTTTTTTTTGAGAAAAGTCTCACTCGGTCACCCAGGCTGGAGTGCAATGGCGCTATCTCTGCTCATTGCAACCTCGACCTACTGGGTTCCAGAGATTCTCCCGCCTCAGCCTCCTGAGTAGCTGGGATTACAGGCGCCTGCCATCAGGCCCAGTTAATTTTTGTATTTTTAGTAGAGACAGGGTTTCACCACTTTGGTCAGGCTGTTTTCTAATTCCTGACCTCAAGTGATCTGCCTGCCTGGGCCTCCCAAAGTGCTGGGATTATAGGCGAGAGCCACCACACCTGGCCTTCATTTTGTTTTGTATTTCATATTGTATCATAATCACACTGGAACCAATATACACATCTCTCTCATGGCTAACTTGTTAAAAACTTTATCTTCTATACCATTTTAATGCATTTTTGCCTGGAAAACAAATGTTTTTACATAGGTCTTAGGAATATTATTCACAAACTAACCAACACCAGGAAAGGCCATCTCAGAAGGTACTGAAATCTGACTCTGAAGATGTATAATTTTCCAACCTACAATTAGAAGAAGATGAATGATGGCCGGGCGTAGTGGCTCACACCTGTAATCCCAGCACTTTGGAAGGCCGAGGCAGGCGGATCACGAGGTCAGGAGTTCGAGACCAGCCTGGTCAATATGGTGAAACCCTGTCTCTATTAAAAACACAAAAATTAGCTGAGTGTGGTGGCATGCGCCTGTAGTCCCAGCTACTTGGGAGGCTGAGGCAGAAGAATCACTTGAACCCGGGAGGCAGAGGTTGTAGTGAGCCAAGATCGCACCACTGCACTCCAGCCTGGGCGACAGAGTGAGATTCCATCTCAAAGAAAAAAAAAAAAAAGAAAGAAAGAAAAGAAATGAAACATCAAAACAAGGAGGAACTAAACTTGAATTTCCATGTATTTAGCCTTTAATCGTAGATCATCAATGGACAAAAGTCAACTAACAGCTAAGTTTCCCTGCATGCAAATGCAATGGAACCAAAACAACAGATCTTCCAAAGGCTCAACATAATCAGTTAGAGAATTGGATAAAATCTTTTCCTCCACACAATATACTGATTCATACAATGACACAATCAGAAAAGAAAGCTAAGATCTATGGCCATTCCCAACTATAATATCACCAAATATGTGTTCATTGTACAGGTCTATGTAGACAAACATACATTCATTGAACTCCAAGGGAGAAACATGCTATAAATAAAATTTCATTTCATCTTTAAGATCTTAAAGTCTGCATTGGTTTGAGAAGGGATTCATGACCATGTTGCACAAAGGTAGTAAAAGGAATAAACATATCCAATCACATAAAGTAAATACCGTGAAGTGGAATTAACCAGGAACTGGAATAACAGGATTCAAATCCACGAGCCCCGTCAAAACGAGAAGTGGACTTTTCATGTTTCCTCTTGCTCAGTCATTCACATGATGAAATCACTTACCTAGTATTCCCAGACGGTAGTTAATGGTGATCACGATGACGTTTCCGTAGCTTGCCAAAATGCTGCCGTCAATCATGTTGCCGGTGCCCTCCATGTAAGATCCCCCATGGATATAGACCATGACGGGCTTCTTACTGTTCTGATCATGAATATCTGGAAAAAAAAGCCAAGTAAGGAAACACAATAAAGAATCACACTGACTCACCAATGCTAAATTAAGAAAAAAGGAGATTCACTGATTTCCCTATTTTGACTTGAATTAAGCACATTTATTTTTATGGATGATATGACCCTTGATAAGAGTGTCTAAGGAAAATGATCAATGCTATTACGTTTTCTATTTATGGAAATGGTATTTTAAGAAGCATACAGACATTTAGCGTACTCTGCTCATCTAAGCTTCTATATATATCTAAAGCACTAAAAGAAATGGTTTTAGGTAAAGTACACATTTCCTAAATTTTGCTCAAACCCTAAAATGTGATTTAAATTGAATAAACACATGGGACCCTTGATGAAATATATTTTATCTTCTAATTAAGTATAAAATCAACTTCAAAATTATAATTAATTTTAATATAGTTGCATCTTAATTCGCAGGTGAGTGTACAGATTCATCTTCAATTTAACAATAAAAACATAAAAGTAGTAGTGAAGCTATAAACTATCAATAAGGGACAGATAATGACAAGAAAGCAAAATCAACAGTTAAAAATTATTAACTGAACAGAAATAGGGAAAAAAAAGAAAAGATGTCCAAGCAAATGTCTTTGTTCCAGTGATTACAGTAACATACTAACATACTTAGGTGACAAAAATAAAAGAGATGTAATAAAAAATGGCAAAAGAATCCAAACTATTTAAATGCTTTATATTTTCACAGGGAATATAAACTCCCATTGTGACTTGCAACCAATGATTCCTCTTGGTAATTTACTTTATTATTTAAATTAACAATGATGTAAAAACAATGATCTGTGATGATAGAAAGTTGGAGACCATCTGTAGGGCCTGCTTTGTGAAAAAGACCTGTTTTATAACATTAATCAGCCATTAGGGCTGCATTTAATCTTTGGAAGACTGACCTCACGTATAAATATTTCTGGATACAGATATGTGTGTGTGTGTGTGTGTGTGTGTGTGTACAATTTAAATATCTTTGTAACTAAAAGAAAACTCAAGTATTTATGCATATTTATTTTCAATTTCTTCATCAATAAAGTTTTTTTTTCCTCATAATCCACAGGGACACTTTTGAAATACCACAAAGGAATTCTGAGGATATGAATTACCATCGTTTGGATGGTGGCTCCAATTTGAATGAATTATGATCACAATTTTACTGGGTGCATACAGAAGACACGACATACCCATTGGTCACAGTAAAGCACACAAAAGAGTGTCAAGTTACCCAAGTATTTATTTGCAGATATTTAATCCACGGCAGAAAAGTGTCTTTTGTTTTCTCATATAAAATTCAAATATGAAGTAAAAATCTTCTATTAATCATTTATTCATCATACACTACGGGAAATGTCTTCTGCTATATGAATAAGAAATGGCTTTTCTCATGATCCACTGCTTCTTTCTGGTTCCTAATTTGCTGTTTTTGGCCTCATTTCTTTTACCATTACCAGCGGTTGCCTAGTAAATTGTGGAAAAAAGAGTAAGTAGAGATTTTGAAGGGCTGCTTTAAAGTGCTCCCTTGGAAAATATGTGAGATTAACATCTCTTACCTTTCATAAAATATAGAACAAGACTCTCTTGAACTTGTGGAAGTAATAACCAGCTGTTATATTAATGCAAAGTCAAAAAATCATAACTTAACAATATGAAATGAAAATTAGATGGCATTTTAATGGTAATAAAGATTCACTGGGAACACTGTGAAAACAGATTCTAATTATCGAGAGGAAATGTATTAAAAAGAGAAGGCCAAACAGGATACAAATTAGAGCAGTATAAGATATGAGACAAAAGTTTATTTCATTTTTATGTATTTGCTCAATACTGATAAAATGTCAGGCATTCAGAAGCCCTTATCAAAGAAGGGGCTACCTGAAGCAGGTGTAGATTTTGATCTCCTATGGCCATCAGAATGGAGATCTCTCAGAGAGCTACTTGAGACAGTGACAGCTCTATGAGCTCAGTAAAAGTAACAATACTCAAAATGTTAAGGGAAGACTGGGCACAGCAAGGGTGTTGGCAAGATTTCTTTTCTTGGAGAACAGTTGATTTATGAAGATAAGCAAGGAGGGGAGCAACTACAAGAATTGGTCAAAAGACCCTGTCATGGACGTTGGGCTTGACCAGCAAGGATAATTCAGGACTCACTTTTGGGCTTTAAATTGCCTTTCAGACAGAGACCCAAAGGTCCAGCCAGGACCTTAATGGAGTTCCATGCATTTTGCTACCCAGATGGGAAAAATGTGCTTTTAGCTAATCCTATAGAGCCTTACCAATGAAGAAGGGCTTGCTTGAGTACTTTTTTTGTTGCTTCTCCTCTTTAAAAAAAAAAAAAATCATTTCTTGTGCAGAAAGGGCAGAAAAACAGCATGCGAGTTGTCTGCATGAGTACCTCAGACCTACCATCTTTTAAAAAAAAATCCTTTCACTTCTGGTAGACAATGTGTTGAGCAATTTGGTAGCCTTAAGAAGAAACTTCACAGCAACAAAACATTTTAAGGAGAAAAACGTTTTCAAAAAAGCCGTGGTGTGAAAAGAAAGATGAACATAGCTAGCTTTTTGTCCTTTTTCAGTTCTGAGATACTCTTATCTTCCCCACCCCCCCTTAAATGCTGTAAAAGGCAGTCCTGAATGCATCAGGGCTCGTTAACAACAGCATCTCATTAAAACACTTTTTGGTGTACTTCACTGTGAGCAGATTATCAGAAATCTATGTTGGAATCAATATGTTTGTGAAGAAAAAAAAAACTGATATTTCAGCCCCCCCCCCCCCAAAAAAAATTCTTCTAAGGTGCTGTACAGTTTTGTAGTTCATAAAAATAATTAAGAAGACCAAAGCTCCAAAGTAGTATATTAACTTACAAAATAACATTTGGAAGGGAGAAAATAGACTATACATGCATGTTTTAAAATTCCATTTTCTCTTCTTGCGACCAAGCCAAAAAAAAAAAAAAAAGGGCTTCTCTGTAAACAGTAGTTCATTACTCTTTTCATGTTTAGAAACAATGTTTATACTTCTCACAGTGATTTGTTTCCTGTACATGGTAACTGGGATTAAAAAATGACAGTGGTTTCTATACAAGAAGAAAATAATTAAGGAAGCACACCAAAGTGTACTAGTTTTAAATAAGGGGAGAAAAAACAGATTGAAATGAAAAAAAAAAAGAGAGATAGATAGATATAAAATCATGCACTGGGGTTGAGCTTTGAAAAAACAAAAAATACCTTCGTCTTCACCACGGTCATTACTCGTTATATCATCTGCGTTTTTCTTTGTGTTGGCTCCTGGGGTCATATTGAGAAGGAAAATAAAGGGAAAAAAGAGAATTCAAAAACAACAGGTTTTCAAAAAATTCAGAAAAGAGAGAGATGCTACCCAGAAAAAGAAAAAAAGAAAAGAATGTAACACAAAAAGTTGAAATTTGTTACATTTGGATTTCAAAAAAATGAGATAGGGAAATGCAAAATGCATATAAACATAAAGATGTCAAGAAGAACAAATTCAAAATGTTACTTGCAAAAAATATTAGATATCCTGTGAATATGCAGTTGGGGGTTAAAATGATGCTACTGCAAAAAAAAAAATGCTAACGTGAGTTGTTTTAAAAAAAGAAAAAATTAAATTATTAGAAAAGACATTTCCCACATTCTTTAAAGAAATGCTTATGGCGTATTCAATGGTCCTCTGATGTTAACATGTTGTAATTTAAATAAATTTTTGAAATGTTACTGACACATTATGGTTAGAAATTTTCATAAGGCAAGCAAAAACACAGTAAACATGGAAGGACTTTATTCAAAATATTATATAATTGACATTAATTTCATGCATTAAAAACTTATAAACATGCAATCTCAAAAAGTCAGAATTGTGACTAATTTAAATCACTAAGATTTACCTCTACTCTGTGTTTAGAGAAGCACTACCCACTATTCACTCTTGTTTTCTTCTATTAAAATCTACTACATGCAATAAATATTTAAGTCAGGACAAAACATTATAGACCATGTCCTATGTGTTTAAAATAGTTATTAAATATCATTTGAAAGTTATGCCCTCTGTGTGTAAAATAGCTATTAAATATCGTTTGAAGATCATGTCCTCTGTGTTTAAAATAGTTACTAAATATCATTTGAAAGTTATTGGTACGTGAATTTGTTGAAGAAAATAAAAATCGAAGTCATCTACCTTGATCACCTCAATAAGATCTGCATAGGAATTTTAATATAGGCAAAATGCAGGAAGAGGCCCTTAAGGATAGCAAAAAACTAGCTTATGCTCTTAGTGCACAGAGCACCATTTTGGTTTTTATAGTTTCCACATTTAAAAGGTGTGAACATTTAATTTTGCTTGAATTAATTAATTGGCTCCATTGCTTCCTTCTCATAGACAGATGCAGCCCATATGTGCATATCCCACTATCAATAACTTTAACTGCGTCAATCAATCAAGACAGTCTTTGCCTTCCTATAGGGTTCTAGGATAAGCGGATTAAGGCAAAGGGAAAATACTGTCATCTCCAACACTTGTGAATGGAAAACACTCCTCTGTTCTACATAACTCAGAAGAGCTTAAACATATTTTGAAACCAAGACTTGATAATGCTGTTTCCATATATCAAACAAAAGTCAAGTAATGTCCATTTCATGGGGGCTTAATACCTTTTAAAACCAGACCTGGGTGGTGCGTGGGTGTGATAGCCTTGCTGATCCACTTTCTGTCTTTATAAGATTTGCCTTCTCTAGGCATTTCATATAAATGAACTCATATAATATGCGGTATTTTGTGTCTGGTTTCTTTTACTTAGCATATGTTTTCAATGTCCTTTCATACTGTAGCATGCATCAATACTTCATTCCTTTTTATGGCTAAATTATTTTCCATTGTATGGGTATACCACATCTTTTAAATCCATTTATTTGTTGAGTGACATTTGGTTTATTTCTACTTGTTGATTATTATTAATAAAGCTGCTATGAACATTTGTGTACTATTTTTTGCATGGATATATGTTTTCATCTCTATTGCATAGATACCTAGGGGTGAAATTGCTGTTTCATAAGGCAAATTTATGCTTAATGTTTTAATAAACTGACAGACTATTTTCCAAATCAGCTGCAATACCTGGCATTCTCACCAACGGTGGTATAAAGGGTCTCTATTTCTCTAATACCTAGCCAACACTTGCTAATATCCTTTTTTGTTATAACCATACTAATGGATGTGAAATGGTGTCTCATCATAGGTTTTTTTTTTTTTTTTTTCAAAGTCTTGCTCTGTTGCCCAGGCTAGAGTGCAGTGGTACGATCTCGGCTCACGACAACCTCCACCTCCTGGGTTTAAGCAATTCTCGTGCCTCAGCCTCTCAAGTGGCTGGGACTACAGGCATGCACCACTATTCCTGTTTAATTTTTGTATTTTTAGTAGACATGGGTCTTGCCCTGTTGGCCAGGTTGGTCTTGAACTCCTGCCTCAAGCGATCCACTCATCTTGGCCTCCTAAAGTGCTGGGATTACAAGCATGAGCCACTGCACCTGGCCTCATTGTAGTTTTCATTTGCATTTAGCTAATGTTTAGTAACTAATGATATTAAATATCTTCTCATGTACACTGTCTTTGCAGAAATGTCTATTAATTTATTTTTGCCCATTAAAAAATAATTTCTTTCCTTCTTATTATTGAATAGTAAGTGGTTTGTTTACATATTTTCTAAATAAAAGTCTTTTATTGGGAATATGGTTGGCAAATCTCCTCTCCCAGTTTATGGCTTGTCTTTTGGTTTTCTCAACAAATAGCACTTTATGTTCTCAATAGTGCCTTTTGAAGTGTAAAAGTTTTTAATTTTGATGAGTTTCACTTGATCAATTCTTTTAAGGATTGTACTTTTGAGGTCATATTTATGAAATCTTTCCCAATCCATGGCCCTGAAGACCTTCTCCTGTGTTGCTGAAGTTTCCTAAAAGTTTAAGAGCTTTAATTCTTATATTGCCACCTGTCGTTCGAGTTAATTTTTGGGTACAATAAGAGGTAAGAGTTGAAATTGATCTTTTTACATATGAATATCCAATTGTCTCAGCACCATTTATTGAAAAGACTATCCTTGCCTCCTTTAATTGTTTTGGCACCATTGTTAAAAATCTATTGACTACAAATTGAAGGATTTATTTCTAAACCCTTATAATTGACGCTTGAACAACACAGTTCTGAACTGTGCAGATCCACTTATATGTGGATTTTCTTCTGCCTCTGCCACCCCTGAGACTGCAAGACCAACCTCTCCTCTCCCTCGTCCTCCTCAGCCTATTCAACCTGAAGATGAGGATGAAGATCTTTAAGAAGATCCACTTCTATTTAATGAGTGGTAAATATATGTTCTCTTCCTTATGATTTTCTTAATGGTATTTTCTTTTCTCTAACTTAGTTTATTGTGAGAATACAGTGCATTGTATATATAACATACAAAAGATGTGATAATTAGCTGTTTATGTTATTGGTAAGGCTTCCAGTCAACAGTAGACTATTGGTTGTTAAGTGTTGGGGGGGTAAAAAGTTTTAAGTGAATTTTCGACTGTGCAGGGGTTCTAACCTTCACGTTGTTCAAGGGCCAACTGTAATTAATTATATTTCATTGGTCTAAATTTATACCCATGTGAGTTGCCTGCTATCTTGATTACTATATCTTTATAGTACCTTTTAAAATAGAGAAATGGAAGCCCTCCAACTTTCTTCCCCTTTTCCAAGGTCTTTTTGATTGCTCTAGATCCTTTGCCTTTCCATGAAACTTTCCAAATCAGCTTGTTAGTTGCAATAAAAACTCCTGCTGAGATTTCGATAGAAATTACTTGCCAAATCCCAATTTTAAATTAATCTTGTATATCAGAGCCTGACCCAGAAACATAATTAGATGCTGTCTTTCCTGTTCTACGTATATTTAATTTGTTTATCCTTTCATTCTTTTTTAATAAACTGCTGCTCTATTTGTCCATGTAAATATAACTAATTAAATGCCTTTAAAACAAACCAAGTTCTCTTGAGTATCTAGTTTAGACACAACCATGGACTATGTAAATGCAGGTTTTAGAAGATTCAGGAAAAACAATTTGTCTACAGTTTATTCAAGAATAAACCCAGCTTGTGGCTGGCGCACACACACACACACACACACACACACACACACAGCCCAAATAAAACCTAGGTAGGCTGTGAGTTTCCTTTATCTTCTCTATGTCTACCCTTCCTCAAAATTCCAGAATAATATTCCTTTTCATACAACAATTAGCATCTCCGTAAAACCTCTGTGCAGAACTGGCTTTAAATATTAAAGAGAAGATTTAAATACTCCAAGCAAAAGTACAACAATTCTATTATTAAAATTTAAATATCATTTTATAAATAAAATCTCAATGTCCCTAATCCTGAAGAATATTCCAGCTTTTTTTTAGCCTGTTCCTCTGATGTCCCCATTTAGTGCTTTATCTATGTTATTTTCAAAAGTTAGTCTATTTAAAATAGCACTTTATGTTATGAATGTAAGAGAAAAACTTTGTAAAGAATTTGGAAAATGATATGGGCGCGGTGGCTCATGCCTGTAATCCCAACACTTTGGGACGTCGAGGTGGGCGGAGGTCAGGAGTTCTGGAACAGACTGACCAACATGGTGAAACCTCTTCTGTATGAAAATTACAAAAAATTAGCCAGACATGGTGGTGCATGCCTGTAGTCCCAGCTATTCGGGAGACTGAGGTGGCAGGATCACTTGAGCCTGGGAGGTGGAGGTTGCAGTGAGCTGAGATCGCCCTGCTGCACTCCAGCCTGGGTGAAACAGCCAGACCTTATCACAAAAAAAAATAAAAATAAAAATAAAAAAATTAAAAAAAATTGGAAAACGAAGACTATTGTCAAAGTGAAAATTAACATCAAAGGAAAACCTCACAGTCACATATACTGCTGTTAACATTACAAGTCAGAAAAACAATTTAAATCTGTATTTTTAATATATATTAATTATTGCCACTTATGTATCTAAATCATCATAGAAAGTCAATAGATACAAATGTGATCTTATCTAAGCAAGAATATAAGGAAATAATAGAACCAAAAAGAACCTTCAGCATTATTGTTCTGCATGAGATATCATATTGAACTGTATTAGTAGTTCATAGTTTACTGCATATTCGTTTTCTTTTAAGTGGGCAAGGTTAATTTTCAACTTAGTCTTGTTAAGTAGAGAAAGAGACTTTTTAAGCTAAGTACATTATTTCCACACAGGGAAAGTTGCATACGGCGGGGGGTGGGGGAGGGGCACGGAAAGAAATGTTTTCCTGGCTATCACAGATGTGGATGTGATTGATTATTTTGTCACTTGGCCATAGAGTAATATGGGCTTAATCTTCTAATCCAATGCAATATCCCCAGCTCTCGGCAGCAAGGAAGTGACTGGTATGTCCTCACAGACTGCCCATGACACATGGGTTCATTCACTCAGAAGCCAATTCCTTCTACAAATATGTGTTGACCCTTTTAACATGCAGTCCCGACTAAGACAGGTAATGCCATGCAGTCCTGGCTAAAAGAGGTAATGACACACCCACACTGAAGAAGGAGATGAACATCAGAGACAGACATGCACACAGATCATTCCAACGGGGCAGGAAAATGCATGCATGAATTTAGGATCCTCTGCTGTTCCTGGTAGGAGAGTCTGGGGATAGAGGGGTGGCTGGTGAGGAAGTGGGTTAGGGCTTCTAAATATGCACAGAAGATCTGGGGCCAGGAATACATTTATGGGAGCAAAGAAAACAGGCTGCTCTGAGCAGAAGCATGGGTTGGAGGCTGAGGGCACAGAAAGGACATGAATAGCCCCAGAAAGATGAGAAGAACAGGTACACAACCTGGACAACTCCTCTTTCCTCCATACACCTGGAGAACAGACTCTAGCTGGGGAAAATATTCCATGCATACACTTGAAATATATTTGAGCCTCCACTTGAATAACACTACCACAATGAATTTGAAAGATGACCTTCAGATGATTTTCGGATTGGATCATTTACCGATGGGCTTCACCCAATGTATATGCACCTTGAAAAATTGGTTAGCAACAGAAAAGTTCAGTTTCTGCATTTGAAAGAACTGCCATAGCTGACCTATGGCTTCTTTTTTCTTTTTCTGAAATCAGAACACCTGAACAGGACCAAACTTCACTCTTAATGGAAATATGTATAAGATAGGAGGCTTATTTTATGGAGCCTTCAGCAAAGGGGCTTTCCAGAAAGCAGCATTCAAAAAGATATTTCTTGTATTATAAACCCTGGCAGAAAAGGTTGGTAACAAAGTGTCATGCCTACTGAAGGTCATCCTTTTGTGATGTGGGAAGAAGCTTTTGGTGACCAGGAAGGCTTAGAAAGGAGAACATCTGGGGGCTGAGTACCTGAAAATTAGTTTCTTTAAAATCATCAGCAGAGTCATACTTTGAAAAATTTTGAAAAGACATCTGCCAGTTTGAAGACCCCAGTTCCAGGGCACATAACTACTAGATAGACAATTGTTGAATTACAGGGTGTAGTCCACTGACAGGCAAAAGGTTCCCAGTTCTACAATCCTCCCCATGAATTTACTATTCCTCATACATAGAGAGTCTGTACTTTCACCCCTTGAATCTTGAGTGGCTTTAAGATTGCATTTTTTCAAAAGAAAAAATATAATGATGTGCTGTTTCCAAGACTGGGACTCAAATCCCCTGTACCTATTCTTACTCTCTTGAAATTCTGCCACTGTCCTGTGAAAAATCAGACTAGCAGGTTGCACAACAAAAGATCTCATAGAGAAGAACCCATTGGCCCTAACCTAGGCAAAATTACCTCCAGCAACCCCCAATTACCTAAGAGAACTCACTCCAAATCAACAATGCATACACATGAATGAGCCCAGCCAAGACCAAAATAAATTTCCAGCTAACAAGATGCAGAGGCTCATAAGCAGTAATAGGCGCTTATTGTCTTAAGGCATTGACTTTTAGAGTCCTTTGTTATGCAGCAGTAGCTAACTGATACATAGGGTAATACTAATTTTATCTTCAGTAGATACTGGCATATTTCTTTCCAAACAAGTTGTATTATGCTATACACCCACTAGCAGGTAAGAAAATTTCCTGGCCCTTACCCTGTTGCCAACACTTGACATTATCAGACAATACATTTGCCACTTTGATGAGTATAAAATATTAACAGTTTATATTTCAATTTGCATGTTCCTTAAAACTAGTACAGATGCATTTCTATATTCCCATTCTAAATTCCCATCTTGAATAGCAATCCAATTTTTGACTGGCTGAATGTCTGTTATTGATTTGTAGGAAATCTTTATATTCATGGATGCTGGCCTCTTTTTGAGCATGTAAAAGCAAACATTTAACAGTGCATAGCAGTGCTGCGTATGGTTCTAAGGGCTTTATGCATGTTGAATATGCATTTTGTTTGTTTGTTTTTTAGAGACAAAGTCTTGCTCTGTCACACAGGCTGGAGTGCAGTCACACAACTGTAGCTTACCGCAGCCTCCAACTCAAGGGCTCCAGTGATTCTTCGACCTCAGCCTCCCGAGTAGCTGGGACTACAGGTGTGCACCACCACACCTGGTTAATTTTGTTCTATTTCTTGTAGAGATAAAGTCTCACTATGTTGTGCAGGCTAGTCTTGAACTCTTGGCCTCAAGCAAGTCTCCCACCTCAGCCTCCCAAAGTGCTGTATTACAGGTGTGAGCCACTGTGTCCAGCTCCGAATATGCAATCTTCATAAATACCTTATGAGATGTGTAACTAATATCATTTTATAGCTGAGGAAAATTAGGTATACAGATATTAAATAATTTGCCCAAGTTTACACAGTTGAGCATTGGTGATATCTAGTCTGTTGTCTTTAACCATTTTATTGATTTTTAATTATCTAAACTAATGCTTTAAAATGCATAAGTATTATAATTTATCACTATTTTCTCTATAATTTCTGCTTTTTTTAAAAAAAAAGGATTACTTAATCCAGAAACATAAAGACATTTTATTTGCTTACATATTCTCCTAACAGTTTTAAGGTTTTATTTCACATCTGGGTCATAACTCACCTGGAATTTATTTATCTGGATGCTAGAGCATAGAGATTATTTTAATTATTTCCTTAGAGAACAGTTCCATTTTCAGCTACATAGGTATTACAGCTCTTTACTTACATGCCAAGTTTTATATCTGCTAGATTCTGTTTCTGCCTACCTTGTTCTGTTCTATTTTTCTATATACCTAGCCTGTCTTATTTTATCTGGTTTACAGATAAATGATAGACAGATATAATTGCTTAATTGAGATATAATTAATATACCATACACATCACCGTGTCAAAGTATGCAATCCAATGGTTTTTAATATATTCATGGATCTGTGCAATAATTGACAATATCTAATGGCAGAACATTTTCATGATCCCCCCCAAAAAAATATGGTACCATTTAGTGGTCACTCTCAGCCCCTGGAAACTACCCATTCATCTGTGTCTTTCTGGATTTGCTTATTTGGACATTCCGGATGTGGGGGGTGACACACTGTCCTTATTCTTAGCTTTCATTATAAGAGGACTTGAACACACCTACATGCAACCCTGACAAGCTTCCATGAAGAGTCTATACTAGCCTGTTAGAGGATGATATTCCACATGGAGCACTGTCAAGCACCCTGTTAAGATAGTGCTTGGCCAATGAGCACCCAACAGACCTGGAAGCTGACTCTAGACTGAAGAGCCTCCCAGCTGAGCACAGCCCAGATGTCCAGCCAAGAATCATAACCTAAATAGAGGTTGTTTGAGATGCTTAGCTAAATAAAGGTGGTTTGAGATGCTCGGCTTTGAGATGGTTCCTTATGTAGCAAAAGCTAACTGATACACTACCAGGAACATGGCTTAACTCATTTCATCATCAGGTTTCCTTTAGAACTTTTGGGCATTCTCTGCTGTTTCTCCCATCTGCAAAGCCCATATGCTCCTGGAAGATTCATTTTTACTGATCAGCTTAAATTCCATTTCCTCAGAAAGGCATTCCCTGTTCATCCCAACCTTCCATTCGTAAATGAACTTGGGTTCCTCAATTATTCACTGTAGTTGGCATTTTTCTTCACAAGATGAATTGTAATGTGTAATATGATATCTTGTTAAATAAGGTCTCCCTGTTAGATTGTTAGCAACAAGAAAAAGGTGTTACCTGTGATTTTTCAACACCATATTCCTTAATTTGCAATGACTACCAAAATATTCAGCACATATAATATAAGTTACATGGTAAATATCTTTTGGATGAATCATATATTTTTGGCTGCAAGCCCACCTCTATTATAAGAGTCACAGTCATAACAGCTATGACAACCAGTGATGAATACAGCCTTTACGTAACAAGTGTAACTAATTCTCCTCTTCAAGCAGGGAAATGCAATATTGTATCTTCTTATTTAACTTTGAGAGTAGAAATTAAATTATAATTCATGACGTGGCAATAACATGATTTTGGTTAGCATATTGTATATAAGAATTCTGCCATTTGTCATTTCAAAAAACAGGATGAAATGCTTTTGTGATGCCAGTAAAAGCAAGGTCTAATTCTAATTTTCTACTAGCTCAAAAATGCTTCATTGTAATAATGGAAGTAGGATTTTCTGTATTTTTCTTGTTTTTCTCTTAGTAGCTTTGGAAGACAGACTGAGAGAAAAAGGTGAATAGTAATTTTCCTTTGCTGTTTTGCTGGATTTAGCAATAATTGATTTCACACTTTTACAGGTAGGAATCAAAATAAATCTAAAGATTTTATGGGTCTCTGACATATTCCTGTGCTTACTATTAGAGTCCTAGAGCATTGTCTAACTTTCCATAAGCACTTTTTGTTGCAAATTTTACTATTGAAATGTTTCTGTCCTCAGAAATGAAATACAAATCCTATTATATTTACATGAGCCTTTCCCATTTTTTTTTTAGAATTTTCAGCTGATAGACAATATTATCTCGAAGAATCTATGAGCTTGAGATTAAACCACAGTGTGTTTAAAAATAGGTACTAAATAATGTATTTTGCTAGGTATTTTTAAATGTATGTTTATTAAGAAAAGTCATGTTGAGAACATAATTGACTTTCATTTGTCCTAAGATGCTTGTTGAAATGTTGTATTAAAAACCTAACATACCCATAGAGGTTTTATATATATATATATATATATATATATATATATATATATATATATACACACACACGTACACATATCTATACATATAACTCTTGAAATGTTGTACTAGAAACCTAATAATGCCTGGCGCAGTGGCTCACGCCTGTAATCCTGGCACTTTGGGAGGCCAGGGCAGGCAGATCACCTGAGGCCAGGAGTTCAAGACAAGTCTGGCCAACATGGTGAAATCCCATCTTTACTAAAAATACAAAAAATAGCCAGACATGGTGTCACATGCCTGTAATCACAGCTACTTGGGAGACTGAGGCACAAGAATCACTAGAATCCAGGAGGCGGAGGCTGCAGTGAGCCAAGATCACGCCACTGCACTCTAGCCTGCACGACAGAGTGAGATTCCATCTCAAAAAACAACAACAAAACCATCAAACAAACAAAACCTAATAACTTCTATGCACGCGCATACACACACACACACACACACACACAAACACACGTATATATATTAACCTCTACAGGTATATATATACCTGTCAGAAGTTATTAGGTTTTTAACACAATATTTCAAGAGGTAACTTAGGGCAAATAAAAGTCAATTTTATTTTCAATGTGACTTTTTTAAATAAATAGTCATAAAAAATACCTAACAAAACAAAATATGTGTGTATATATACATACACACATACGTGTATTTGTATGTATTTACTATATATGTAATATACATTTTCTTATATATGTACACATATTATACATACATATATTTTTTCCTTGTTATGAGATTGTGGAAAAGTTTGCGTTCTGTTGCATCATACTTTTCTCCGTAGTCAGGACACAGCAGCTGATTAATAGGTGGAATTTCTGTCACAGGACTTTTTGGTGGTGTGGGACAAGGATTCTGAAGGGCTGGCACCTTTGGTGAATTCTCCTTTTGCTGTCTATGTAGCAAAAGGAGACATCTAAAAGCAGCCCAACTATTGTTCCTAGTCAAATCATTCACAACTCGCCCTTAGCGTTTCTTGTGTGTGTACCTGACATGGTAAATGGTTCTAGTCATTCCAGAAAAACAAAATTAGTCTAGATTTATACAAAATCATCCCGCTCTTCAATTTCTGAGTATGCTGTAATAGAGGCTATAAAGGCAATTGATTTCAATTAAGAGCCCTAAAATATATATTTTAAGAAGCATAAGGTCACTCAAGTATTTGGAAGATAGAGTAATTATTACTGCCCACGAAGGCTTTTGCTACTCTTTTGAACTTAGCCAATTCACCATAATGAAGAGGTTCTTTATTCTGTTCAGTTAAACACTAAAGGAGGCTGGGCGCAGTGGCTCATGCCTGTAATTCCAGCACTCTGAGAGGCCAAGGCAAGAGGACTGCTTGAACGCTGAAGTTTGAGACCAGTCTAGGAACATAATGAGAACCTGTTTCTATTAAAAATAAATAAATAAATAAATAAATAAATAACAAAATCACACAGGTGTGTGCCTGTAGTCCCAGCTGCTCAGGAGGCTGAGGTGGGAGGACTGCTTGAGTCCAGGGATTGCAGGCTGCAGTGAGCTATAATTGTGGCACTGCACTCCAGTTTAGGTGAGTGAGACCTTGTCAACATAAGCATAACTTAAGCATATGTCACTCATCTCTCTTTCAGTGTGACTGTGTTCACTCATTTTGTGTAGTGAGCTGTATTATTGGTTCAAAATAGTTCCTATCCTTTCCTGGAGAGGTATTATTCTTTTCCCACCTTCTAATATCAGTCTACCTAAGTAACAAGCAAGTCCACCCACAACCGACATGAACTTCAGAAAAAGGAAATAAGCCTTTGTTGTTACAAACTGCTAAAATTGTGGAGGTTTTTTTATGGAAGATTTTTAGGGTTGCAGAACTATACTGTGTGATACTGTAATGGTGGATTTATGTTATTACGGATTTGTCTGAACCCACAGAATGTACACCACCACCAAGACTGTAGCCTACTGTAAAGGACGGACTTTGGGTGATGAAGATGTCAGTGTAAGTTCATGGATTGTAACAAACACACCCCTCTGGTGGGTGATGTGGAAAATAGGGAAGACCGTCCATGTATGGGGGCAGGGGATATATGAGAACTCTCTGTACGTTCCCCTCTATTTTGTTGTGAACCTAAAACTGCGCTAATAAAGTCTTAAAAAAGACACACAATGTAGAATAAAAGACAACCACAGTCCTCTCAGGAACACTCTAAAGGAACACTTAGGGAATCATTTGTGATTTTTCATGGAGTAAAATAAGATGCAGTTTCTTTATTACAGAGACATAAGAACAGTCTGAGATAAAAAGGATGCGTTGGCAAAGCATACTCCAATAAAATATAAAGTGTATTGAAAGAATTAAAATCCAGACCACTCATAAGGAAAAATACAGAAACAGATGTACCTTAGATCTGAGTAAAGGGACGCAACCAGTGATATACAAAAGACACTGCAAAAAGTGATTGTTTCAGGAGATACTATGTGAACACTGCATCTACTGAAAATCAATATATTTGCAAATCTTGGTCTTGAGGTAAAGATAATTTACAAGAGAATAACCATAAGAAGGTGAGACTGTCAATAGAAAAATCTATATGATCAAATTCTGGGCATTCACTCAGGTGTAAACACCTTTAGCACCCCCAAGCACAGAAAATCCTAAAAGTTCTTCATCCAAAACGCAGTTCAAAGGCCAAGAACACTAAAATGTAAAAGTTACTTGTAAAGAATCTTAACACGTTCTGATTATTCCTCCAATGATCATTATAATAAATAGCGTAAAATATTAAATTAAAAAAAAACTATGCAGTGACCTAATAAGGAATTAGGTTGACTCTACAAATACAGTAAGATGGTTCAATGGGAAGAAGTAGGGTGTTTTGCTTTGTCTCATTCACAGTTGAAGGAAAGAAGTCAGGTGATAGCTGAGGGAAAGATCAAAGGAGAAAAAAGCTATTTGAAAGATGGCAAATAGTATCTGGTACTATTAATGTATTTAATTTAAAAAGTAGAGTACATGGAATATTTATTTTGGCAGGAAATCCTTTTTAATCTTATCAACAAATAGGAAAAGAAATGTTGCACTAAGTGAATTTTCACTAAAAGTATAAACAGGGCAATGATGTTCATCATCACCATCATATTTCAAGATACTTCTACAGACTCGAAGCCTATATGTTTTTATTAAAAAGTATTGAGAACTGAAAATATCAGAAAGAAGGAGACAAAATAAAGTCACTCCTGCATATGACTATCCAACAAGAGAAAGAGAATCTAGAGAATCAGCTAAATAATTTAGAATGAGTCACTTATTATTTAGAATTGTATAAAATTAACACAAAATGATTTGTCATATATATGCACATAAATATATTTGAAAAAATTCTTTGCACATTCATGATAAATGTTCTAGCAATAACTCTAAGAAGTGTACAGCACATGTTACATAAAATATATAAAATAACAAGAAACATAAAAGAACGCTTACATATTTAAAAACATTCATTGATCCAGGTATAAATCAAGAGTGTAATAGTATCGATACCTCTTCAAAATAATTTATTACTTTAGAATTCCCAATAAGATCTTTGGTAACAGAACAAAATCATTATATATTGATGATTTGAATAAAACATGAATGTTAAGTTGAATAAAACAAATAAACAACTACAGATAATTATAGCTGGAACAAAGGAAGCTTTTTCCCATCATTACATTATTTATCCCACTAGTGATAATTTGAATACAATAAAGTCATTCTTTTTAAAAAGTACCATTAGCTAAAAATTTGAAAAAAGAGGGAGTTATAACAATCTCAACTTAAAACAAAATAAATATGAATTAATAATGTATGCTTAAAACAATGAGCATGTTTGTTGAAATGTATATAATGCTGAGGTTGATATTGTGAACCAATGTATATTTATTAATAAAGAAGGCATTTATTAATGAAGATGATGGCATTTTTGCTGCATATATATATGCGCATAGACGATTATATGGTCAGCTTTTACAATGGTATTCTTTAAATGTGGTCATGAGTATGTACAAAAACACAAATACACATATATGCACATACACTTTTATCACATTAATGTTATATATATACTATATATACACATAAACACATATATACACACACTGTTACAATCATTTGTATATATTATAAACACATATATATATACACATGTCTGTATACATACATATATAGTATACACAGAACCTAATTGTGTATAAAATGTATATATAATGTATCCATAATATACATTATATACTAATGCTTACATTATATATAAATATATAATTATACATACATTATTTATTTCAATAAATAATAGAATCATTTAGGATATATACACATATATGTATACTTTTGTGTACACATATATACATATACATTTTTAATAAAGAATGACATTACTCAGGAAATATATACATAAATCAGAAAAGAAAGATCACTGAAGGTAGTCAAAAAAGTAAGTGACATCGTGACAGTGAACCAGTAGTGGTCTTAGCAAGTGTGGGAAAGAGAGGGAACCAACTGGTAAAGAAAACATGAAGGCTGAGGCAGGCGGATCACTTGAGCCCCGGAGTTCGAGACCAGCCTGGGCAACATGGTAAAACCCAGTATCTACTAACAACACAAAAATTAGCTGGTCGTGGGGTGTGCACCTGCAGTCCCAGCTACTTGGGGGCGCTGAGGTGGGAGGATCACCTAAGCCCGGGACCAAGGCTGCAGCGAGCTACGATCATGCTACTGCACTCCAATCTGGGTGACAGAGCAAGGCCTTGTCTCAAAAACAAAACAAAATTTTTAAAAAGAGATGGATGATGGAGTAGGAAGATGGAAATATCTGAAAGGAATCAGACGCGATTGAAAAATACCTTTGTCACTTTAGCAGCCTTGCAGAGGCTGTTATTTCCAGAATAATTCACAAAAAGAGCTAGACATGGAGACATATCCTGGCAGTTTATTGTAAAATTAGTGAAATAAAGAAAAACAAACAAAATGTCCAGGATTGAGGGAGAAAAACAAAAGGTGTCTCTACAATAGAGGACACCTTTGGAGGTATGTGTGCAGATTATCTGCCCACTCCATCTAAAATGAGGTAGGTGGTCCCTGTGTCTAAGGTGGTGAGGACGTGCACCACTCCACCCCACATGGGCCCTCCATACTCCTGGCTGGGATCTGAGTGCAGGTGACTTGGATGTAGGCCTCTTGGGTGGCTCATTTTCTCAAAGAAGCCAAACATGCTCAAAGCAGCATGCAAGTGAAGGCTGAGCTGAGAAAGCCTGGGCCCCTGGAAGGAAAAACAGCCTGGTCATGGGTTCTGTTCTTGGTTCGTGGTCCCATGAAATTCCCGCTGTGCCCTGTCCTGTGCTTCCACCAGCTGCCATTGCTCTCAAGCCCTCTGTGCTCTGTTGGTTTGTTTGCGATCCACTCTGTGAAATGTCTTTATGACCACGCTACAAACACGCACAATTTCACTCACCTTAGAACTCTCTGACACGAGACGCAGTTGATAATGGAACAAGATCTACCATGTTTTGGTACAAAACCTTTCCCAATCTCTCCTTTGAAAAGGTATTTTTAGAGATTAGCATGCTAAGAAAGTCCATCTAACTTAGGCATAGAGTAAAAATCACAGGATAATTCACTCTAAGAAATCAAGCTCAGGGCAACTCCAACAAGCTCAAGAATGAAGTCAGGATTCAAGTTAAGAATGGGGAAGGTATGGCCTGGAAGCACTGATGATTCAAGACTGAAGAATCATCATTTCAAAGATGTTATTAAAGAATATGAGTTTTCTAATAATCGCCATTCTGACTTGCGTGAGATGGTTTCTCAATGTGGACATGCAAGTGTATGTTCATTGCAGCGCTATTCACAATCGCAAAGACATGGAATCAACCCAAATGCCCATCAATGATTGACTGGATAAAGCAAATGTGGTACATATACACCATGGAATACTATGCAGCCATAAAACAGAACAAGATCATGTCCTTTGCAGAGACATGGATGGAGGTGGAAGCCATTATCCTCAGCAAACTAATGCAGGAACAGAGAACCAAACACCACATGTTCTCACGTATAAGTGGGAGCTGAACAATTGGAACACATGGACACAGGGAGGGAAACAACACACACTAGGGTCTGTCAGGGAGGGCGGGGGGAAGGGAGAGCATTAGCATAAATAGCTAATGGATGCGGGGCTTAATACCTAGGTGATGGATTGGTAGGGGCAGCAAACCCCCATGGCACACGTTTACCTATGCAACACACCTGCATGTCCTGCACATGGATCCCAGAACTTAAAATAAAATAAAATAAAATAAAATTTTAAAAAAGAATAAGGGTATGCCAAATGAACATTATTTTTGCATATAGATATTTGTAAAATATTAAGAAACCATGTACAAAAGTTGTGAGTGATAATTCAAAAATTCAGATGATAACAGGAGGATGTAAAGTGAAAGGCTGGCAGAATCTGCCACCCCAGAAATGCTATGTTGGTGTATGGTCATTTAAGCTCCAGGCCAGGAAAGGGGAGGGGAGGGGAGGGGAGGGGAGGGGAGGGGAGGGGAGGGGAGGAAAAAAACAGCAGGTACAAGAAAGCTGCTCTGATCCTGTTTTCCTTTCTGAAAGCAAGAGATGAAACTCCTGTATGGACTGTGCCCTCCCTATACCAGAAGGAAAAAGCATTCTTGTCATTGAGAAGGGGAGGCTGAAATAAGAGAATTGTGTACTAAAAGACCATGTTAAAATAAACCACATATTTCTTTAGCCTCCACATAGGTTAGCTACTTTTCCATCATCGTCTGTCTTTGTTCAACCTTCTCTAAAAGCACTGAAGTGTCGCCACTTCTTTGAGTCTTCGTTTCCATCTGAGGGTTTTCTCATGTCACAGAAACCTTAAATTACATGGGTTTGTATGTTTTTCTCCTGCTGATCTGTCCTTTGTCCATTTAATTCTCAGGACCATCAGAAAAAACTCTTAAGAGGGTGAAAGTAAAATTATGCCTTCTCTACAAAAGGAAAAATAAAATGGGGGGGGGGGGCGGTCACAAAATACCTTAAAGAGCTACTCAAATGAAGAAAATAATGCCAAGTAAATTTTTTAAATCTTAAAAATGGCTCTGGATAGAATGCAGGGTATGTTATCATCATTGTGATTACTTCCAGTGCTGTAATGAGGAGTGACTGTGCTCTCCACACCGTTCACCATAGAAACTGTTGCCTTCCTCAGAGATGCTCAGAAAATACTCATGTGCATGAATACAATTAATGCAATGGAATGAATCCTTTCAGCGCCAGGTAAATCCTGATGTTGGAACCAGGATCCCTGGTTTGGGAAAGGTGGCAGAGAATCTATCTTTCTCCCACTTCAGAGCCACAGAATGCTTTTGGTAGGAAGGTAAGCTTCCTCCCACTGTAAAATGATAGCACTGAGGATAGTGAACAAGAAGACCCAGTGTTGCCCTCAGGGAGCCTTATGCAACAATTAATTCAATAATCACTAAATCACTGAATTCCTGCTGTGAAAATGTTATTAATGAGCATGTAGACATATACATGTGTGATTACAGATAGCTATAGAGATGGATTGATACATAGGGATTAAGAGGTCTATCTATCCATCTCTACCATCTATCATCTACCTGTCTATCTATCCATCTCTGTCCTCTACCTACCTACCTGTCTGTCTATTTACCTATCTACCTGTCTATTCATCTCTATCTAAATTTATATCTACTTATTTACCTACCTATCTATCCATCTCTATCATCTATCCATCTCTAACATCTTTATATCTACCATATATCTACCTGTCTACCCATCTCTATCTATCATCTATCCATGTATCCATATCTGTCTATGCATCTATGTATCTATCTGCCTTTCTATCATTTATCTATCCATCTCTATCTACCTATATCTATCATCTCTATCCATGTATCTATCCATCGATCTATCATCTATCCACCTATTCATATCTATCTATTTATCTATCTATTCTTACACATATATCATCTATCTACCTTTCTATCTATCCATCTCCATCATCTATTCACCCATGTCTGTCTGTCTGTCCATCTATCTATCTATCTATCTATCTATCTATCTAACTATCTATATCTATCAACCTACCTATCTGCTTACCTATTTATCTCCTGGTGACCCCATCTTCTCTAATGATTGAGTACTGAATATTACTCCTAGCCCAAGATGATCTGAATTAGGAGTTAAGGAGTTAGAAAGGAAGTTGTAAGGAAATATTCCAGAAAAGGTGAAGGAGAGTCCCCACAAGATGAGACCAGAGGATTGGGCAGTGTCAGGTCATGGGCAAAGCTTGACGGGGTGTACTGTGTTGAATAATGTCCCAAAAATTCACATCCACCAGAATCTCAGAATGTGTTCCTATGTGGAAATATATAACACCCCACATCCTTATCTATGAGGATATGTTTCAAGGCCTGAAACTGCAGCTAGTATCAAATTGTATAGATACTATGTTGTCTCCTATGTATTAATGTCTATGATAAAGTTTAATTTATAAATTATACACAGCAAGAGATTAACTCTTAATATCTCAAGAGTTAACTGACTAAGCCTAGAGATTAAATGATCACAGGGAACTGAAACCCTGGAAAGCAAAACCATGGATAAAAAGGTACTACTGCAGGGTCTTTGCAGATGTGATCACGTAATTTCTTTGGAGATAAAATCATCACAGATTTGCAGTGGTCCCTAGACCCAATGACTAGTATCCTTTTAAGAAGAGGAGAGGATCCAGAAACATATGGAGAGAAGAAGGCCTTGTAAAGATGAAGACAGACATTGAAGTGACGCTTCCAAGAAAAGCCAAAAGTTAACCGGCAGCCCCCCAGAAAGTAGGAGAGAGACAAGGAACAAATTCTCCCTCGGAGGCTCCAGAAGAAACCAACCATGCCAACACCTTGATTTTGGTCTTCTGGCCTCCAGAACCGGGAGAGAATATATTTCTGTTGTTGTAAGTCACCCAGTTTACACCATTTACCACCCAGTGTTAATATATTATAGAAACCCTAGGAAGTTTATACATTAGAGCATTTATGACTCAGAAGGACCTAATAAGCCATGCCCTCCCGTAATCCCAGGAAGTTGAATTTGAGCCGGACCTATGAGGTTGATAGAAGTCATCCCTTGAGTGTATTACATTACCTAGGAAATAGGATGGGATGCCATTGCCTTGATTAGGTTATGTTATCTAAGATTATTTTATTAGCCGACTGGAAGTAAGAGATTCTCCTGCTGGACTTGAAGATACGTGTCGCCGTATTGGGAGACAGTCCCTGAGATGGCTTCATGGCAAGAAGCTGCCTGGGGGACCTCTAGGAGCTGACATCGACCCCTGCTGACATCCACCAAGAAAGAGGGGACCTCAATCCTACAACCAAAATAAACCAGATTCTGCCAATACCTGAGTGACCTTGGAAAAGGACCATGAGCCTCCCGAGAGTCATGCTGCCCAGCCGACACCTTGATAGCATCTCTGTGTGGCACTGAGGAGGAAATCCAGCTCAGACATGCCCAGACGCCTGACCACAGAAATTGTGACATAATAAATGTGTGTGATTTTAAGCCACTGAGTTTGCAGTAATTCAATATGCAGCAAAAGAAAACTAATACACACAGGCAGCCAATGCAATCTTACTCATCTATTCTCTTTCTGACCGCACATCACCAGTTATGTAAGGAATCTGTTTAGCCAGCCCCACAAATTCCCTGAAATTTCAGGTAATGTGAATTCTGTTAGGGACCCAAGAAAGGCAGGACTTGAAGGCGTGCCAGCCAGCACCAGCAAGCCATCTGGAGTTCAGCAGTCTGCACGGGCATTTGGGCTGCCTGTCAGCTGTCCTGTGGTGTGGGGGCAGTACGCAGAGAGCATCCCCGTCTGTTCAAAACACACCAAATTGGCCACCTCCATCTCTACAGGCCAACCTGTGTATGTGTGCCTTTCCCAACTGTTTTTGTTATATTTAGAATTGAAGCCCCTATTGGGATTAAAGAATATTATGTATCCCATGATACCGCAACTGCTTCTAAATGTATAACACAGAATGGGCACAGCAGCACATTATTTCTGCACATATCAGTAGATTCCATAGAAGCTTCTGACATCACAAATTATAACAGAGTTCAGAAATAAAAGCAGTACCTGGATTGGTTCTGAGGCTTCCCTGGTGTTTTGAAAACGTTTCTCTGGTGTGAAAAAGAATGTTTCCTCGCTTCTTTTAATTTGCCTCCTTCCACTTTTAATTCACTCTCCTTTCTCTACATCAGCTCCAAGTGCCTCCTCCAACCCTACTGAGGCACCACACTTGCTCAGATGGACACCCACCATATTACATGTGAAATTATAATGGCTGGAAAGCCCATGACTGAGGCTGATGAGACAAAGAAATCCCCCCATGAGACTGAAGCTGCGCTGTCTGCCAAGTCTGACTTTGCCCTTTTGGTCTGTGAAAACGGAAATCTGGACTAAGATGGGATGCTTCAGTGAAGATGCAACAATTATCTGCATCCTCAAATGGCGTGTACACAGAGTAATAACCCGGGAAGGAGCAAGCATTTCCATTTACAGCATGAATTCAAAGGGAACACAAATCACTCATTTAGCAGCTTGTGAGCAGTTTAGGAAGATCATGTTTCTCCACTTGTTCATGCAGCAGACTGGAACTCCACGAGCATGCTGGCTCAGGGCATCACAGAGCTGCAGCAAGCACCTCCAGCCACACACAAGTGGAAGATGGCCAATGGGTTTCTCAGCGCTCAGATGGTATACAATCATCACATAAATGAGGGGGAAGAGAGAGCTTTTTTATAGGAGGTCAAATCCCTGCATTTACGGGCATATGACTATGCATTTCCATCCAGAGAGATGGCAACCTTTCTGATTTACAGCATAAATCATTACTAGGAAGATCATTTAGAAAACACCACCCAATTTTCCAGCAGCATTTTATAAACATCATCCAAATTGACTCTGGCTCCTCCAAAAGGAATCTTTCAGTGCCTGGCACCATGCTTTACTGAGAAAGCTTTCAAAATTTTTGAGCTAACTAAGCCATTCAAAGCAGAAATACTCTATTTCAGTAGGATGCTTTCATGGCTATTAAACAGCAACATCGGGAAATAATCATTGCAGTCACCATGCATTATCACATATGTTATACATTTCACTTGAAATTCTGGTAGGTCCTTTCTTTTATCATTACTCTGCAACAGAGCCAGCTTTGTCATCAAATAGAGTTTCCAAAGAGAGAAATGATCTACAATCACGAAAGCACAGCAGCCACTAAAAATCAATAGCTTTAATGCACTGTTAGCATGAGTTAAGAAGCAATGGCTATCCCCAAGTGAAATCATTACAGCTGCCACTTAGTCAAGAAGGTGTTTAATACGTGCAACTTTTTTTTTATTTATTTTTGTCCCCAGATTAGAAATTGACATATTCATTGCAGGAATAACATTAGCTACATTTTAAGTTTCATCATCTTTACCTAGAGAACAAAAATGTGTGTTCCAGTTGACCCTATTCTGCCAACAATACTATCAGAATTCCTATTTAGGATGAAGATAATGGTATAAATGTAAAAACAGCAGCCAAATGGCTCGGCACTATCACACCTATAAACCCAGCACTTCGGAAGAACTAGGTGGGAGGATCGTATGAGGCCAGGAGTTCAAGACCAGACTGGGCAGCAGAGCGAGACCCTGTTTCTACAAAAATAAAAATAGAAAAATTAGCTAGGTGTAGTGGTGCATGCCTGTCAACCAAGCTACTTGGGAAGCTGAGGTGGGAGGATCACTTGACCTCAGGATTTCAAGGTTGCAGTGAGCTATGATCATACCACTCCAATCTGAAAGACAGAGCAAGACCCTGTCTCTAAAAAAATAATAATAAATAAATAAAATCAACAGTCAAAGGGGAATTAATTTTTTTTTGAGATGGAGTTTTTTGCTTGTTTTGCCCAAGGTGGAGTGCAATGGTGTAAACTTGGCTCACTGCAACCTCCATCTCCCGGGTTCAAGCAATTCTCCTGCCTCAGCCTCCCGAGTAGCTGGGATTACAGGTGCACGCCACCACACCCAGCTAATTTTTGTATTTTTAGTAGAGACAGCGTTTCACCATGTTGGTCAGGCTAGTCTCGAACTCCTGACCTCATGATCCGCCCTCCTCGGCCTCCCAAAGTGCTGGGATTACAGGCGTAAGCCACTGTGCTCAGCAGGAATTAAATTTTTAATGTGGCTCTCTAGAGTGATTCCATGCCAGAAAAAAACCCTGGGATTCTGTTCCTCTACAGACTACTGTACTTCTCCCAATGGATCAACAGAGCAATCTTCTGTTTTCCAATTGCCAGCAACCGTAGTTCAGGTTGTCACCTACTTAGCTGTCTCAGGTAAACACATCTCAAAAAGATGGAAGGCTGTGGCAGGCAGACAAAACCCTTCAACTGCCTGAAGCTCTTAAAGATCAAGCATTGGGGCTGGGCGAGGTGGCTCACACTTCTAATCCTGGCACATTGGAAGGCCTAGCCGGGAGGATCATTTGAGGCCAGGAGTGGATGATCATCCTAGTCAACATAGCAATACTCCATCTCTACAAAGTAAAAATTAAAAAATTAGTTGGCCATGGTGGCATCTGTAGTCCTATTTACTCAGGAAGCTGAGGCAGGAGGATCACTTGAGTCCAGGAGTTGGAGGCTGTGGTGAGCTTTGATTGCACCTGGGCAAAAGAGCAAGACACTGAGAACTACTATAGGGTGCTGGTTGTGGGGGGGCTTACAAAACTACCTATTGGATGTTATGCTCACTACCTGGGTGACAGGATCCTTCCTGCAAACCCCAGCATCAGGCAATATTTCCATTTAATAAATCTGTACATGTATCAAATAAAAGTTGAAATTTTAAAAATAATAATAAAATAATGAAATAAATAACATTCTGCAAATTATGCAAGAGAAGTGTCATATTTTTATATTTAACACATTAAATATAAAAATAATTATCTGAAAAATGGATTATTCTGATATCAGTTAAATTATTCAAGTTGTAGAGGATTTGATAAATGATTTAATTAAATTGTGTAGAATTACACGGTGGTTGTATCTAAATACCTTTGAAACTGATGCTGCCAAAGATTTGTTGAATTCTTTAATTCATTGTCTGCCATGATTTGATAGTCCAAGATGTTGGCAATTTCTTACCTTTCATATTGGTTTCCTGAACTTCATTTAAAAACAGAAAAGGAAAAGAAAGATGTCAACACTACTATATCATGCATGAATGATACATTAATACTGTTGGTGCTCACAGCCTATTACTATTTTATCCATTCAAAATGAAGAGTCTTAAGGCCATTAATAAAGAGCTGTAATTTTAACTGGACAATTTCATGCTGTAAAAAGATGGGTAAGTGGGACCATATGAGTCTCAGCCTAAGAGATTTAAGATAAAACAAAAACAGGCCAGGGGTGGTGGCTCACACCTGTAATCCCAGCATTTTGGGAGGCCAAGGTGTGTGGATCACTTGAGGTCAGGAGTTTGAGACCAGCCTGGCCAACATGGCAAAACCCCATCTCTATTAAAAATACAAAACTTAGCCGGGTGTGGTGGTGCATGCCTGTAGTCCCAGCTACTCGGAAGGCTGAGGCAGGAGAACTGTTTGAACCTGGGAGGCGGAGGTTGTAGGGAGCGGGGATCGCGCCACTGCACTCCAGCCAGGGTGATAGAGGGAGATTCCATCTCAAAAAAAAAAAAAGATAAAACATAGATCAACATCGTGTAAGTGCCCTTTTGTTTTGTTTTGCTTTGTTTGGGCTGAAGGAAGAAAAGAGACCCTTTCTATCAGAATTGTCTAGAAACATGCGTTAATTGGACAGTTAAATGGATATGTGTAACATGCACCATTGCTTTGAGACCAAACAATTAGAAAGAGATGACAGGGGACTGGCCAACACTGCATTAGCGTCTTTTAGTCAGATAGTGTGAGTTGACAGGCTGAATAAAAATACAGCAAATTGGGACCAGTCCACTGTGAAGGTGAATCCTAGTTATGAATCTAACATGTGTTGACTTGAATGCACAGTTTCAGAACATTTCCTAAGTCACCAGGAAAGAAGGAAGAAAAGCATCAATTGACAAAAATCAATGGAAAGCGATGGATGGCCTCTGCATCCAAGCAAACGTCAGCAGGAACTGGATCAGTGTACAGATCGACACATTCCCTAGCTCCTGGGAAGTGACTTTGGCGATGCTACGAAAATTTTTAATTATTCAGATTTAATGAAGTGAAGCAGCATAGGAAAATGAGAGGCAACAAATTATTACACTTAGCATGAAAGAGGTACGTTGTCAATGGTGCCAATTTGAAACCTCAATGTGGCTTAAATGAATATATCATATTGTCACAAGATCACATTTTGTGATCATCAATCATTCCAAAAAGGAGTTTCATAATGTTGATTGAGTGACGTGCATTTGTAGTTGTTGATTTGCATAGACTAAGCAGTAGTGTTTTGGCAGCTTTGAGAATAGGGTTCCTACAAACCTTAACGTGAGAAAAGAGATTCAGTGATTTGTCTAGAGGAAGCTTGATTCTGCCAATTCAAGTTCAAAGACTGCAAAGTGCATTGGTGTCATAGAATCAGAAATAATTCTCAAGCACACCAAGGCAGAGATGACCACACGGACAGCTGGATGAAAAACTGGGTAGAGATAAAAATCTGTAAGAGGCTTGAATCATTTAGATTACTAAGAATTAGATAAATTAGATGAATTAAGAATAAGATGAGTAAAAATTAGTGAATATCATATTAATCGTTCATCAAGCAGATTAAATCACAAAATGCCTTTCATAGTGGAAGAACATTAAAATGCACATGTATATATGTAAGGGTCACAGGTTTTATTAATATGCTGTGGTCATTGTTACAGACAATTAGGCTAATTTAGCTTGATAAATCTCCATTTAGGTTCAAAGTTCTTGTTTGAATAAGATCTACTTAATATCTTCTGCCAGTTCATTACATGATGTAATCTAAGGGAAGATGATCTAGAAATAGACCATAAAAAAGAAGCCCTTGCTCCCAAATTAGTGAAATAATGAAAGTCAACAACAATGAAAATACAATCAGGTGAGCCCAAAGCAATTTACCTACACACTCACCATCAGAGACTATATAAAGTTTATACCTAAAAATATTCTCAATGTAATAGGTCTGATCAACTCATCATCACAAGATAAGACTTCATACATGGGGTAATGAACATATCCGGTACTGAAATATCATAAAAATACGTCATAAACACATTGCAATTTTTCAGAAGGGTATATAATCTTAGCAATTTTGGGCAGAATTTCAGATATCTTAGTCATATGAAGAGAAAAAAAGGCCTTTCAGTAAGCCATTACTTTAAAATTTGTGTATACATGCACACACACACACACATGTTCATACACACATATATATATAAACACATGTAATAATTGAAGCATTGATAGCTTAGAAATAGTATAAATTGCAGTTCTCACCCCTATGGCAAATTTTTAACAGTAACCATTTGCTGCAGACAAGTTTGACGTTGTCAATGTGTTTAAGATACTAAATCTGTGATTAAATAATGGACATATTTCCCAAAATTTACTACAAATTGATCATTTAAAATTCCATGAAAATTAATTATCTCATCAAAAAACAAAAGCAACAGAATATGGAGCAAAATAATTATTTTGTTTAAATCTTCTATTGAGATCCTTACTTGCATAGTTTGCTGGCTTATAAAAATGGCACATTCATTGTTAGAAATTTTTATTTTAGCATATGATAAGAAAAGGGAACATTATGTCTTTTTAGGGATAAGAGTTAACAACTTACTTAACAACTTACAATGTTATATTTAAAAATAAAGGATTGATACTGGGCACATTTCAGTTGGTAACTTGGTACATTAGAGTTTTCCCTGGAATTAAAATCATTAAACATAATTTAAACTGACAAGATAAAATATGATCGTTGTACTTTTATTCAGATATTTTGTCTATGTAGATAGCCTGAAGCTCTATGCAATTATACAACCTGTTTAAAAATAATAAAAACACTTAAGTGACAATATACAACAGAACATGATATGGATTTAATATGATGGATGTGTTTACTTTCAGTAAAATAATGAATCATTCATGATTTAGTAGAAATATAATCTCAAAGTACCTCACCTTTCGTCTACTGAAAGATGAATCACAAAAATATTTTATAGTGAAGAAAACACAAGGAATTCATAGGAGATGACTATTGATCAAAGTGAATTAGATTTTGGAATTAGCTAAAAAAAAATATGCATTTGGTATACTTATTGAACCCTAGCAGAGTTAAGATGTGAGCTAGAATGACTACTGAGTACTTGGGAAAATTCCAGAAAGGTACTGAACATGATTTGATTTTCTTTGCAGCTGTACTTCTTGTAGAGTAGAATGGAAATTCATGATCCAAGTGTGTCTACATGTCAGTCTCTACATTTATAAGGCAGAGCAATTCTCTGGTAAGAGAAGCGAAGCCAAACAGCCATTCCTGGGAATACTATCCAACTCAACACTGATTAGAGGGTAACAGCACATGAGAAAACACACCACCCCTGACAGCGTCAGCCCACGCTGATGATGTTGTCTTCCATTTTTCATTATTGTTAAAACCCATAATCAGCACCTTACAACATCTGTGTTGCCTTGTTCTCTAATTGTCTACCCCACACACGGTGGCAGTTAATTATACATTATCTTATCCTCTAATTGCTGTCTGCCTTGGGTTTCTCAGCAAGACGTTGGCTCCTCCTGAACTGCTTCGAAACCTGTGCCCCTGTGGTAGCGACTGCCTTACCTGCCTAGTGCAAAGTACTTCCAAAAAATACTTTCTGCTTGATAATAATTAATCAGTGTCACAATACCTAATGGATTGTGAAGAGGTCATCTTCAGCTGAGACACCAAAATAAGATCTTGACCCCAAAATGAGGACAACTTATGCCAGCCACTTATTTACTGAGAAAAATACATTTTAGCTATTTCCTGTTTCAACACTGTATGATTTCACTGTCATGTCTTGTTTACTTTTTCATCAAACTAAGTAATTTTTCAGCATGGCATGAAACCTGTTTTCTGAGCCAAAAAATTTCAACAAAAAGTCTAATATTTTAACAGTCACCTACATAATTATATAGCTGCCTTCATTTTACTACTCTTGGATAAAAATTAAATACCTAATAAATTTCTTCCATTTTTGTGGATTACATAGCTGTGGTAATATTTTTGCTACAGATAATACAAAACTGTATCTTTACCTTTTTTCCTATTCACTGCTTTCATTTCACAAATTCATGGTTCACATTCTAGGGCAAACATACAAAATTGTACTAACACACACACAGAGTTATGTGGGAAAAAGGTAACTGATTTACTCTTTTTGAGGCCTGAGATCATAGACATACAAGCCCTCTGAATCTTGTAGAAAGTGACAAATGGTTTTGTTTCATTCGTTTGTTATTTCCATAATGAGGATGGTGGTACCGAATCTTCTTTTCTTAGAGTTGTGGAGTCATAGCAGATCCACGATCCTTTAGACACCCTCAATTCTAATCCAGCCTTAATTCTTGATTCTTCCTTGGCAAAACTCCAACCCTGGTGAAATCCACCTCCCCACCCAGCATGCATCCGCCTCACCTTTACTGATCAGCACAGATGAAAGAAGATATTTAATCATGCTGACTTATCTCACATTAAATTCATGAACACAAACCTCCAGTAGGTTAATCGAGATGCCTGTATATCATACTAAATTTCTCTGATGAATTCCCTTAAAGGCTCTGCTAAATAGCACCTTCTTCTTCCTCTTCTAATCCCCAATCCCTCGTGCTCCATCTTCACTGTTAGAATATGACCTGGCTTCTTACTACACTGAAGAAATTCTATCTCAAGAAAACATGCACAAACCACCACTAACCCATTTACCCATGTGACAATAATGGCCCCATCTTTTGTGCCTCCTCTTTTCATAAGAGAATAATGATAGGAACCCAATATAAGGCTGACTCTCACCCATCAAACTCCATCAACTCTTGACAACCCAACAATAGAACACCTTGCTCTTGCTATATCCTCAGAATTGTCTTCCTCTTGTATGTTGTATTATTGTGTAAAAAACTGTCCACACCTCTCAAGGGGACAAATACACACTTGCAAGACTTTCCCTGTCCCTAACTCGAAAGAATTTCACTGACTCACTTCCATGACTTCAGTTATAGCTAATTGACTTGCTTTGGCAGATGAAACATGAACAGAAATTAGTGGGGCTACTTCCAAGCGAAAACCTTAAGAGCTATAATGTGGTTCTGCCCATTTTCCCCCTTTGCTAAAATAACAAAAATAATTAGTAATAATAAGAATAAATGAGTCTTCTCCATCAGCCCGGGTCCCAGAATTAAGAATACACAGAAAACAGCCACAGTCAACCCTTAGCGAACTTTGAACATGAGCGAGAAATCAACTTTAGTGGCTGTGGATGTCGCTGCCATTTTAGGGATATTTGTTAATGTAGCACACTATACACTGTACTGATTGATAACACCACGCCTCTAGATCAACCCTACAGCACACAGAAATGTGGTTAGATTTTCCATCTTAAAAGCAATAAAACAATTTTCTCATCTTAAAAAAAAAAGTGTGTCTATATTGTTCCTTTTCTGAAAATATCCTTGAAAATATTTATTGATATTGATTCCAATTTTATTGCTCTTATTCTCTCTGAAACCTGCCCCAATTGGGGCTTTTACCCCCAACACTCCACCAAAATTATTACTTTTCTACTAAAGGTCAAAAATGACATTTGCATTGCTATGTTCTCAATTTTCCTCATTCTTTTTTCCCCTCTGTCTACCTCTATTCAATCTCAACTGCCACAATCAGACAGACAAAAGGACGAGGACACTTTTTCCTTGCATCTGTAGTGGAAACCATAGCAGCAGATGTGCATTTTATGACCTATTTGAATTACACCCAGTTGACTACCTCTCTGTCATTGAAATGCCTTTTTCCCCCCTTCACTTCCACATTACCAGACTTTCTTTTACACCCTGGACAATTATGTTCATTTCCTTTCCAGGTTCCTCGTATTATTACCAATCTCAAATTGTTGGCAAGCTCCAGCCTTGGTCCTTTCTCTTCTCTGTCCACAGAACTCTCTTGATAATTTTATTCCGCCTCATAGCTTTAGATACCATCGACACTATCTAGGCTGACATTTTTTCTCTTCAGCACAGATTTCTGCCTTGAACTTCAGACTCTGACATCCATCTCCTTATGGGATATCTTCCGTTTGATGTCTCATAGACATTTCAAACTCAAACATTTAAACTTTGATGATAACTTAAGAATGTCTCTACTAGCCCATCCTCCAATGTCACCTGTGACCACCTCTACCTTTTCCAGTGTTTAGGCCAAAAACTCTGGACTTCCTTCGATCTCCCACACTCCACATCCATATAACTAGCAAATCTTACTTCAAATGTATAAAAAACTCCAACCACTTCTCACCTCCCAGCTGTAGGTTCTTATCTTGACTCTTACATCAGCCTTCTAACTGGTCTCCCACATTCCACCTTTGCCCCTACAGACAAGCCTCAGCTAAGCAAAGTGCTCCTTTAAAACACACCTTGACACATGAATTATCTGTTGAAATCCTTCCATTTGTTCTCCCTGGTTCTCAGAATTACAAAGTTCTCGATAGCACCACCCTACTCTGATACCTGCCATTCTGATGGCATACTCTGATACTCTAGAAATGTGGATCTTACTGCTTGATATGGTTTGGCTGTGTCCCCACCCAAATCTCATCTTAAATTGTAGCTCTCATAATCGTGGGAGGGACCTGATGGGAGGTAACTGAATCATGGGGGTGTGTCTTTCCCATGCTGTTCTGGTGATAGTGAGTAAGTATCACAAAACCTGATGGTTTTGTAAAGGGACTGCACACGCTCTCTCTTGCCTGCTGCCATCCATGTAAGACATGACTTTGCTCCTCCTTGCCCTCTGCTATGATTGTAAGGCCTCCCCAACCATGTGGAACTGTGAGTCCACTAAAACTCTTTCCTTTATAAATTCCCAAGTCTTGAGCATATCTTTATTGGCAGCTTGAGAACAGACTAATACACTGCTCTGCCCTAAACAGAACAGGGATGTTCCTACCCCAGAGCCTTGGCACTGGCTGTTCCCTCTGCCTGGAACATCCTTCTCATATATCATCATGGCTTTTTCCCTTAGCTATTTCAATTCTCTACTCCCACATCCCCTTTTCATTGAGGTTGTCATTGACCACCCTACTTAAAATACTGCAACTTCCCTAGCAATTCTAATTCCACTTATCCTCTTCTAGTTTTCTTCACAGCACTCATCACCTTATAAAATAATACAAAACTTTGGCCACGTATGGTGGCTCATGTCTGTGATCCTAGTAATTTAGGGGGCCAAGGAGGGAGGGTTGCTTGAACCTAGGAGTTCCAGACCAGCTTGGGCAACATAGCAAGACCCAATCTCTACAAAAAGAAAAACATACAGAAAATAAATAGCTGGGCATGGTGGCAACACCTGTAGTCCTAGGTACTTGGGAGGCTGATGTGAGAGTACTGCTTGAGCCCGGGAGTTGGAGAGTACGGTGAGCTATGATTAAACACTGCACCCAGCCTGAATGACAGGGCAAGACCCTGTCTTTAAATAAAACCTAATTTATTTAACTCTTAAGTTTGTTTTCCATCCACCTATAGAATATCAGTGGCACAAGGGAGGAAATTTTATTTATTTTGTACATGGATGCATCCCTGAAGCTTAGAACAATACCTGGCATGTGACAGGCACTCAAATAATAACTGAAAGAATTAATAGTGAAAGTCAAATATTACAAGATACCATGCTATGAATGTTGTTTTAGAATTATATAAGACTATGCTGATACATAAGCCATTACAGTTGAATGCTTAAAAATCTTAGAGAATAAATGATTTGAAGAGTCAAATTTTGGGGTTGGTTGAGAGATAATCACTTAAGGACAAATTAAGAAAATGCAGAGAAAGTGCTTCACAAAATACAAAAATACTAGGAAGTCCTTGTCCTTCCAAGGTTAGTGATACCTAACTCACATGGTTTCTTCCAGTCCTACAGGTGGCTTTGTCTAGTTTTTCTGATTGGGCTCTTTGTTTTTGCCAGAGGTAAACTGCTATTTCATTTCCTTTTATTTCCTCCTTATTTCTGTCCTATTTTTAGATACCATAATTGAATCAACATTCCTGGTGCACAGACATCTAACAATTTGATAAACGGCATGTATTCTCTGGTCTGCTAAAGGCTGTCTCTTAATGTCTTTCCCTTCTGCCCCATTCTGTGCCTATATCCCCTTAACTCCACCTTCCTAGAGGGTTAGAAGTCCCAGAGTCCTAAAAGGTTCTTGCAAAGTTGGGTTCAAGGCTACCTAGGTTTTCTCATTATCGACTCTACATGACAGCAAATCAATAATGAAGCCACACAGCGGGGAAGGCTGTGTGGATGTGGATAAAGCCAATGCCTGTCTTTCACAGATGGACACATGACTTTATCGCCTCAAAAACATGTCAAACTCTGCCGGTCCTCATAGTTCTCAGAAAATATTTCAAGATGTCTTTTTTCCTCCCCGCCCGCTGGGAGAATTTCCATTGTGAAAAACACATTTACAATCATCTCACTTTAAAACCATGTAGAGAAGGGCAGGTGAGCTAAAGAGAGAAACCCTGATGGAGAGGGAGAATCTTTAGCTGAGGAATCTTTAGCTGAAGCACGTGTGCACATGCATTTGTGGACACATCTATGGAAGCAGGGGACAAGCATGTCATCAATAGCAAATGAGGCAAGTGCAGCGGGAATGGCCAGGAAAAAAAGGGAGAGAATCAGGAGATCGAGGCAAAGTAAAAACTATTAAGAGACAAGTCGCTACCATTCGACCCAGCATTCTCATTACTGGATATCTATCCAAAGGAATATAAATCATTCTACCAAACAGACACATGCACCTGCATGTTCAGCACAGCACTATTCACAACAGCAAAGACATGGAATCCACCTAGATGGCCATCAACGGTGAACTGGATAAAGAAAATGTGGTGTAATATACATCATGGAATACTATATAGCCATAAAAAGAACAAAATCATGTTCTTTGAAGCAACAAGAGTGCAGCTGGAGGCCATTATCTTAAGAGAACTAATGCAGAAACAGAAAAGCAAGTACTGCATATTCTCACTTACAAGTGGGATCTAAACATTGAGGACGCACGGGCCCAAAAAGGGGAACAATAAACACAAGGGTCTACTTCAAAGTGGTGGGTGGGAAAAGGCTGAGGGTCAAAAAACTACCTATCAGGTACTATGCTCACTACCTGCGTGACAAAATCATCTGTACACCAAACCCCAGCGACACCCAATTTACCCATGTAACAAACCTGCACATGTACCCTCTGAACCTAAAATAAAAATTGAAAAAGAAAAAATAGATATAAAATTCCCACAAACAAACAGAAAGAGAGTACTGGTTAAGTATTGGCTAAGTGTCACTCTCTGGCCCTTAAAAAAAAAAAGAAAAGAAAAGAGAGAAGAGTGGATAGGAAAAGATAAAGATGCAAAGATGTTAACATTGCTTGACATTTAAAACTGGTATCTCTCCATAATAGAACTTTAGGAAATATAGCAAAAAGGAAGAGAAAGGAAACTATGAAACCGAACTGCATATCATGACTGCTTTTATCATAATTTATCCGCCAAATGTTTAAGGGGAGAAGGTGGAAAATTTTGCGGTTAAATAATTACATAGTTAAAATTCCTCCTGGGCTATCAGTGTGATAGAAGTGCAATGTCTACTGAACTCTTTCAAGCAGAATCCAATATATAATCTCTGGAAATTTTGTTTTATGGAAACAAAAACAGAATCAGCACTTTCCAAAGATCATCTCCCAACCAAAACACATAATAGGAAACATGTACTCTATTATTTGGTGCCTAAATTTTCCTTCTGCCTATCTTGATATACTATGTTATTTTTTAAGACTGTTTTTTAAAATAGCTAAATTGCATATTTTAAAATGTTAAATCAAAAGCCCCGAGAAATGCATGTCAAATATGTTTAACATTTAATTCAATTATATTTCATCTAGGGAATAAAGTGGATGGTTTAAACATAGTTATAACATTATTAGAAATAATAATCAAATATAATACTCATTTTAAAAGGCATTATCTGCATCAGGTTTAATAGTTTGTGTCCTGTCACACTGTAAGAGGTATTGGTAAGTATTTATGGTTTAACATGAGGTTACATGGTATATGAGGCTCCCCCTTGACATGCAGGATTGTTCTGCTCAGAGGGCAAAACCTTTCCCATGTTTTCCTCTTCCTTGGTGATGACAGCTGCTTATGAACATCCTCTGCTTTTATCCTATTAGGCGGTCAGTGTTTTATCCGTGATTTCTCATTTGCAATTCTTCTCAATCTTCCATGTTAGCATGTTACCTCATCTTGTCCTATGCTAGCCCATCTTCTAGCCATACAGTTTAATTTCAGTCTCAGAGTCTACTTGTTATTGCCTCTGCCTTCTTCTTTGGATGCTCTCTTCTGACTCTTGGATTTTCTTTTTCACCTGGCTCCACCGTTTTAACATTCCCTTTCACAGTTTCGATACTGATTAAGAAAATAAACACTAAATGTGCAAATGGGCTGGTCACAGTGGCTCACACCTGTAATCCCAGCCCTTTGGGAGGATGAGGCAGGCGGATCATGAGGTCAGGAGTTCGAGACCAGTCTGCCCAACATAGTGAAATCCTGTCTCTACTAAAAATACAAAAAATTAGCCGGGTTTGGTGGTGGGCACCTGTAATCCCAGCTACTTGGGAGGCTGAGGCAGGAGAATCGCGTGAACGCAGCAGGCAGAGGTTGCAGTGAGCCAAGATCGCGTCATTGCACTCCAGCCTGGGTGACAGAGTGAGACTCTGTCTCAAAAAACAAACAAACAAACAAAAACAATAAATATGCAAAAGGGCTGGTCACAGTGGCTCACGCCTGTAATCCCAGCACTTTGGGAGGCCAAGGCAGGAGGATCACTTGAGCCCAGGAGTTCCAGACCAGCCTGGGCAATACATTGAGACCCTGTCTCTACAAAAAAATAACAAAATTAGTTGGACATAGTAGCACATGCCTGTAGTCCCAGCTACTTGGGAGGCTGAGGTGAGAGGGTCACTTAAGCCCAGGAGTTCAAGGTTGCAGTAAACTAGGATTGTACCACTGCACATCAGCCTGGGCAACAGAGTGAGATACAGTCCCCCCCCCAAAACAAAATTAAATAAAACATATAAAAATATGCAAATGCATACAATTTAAAGCATAATCTCTAACTAATGCCTATCATTGCCATTCCCAGTTTTAATACATAAACTGGTATGACTTTCTGGTGAATGATGCCTTCTTATGTGTTCACTGCCTGTAAGGGATCTTGTACTCCTTACATTCTTCAGAGATGCCCTTTCTCCTTCCCATCTTCTTTTCTTCCAGTGGTTTTCCTCTTGCTTTGGTTTTTCTCTTTTCCTCTACCTTTCCTTTTCTCCACTACCATTTTCATAGAATGCTGTAATCCTGGCACTTTAATCCCAACAGATCACACACACACACACACAGACTTATAATAAAGGTTTTGTCTTCATGCATTCCTCACTCCAATATCGTAGTTGGGCTGAGCTCATTGGAGTTCAATTCCACTGCAATGTTCCATGTTCTGCACCTATGCAATCCAGTAACATACCCGGTCATGGCATGTTTCCAAGGAGAAGTCCAGGTTCCAGGTACCCCCTGCTCTCTCCTTTCCCATCAGCATTAGATAGTGCATCTGGGGCAATCTATATTCCATATAATTATTTTTAACACTTACCCCAGTTTCTTATTACCATTCTGCTTGCAAACACTTAAAACAGATGGATGTAAATGGCATGCCAGCTCATGCTAGAATTACTCATGTTAAATAAACGCTGCAATGATGACCTTCCTCAGTGGTTTTACTGGATTCTGTTCTTGCCCAAATGCTAAGGAGAAAAGAAGCTGTCTCTCAACTCCATTTAGGAGGACAGAAACATAAAACAGAAATTGTCCTTTTTCAAATCCCCAAATAATGGATGGCTCACCCTCAAGGCATTATAGCATTCTGCCTTCTCTATAATCCACGTGTTGGGATCTGAGACCCAGACTCCTTTGTGTCTACCGTATAGTTTTAGGTGAGCACATAAAATGCTATCTCTAATTAAATCTCACAATATTAGTGAGGAAGCATTTGCCAGTATGGATTCTAAAGCCCAAACTGAGGTCTTTAAAAAGGATGAAAGAGAATTGATTTTACCAGACAAGAAGACCAAAGAAAATTGTTTACAGCTTAGTGATTCAACAGTGTCTATAAGGGCTCAAGTCTTCTCTCCTGTCAGAACACCACCCTGGTCAGCAGTTGGGTTTCCATCTTGTTCATAGGTTTGCCAGCTCCTGACCTGAGATAAGCAGTGGGGTCCTGACAAAAGCACCTGCACCCACATGCAGGCAGGGGGCAAGAGAGGGAGAGGGTGCAAGATGTGTTGGTCCCTTCTACAGAGAAAAGCTTTCTCAGAATGTCTATGAGTGTCTCCTGGGCTCTGCTTATGCCTGACGTTCCCTCCACTCCAGGAAGGCATGGGAGGAGGAGATAGGGAAAGCGTTTGGGGCTGGCATGAGAGTTTCTTCTATATGTCAAATCTCAGAGATTAATGCAACAGAAAATAAAACTAAAAATTAAACGATGAATCAACAATTGTAAAAATTCACCTGAAAATATACAATGATCTAATAGCTCATTCAGAAATGAAATCTATAAAGGGTTTTGGGTCAGCAGATCTAGGTGTGTCCAGTCCTAGGAACTCATTTGCTCTGAATGGAAAATTCCATTCTGCTGATTAAATTTCATTGAGCTAAGATCCACTCATTTTTCTAATTAATCACATCCCTCACCTAAAAGCAACGACGTATTTGAACACTCCATTGCAAAAGAAGAAAATCAAATTACATAGTTCTCTATCACCAAGTAACAAAGAATACCTTATGAGGTGCTAGAGAAGATGTCTGAAGAATTAAACTTGTAGTTCTGGTGCTAAGAAATGAAGTAACAAGGCATATAAAATGTAAAATTGAATAAAAATTAAATAAAAGTGGGGCCGGGTACGGTGGCTCACGCCTGTAATCCCAGCACTTTGGGAGACTGAGGCGGGTGGATCAAGAGGTCAGGAGATTGAGACCATCCTGGCTAACACAGTGAAACCCCGTCTTTACTAAAAATACAAAAGTTAGCCTGGCGTGGTGGCAGGTGCCTGTAGTCCCAGCTACTCAGCTGGCTGAGGCAGGAGAATTGCTTGAACCTCGGGGGTGGAGCTTGCAGTGAGCCGAGATCGCGCCACTGCACTCTAGCCAGGGTGACAGAGCAAGACTCCGTCTCAAAAAAAAAAAAAAATTAAATAAAAGTAGACATCCATACCAGAAACTAATTTAAGAAAAGGACTAACTACAGCCAAAAGCAAGTGCACAATCAATTGCTGTTACAAAGGAAGGTATAAAAGCATTAATGTGTATCCATCTTTTTTCTTTTCTCATTTTCAAATCTCAGAGATTAATGCAACAGAAACAAAATTGAAAATTTAAACAATGAACCAACAATTTCAAAAATTCACTTTAAAATATGTAATGATCTAATAGCTTATCCAGACACATAAGGTAAGATCTAATAGCTCATCCAGAAACATAAAGTGCTTGAATCATTTTAGAAATGACTACATCGGTCCTACTGGTGTTATTATAACAAGGCCTACCTTTTGGTAAGTCTAAACACTTTACTGTGGAAATTTCAAAAATTTGTATTCATGCTGAAATACAAAATGGAGCAAAGCTTTCTTGAGGCATCATGTAAAAAATGCCTCAGAAGTGTGCCTGTGTGAGATAATTGAGCAGAATTCTAGTTTGGCTGTTCAAAACAGCAGCCCCCTAACCCTAGTTCCACCCAAACCATGCATCTTAAGCGTCTCAAATAAATATTGAATATGATTAGCCATTTTCATAGAATGTTGTAATCCTGGCACTTTAATACCAACAGATCACACACATACACCCAAGTCTTTATGTATTCCCTCACTTCAACATCGTAGCTGGGTCAAGCTCATTGGAGTTTAATTCCATTGCAATGTTTCATGTTCTCCTCCCTTGGAATCCAGGAACCAGTAACATACTAGTTACTGAATTTTCCACTGAAGGAAAATGATGATACACAATTCATAAATCTACTACAACAAAAAGTCATAGCAACCCTCAATTCAAGCTACATTCTTTAAGGCTTTTTTTTTTAATGTAGCTGACACCATAGTATGTACTAAAATAAGACATTTTTCCACTTCTTGAAATGTTTCCACGTTAGCAGGTGAGATCAACGGCAAAAACATCACCACCATCAACAAACAAAAATGCATATAACACTTCAAAAAAGCAGGTACAAATTTTAGAAGCACATAGTAGCCATTAAAACTGCTAAAAAGCTAGAGTTTTTCAAGTTCCACAATTTCCTGAACATTAATAAAATATATTTTCACAGCATTGTTCTTTCCATTCAATAGAAACTTTTCAGCCAGGTGCAGTGGATCATGCCTGTAATCCCAACACTTTGGGAGGTCTAGGTGGAAAGACTGCTCAAGGCCAAAAGTTTGAGACTAGCCTGAGCAACATAGTGAGACCCCATCTCTACAAAAATTAAAAAATAAACATAAACTAGCTGGCCGTGATGGCATGTGCCTGTAGTCCTAGTGTCCTAGTTTGTTTTCACACTTCTATAAATAAATACCCGAGACTGGGTAATTTAAGAAGGAAAGAGGTTTAATTGACCTCCGCATGGCATGGGGGGCCTCAGGAAACTTACAAGCATGGCAGAAGGTGGCGGGATGGAAGCAAGGACCTTTTTCACATGGTGGGAAGAGAGAGAAGAATGTGCGAAGGAGGAACCTGCCAGACACTTTTAAAACCATCAGATCTCGTGAGAACTCACTCACTATCATTAGAACAGAATAAGGGAGACCACCCCCATGATCCAATCATCTCCCGCCAGATTCCTCCCTCAACATCTGGGGATTACAATTCAAGATGATATTCAAGTGGGGATAAAAAGCCAAACCAAAACACCTAGCTACTAAGGAAGCTGAGGTGAGCGGACTGCTTGAGCCCAGGAGGTTGAGGCTGCAGTGAGCTATGATGGTACCACTGCACTGCAGCCTGGGCAAGACAGTGACTTAAAAAAAAATGTACTTTTCATAAACTTGGGCAGAGAAGCTCTCTTTGTCAGATAATATTGAGACTTACCCATATGAAACAGTGTGTATTGCGGCTCATATGAAATCTTTGCATAAGACAGTAAAAAACCATCCAATAATAAATCATGTTTCCATGACAATTAAGAAAGTAGTAATTGTAGCTGAAGACAGCACCCATGGTCTTGTGGATTATTTTCATGTTCTAAATCATTAGCGGTGGGGCGGGGGGAGAGTAATACGCCCATTTTAGGTTAACTTTATTTTAAAATAAAGCTTCCATAACAAAAAGAAAAGGTGCATCTAAAATAATATCTAAATCAGTGAAGAAAAGATTGTCCAATATGAGAAGTGCTCTTACCAAGAGAAAATAATGAACTGAGAGTCAGCCAAGTTACATCTCTCTGTAGTTTCCTTCGGCTTCAGAAGCCCTAATCAGATGGATCCCCTCATGGTCCCGGAGAAATCCAGCTGGCTCTACACCTTCTTATGTATCAAGGGCTCATCACTTAAATGCATTTTGTTTCTAACATGGCTGGAGAAACCTCCAAATGTCAACTGAAAACCTGCCCTCACTTTGTATGAGCAAGATTTAAATTTTAACGGGGTCACCAGGGCCTTGTGCCCAACAACATTAAATGAAGATGCTTGGAGAGTGCTTTGTGAACGACAGCCTGGCTGCTGGGGAGCATAAAAGCAGCACATGGGAGTCTTTCCTGTAGCCCAAGGATTTGACTTGCCAATGTGATCCTTCCACCGTAAATTCAGTGCCATGGAGTGCTACGACTACAGGTGTCAGCCACCATGCCCAGCCTGTCAGAGTGTGCACTCTGACAGTGCCAAAAACACTCCATAGGAACCATCCACAGCAAGCTCGGGTTCTTTTTTATTTTCCTTTTTTTTCCCATGAGCTAGGCTGTGGTCCAAGCAGGGCATGTATTTTCTGTCATTTTCATGGACTGCAACAGAAAGCTGGAAATAGATTTCTCTGGTGTGTGGGAGAGATCTTACTGTCTGATTATCTAGAGGCCAGGGATATGTATCTTCAGCATGCCTTTTTTCTTTTATTTACCTCCGTGAAACAAACTGAACTACTTAAGACTGCAGATCCTGGCCTTCTGCATATGAGATTTGGAATTTTGACTAATAGCCCTGCAACTAACCAATGCAGAGAACGCCCCTGTTTTCTTAGCTGCCATCGTGAGGTTTACGTTTTACCTGGAATTATCTGAAAATGCCCCCTCAAAGTGTACGTGATAGAACAGTGGGCCAAAATATACAAGACTGAGATGCTTAGGGGACAGTTATTAGATCATATATAAGATACTGCACTGTAAATGAGGAAAGAGTAAAATGAGGACAGAGTGAAAAAAGCATGTTTGCACAACAGTGTGAATATTGTTAATATCCCTAAACTGTACATGCAAAAATTATAGATCTTACATACATTTTGCCACTATTTTAAAAAATATGTTGCTAGCACCTACTCAGCATCTGTCATAACCCTTCACACTCCCTTGCCGCTGTGCCATACGGAGTCCACCTCTGGGATGACACCTGTGTCTGTCTGCTCTCCCATTCAGTGCCGCCATAGCCCTTGTGAATGCTGCCTTGATGAACATTAATGCCTCATCCCTCACTGAACATATGCCCAAAGCACCTAACTAGAATCTCCAATTCCTTCTCTCCACCTTTGCAAATGTTACTCATCTCTCCAAACACAAGGGCTGACCAGACCAGCAGCCCGAATTAAGTCCAAGCTCTTTACTGCCATATTCATTGTACACTGAATCACTCCCAAATCTAGTCACAGATTCACTTTCCAGCCTATCATAAAACATATTCTGCATTAGTAAACAAGGACTTCATGTTCTTCTGAAATTATGCCTCAATCCTGTTCTGACACCTTGCTTAAAATATTACTTCAGCTATAACATCCAATGGCTCTGCTTCCAAAATTCCATTTGGAACTAGTTAAAGTGGCATGTCTTTCATGATCCCTTCTTAAATGCTGCAACCTACTTATTCCTCCTGGGAATCCCTATGGTACAAGCCTGAAATCAGTCACCCCCTGCCTTCTCCAGGACTTAATGATATCCATATTTTATTTCCCTTACACTAGAAACTGACTTTTTACATTTTTTCTACAGCAGCACATACGGCCATGTTTTGAACAAATTTGGAACTCAATAAGTGTTTGTTGATGGGATGAATTAATGAATCCTATAGAATGACAACACTAGCACTATATTCAAATATTTAAAATTAGAATTAAACTTAAGATTTATGCAGACTTTAGCATTGTTCCCATTGGTGACATTTTGCATAGAGGGCCAAAGCCATCCTTGGCAAATAAGTGTCATGATATACATAAAAAATAACAGGGAGGGGAGTGAAGAAAATGTACTATGCAAGCACAATATTTCATGTGATGAAGGAGGAAGATTAGTAGGGCACAATGTCTATCCTTAAGGTGTACCTGATATAACAGAGGACCAAAATATACAAGACTGAGATGCCCAGGACACATTTATTAGATCATATATAAGATACTGCATTGGAAACCAGGAAAGAGCAAAATGAGGGCACAGAGTGAAAAAAAGCATGTTTGCACAACAATGTGAATGTACTTAATACTCTTGAACTGCACATGTGAAAATGGTACATTTTATGTCATGTTCATTTGGCCACAATTTAAAGAATTTTTTTTAATGTGGGATGAGAAAAGATAATGAAGGAATAATGCAAAGCTGAAGGCTGTGCCAGATGTAAGAAGTGATTATGAAGGATAAAAGAAAAGGGCTTTCCAAGCAGGGAAGAGGCATCAGAGAGAAAACCAATTGTTGAGCCAGTATTCTGTCACAGGGACATTTGTCTTTGTTCTTTAATGCCCAGTAAGGGTCTTCTCAGGTTCCATTAAACATGCAGAATCACAAGACCCCCCCAAAGTTACCATGGTGCCAACCGACTCAAAACAATACAGACAAGAAGCTCAGCTCATCAGGAAGGCTGCAGCAGGCATATGGGAACCATCTGCTCCACAAAGGACAGCTGAGATGCAAAGATCCCTACAAGGTCCATATCCACGGGAATTGGGTATTCCTTGGCATTGAAGTCCCAGCCTTCACAGCAGCCAATATTCCCTGTAAATACTCCATGAGCAGAGTTTCCATGGTTCCTAGAGTGAACAGAGCAGCTGCAAAGTGACTCCAAAACTTGCCCTCCGGGAAGCCTGAGGTGGGGTGGTATTACCACTAGGTTCTTTCAGGTCTTTATGGTTTCTCCTGGTCATGATGCTATTTACAAATAGGGGATCGTTTGTATTGTAAGCAATGTGGCCAAGAATATTGTTGCCATGTTCTTCATCCAACTGCCAGGAAAACAGAGCTAGACAGTCAAGCAGAGGTCAGATTATCTTGCAGCAGGTTGAAGGTTTTGTTCACATTTAACCCAGAGGTACTTTGCATATCTGAGTTTGTGCCATTGTCGTAGCAATGGCAGGCAGTAGAAACAACTATCAAAATTATACAGATGAGGAACTTGAGAGTCATAGAGAGGAAGGTAATGGCCTTTAAGTATGCAGAAGAAAGCAATGAAATCATGAGACAAGAGTGAAAGTCTGATACTTTGCATATCTGAGTTCGTGCCATCATCAGCAATAGCAGACAATTGAAAGAACCATCAAAATTATACAGATGAGTAAATTGAGAGTCAGAGAGAGAAAGGTACTTGCCTTTCAGTATGCCGAAGAAAGAAATGAAATCATGAGACAAGAGTGAAGGTCTGCTATGCACAAAGCTTGTATTATTTATATTGATTCATGGAGAAAGAACCAACGGCAAAGGTACAGAGGAAAGATGACTAGGGAAAAAAGGATGATAAAGGGATGGATGTGGTAACAGCAAAGAGAACTCTAGAAGCCAAACAAGCATTTCTGGAAAGCCTGCTGCATGCCAGGCATTGTACTTGCCCACAGTAGCCCACATTCCTATAGGCAAGATGGTCACAGAAACGACTAATGACAAGAAGGTAAGAGCCTTAGGAAGATCATCAGGAAGGTGCACTGGAGTTAACACAGCTACACTGGACAAGGTGCAAAGAGCACTTTGCAGAGAAGGTAACATGCATTCTGAATCTTGAAGATACTTCAAGATACTTCAAGAAGTTACAAGATACTTCAGGATGCTGATCTTCTCTTCATCAACTGGTTCCCCAGTTGATGAAGATGCAACCTGATGCTATAAAGAACAGGGAACCAGTAAGGCATAAAAGCAAAAAAGAAACATAACTACATTTGCATTTTCCAAAGAGAACTCTAGATTAGTCACTGAAGAAGAAAGGTGCACCTAAGGAGACAGAGTGCTATAGTTTGGATGTTTGTCCTCTCCAAGTATCAAGCTGACATTTGATTCCCAATGTTGGAGATGAAGCCTAGTGGGAGGTGTTTGAGTCATGGAGGTGGATCCCTCATGAGCAGCTTGGTGCCAGCCTTGCAGTAATGACTGAATTCTTGCTCTGTTCATTCCCCCAAGAGCTGACTGTTTAAAAGAGCCTAGCACCTCCTTCCCCCCATTCTCTTGCTTCTTCTCTTGCCACGTGATCTTTGCATACACCAGCTCTTCTTCACCTTCCACCATGAGTGGAAGCTTCCTGACACCCTCACCAGAAGCAGATCCTGATGCCGTGATTCATGTACAGCCTGCAGAATCATAGCCAAATAAATCTCTTTCCTCTATATGTCACCCAGTCTCAGAGATTCCTTAATTGCAAAACTAAATGGACTAAGACAGAGGGTGATCATACAAAATGAAGACAGTGTGAATTTGCACTGAGGCAAGGAAGAGAATATGGGGAGGAGAGGTAAGAGCTGGTCACTCAAGCCAGAAACACAAAATTTTCCCACACTTTATTTGTCCACTCTAAATCACGCCCCCCTCTTCCCACATCATAAAAATTGGCCTCCAAGACTTGCCAGTCCTATATGCTAAATCTCTGTATAGCTCTAATTACAATATGATATTTAGTATCTGCACTAGAGAAAGAAACAAACGCTCCATATTTGAATGTCTTCAGACAGGTGAGACAGGCACTAGTTACACTTTATTAAATACTGCAGTAGGAATTAACGTATGTTATCCGAGAACACCCAAAATGTAAATACTCAGCAACAAAAGCATCTTAATAAACAGCTCCATACACTGGTCCTATGTTAGTCCTATCAAAATCAGCCACAACAGCAACAACTATACATCCATCTAGGGGCTCCCAGTAGATGACAAGAGCTTGAGGAATGATCATTTAGAAATAGACAGCTTTTGTATGACTCTGGCAATTTTTCTGGTTGTTCTCATTGTTTGTTTCAGAGTTCCATGAAAGGACATATTTTACATATTTTACATGCTGGAATGGTCCAATTAGCTTCATTCCTTAGCAGCTAAGTAAGAGCAACAGCTTAGCTGATCAACAATGGGATAAATGCTCTGAGACCAGAGTTGTGGACTTCCCTTCACTAACTTATAAATGAATGCAGGGTGAAGCATTATCACCTAATGCAGCCTACCATGTGACTGGAAGAATGTATCAGATGAATACATCTGGCATGCTCAACCGCACTCATTATTTCATCACTAAAATAAAATACCAATTAATTAGACCAATTCCTTGGGTCTTTACTATTACATAAACACAGGCAAATGATGAGATATGAAGTTCACTTGGATAACTCTCTTTGCTTTTCATGCAGTTGCTTCTCATGGTGTTTAGTGTGTTCATTTCAAATGGCTGCCAGCTAAAGTTGAAGGACCATGTTTAGCATCATCTGTGCTCAGACCATAAATGAACAAAGTCCTCCATAATGTTTTCATAGTTCCAATATGTTCTTTCATTAGAATTCTACACTTAACATATTTTTACCTTTTTCCTTTCATTCCTACATGCATTTTAAATATAAAAAGTGATATACCACCTGCTATCCCTGACATTTGCACAAGTGTGTATTTGAAAATGTTTATGTTCAAATTTTGGTAACTAATGCACAGAGAGAAATTTATACTATGTGATTAAAATATATTTTATATGATATTTTTCCACAATTCACTTCAGCATCAATGTTATTACATTCCAAAATTTTATTTTGTGTGTGTGTGTGTGTGTGTGTGTCTGTGTGTGTGTGTGGTGTGTGTGTGTGTGTGACAGGGTCTCACTCTACAAGCCAGGACAGAGTGCACCGAGGCCTTGAACTCTCAGGTTCAAGCAATTCTCCTTGCCTCAGCCTCCCTCATAGCTGGGACCATAGGCACACACCAGGATGCCTAGCTAATTTCTGTAATTTTTGTAGAGACGGGGTTTCACTATGTTGCCCAGGCTGGTCTCGAACTCCTGGGGTCAAGCAATCCTCCTGCCTCAGCTTCCCAAAGTGCTATGACTACAGGTGTCAGCCACCATGCCCAGCCTAAAATTTCATAGTTTTATACACCAAAATTATCTCACTTTTCCTTAAAATTTTGTCGGATTAACCTCATTTTTTCAAATCATTAAATAAGAGTTACTTTCTGTATTTTTAATCTGCCTTCCTCCTATTTCAGCAACATTTAGCTAATCATCCAATTGTTCACTAACTCAACCAAAAAGGGAAAACTAATATAGAAGTTTGGCTTATGACCAAAACCAGGATTCATAGAAAGGTATGTCTCTTTTGCCAGATACAGGGATTGTTCTTTGATTGGCAAATGACAAGAGATTGTTCCTTCTACTTCATCCCCAGCCTTAGAACCTGCAAATGGGATTTTCAGCAACAAACCCCTTCTAACCTCACCATTCACAAAGAAAGCTTGGTTTCTTGTAGTGTTACCTGAACTCCTACCACTAAGTTTATTAAATTTTGCGAGACCCTTTCACATAATTAAAAGGCTGATGTTTGAGTCAGAACTTGTGTCTGGGATGCTTAAATTCCTCACCCTCATAAAGACATGCCCTGGCCACTCCATCTCAAAGATCCTCATAACCCACATTAGATGTTATCGTTGCTTCATTTCCCTCAAAGCTATGATCACCATCAGCAATTCTGTCCTTCATGCATTTGATCACTGCTTTATCTTCTGTCCCCATAACTAAAGTAACAGCAGGACAATTTGTGCATCCTGTTTGCTATCGTATCTTCAGAGTCAACAACAATGGGTCATGAATAGTTAATTCATGGATGAAAGATGAATGAATGGATCAATGAGTGAAGACTCATTTAACCTATTCCTATGCATATGTGTTGCTACTGCTATGGGTAGTGGGGGGGTCTTCTAGACACCTGGCCTTCTTCCACTTACTTCTGACTTCTCCTGATGTCTAGCAACTCGCTACCGAGTAGGTCAATCACTGCCAGGTTGGTTGCACTGGGGGAAGAAGGTACAGGGTGGTTTCCATGACTATTAACAGCAACTCTAATAATGTGCTTGCGGCAATTATTGACCCCAAGATGCAGCATATCATGTGCTGATCCTAGCCACTGATGTGAGGTTCACCATTTTTAAAATTACAATTAAACTACAATACTGATAACTTTTAAATTCTATTAAAACCATTCCTGAGTGTGGCCCTATTACTCACTAAGGAATGGTTGCAGGGTAGTTGATCAAGGTAATTAGATGGCAAGTGATATGGTCTGGCTCTGTGTCTCCACCCAAATCTCATCTTGAATTGTAATCCAAATTGTAATCCCCACGTGTTGGGGGAGGGACCTCATGGGGGGTGATTAGATCATGAGGACAGTTCCCCCACGATGTTCTCATGATAGCGAGTGAGTTCTCATGAGATCTGATGGTTTTATATGGGGTTCTTCCTCCTTGCTCAGCACTTCTCTCCTTCCTGCTGCCCTGTGAAGAAGGTGCTTTCCTTCCCTTTCACCTTTTGCCATGATTGTAAATTTCCTGAGGCCTTCCCAGCTATGCGGAACTGTGAGTCAATTAAACCTCTTCCTTTATAAATTACCCAGTCTCAGGTATTTTTTATAGCAGTGTAAGAATAGACTAATATAGCAGGGAAGGCAGGCAACGGGAATTGGGTTGGTTCCTCTCTTATACCACGGAAGGTGGCAAGTTGTTAAGACTGTGTGCAGCATAGCCCATGAGACTTGCATTAAAGACTACCAGCCCTATTACTAATCTGGCTGTTATTCAATCATCCTAATCTCAGTTTCCACATCTCTGTAACAGAGTTAATAAACAGTGTAATCTCATGACCCTACTGTGAAAATTAAAGTAGATAAGTCTTGCCTATGTTTCTTGCTCAAATGCCATCTTGCAGAGATGCATGTCCTAAACTCCTCATTTAATCTAGCCCTTCAATCACTACTGATCCCAATCCAGCTTGAATTATCCTAAGACCACCTTCCCTATTTTATATGCTTGAGCCTGTCTTTACTTTTTCCCACATGGGTACATGAGCACCATGATATTGGGATGGTGTTAGTGCTCATGACAGCTGCATCTCCAGTGTTGGGCACAGAGTAGGCACTAAATAAACACTTGTTTCATGTGTGAACCCATATCCCAAAGCACATAATTGTATCTTACACATAGTAAGCACTCAATAAATGTGAACTATTGTTTATGTGCTTATAATACCAAGGAAATAATTGGCATCATCCTGTGGGTCAGCTTCATTACCCAAGAGAATAAGTATTTATATTTACTGAGGAGATCCTAACTTCTAGGACTCCTTACTGCAATCCTCTGAGGTCTCTGTTCTAAATTTTCCAGACAGCTGTATTAATTCACCCCAGATCACACAGGTAAGATTTCAAACAAGATCCCCTGACTCAAATGGACTCCATCTTCTCTGTGAAAATGCTCTCTGTTTCCTGCCATCATCTCTACTCAAAGTTGGGTGAAGACATAAAGCAGCTATATTCCCTCTCTTTGGAGAGCTTACAACTTAGGAGGCAACATAATGTGAATGCATGAATGCTTATGGTCTAGAAACCAGAAAAAAAAAAAAAACCAGAACAACAAGCCCAAGAGGAGAAAAATGCCAGATGCTGAAAGAGGAAAAAAGGAATACATGATGATCTTATTGTCTAAGTAGAAGTCATATGAAAATGACTGTATTTGAAAGCTTTGGGTCTAAGAAAATGGCAACCCCATAAGGTTCAGTCTCGTATATACTAGGAAGAAACTCTCCTTAAGTTCCAAGTGAACAGTCCTGACATTCCGAATCCAAAGCAGAGATTTTTCATCTTTTCTTCTAGGTCACAGACTTCTTTGAGGAGACACTCCTCTCCAAGAAAAATCCATTCTCGCCTACTCATAAAGGTGACATAGAGTTTGGGGGTCCCCTGGGAGTCCATGACTGTCAGTTGAATGACATCTAGTGCCAAAGATGCAAAATCACCCTCAGTTGAAGAATCCAAGTAACAGCTCAAGAGAACTGGGTTTTAACTCTTACTATCACTACCTAATAAGAGCACCTGTCCCTTTCACACCATAATTAGCTTCTTCCTAAAAAGGGTTGTGGTTCTGCTGAAAGACACCCCATAAACTGTTTCCCCATAACCCACAAAATCTTCAAGGGCAAAGTGGAAACATTATCAATACGGGAGAGACTGAGAAACACTGTTTCCCAAGAGAAGGTATTAGTGTATTAAAGACCTAAATGTGACAAATGAAGTATCCACATCTTCAGAGGTTTACGACTATGTGAAAATTTATAATTTGTTTATTTATTTTTTTAATAGAGACAGCGTCTCACTATGTCACCCAGGGTGGAATGTGATCATGGCTCATTGTATCCTCAAACTCCTGGGCTCAGGCAATCCTTCTGCTTCAGCCTTCTAAGTAGCTGAGACTACTAGCACACTAATTAAAAAAAAAAAATTATAGAGGCTGAGCGCAGTGATTCGCACCTGTAATCCCAGCACTTTGGGAGGCCAAGGCAGGCAGATCACCTGAGGTCAGGAGTTCAAGACCAACCTGACCAACATGGCAAAACCCTGTCTCTACCAAAAAACAAAAATTATCCAGGCATGGTGGTGCACACCTGTGGTCCAAGCTACTCCAGAGGCTGAGGTGGGAGGATTGCTTGAGCCTAGGAGGTTGAGGCTGCAGGGAGCTGTGGACATGCCACTGCAATCCAGCCTGGGTGACAGACTGAGACCCTTTCTCAAAAAAAATTGTAGAGACGGGGTCTCATTATGTTGCCTGGGCTGGTCATGATCTCCTGGTCTCAAGCGATTTTCCTGCCCTAGCCTCCCAAAGTGCTGGGATTACAGGCATGAGCCACTATGCCCAGTGGAAATGCGGAATTTAAATGAAAACAGCACATCTCTCTTTTTTGATATAAATGCATGCTGAAGGTTCTGGCCTCACTCCTGGTAAAGGCAAAGCATCAGGATGAGAAAGCATGTCTGAGAAGGGCCTTTTCCCAGTAAACTGGCCTGCTTGACAAAGGGGCTCCATCTATAAAGGGGAGGGGAATATGAGGCTGGTGATATTTGTTTGGAAAGGGCTGCAGGCAAGAAAAAGAACTGCCTGTGTCAAGGGAGTTGCAGTCAGACTCTAAGATACCTAGCCTGCAGGGCATGACACCCTCTCACTATAGTAACTTCCTTCCATCTTGATTTCCACTTCTTAGAACTCATGCTCTAGAAACTAGAAACCAAACTCATAACAGTAAGCCCAAGAGGAATAAAATTGCAAGGTTATAAAAGAAACACAAAGGAGAAATCGATCTTATTTTCCAGTCTGGAGGCGGTGCTGCCAATGTACAGTTGCGATCAATAAAGAAGTGTTATTATCAAAGTTTGAAAAGAAACACCATGGGAACCCTACATTTCTTCAACTTTATTATGATGCATAAACACTTAGACCATTCATGTCTCGTTCTCTGTTAAATTCTCAACACTTAAAACACATGCAATAAACAAACATTTTAATAATACATTGAATAATCTTCTAATATAAAATAATCCCCTATTTTTTACCTAAATTGTCTCAAGGTTACCCTATGGTTTTAATATTCTGTATTTTGGCAAACTATCATTTCATTCATGCATTTATCAATCCAGAAATCATTTGTTGATTATTATTTGAAAAAGACAAATGAGGTAGGCATTAAAATAACAAGGATAACGTCAGACACAGGGGCACAGGCATGCAATCCCAGCACTATAGAAGGCTGACGCAGGTGGATTGCTTGAGCCCAGGAATTCAAAAACAGCCTGGGCAATATAGTGGGACTGTGTCTCCACAAAAAAAAAAATACAAAAATTAGCTGGGCATGGTGGTATGCACCTGTAGTCCCAGATACTCGGGAGGCTGAGGTGGGAGGATTGCTTGAGCCCAGGAGGTCGAGGTTGCAGTGAGCTGTGATCATGCCACTGCAATCCAGCCTGGGTGACAGACTGAGACTCTGTCTCAAAACATAAAAAATAAAAATAAGCCAAAACAAGATGTATCTAATAGATAGATAGCATACATATGCATATATATGTATACATAAAAATATTATATGAAGGAAAATAAATAAAATCTTTTTCACTGGGCCTTAACAAATGAATGACTGGGATCTTCCCAGATGGAGAGTGGGGAGGAAGTCATCGAGATACAACTTATCGGAAGGCAGCTCCCGGGCAGGTAGAAGGGTGGGTGTGCTGAGGGAACTGTGAGCTGTTTGTTCCAAGGGGCAAGGGCACGAGGTGTACAAGAAAAAGTAAAAGAAGCTAACACTGGAAAGGGACACATGGGCAGATTAAGGAGTCTTCTGTGCTGTCCCAAGGGTCTTAGGTTTTCCCAGGTGGTAAAAAAAGAGATTTTGCCATGATGCGTTTTTTTCTTTTTTTTTTTTTTTTTTTTTGAGACGGAGTCTCGCTGTCGCCCAGGCTGGAGTGCGGTGGCGCAATCTCGGCTCACTGCAGGCTCCGCCCCCTGGGGTTCACGCCATTCTCCTGCCTCAGCCTCCCGAGTAGCTGGGACTACAGGTGCCCGCCACCTCGCCCGGCTAATTTTTTGTATTTTTAGTAGAGACGGGGTTTCACCGTGTTAGCCAGGATGGTCTTGATCTCCTGACCTCATGATCCGCCTGCCTCAGCCTCCCAAAGTGCTGGGATTACAGGCGTGAGCCACCGCGCCCGGCCCATGATGCGTTTTTAACGGCTTGCAGGAGTGGGTTCACTCTCTTGAGCTCTTTGCCCCTGTGCCATTTGATGATGTGCAAAATGGTCTTGCCAGATGATGGTGCCTTGATCCTGGACTTCCCAGCCTCTAGAACTATGAGAAATACATTTCTATTTTTTATAACCCAGTTTCAGGTGTTTTGTTGTAGCAGCATAAAATGAACTAAGAAAGATTGGAATGCATCACTTAGCCACTGAAAGCCATCAGATGTGAGAATCAGGAAGATGACTCCAATAGTAGCTTGAAGGTAGGAGGCAGAAGAGTAATGGACTGCATAACAATCTAAACTGAGATAAGGAAGCTGTCACAGTGGGCCACAGGAAGACAGCACATAGCTAGGAATGTTCTGCAGGGCAGAAATGAGAAGTAGACATCCATTTACATAAGTGCTGAGAAAAGAGAAGTAAAATCCAACAGAGTTTGTATCTTGGACACACTGGTATATGGGGCACCTTTAACTAACAGGAGGGTGCAGAGAGGAATAGGTTTTAGAGGAAGAGCATCTCTTAATATTTGAATGTGTTGTGTTTGGAGTGTCTATGTGACACTCAACTAGAGATTTCTAATAGGGGCTAAAATTACAAACACTGTAACTGAAGCTAGTGGCCTGAGCTGGAAATAAAGACTTGAGAATCATCCACATAGAGGCAGATAGTTGAAGATAAGAAGATGCAATGAATTACCTAGACATACAATATACAGAATGAAGTCAAGAACAAATCCTAGGAAAAGTCAACATTTAAGAATAATAAGAGAAGAAAATACAGAAGAGCTTCTCACAATTGTAGAATAAAACCAGAACATAGTGATAAAATGAAAAGGAATAAGAATTCTGCAAGTGATAAAGTGCCCATCAAATTGATATAGGATCATCACTAAAAAGACACCACTGGGTTTTGGCAATGTAGAAATCACTGGTCATACTTTAATGAGATTTGTTAGCATAAAATTGAAAGGATAGAGAACCAGTTTTGGAGAACTGGAGGACAAAGAACTATAAATTCCTATTACAGTAATGGTCACTATTAATGGAAGGAGAAAAATATGTCATAACTCAAGAGAAGACAGGATTGAGGCTGACTGGCCATTGGACACAGGAGGAGTACTTGGGTTGATGGTGGGGGTTAACTCCTAGATCCCACTTGGGAGGTGGAAAACTGTCCCAGATTCTGGAAGACAGGAGAGTTATACGAACAAATGAATCTGTTAGTATAAAAATGAGATATAATGAAAACAAAAAAGGTCAAAAAACCTTAAATTGATGCCCTTTGACCCCGATGAGGAGAGAGTGTAAATGGGTTGTCCTATGGTGTGAATGTGTTCCCCGAATTCATGCGTTGACATGAATATTATTAAACCCTAGTAAGACAGTGTTGCAGGAGAGGGGACAATGGCAGGTGTTTAGGTAACAAAGGCTCTGCCCTCATGAACAGATGAGTGTAATTATAAAAAGGGCTTGCAGGAGTGGGTTCACTCTCTTAAGCTCTTTGCCCTTCTGCCATTTGATGATGTTCAAGAAGGTCTTGCCAGATCATGGTGCCTTGATCTTGGACTTGCCAGCCTCTGGAACTAGGAGAAATAAATTTATATGTTTTACAACCCAGTTTCAGGTATTCTGTTATAGCAGCACAAAATGGACTAAGACAGATTACAAGCCAACAGTAAGATCTCAAGTGTTTCTGGAAACCACACACTAATGAGACCAAACCATGCAGTAATTCACTTAATGCTAGCAGTGCTATGGGACACAAGAAATTGATATCTGGATGCACCCTTAGCTGAGAAACAACAGGGTGAGCCCACCACAAGCAGAGGAGGAAATTGAGGGTCTTAGTGAGAGAATTAAAGTCAGATCCAGCGATCTATGTCAGACGTTTGGTGGCTGGAAGGATACTCAGTACTAGGAGGTTTGCCAGGATTCATGGAAGAGTGATCAAAGTGGGAAGGAAGAAGTGATAGCCAGAAGAAGAGGAGGTTTAGGTTAGGGTCATTACTTCAGAGTTTTCAGTATTCAGAGTAGAATACGGACTTTAGTAATCATTTTCTGGGTGATAAATCGTAGCTCCACACCATTGTCCTTCAGTAAGTCAGAAACAGGCAAAAGGCAACCGAATGAGGACTGTGAGGTGGTCGTGTAATGGAGCTGAAGTCTTCAATAAAGAAGGTCAAGGAATTTATATTCTTCAGATTTTTTTGAGTCCTTCCAGTCAACACTGGCTTCATGGATATAACATTAATTCTTCAACATCCGCATTAAGAGATGGATTCAACCTAATATTTTACTTACATACCAAAAATGCCTTTGCCTTGAATTCTCATGTTATAGGTAAGCTTTCTGATGTATTAGTTTTTGGGATTATCCTAGGAAGAACTCCCACTGTATTCCATGTCTGGACAGAGCTTATGTTTATACAGGCTTAAGTAATGCTTTCCTATGTGTTTTCAATACTGCTTCTGAGAATTCCCCTGGTGTGGTGGACTCCATGCCCACACGGCACCTGGCATGGAGCACAGCCTGAATATGCCATTGTTGGTGACAGAAATCAAGTCAATGTCTTCAGAAAGCCATCTATACTGATTCTGTTCCCTTTCTGCCAGGGAATGACTGACTGATAGCTCAGCGCCATTTTTCTTCAAGGGGTTAACGATAGGCAAAGCTCAGGGCTGAGGAGAAGCCCATGTATTTTGTCTATTTTGTTGAGATGTCATGAAAATTAAGGGAGAAAATCCATGTGAACACTAAAAAATACTATTATTACTGTTATTATAAGTGTTGCTATTTGGATGTAGGTTATGATTGCATGAAGCCCAGACAGAATTTCTTAAACTTACTGGATACCAAATGAATTATGCCAAGTGAGCAGATGAGTGTCAGCTGCATAGCTTTGGAAAAGAAAAATTAATGTAAAAATTAAAGTTTGGTTTGGGTGAGGCTAGGTAAAGATGGTTTGAGGAAGAAAGAAAATGTTTTCATGTGTCATGGCTGCTTTTAAGTATATAAAATTTAATTTTCAAAAGCCAAGAAGATGTGAATGATGTAGGGTATTTCTTATTCCTCTGTGGGGCTTCTCTCAAGCCCAATGAAGCAATGAATAATAGGAAATGTAACAAAAAAGCAAAATGATTGCAAGCCATATATTATTCCCTTGAGTAGATTTCCCTGTAACACTGAACCACAGCAGAACTTTTTGGAACTTCTGAGATTCCTTGCCTACATCTCAAAATTGGCCTAACGGGTATAATCCTTTCAACAATCCATCAATCTTTCTCCCCAGTATTACGGGTTTGGTTATATTTGTTTAAATATACAGCTTTCTTCCACACAATGAAGTGTTTAAAACAAATTTTTTTAAGGACGGGGTCTTGTTCTGTCCCCCAGGCTGGAGTGTAGTGGTGTGATCATAGCTCACTGCAGCCTCAAACTCATGGGCTCATGCAACCCTCCCACCTCAGTCTTCTGAGTAGCTGAGACCACAGGCCTGAGTCACCACGCCTGGCTAGATTTTTTAAACTTTTTGTAGAGAAGGGATCTCATTATGTTGCCCAGCCTGGTCTTGAACTCCTGGCCTCAAGTGATCCTCACTCCTCGGTCTCCCAAAGCGCTGCAGTCACAGGTGTGACTCACCACACCCGGCTCATGCAACAAAGCTTTGATTAAATTGGTTTGGGCAGATACTGTCTCATCAGCTGAGTCCAAATTCTAACCTGTGCTAGTTTTCTCTATCACATGAAATCATCTTTTTCTCATGGCTTTTTATACACACCTAGAAGATCTGCATAAATGAAATGTCAATGTACTTTTAAAAGTTACTCAAACTCACTACAAAGAATTTTTTAAAATCTTAAATATAGGTGCAGTTATGGTTTTTCATTTTCTCTGCCAATCAAAGCCTCTCTCTAAGGGCACCGTACCATAGTCACCTTCTAAGAGGCAAACATTGTTAATAATTTGTTTATTTTTTGACTTTTTTTAATACAGCAACATACACACATTTGTATACAAATCTACACATAAGCATTCACCCACATGCACACATATGTACACATATGTGTATGGATACTATTGTGCATTCATATCTATGTATATATACAAGTATCTATACGTGCATACATAGGTTTAAGGAGTTTATGTGAATATTACTCTGTGTCCTCACATTTTGCTCTGCCTCTTCAATTTCAAGGGAAAGATAGTTTTAATATTCTAAGTGCTTAAAATAATTCACTCATCTTCCTGATGAGAAAAATTTCAGTTGCAATGATCACCTATGTACATATATCTTTGTGTATATATCTGTAAGATAGATTCCTGGAAGCAAAAATGCTTCCAGAGGAGTAAAGTGGGTCTCTTTCTAAATTTTGTTGTATAATACCCAATGTCTTCTAAAACTCTACTTCAATTCTTCCTCCAACTAGCAAACTGTGAGAGTGCTCATTTTTCCATGCCCAAAGATAACTGAACTGAGTTTTGCCATTCAGCTAGGTAAAAGGATAATAAAATAAAATAAAGTAAAATTAACTAAAATAAAGTTGATTTCACTTTCTTTACATATGAATGAGACTGGACATTGTTATTGATGAGTTCTAAGCCTTTCTTTCTTTTTGAGCTTCTGATAGTTCTGATGGACTCATTTACAAGTTTTTCTCTATTTTTCTCTATTTTTTTGATGTCATTTAATTTCTCACTTTTATTCTGAATGTGCCATTCTCATCTACACACGATTTTCTACCTAACATGTGGCACTTCCCAACCTAGAGTGCACCGTGGGGCACGCATTTTGCACAAGCCAAATTTTGCAAATCCACAAAAGGGAAAAGGCGGAAAATGGTACCCTTTGGAAATTGGCCAAAAATGTCAACGAAAGCAGTTTCATTTTCTACGTGGCATTTGTCATGCTCCATGCATGGAACATTTTAAATTGCATATGTGACCTTTTAAACAATAGCAGGAAATGCCAAGAGAAAATGCGAAGCTCTTCATTGTCTTTCTTAAGCCCCTGCAGAAGCCATTTTTCATGGTCCACGGCTAGAGCCCATGATCAGGCTGTCAAAGCACCTGAAACAAACCATCAACATCTGCGCAGTTTTCTATCCTGGGAAACATCAGACACAGGCATGGCACTGCTCTGGAGAGCTTGTTCTTCTCCGCATTTATTCAGTAACAGCAGTTTGTAACACTACCTGAGTTGTTCCATGATATAAAGAGATTCAAGTCTTAATATGGTATTATGGTGTTATGTAGTAGAAACCAAGCAAATCTCTATCACCATTTTAAGAACAGGATTATTATACATTATTAGGTTACTAAAGGGGGGTTTGTGTAAGTCTTTTATCAATGACCCTTAGGGATTAAAACTAGAAAGAGAAAATAATAAACTTCAGCTTTCTTCATCCAAGTACCATATCTACTACTGTCTGTGTAGCTTTTTAACCAAAGTAACAATAGATGTGTTGTTGACATTTGGATGTTATTAATGATAACATAAAGAAGAATATATGATGCCGAGTTCATATGAATATACATTCCTTTCTCTGTTTATTTGATAAGTATGTGTCCCTGTACATAAACTGTAAGTTCCCTGAGGTTAAAGACTTGGCATCCTTGTCTTGACCATTTTTTTCCTTGCATAAAGCAGATGAATGATAAATGCCTGTTAAATAAATGAATGAAATAAAAAACCTCTATGCTATAAAGACAAAATTTCAATATATTAAATTAATACCTGGGAAAATCATTGGCAAATTACTAAAAACAATTCAAAAATTTTGCAAGAATTTAATTATAGTCATTAAATGTATTATCCATAGTAGTAAGAAAATTATAAACATATCGTTAAACTAAATTTCTAAATTTCTATAAACAGCAAATACAGTGTAATTTATTATGCAATTAAATTACAATGAGTGGTATAGGCACTGCTCAATAAATGTAGGTAGCTGAAAATGAGTAAATGTTAACGCCTATTAAACTAACCAAAACTACAGGTATGGAAGCTCTGTATTTTGATATTTATCTCCCCAACATTTGATATCGCCCTTTAGTAGTTTGTACATGGCTATACTTTCTGAAGAAGAAGAAGAACAGCACATTAATGTCTCTGCAAGTCTTAGCTATCATCATAAACTAATTCCATCCAGCACCTGGAATTTTCCCAAGAACACAGCAGGTGTTCAATAAATAACAGTTAAATTAAGAGACAGAGGAATTGTGGGATATTCCTACTGAAACTTGAGGTGCATGTAATTAACTTAATCTTTTTCTTGCTTACATTATCTGCTGCAGAGAGACAATGAAGAGAGAAGTCGGTAAAGTTAGTGTGGAGAAGGGATACCCCCTTATGACCCCACCCCAAAGGGGTATGTGTTGGGGCGGATAAGGAGATAGGTTTAAAAGAGAGGTCATTCTATCATTCTCATAGTCAGAGGGCTACAAAGGAGGTGATGCCATGTCAAATAACACCTTCTAGAAATAGACCAGCATAGAAAAGTTGGATATGCTTGCTGTATGCATGAAAGGAAGGAAAGCAAGGGGCCAGACAAATGTCTTAGATATGGCCTGGGACAAGCTGAGCACCAGCTTCCCTTAGCCACCAGCAACTATGTGAAATGAAAAAGATATTACCATCTAGTGCCTCAATTCCCTCCTCTGCAAAATGAGAAAAATTCATGAGACTGTGGTTATCAGTATTAGGAATCATGTGCTCCCAAGTGTGTGGACCAAGGTCAGGAGAGCTCTGAGAACAATCCCAACAAGAGTCAATCACGTAAACACATGTCCTATTCTCCAAGCCCTGAGCTAAGGTAACACCTCCTGCAGAGATGAAGCTGGGAAGTACGCTACTAATGTCTTTTTAGTTTTTATTTTTGTAAGTACTTCATAATAATCTCAGGGTTGAGCTAAATTTTGAGTGTTTAACCTTACTCTATTGTTCCAGTATTAATATATGAATAAATATATATTGTATATTCTCTATTAATATATTTAGATAAAAACTAAACTATTTTCATCTTAAGAATGTCAAGAAGCTACTAGTGGCACAGTGTCAGTATTGCATACCTGAGATGGACAAGCAGCAGATAATCAGAATGCTATACCTTTACCTTAATATTCACTTTTGCTCTCGTTTTAATTTTCTTTGATCTGAATCTCATTTTGAGACACATAAAAGTAGACCATAGAATCAGAACAAGATGCATACTCATTCCCATAAAATACCAAGTTTTATGCTGCTATATGAAGGAATATAAAAATAACAACATAATTTCAATTTTTCATCAACAGTAAGATTTTAAGACTCAATCAAAGAACATCCCTAGAAATCTTGTAAAAACACTAGTGTCTTACAATCTTAATAACCCTGAACTGAGCAAAAAACATATATATATAAAGCAGGATTTTTATTGATATGAAGTGTATTTTTGAGTGGTGGTTCACAACCAGGGGTGGTTTCGCCTCAGAGGCAATATTTGACAATGTCTGGAGATATTTTTGGTTTTCATAACTTGTGGTAGTGGTGCCACTGTCATCTACTGGGCAGAGCCCAGGCATGCTGCTAAACTAAACCTCCTACAATGCATAGGACACCTCCTACAACAAAGACGGGGTGATCAGCTCCACATGTCATGAGTGCCAAAGTTGACAAATACTGTTTTGTAGGAAAAAGAGAGAGGAAGAAAAAGAAAAGGAAGCAAAGGAAAAGAAAGAGAGGGGAAGGAGGGATGTAGAAAGGAAGGAAGGAAAAAATGGAAGGAAGGAAGGGAGGGAGGGAGGGAGGGAGCAACAGTGGTAGAGAGGGAGGAATAGTTGGAGAGAAGATGGAGAAAATGAACAGAGGGAGAGAGTAAGAGAGAAAGGAAAACAGGCTGGCATGACTGATGGTCTGATATGTGCTATAACAAGTTATTTATTCCTAAGAGTATCCTTAAAAACTAGCAATTTTATTCTCCATTTTACTGTGAGGACGTGAATACCTTGCGAGGTCAATGACTTGCTCCAGACTTTGTGGGTTCCAAGGTCCTGCTTCCCTGGAAGCATCTTTTTAAAATAAGATCAAATAAGAAAGTGCAGTGACTTGATTCATCTGCACTGCTACAAGATCCCTTCTTATGTCTCCTGTCTTACATCCTGTGTTCCAGAAAATGGAACCCTCATGAAAGGAATGCAGTTTTCACATAAGGAGGCAATGCCTACTTTCTAAAAGCGTCCTTTCCTTAGAGTATTAAAGGAGATTCTGCTACAGTCTGCTCCTAGAACTTAGATATCTTTCAAAACCAATACTGGATGAGTTTCATTCACATAAAAAAAAAGCCATTACCATTTTAATTATATTTTTCTTCTCAGCCTCCTATTCTAGATTAGTATTCATTATTACAACAGACAACTATATTCCTGCCAAGTGTGTAATACTACAAAATCTCTTTTTATAAAAGCTATTTTCTCACAGATCTGTATTACAGAGTAAGAGACAGCCAATTCTCTTAAGAAAAACAAAAGAGAAAAAATTAGCTCATAGGATAAGAACATGTACGAACTGGGTCTCACCATTGAGTAAGATGTTCCTCAGTACTTCTTCCTCCTCTCCTTCTTTACTTCCTTCCTTCCTTTCTTCCTTTGTTCTTTTTTCACTCCTTCCCTCTCTCCCTTCCTCCCTTTCTTTTTTTACTCCTTCCTTCTCTCTCTTCCTTCCTTTCTTCCTTTCTTTCTTCCCCCCTTCCTCCCTCCCTCCCTCCCTCATTCCTTCCTGTTTTTCCATTGGTGAAACCTTCTCAAAGGAAAAGCTTCCACTCCTATCATCAGCAGGTAACACATCACTCTGGGAGACCTTCCCTGAACAAAACAATTACCTCCTGATAAGATGCACTTGCTAGTGAACTTCTGGGCACAAGGAAGTAAGAGAAATATCCAAAATTAAGCTTTCCCACATAAAGCTCCTCCAACAGTGTAAGCAAAAGAATATTTGGGTGTCCTGAGCAAAGGGAAAACTGGACCTAAGGGAAGTCTGCCCTTATGTAACACACCCATAGTAGCACTGACCTCAGACAAAGGGAGCAGGTAGCTGGAAGGGCAGCCAGATGTGTAAGACAAGGGGCTGGGGCCAGAAACCCAAGCTTGGCTTCCAGTAAGGTGGAGAATTTGGACCCTTGAAAGGGCTCAAGTCTTACACTCTAGCTTCTATCAGAAGGAAAGCGAACCTACCTGCCTGGGGAAAGAATGCCAGCATAGGCCAGAAAATTCCCACAGATTAAGATCAAACAAACATGAGTTCACAGTCAAAGATCACTAAGCCCATGAACACTGAGGTATTATAGGTGCTGCACACAAAACTTGTGGTATTAAAATAGCTATTTAAAAAATAAAGTTTGAAACAGGAAACAATAAACAAAAAACAGGAAATTACTGGAAAGGACAAGGAAGATTTGAAAAATGACCACATAGAAATGAAATAAATAAAAACTGTATTTGTTGAAATAAATAGAAATTAATGGATTAGCTAAAGAGATTAGACACAGAAGAAAAGACAATAAAAAAAGATATGTCTGGGAAAATCTTACAAAAAACAGAAGACAGAAACTAATAATATAAAAGTCAATTTAGGAGACATGGGTGCAAAAATGAGAATCTCATATATCAAATCAAAATTTGAGAAAACAGGAAGAATGGAGAAGTGTCAGTATTTGAAAGGTGATCCCTAAGATCTTCAAATAATGATTAAATATATGAATCCAAAGGCACAGAAACCATAGAAAGAATGGATAAAGCAAAAAAAAAATCAATATTGACATGAAACTGATGAATGCCAAAAATAAACAGGAGATCTTAAATTTTAGCCCTTGCCAAAGACAACCTGTGCATAAAGTTTAACTCAAAACCAACTGACATCTGTATAGCCAGAAGACAGTGAAATGTGAAATAATGGTCCACCTGGATTTGCATAATAAGCAAAATTATCTTTCAGGAATGAGCAGGGAACAAAGGTATTCAATCAAACAAAAACTGAAAGAGTTTATAACAAATATTCATGATACATAATAATAGCCTGTAACTAGGGAGACAGGTGATTGGTATTTTCTAGAATGGAGCTAAGGTCTTGCTTAATTTTAGACTTTAATGACTTAAATGTGAGTTTTACAACTGCAAGCTTTTCTTGAAAAGTAGAAATCAAGTAAATGGCAAATTAAGAAGAAAATACAGAAAAAGAACAAACTCATTTATTAAAAGGAATGCATAAAAAAGGAAATCCGAAAGATTAAAATACGTTGAATTATATCAAATATCTTCAAACTCATAAATAGCATAAGTTATGCAATTACTAGACTGAAACTGTCACATTGAAAAAAAGAAATTATAGATATCTGTCATATGAAATGATACAACCATAATATCTGAAATTACTAAAGGTGAAAATATAAAAAATATATTCTCAGCAATAGCCAACCCAAAAGTAAAAAAGAAACAAGCATATTTCTACTAATATTGGATATCTATTGTAAAACAGAAAGCATTTTAAGAGATAGCAAGAATATTACATAGTAAAATATTTCATTCTTCAAGGAGATAACTTGTTATATATTTTATGCCACATACGTTCTTTAAAAAACCCCAAATCAGTAGTATTATAGGAAGAATTTATAAATTCATTCATTAATGGAAGATACAAAGAAACCTATTTTCAATTTTAATAGATCAAAAAATAGGAAAAACAGATGCCATAAACAGTTAACCGATGATTTGATAGACAATTACATAATTTTGTATCTCATCATTAGAAAATACACACAAAACACTTAAAAATTAACTGTTTATTAGAACGTCACACAAATCTCACTTAACACTTAATAGACAAATACTGAAATACTGTGTTTTAGAATTTACAGGAGGCAGGAAAATTAGCAGTAGAGAAAATTTAAAGCCATAAATACTGACATCAGTAACAAACACAAGGGCAAAAAGTAATGAGTGAATCATCCCACTTAAGAAATTAGTGGAGAAAAACAGAAGAAACTAAACAGAAAGTAGAAGGAAGAAGGTATAAAAAGGAAAGAAGAAAAGCTAAAGATGCAATAGCAAGATTTGGCAAGGTTAAAAAGCTGGTCCCAGCTGGGACCAGCTTCTCTATTCATATGCACTTCTGGCTTCTGGACTCTCTATTCTGTCCCACTGTTAATGTTTTTCCCTGTGCCAGTGTTATAGGAACCCACCGATGCTTCAACCACACCTAGAATTAGAGTATCCAAGTCCCAGTTGGCCTGGGACTGAGATATTCCCCAGGTGAGGAGATTCTGGTGCTAGAGCTGGCAATGACCTGCACAAAGATGACAGATCACCCTACTTCACATTTCTGTTATGGGGTGGGGGGATACTAGACAGGGTATGCATTGCATCTCAAATATTTCTACAAATGAATGTAGTTAGGATCTTGGAGGAAATTTCTAAAGAAGATCTCAGAGGATCTGCTGCAGGTTATCGAATAGCCTAAGCCATTTATCAGGTTGGCCAGAGGACTTGAGCCACAGAAATACAGAAAAGTCATCGGTTGTCTGTTTCTGTATTGAAGCATGAAGGGAAGTAGAGACATGAAGTATGAAATTGCCAAGTCAGGGTAAATACATCTAGGGTGCAATTTGGGGTGAATCATGTGTAAATGTTTATGGTGTTAATGAAAAACGTTGCAGCAATTTTTTTTTTAAAAAGAGTAATTTTATCAAATTTGCACATTGGAAATCCTGCTATGAAAAGAGTTCCATGTGTACGAGCCTTAGTTGTTGAATTCTATTTTTAAATGGCTAAGGCTTTAAGTACGTGCGTGCGTGTGTGTGTGTGTGTGTGTGTGTGTGTGTGTGTGTGTGTGTGTGTGTAATTATGGCAATGTTGCTAAGTGCATAAATATGCGCTCTGAATTCCAGCTTTGGGTAGACTCTACTCAGATTGCATGCTATTTAATGATTGCATTGACTCTGAAGCATATATGCAATTCTATACTATTGCTGATACATGCTTTTATAAAATAGCAGTGCTGCTGGAAAACAATAGTTGCAAAACAACAATGCCTCAAGCTGTGCATAAATCAGGGCTTGTAAAACTCATAAGCTGCACTTCAACTCTTAAGCAACTGTTACCTTAAAGAAGAACTAGCCTTTCCACAATATCTATTGATTAATATGAAATACTAAAAGAGGTTTTGTTTCATAAACTGTTGCTTCTTGGCTTCTAAAAAGATACAGTTTTACCTTTTATGATTTTATTACATAATTGTAAAGAAATAATTGTTGAAAGAAATTCACGTTCCTGTAATTCTGATTCTACCCCATATATGTTAAGGAACAATAAGGTAACACAATAGATTAGGCTAGGATTACCATACTGGTGCTCAATGAAGACAATGCTGCCCCCTCAGGAGCCACTTGGCAATGCCTGCAGGTAGTTTTGGTTGTCACAATTAAGGATGGGCGTTAGGTGTTAAAGACTTGGAGTGGGTAGACGCCAGGAGTGCTGCTAAACATCTTACAACGCACAGGAAGCGCCCCAAAAGTTTTAATAGTGCTAATGTGGACAAACCCTGAATTTGGGAAAGAAAAAGGTGGAAAAATCAAAATGGTCCCTGGCCAGGATGCATGCATCACCTGTTTATAGCCGCTACATCTGAATATGGAGGCTGCAATGACCAATGGTTTGGAGTATCAGGGCATCTGGAAATATTCTACAGCATGAAGCTAACTAATTGTTTGTTGTGCCAACAGAAAACAGTTACCATAACACAGAGCTGTCTGTAGGTACAAAATCCAGAACTGCGTTACAATATCTGCCTTATGAAGAAGTTATGTTTCAGAGCCAAATTCCACAGGACACTGCATCCTGAAAGTTCATCCTAGTGGTGACTTGGAGAGCTAGGGGGATGCCTAACCACTCATCTGTCAAAAAACAGCTCTGTCATTCTTCCTCCCACTCTTTCTTGAGATTGAATGGTGTATTAACACTGGCTTTTCATGTTCTATTGAGCCTCATTTCCTGCATTTAGGAACCAGCCTTCCCTACAGATTAGAGGCCAAGCTAGAGCTGAAAAATAGAAACAACAAGCTTGTTATCTGAAATCACAGCCATCAAAAATGCACTCTATAATGCCCCCGATAAAATGTTAACCCTTAATGTGATAGCCTCAAGATTAACCTTTAGAATATGCACCTTTAAAAAAAAATAATGGTACAACATCTCCCAGCACAATAATTGAATTCGCAATGCAGCTGAGTTGTGGAAGTGAATTCACAAGTGTCCCTAGACTCCTCAAAGGCCACTTGAAGAAGAGCGGACTGTTGTATGTCATTATGTGAGAAATTTAAGGCCAAAGAGGTTAACTCGCTGAGAGACTTTGGCTGTTTGATGTTAAAGCCCCATTGTCAGAGACTCTCATCTGGAGGCCAACATTAAGGATGCTATAGAGGAAAAAGCACACACATACGAACATGAGTATCTTCTTAGCATGAAAATCTAAAAGACAACATCATTTGCGCCAGAGGCCTTGAGCCACAGGGAACCTAACCACGAAATGCAGAAAAATCATGGGTTGTTTGTTTCTGTATTAGATTGTGAAGGGAGGTTGGACTCGAAGTACGAAGTTGCCAAGGACATTGATGGTGCTGTTGAAAATTTTCATATCGTGTGTGTGTGTGTGTGTGTGTGTGTGTGTTTTCTATCTTCATCTTTCATCTATTGTGGTAACATCTTAACATCTCCAACTGTCATTATTGATGAGTCTTTCTTTGCATTTATTGCTAATTGTATAATTAACAGCTCTCTTATTAGGTGTACACAAATTAACATTATTAGTTCTCTTAGGTGAATTCTTCCTTGTATCATTATGAAATGTCTCTCTTTTATTTTGGAAATAATCCTTATCTTGAAGGTATCTTTGCCTGATATTAATAGAGCCATCTCAGCTTTCTTGGCTTTTTTTTTTTTTTCCTTATTTGTTTTCATGATACATACTTTGAAATATTCACACAGTGTACATATTTTAAAGATATGAATCTGACTACAGACTTACTAAAGACAGTCATTGACAACATTGTTTTCATTGGATACTTTTTTGAAAATGTTTATAGCAGAGGCCAAAGAACATAAGTAGGAGAACAAATACAATCTAATGAGAGAGACTTGGGGGTGTTGCTGTGGTTGCAGGAGGGCAGGACTCTGAATACCCCCTTACCCTAAACTCCACCTAGTTAGTCCCTCTATGTGAACCCAGACACAAATGTGCTGAACCCGAAATCTGGGACACCTGGTTTAGTAAGATGGAGAGTAGAGAAACACTAAAATTCAAAAGAAATAGATCGAATGTATTCATAACACTTGCTAAGAATATACACCATGACCCTTATGTATCCTAAAACAATGCCTTTATCACAAATGGACTCTCACCTATAAGAAAAGGTCCATGTCACTCATTAGTTCAGGGACACTCCCTCATTCGATGGCTTAGCAACTGCATTCAACTCAGACCAATCCAAACTCAGGCTTAAAAAAATAACACGTCCTCAAATCATGGCCCTTTACAGCTACAACATTAAGAATTAACATCTAGCATTTCAAATTGGTAACAAAGGTGAGCTGTCTACAATCTACCTTTGGGAAGAAAAAAAAAAGTAAAACCTCAACAGCAATAAATGAATAATGCTCAACTGAAATATGAGAAGAAAATAAACCAATTAAAAACTAGAGGGTGGGGCGCGATGGCTCGCACCTGGAATCCCAGCACTTTGGTAGGCCCAGGCCGGAGGATCGCTTGAGCCCAGGCATTTGAGACCAGCCTGGGCAACGGAATTTGTAGAGACAGCCTTGCCTCTACAAAAAATAAAATAAGCTGGGTGTGGTTGTGGATGTTTGTAGTTCTAGCTACTTGGGAGGCTGAGGGAAGAGGATTGCTTGAGCCCAGGAGTTGGAGGCTGCAGTGAGCTATCTATGATCACACCACTGCACTCCAGTGTGGGTGGCAGAGCGAGGCTCTCTCAAATAAAATACATAAATAAAAATAATAATAAAAAAATAAAAACTAGAAAAGCACAAGGTCTTAGGAAGAAATTGACATGTATGTGAGACTCACTAATCACACCCTGCAAATGTCTTCTGAGTGAGAATATGATCTCCCTAGTGCAGAAACCATTGTCTTAGTTGCCTTTGTGTCTCCAAGGTAAACCTTTGGGCTACATGACAGAAGACAACAAAGGGTGCTGATCCAATGCTTGAATGTTATTATAGAAAAGTATCAAGAATGAAAGAAGAAAGAAGTCTACAGGATTGTATAATATAAACGGCCTGCGTACTTTTATTGTCTACCCCTGCCTGCATTTCCAGCTTCCCCTCCTGCCTAACTCCCCATTGCCGCTGTTCTCAAGCCACACCTGTCACTTCAGATCCTGACTGCACTGGGCTCCTTCGAGCCCTGGAGTCTTCGCATGAAAGTCCCTCTGCTCACCAAGACCTTCTTACCCTAATAACTTACTACTGCCCCTTCAACCGCCCGTTCTCAATATCAATATGTATCCTCACAACTGGATCAGAAACTTTGGAAACCAGCTCTACCAGCATCTAACATGTATTTCAGTTTGTAATTATACTTGTGGGTGATCTGATGATTATTTTTCTTCAACTGCTGGAAGAGTTTCTCAACCTTGGCACTGCTGACCTTTTTTGGTCAGATAATTCTTTATTGTGAAGGGGGTCTGGCCTCTTCCCACTAGACATCAGCAACAAATCTCAGTCATGACAACCTACACTGTCCTTAGACATCGCCAAATGTCCCCTGAGGCAAAATTACCCCTGGTGAAGAAATGCTACATCAGAGTATAAGCCACATTAAATAAGAAACTATGTCTTTTTTGCTCCGTATTCAATGTCTAAAGTCTAGTACCATGAAGAGTACATAGGAGATGCTCATAACATTTAGATGGATAGATGAATAAACCACAAGTAACTACAGGTTAATGTCAGGTCTGGTTGTAGCTCGTAGAATATTCTGGGATAGCCAATTCAGAGCAGCAAGTCCTGTGTATCAATTTCTATCAAACTTTGAGCACTAAAATGGCTCTGAAGTATATGTAACAACAAAGAATGCTTATTTTCTTCTATGAGTTTTGTTGATCAAAATTACTTTGTTCTTTCTTGGACTCTAGTTGGTGTCTGATCTCTCTCTTTGACAGCAGAAAACTTGTCCTCATTCACTTAAGTGTTTCCTGGTATCTATGACTAGGCATCAACCTTTTAAAGTTGAATGGATAAAAAAGTATCTACTATCCATTCTTACACCATAAAGAACTACTTATATAATAATACCTGGTACACAGCAAGTGCTCATTAAATATTTGTGAAGCTGAACTGAACTGTATAAATCAGCATTAATTTATAATTTAACACAGAGGAGGCAAAGGATGCTGGAAAAATTATCAGATGACAATGTGATGATGTCCATTTGAAGTCAATAGACTTGTCTTTGCTTGTTGCAAATTAAATTCTGCATAATCAGTCTCCCTAAGCTTTGTTTTTCTTCTCTGTTAAGCCAGTAGAAAATGTCTTTATAGCCTGCCAAGACCAGCTCGGTCCGGGAGACCCTAACCCAGCAGCGCTAGAGGAATTAAAGACACACAGAAATATAGAGGTGTGGAGTGGGAAATCAGGGGTCTCACAGCCTTCAGAGGTGAGAGCCTCAAACAGTTCACCCACATATTTGTTAACAGCAAGCCAGTGATAAGCATTGTTTTTATAGATTATAGATAACTAAAAGTATTCTTTATGGGAAACAAAGGGATGGGCTGAAATAAAGGGATGGGCTCTGGCTAGTTATCTGCAGCAGGAGCATGTCCTTAAGGCACAGATCGCTCATGCTATTGTTTGTGGTTTAAGAACACCTTTAAGCGGTTTTCCGCCCTGGGTGGGCCAGGTGTTCCTTGCCCTCATTCTGGTAAACCCACAGCCTTCCAGCATGGGGGTCATGGCCATCATGAACATGTCACAGTGCTGCAGAGATTTTGTTTTGGCCAGTTTGGGGGCAAGTTTATGGCCAGATTTTAGGGGGCCTGTTCCCAACACTAGCCTAGTTCATCAGTTGCTGTATAAAATGTGAAAATGTCTGTGAATGGCTATGTGTGGAAAGCATTTACTTTGGTTTTATGCAAAGCTAAGTCAGGGTCTTCACTCAATCAAGTCTTATGTGGTACAGCTGAGTGTTGGAAAATACAAGATAACATATAGCTGCAGGTAGAGTCCAGTGGGAGCTCCGTGGAGGGAAATTTATCTCTACCCAGAAGTAGTTGGCAAAGGAATCTTCTGCAATCTGTCTCAATGAGTGGGAATTAAACAAATAATGAAAAGTAGAGAGGACAATACAGATAGAGAAACAGATACCATACCAACGGCAGTGATAACATTAGAATTCATTTATTCATTCATGCACTTCACAAATATTAAGCTTTGAATAAATAGGCCTAGACTCTGCAAGGTAGTACTGAAGAAAACAAAGACCCACAGTCTTGGAGTTTATATTCTGAAGACGATAAGCAGATAAATATATATACGATAAACATATATACCATGAATATAGATCTCTGATCAACTCCTTTCTCCTCATCCTTCTCAATGTCATCAACATGAATATCATCTTTATACTTGAGGCAGACTAGAGATCGATTGCATTCCAAGAGGCAGGGGAATTGTGGCAGTCCCAGGAGGTAGGAAAATCATGTCTCCCAAAGGAGTCACTTGAAAGAAATATAATTAAATATGAAAAAAATAAAGAAAAAAACCAAAACATTTAAACTATAAAGAGAATGTACTTTTCAGGATGCCCCCACGTGAGGCCTCTCAGAAATGTAATCTTACTTTAAAACTCAATATGACATTGGAAATAATTAACAAAATATGCCATGCAATATTCAGGAATGGGAGACAGATAAACAGATGGATGGACAGATAGATAGATGGTACAGTATGCTATAGTCTGAAAGTTCTGTCCTCTCAAAATTCATATGTTTATATCCAAACCCCCAAAGAAAGGAAATCAGTATATCAAAGAGATATCCACACCCCCATGTTTGTTGCAGCTTTGTTCACAATAGCCAAGATTTGGAAGCAAACTAACTGTCCATCAACAGGTGAATGGATAAAGGAAAATGTGGTACATATACACAATGGAGTATTGTTCAGCTATAAAAAAGAATCAGATCCTGTCATTTACAACATAGATAAAACTGGAGATCATTATGTTAAGTGAAATAAGCCAGGGACAGAAAGACTGTTATCATATGTTCTCACTTATTTGTGGGAGCTAAAAATCAAAAAGATTGAACTCATGTGCATAGAGAGTCAAAAAAGGGTTATCAGGCACTGGAAAGGGTAGTGGGGGTGGGATGTGGGGAAGTGGGGTGGTTAATGGGTACAAAAATTATAGTCAGAAAGAATAAATAAGACCTAGTATTTGCTAGCACAACAGGGTGACTATAGTCAATACTATAGTCAATAGTAATTTAATTGTACTTTTTTTTTTTTTGAGACTGAGTCTCGCTCTGTCGCCCAGGCTGGAGTGCAGTGGCATGATCTCGGCTCACTGCAACCTCTGCTTCCCAGGTTCACGCCATTCTCCTGCCTCAGCCTCCTGAGTAGCTGGGACTACAGGTGCCCGCCACCACACCTAGCTAATTTTTTTGTATTTTTAGTAGAGATGGGATTTCACTGTGTTAGCCAGGCTGGTCTCAATCTCCCGACCTCGTGATCCGCCTGCCTCAGCCTCCCAAAGTGATGGGATTACAGGCGTGAGCCACCGTGCCTGGCCTAATTGTACATTTTAAAATAACTAAAATAATATAATTTGATTGTTTGTAACACAAAAGATAAATGCTTGAGGAGATGGACACCCCATTTTCTATGATATGATTATTATGCATTGCATGTCTACACCAAAATATCTCATGTACTCCATAAATATATATACCTACCATGTACCCACAAAAATTAGAAATTAAAAAGAAAAAATATATAAATCTTAATCCCCAACGGGACAGTATTAGGAGGTGGGCGCCTTTTGGAGGTAATGAGGTCATGACAGTGGAGTTTCATGAATGGGATCAGTGCCCTTATAAAAGGGATCCCACAGAGCTCCCTTGCCCTTTCCACTATGTGAGGACACAGTGAGAAGGCGCTGTCTATGAATCAGGAAGTGGGTCCCCACCAGACACTGAATCTGTAAGCACTTTGATCTTGAACTTCCAGCCTTCTTATGTGTGTGTATATAATTTTGCTCAGTTACATAACAAAAACCTGTAAGTAATTTGCTGAACTAAGAGAGAGAGAGAGGATTGATAGATATATACATACATACATACATACATACATACATAGACAGATAGATACATAGATGCATAGAGATGATAGATACATATAGATAAGATAGATCGATATATATATAGATACATACATATATGCATACATACATACATAGATACATAGAGATGATAGATATAAATTAGATAGATAAGAAATCAACAGATTAGATAGAGAGAGAGGGGTAGATAGATTAAATAGATACTTCACATGTAGAGACACTACTTATCAGGAAGGCATAGTGAGACATTTAGTCAATTGTATGAGTACATGATCATCAGAAAAATGACTCAATTAACAAGATTCAGGGTTCTGAGGAAGGTGATTAGGGAAGCTGTGAATTCTCTGTTTTGGGAAATTACTAAGTTTGAAAACACAACAGCACTCCTTGAAAGTATGCAATGCTCAGCCCGTGGGTGTGCAGGTGGTATCCTGTGGTTGCTTTCTACTGCTCATTTTCTGACATAAGCATATATTTGGAAAAGAGTAGATACTAATTGAGATGAGGTTTAATATTTACTTACACTGGTGGCACTCATAAAGTGCTTATCAGTGGAAACAGAAGGAGAACAAAATTAGTTCACAAATCTCATGTGATCGCCCACTCTCCCAGCCTAGACAAACTCACTCATGTGCCTTTTGTCTTTTTCTCCCTGGAGTTCCTCTCCATTCCAATTGTTCCTCCCCTCCATTTTCTGGAAGGAAAGCTGGGATGGATTCCAACTTCTCTTGTTCCTTTTTAGAGGGTAAAAAATACAACTTAGGGTAACTAGTAGACATAACTAAATGTTTCAAAATAGGGTGAAAGGGATGAGATGGAAATCACAGTTGCATGTCTTTCTGCAATGTCTAGGAGTGCAGAATATGAATGAGCCAAATATTACTACATAACAACATCTGCGAAATTTTACTGAATCCTCCTAAATAAGTCAGTGAATCTCAAATCGTACCTGTGCAGATGTGGACACCATCATTTGGATATTCTACCATCATTACATAGAGCTTTCCTGCTGGGTAGAGTTACAGTAGGACACCTGATAACTGTTTTCCTCGCTACAGTTCAACACCTATGAAACCTGATGTCAACGCATTGGTACTTAATACATCAGTATTTTATTTCAGAATGTTATCAAATTTGATTTTAAAACATTAATAGTCACTAGTTCGATGTTGAAAGGAAATACACAGTATCTCTAAAGCACACGCACCTTATGGTATTATGAATTAGACCATAACTTTGTGGTACATGATGAGCATTCAAAGCATTGCAAAGAATAGTAATAGAATACGTATGTGCAATTGGGTGCACCTGAGTGTTGCACTTGTGCGTGAGGCATGTGTGTGTGATTTGCATAAGTGTGCATGCATTGTGTGTGTATGTGTGTGCACATATAGGTACACATAAACTAACTTCTGAATCTGTTAAATGTTTTCTGGTACCGCACAGATCTACACCTTACTTTTCAAAGTTGCTAATATTTATCCTAAATTTCACCTCCACCGCAAATTCTTCCATCATCAAACATTTACCTTCTACTTAGTAATAACCAGCTTAAAGCACTGTTGGAATTGCATGTGACTAAAAATTTCTAGCAATACAGAAATAGAAACTTATGCTTGTCAAGAGAACAGAAGGACATACTGCATAAGATTTGGCTTGCTTCATAATCTTCCCAAGTAAGGGCTTTAGACGATATTATTTATGATGAAATATGTTATCAACTACATTCTCAGGTGGATAATATCTAACTGCACATGAGTTTCTGTGTTCATTTGGCAGAGTTATAGCTCAAGGCATTTATCAGTTGTTCATTTATATTTATTTCTCCATCTTCTCTCTCTCTCACTTTTATCCTGAAGATCTTTTTTGCTCTCTCTCTCTCTCTCTCTGCTCAGACTGAAATAGAAACCAAGATGCAACGGAAACTTGGACCTAGGAACCTGAGAAATATTCTCACAAGAGTGCCTTCAGTACCTCATCTTCCCCTCAGACTATTTAGATGATCAGACTGGAGTTACAGAAAGTGAACAAAAAAGGAAGAGTCAAAGGGACAGGAGAGGATGGGCAGTCTGGAAAGATCAGGAGTCCCTGAGATGGCAGAAAGAAACAGATGACAGACAGATTAAGGAGATACCTGCAAGCCTCCTGCATGGAAGGTCAGGAGCACGGACAATGTATATGGAGTTAGAGGTAGGAAAACAGAACCTCACACCCTAATCCAAGTTGAACCAAACAGATCCAGTGGCCTGAATTTAATAGCAGAGATGGAACCAAAACTGTTAGAAAACTATGCTGCGTAAACTGTTATCATAATTCAGATACTGGGACGGTAACTGGATTAGCAAGATAAAATCACATTAGACCATTTAATCAACATTATTTTACAAACGTGAAAGTGTATTATCTCCTTTTTTTTTTTTGAGATGGAGTCCCACTCCGTCTCCCAGGCTGGAATGCAGTGGCATGATTTTGACTCACTGCAACTTCCACCTTTCAGGGTCAAGCCATTCTCCTGCCTCAGCCTCCTGAGTAGCTGGGATTATAGGTGTGCACCACCATGCCCCACTAACTTTTGTATTTTTAGTAGAGATGGGGTTTCACCATGTTGGCCAGGCTGGTCTTGAACTCCCGACCTCAAGTGATCCACCTGCCTTGGCCTATCTCCTCTTTAGACAAACTTGATTCATGACATTGTGTGTGACACATTTATGTAATTTAGAATATGGAATAAAATGTTTTACGTGACATAATTTAACAAAGTTAAAGCACAAGCAAAAAAAAAAGTACATTAGATTAGCAAATTTAAAATATACTAAGAAATTTTATGTGAACAAACGTAGGTGGGTTCATTTACTTTTCAGTACTTAGAGACTATCGTCTAGCACGTTTTCTTAAGTAACTTATTTCATTTCTCATTAATGTTAATGGGGAAATTACCACCTAACTAACTGCCACTGAGTCTCAGAACCAGCCCTTGGAAACCCATCCCAATCATTAAGCCAGGAGTTTAGCTGGCAAACTGCACACATAACACAACTCAGTCCCAGGCTCTTTTCTCCAAAAAGAAATGACATTATTTTGATGGAAGCCACTTTTCTTGATTTGCATAATCATCCATGAACACAACACAGATGTCAGTCTTTAAAGGTAAGGGAGGTGGTTAGATTGTCTGTTGTTCTTTGGAAATCATAAAATTATTTCTGCAGTCATTGCATGAGGTCCAGACTAACACATCTCTCTCCACACAACTATTTTCCACTGACCACCAACATTATCAATGAGACCTTTGATATCACAGATCCACCAATGGGGATCTGAAACCCTTGGGAATGAGTATGCTTTTGTGGACAAGAGGAAGGGGACTCAGAACTTTTTAATTTTTTTACATCTGTTTTATGCAGCACCCTCAGAGGAATATGGAACATCACTCCCAAATCAAACTCATTAATATTCCTGCAGGAAAATATCTAAATGTCCACCCTGAGGTGGAAAAGAAAGAACACAAATAGTCATCTGTCAGATCAGGTTTTGCCCCCAAATGAGTTTTGATATCACTGTAAAGTTTTGAACTGTTTTTGACTTTCAAATTGTAGATAAGGGACTCTGGATCTGTATGTCCTCTGATTTCTATTAACCAGTCCTAGAACAGTAAACAAAACAAACACTAAAGAGCACCCCATTTACAGAGTGGTTTAAGTCCACTGAAGTTGGTTAACACTTGGACCCTGAAAATCCATGCATACTGTATGGAATCAATTATGATGAATGTGAACAGTTAATTAGACAAAAAGAACCTCCTTGCATCCACCATTACAGTATAACACAGAATATCTTCCCTGCCATAAAAATCCTCTATGATCCACCTATTTATCTTTTCTTTCCCCATCCCCAACCGAAACTCTGACAATGATGGATTTTTTATTGTCCCCCAGTTCTGCTTTTTCCAGAATGTCCTATAGTTGGAATCATACTGTATGTAGCCTTTTCCCATCAGCTTCTTTCACTTAGTAATATGCATTTAATTTTCCTCCATGTCTTTTCATGGCTTAATAGCTCATTTCTTTATAGCATGGAATAATATTCCATTGTCTGAATACACCATAGTTTATTTACCCATTCATCTATTGAAAGACATCTTGTTCACCCAGAGGGTCTCTTAATCTTGATACTTCCCACAAAACAGAACTAGGAATCAGCGGTTATGTCAACTTTCCAGGGAATCCCTACAAGTGGAAGGCTAGAATGATAGGACAAAGAACTGCCTGTGCCTCTCCAGGCAAAAACCTGCAAACATCTAGCAAAAACCTTAAGCACTCTTGAAATTCATTTATTCAGATAACCTAAAAATTGAAATATGAATTTATGCTTTATTCTTTCTTTACCAATATAGACATGGTCTCATTGATTTGTGGACAATGATGAGCTTGAATTCAATGCGAAGAATCTTTGAACACTTTCACATACTTTGGCCCTAGTTCTACCACAGCTGGAGGAGCTCTGTTTCACTTGATCGTTGTGCTGGATGCCATTCGGCCACATGGCTTATTCCAGCCGCTCTTGTGGTGATCTGCTCTGCCTAGACTTCAGCCAGCTTCACGCAGGTGCAGCCTCACTTCATACCTGCAAACTTGCCTTTTTCTTGATTTCCTGAAGTTTCTCTGATGCCTCACAGTGGATGCACACTAAAACCTACTTAGCACTCCCCAAGCAGCCTGGAGAGGTTACCCCCAGTAAACTAATAAGAGGTGAAAGATGGTGTGAATATGGGTCCTCCATTTTCACCGGGTAAAGGTGGTCTGGAGACACATAACATAAGGGTTTTCAGACAACCTCACTGGGTCAAGCAGCAGTCACTCCTCTGTGGCCAATACACTTTTTTGTGTTTTTGTTTGTTTTTAAATTTTAATTTGGATTCAGGGGTGCATGTGCAGGTTTCTTACATGGGTATATTGCACACTGGTGACATATGGACTTCTAGGGTTCCAATCACACAAAGAGTGAACATTGTACCCATAGGTTAATTTTTCAACCCTCACCCCCTCCCAGCCTTTCCCTTGTTTGAGTCCCCAGTGTTGATTGTTTCCATCTTTATATCCATGTGTACCCATTGTTTAGCTCCCAGTTATAAGTGACAACATGCTATATTTGATTTTATGTTTTTGAGTTATTTCACCTAGGATAATGGCCTCCAGCCACATTCATGTTGCTGCAAAGGACATGATTCCATTCTATTTTATGGCTGCCTAGTATTCTGTGTTGTAGATGTACTACATTTTCTTTATCCAATGCACTGTTGATGGACACTTAGGTTGATTCCACAACTCGGCTATTGTAAATAGTGATTATTTCTCGTTCCTTCCCACAACACAGTGCTGGTTCCTCATCCCTATTTTTGGCATAATATTTGCAATAAACAAGGGTTTTCTCTAAACCTCTGCTTTGAGTGGAATCTGGGCTAGGAAAATACACAGTGGATCGAAATGTGCAGCCCTTACTGCCAACAAAATAAAGACTCAAAGTGAATTGGCTTTTGAATGTGACAGGTGTGTAGCCAAATGCCCAACACTAATGTTGATGTCAGCTTCAAGTCAAAGCACCAAAGCCTTCTCACAGAAATTCATTTTCCAACAGAACTTAAGCTTACTTTATTTTGGAATCTGCAGGATACTGTGAATTATTATTAAATATTATTTTTTGTAGAATAACTATGAATGCACACATACCAAATAAAAATGGTGGCTCATGCCTGTAATCCCAGCACTTTAGGAGGCCGAGGTGGGCTGATCACTTGAGCTCAGGAGTTCAAGAGCAGCCTGGCCAACATGGCAAAACCCTGTTTCTACAAAAATAAATAAATAAATAAATAAAAAATTGGCTGGGCATGGTGGTGTGCATATGTAGTACCAGCTACTCTACTAGGGAAGCTCAGGTGGGAGGATCACTTGAGCCCAGGAGGTCGAGGCTGCAGTGAGCCAAAATCGCTCTACTGCACTCCAGCCTGGGTGACAAAGCGAGAATCTGTTTCAAAAAAAAAGGAAGAAAAATACTGCGTAGTTGTAGAAATCAATTTTCCATGCCATGCAAGGAACTGATGGCAGAATTTGGTGTGTAGGTCTGCTCTTTAGTTAGTCAATCCCTGCTCATCTCTCAGGTTTTGGACTACATTGTGCTTCCCCTGGGAAGCCCTCCAGGCTGCCTCCAAGATTGGATCAGATGTTCCTGCAGCTGCTCCTAAGCATATCACTGTTTTAAGCAGCATGAGACTAACCTCATTTTAATCTCATTCTTATTTCATTATCTCTAACAAAAACTCTAGGTAATGGCCAAGCACAGTGGCTGGCACCTGTAATCCCAGCACTTTGGAAGGCCAATGCAGGAAGATTGCTTGAGGCTAGGATTTTGAGACCAATCTGGGCAATACACTGAGATGCTATCGCTACAAAAATCAAAATAAAAAATTAGCCGGATATGGTGGCATGCACCTATAATACAAGCTACTCCAGAGGCTGAGGGTGGAGGGTCGTTTGAGCCCAGGAGTTCAAGGTTACAGTGAGCTATGATTGCACCACTGCACTCCAGCCTGGGTTGATAGAGCAAGACCCAGTCTCTAAAAAAATAAAACAACAAAATCTCTAATACCCTATGTACTGCATTTACAATTTTATAAACCTTCAGAAACCAAGTAATACCTGGATGTAATATTATAAATATGGTGCAAAACATTCAATCACGTGAAATACAGGGTTATATTAGAATGAGGTCAAAACTATGAGCAGATTGTATGGAGATTGGGGTTAGCCATGCCATAATCCAACTTTTATTATTACAGACAATAACAAAAGGTTTTACTGTAGCAGTATATTAACTAATCCTAATGAACAAAAGAATTAATGAATTGATTCACTGACTTGTTCTTTTAAGAAAACTTTCGCAATCTCTCACTTTCTGATCCAGCAATCCAAAAAGGTCAAACAAGGGTCTACAGCAGTGATCTTACAAACCCAGACCTTCCATAGCTGCAGAAGTCAGACATGCATTGATCACATGCATTTGGGTGTGCTCACTGCATCTGTGAGCAGTCTGAGCGAAAAAATAAAAACAAACAAACATAAATGTAGAATGTGCAAACCCCATAGCTAACTCTACTATACATTTCTCTTTCAAAATCACTACTTTATTTTGAGATTGCAAACCTTTTTCCAAACCTGTTAGGATCCAGTCTCCTAATTATAGCAGTTAGGGCTCAAAGGGAGGGTTTCAGAAATAAGCCAGATTAGGGGGTACAAATGTCAGCATCACCTGACTGGTTAATGTGCCTGGGAGGTGGCTAGTCAAGCAGCAGAAAAACGCTTTCCTGACACAGAAAAGGAAAATCACAGGTTTCACTCCCTCCAAAGCAAGGCTGCCATGTATAATCTTTCTCTCCTTTCTCTTCTGCCAAGCCACACAGAAGGGCACAGCCCCAAGGAGAGACTAAAAACATATGTGGAATTATAGTAATATCTCCATTAGCAACTAAATGTATTCCAGAGATGTATGGCACAGTCAGAAACTTTGCTCACAGGTACAAAGCCAATCTAGGGGGTGGGGGCAGGCTGCTGTCTAGACGCTCAGAGTCAAGTGGAAAGAACTTCCCAGGGCTCTGCTGTTCCCTCTCTGCCCTCACTCCTTATCCACAAGAGGCTCCCACTCACAGACAGTAAGTACCCCTTGCAAGAAAGAAATTTGGCGACCCTCCCAATTGCAAGGGGGCTGGGCTGTCAGAATCCTGAGTTTCTGTGCATCCCTCCTTGACTGGGCTCAAACCCTATAAGCAGATACGCAGCAGATTGGTTCTTCTAATATGCTTCTCTACTCCTAGGCAGCCTTCATGCTGGAAATGCATTTAATTATAAATTATTAATGGAACGAAGGGGCTGTAGAGAGTTTCTTCTCTGAAGCCCCTGTTCCATGGAGGCAGGAAAAATCAGAAGTGTCCCTCTCACTAGGAGGAGCATATCTGGACAATAAGCAAAAATCCTGGAAAGAGAAAGAAATGCAGTTGCCTGTAGAGGCACTTGTAATATCCACCCAAGAGAAACAGCTTCTATGTACTTTGAGACTCTGGCTAACAAATTTTTGAGTGTCTCCTCTCGGTCATCATTGTGAAGGACTTTGGAGGAACTAGAAATTGAAATGGAAGGCAATAATAAGAAAATTCTTAGACCTCAAACCTGTTCCTGAATCTGCACACAGACAGAGGACTCAAGGTTTTGCATTAGAAGTGACAGGTGCGTTACTGAAAGCTGAAGCCCTTAGAGGTGGTTCGAGGCGGAAATACCTACTCTGCCCAGCAAAGCGAAGCTAATCCTAACCCTAACCCGAACCCTAACCCTAAAAGACCATGATGCAAGGCAATGAGCTGTTACAAACCATTCTCATTTTAAGATATAGGATAGCATTGGTTTCCTTATTTAGTTTTATTTCAGTGAAAGTAAAAATATGTGAAAGGGCTTACATAGATTCACTCAAGTGCAGAACACCCCAAACCTAATGTATCTTGTTATATAGTCTGAATGGTAGTGTCCTCCCAAAATTCATATGCTGAAATCCAATACACAACATGATAACTCTACCCTCATGAATGGGATGAGTGTCCTTATAAAAGAGGCTGCAGGCCCTTCCACCTTGTCCCTTCCAACATGTGAGGATAAATCAAGAAGATGCCATTTGGGGGAATGGGCCCTCACTAGACACTGAATCTGCTAGCACCTTGATCCTGGACTTCCCAGGACCATGAGAAATAAATGTGTGTTGTTAGCTGGGCAAAGTGGCTCATACCTGTAATCCCAACACTTTAGGAGGTCAAGGCAGGAGAAATGTTTAAGGCCAGGAGTTCAAAACCACCCTGGTCAACGTAGTGAGTCCTCATCGCTACTAAAAATTAAAAAAATAAAAATTAGCCAGGGATGGTGGCACACACGTATGGTCCCAGCTACTCAGGAGGCTGAGGTGGGAGGATCAGTTGAGCCCAGGAAGTCAAGGCTACAGTGAACCATGATCAAGCCACTGCACTCCAGCCTGAGCAACAGAAAGAGACCCTGTCTTAATGATAATAATAACAATAAATGTCTATTGTTTATAAATTACCCAGTCTAAGGTATTTTGTTATAGCAGCCTCGACAGACTAAAAAATATCCCTATATCTTACCCTGGGATATTAAAACATACATTTATAGCTCTTAAAGATGAAATATTGTAAAAATTTTTTAAATATTCAGGGTAGCAAAAAAGCATTTGGTTGGCAGGAGAATAATTTTAACCAAACAAGCTAGAGTCATGAACAAATACATTCATAACCTGGCTTCTTGTATGTCAAAGTTAACTAGAAAATACTTATATGCTAAAATGTCAAATATAATTTTGTTTTGCTGGTCTACCTTCTAGATAAAATAACTGCATGTTCAGTGCTTGAAAATTAAAAATGATCAGTCTCAGATTATTTCCTACAATCTGTTGCAGAGGGGGGACAAGGACTAAAAAACTTCCTGTGCTCATTATCTGGGCACAGAATAACCTAGTGACGGGATCAACGGAAGCCTGAACCTCAGCAACACACAAGATACCCTTGTAACACACCTGCAGACGTAATCCTTGGATCTAAAGTAAAAACAGGGATTTTCTAAAAAGCTATCCCTCAGGAATTTGAAAAAAAGTTACGTAAACACAAAATCTATGCAGATAAACAACATCACATTAGATTACAACCCAAAGTATAAAATAAATATCCATGAGTCCATACTGATATATGTAAATGAGGGAATAAATAAATGAGTAGGCGAGAATAGGCACATCTCTCATGCAAAATAACTTCAAATAATTTCTGTAGATACTCTGCCCTCAAGGAGGGGATTATAGTCCCCGCTTTCTTTTTTTTTTTTTTTTAATTTATTTTTGTTTTTTTGAGATGGAGTCTCGCTCTATCACCCAGGCTGGAGTGCAATGGCGCGATCTCGGCTCACTGCAATTTCCTTCTCCCGGGTTCAAGTGATTCTCCTGCCTCAGCCTCTGGAGTAGCTGGGATTACAGGTGTGAGCCACCACACCCGGCCTCCTGCTTTCTTAAGTGTAGGCTGCACGTAGTGACCTCTTTCCACAGGGTACAGTATAGAAAGTGTGTGTGCAGGAGGACGAACGTGATACTGGAGATATCTGGCCAACATCACCTCATCCATGGGATCAAGGTTAGTATCAACTGCAATGTCATGGTGCTAGTATGTGCCCTTGATACAATGTAATGAAAGTGGCACTTCACCTCTGGTCTTCCTCTGCACAATCCATAGCCCCCCAGTATAACCATGAGAAAAACATCAGACAAACCAAACAAGGTACCAATCCCGTGACCAGCCCTCCTCAAAACTGTTAAGGTCATGAAAGACAAAAGAAGAAAAACTGTCACAGTCAAGAGGAGCTCAAGGAGACATGACGGCTAAATGTAATGTGGGATCCTGGATAGGATTTGAGGAAAGAAAAAAGACAGAAGGAAAATACCAACGAAATCAGAAGAATGGGTGGGCTTTAGTAAAAAATTGCACACATATTGGCTCATTAATAGTGTCAAATGTACAATAATGATGTAAGGTGTTTCTAGTAGTGGAATTTGAGGGTGGGGTATAAGGAAAACTCTACACAATCTTCGCCAATTTAGCACAAATCTAAAATTAAAGTTTCTTTTAAAAAACTATTATAGGTAATATTTTTCAAAACAATAATTCATATATATTTAACTTTTAACTCAGATCATGTAGTAAAAAAGAAAAATCTAAAAATAAAAAGTAGTGACACAGGTATTTATCAAGAAAACCTGTAGTTCTTTAAGTTTTGGAACTTACTAGATGTTAGAGAAAGACAAGAAACTAAAAACTTACAACATTGCAATAAATCTGAAATCCTGAACTGTAAAAATGGCCCAGAATTATAACATCCTAAGGGCTCGTTGCAATGCCCTGGCTTTCAGTGAATATTAACATTCAATCCAGGTGGGAACGTGCTTGTTTCAAAAAAAAAAAAAAATGCACGATACACAAATAGCAGATGGACTTAAGGACTGACTTATCCATCCATAACTGAGTGATTGCAGTCTGCAGAATTAGATCTACCTCTGGGTTTTTTGTTTTGTTTTGTTTGTTGCTGTTGTTTTTGAGATGGAGTCTTGCCCTGTCACCCAGGCTGGAAGTGCAGTGGCGCAATCTCAGCTCACTGCAGCCTCTGTCTCCTGGGTTCAAGTGATTCTCTTGCCTCAGCTTCCCAAGTAGCTGTAACTACAGGTGTGCACCACTACGCCCGGCTAATTTTTGTATTTTTAGTAGAGAGGGGGTTTCACCATGTTGGCCAAGCTGGTATTGAACTCCTACCTCAAGTGATCCACCCAGCTCAGCATCCCAAAGTGCTGGGATTAGAGGCATGAGCCACCGCACCCGGCCTACTTCTGTTAAACCAATAAGTCTTAAAGTTTTTCTAAATTTCTATATTCTCTGGGTTTCTTCTACTCCATGAAAGAATCATAGATTTAAATCCTCAGAGACTTTAAATGGCTTTAGGCAAAAAAGCATGTGTGAAGGAAAAGACTTAGTAGGATATTAGTCACTTTACTTATTTAGTTTATTTTATACTTATGGAATTTATTGGGACAAATTCCAAGGTTGTGCTGTTGTTTATAATATAAGATAAAAGTCATACTTCTTGTGAGATTGCCTTTTAAGCCACATCCTACCATTTTCCCTGGCCTATGCAATCAGTGTTATAACTTAAAGCTCTAATTTAATGGAAAGTTCTTAACAAAAAATAGTCTCTGCAAAGTCAGCCTCTTTCCATCAAAGTGGCAAACACACACACACACACACACACACACACACACACACACAAACATGCACACATACACCTGCTTGGAATAAGAAAGTTTACTTTTATATGAATTATTTACTTTTCTCCTTTATTATTTTAGTAACGAAAATCAGATAAACTAAACACTACATATGAGGATTTTTTTCTTAATACATACAATCATTAAAAAGAAAACACTGAGGCACAGCTATTGGTAGTGACTGAGGGTGGAGGAGTTGTGGGATTGGTGAATTATTCCATCCTTAGGGGAAGCTCAGTAAACAATCTTGCCAGCCTTCCACATTTCTGCCTTGTCACAAAGCCTCACCATCGTCCTACAAACCATCGGTGTCCTGCAGATAAGCTGTCACACAGCAGGTTCTGTCTTTTGTGAAATCTACAAAAAATATATCCCTAACAGAAATAAACAGTAGTCACCATATCTTCAATTGTTATAGTCTAAACTAAATGGGTTCATGTTCTAAAGTGGATCTTCATCTCTAAATGGTTTCTAGGAAGAAAAAACAATAATAATTTAGAAACAATGCCTGTGTGTTGGAATAAGTGTGCTCTTTTTTTGAGCAAATGGCCAAGAGAACCACTTAATAATTCAGAATCAGGTAATTCCAGGAGGATGGATGAATTTCGGAGGAAATATGGTTGTAGGTGGGCCAGTAATAACTCATAAAAATGTAGAGTGAATGACTACAATACTTTAAGAGACATTTATTCTTAGGGACTGGAAACAAAACAAATTCTACAGGATCACGGTGGCACATATCAGAACAAAGTCATGTTGTGCCTTGGGAATATAGGATAACTCATGCATCCTTTTTAGAAGGAACAGGATAGGAAATTCATGTTCAGTGGACACATTTCTCTAACGAATATTACAGGACTCCTGTATCATTGTAGGTAATGGCTGGGCAAAAATATGCCCCTGTTCTCAGGGGCTTCATGTCGCCTTGAAGGAGAGAGATGAATTAACCCAAGCCCTAGCATCCCACTGAGGGACGAGAAGGTAAAGTTGGCATGGTAGAACCAAGGAAGCCAGAACTGATTCTTGCTGAAGCAACTGCAAAAGATCCAGAAATAGTAGCTCTTGGAAAAGTACAGACTTGGAAGGAGCATTTCAGGAATAGGACCACGTGGAGGCAAAAAACACATAGATGGATGCTTTCTGTAGTGGGAGAAATGTTTTTAGAACTGGAGAGGTAAGGAGGTCAAGGCAGAATCTTTGTGATTGTCTTCTGTCTCTATGCAACAATTAGAAGCATCGTTTTAACGTGCACACCTGACTCTGTGGCTCTCAAGATGCAACATCTGTTCCAAATGCCCAGTGCTTTCCTGTAAGCTTAATAGGAAGACACCACCCAATTCTCCAGCTTTATCATGCACAGCTTCTCTGTTTGCTCAAGAATTAAGAGGTGAGCGAGAAAGTGCTCTCACGGAGTTAGAGTTACCTTTACAAATGTAATAAAGAACTGAATGAGGCTGGGCGCGGTGGCTCATGTCTGTAATCCCAGCACTTTGGGAGGCCAAGGTGGGTGCATCAGGAGGTCAGGAGATGGAGACCATCCTGGCTAACACGGTGAAACCCCGTCTCTACTCAAAATACAAAAAATTAGCCAGGCGTGGTGGTGGGCGCCTGCAGTCCCAGCTACTCGGGAGGCTAAGGCAGGAGAATGGCGTGAACCCGGGAGGCAGAGTTTGCAGTGAGCCAAGATTGTGCCACTGCACTCCAGCCTGGGCGACAGACCGAGACTCTGTCAAAAAAAAAAAAAAAAAAAAAAAAAAACACTGTGAAAGAGCGGAAACTTTGAATTCACACGTCCACTTTCATTCAACAAGTAGGTATTGAACCTTTCTTTCTTTTTTTTTTTTTTTTTTTTTTTTTTTTTTTTTTTTTTTTTTGAGACAGCGTCTCACTCTGTCGCCCAGGCTGGAGTGCAATGGCACGATTTCAGTTCACTGCAGCCCCCGCCTCCCAGGTTCAAGTGATTCTTCTGCCTCAGCCCCCGCCTCCCAGGTTCAAGTGATTCTTCGGCCTCAGCCCCCGCCTCCCAGGTTCAAGTGATTCTTCTACCTCAGCCCCCGCCTCCCAGGTTCAAGTGATTCTTCTGCCTCAGCCTCCCGAGTAGCTGGAACTATAGGCATGCGCCACCATGCCCGGCTAATTTTTATATTTTCACTAGAGACAGGGTTTCACCATGTTGGCCAGGCTGGTCTGGAACTCCTGACCTCAAGTGATCCGCCCGTCTCAGCCTCCCAAAGTGCTGGGATTACAGGCAAGTAATCCCAAGTGCCAAGAAGTGCTTTTAAGTGCCAAGAAGCTTTCCAGTTTTTGGAGATACAAGTTTCACAATTAACATACTTCATTTTTCTCTTTATGTGTGTGTTTAGTGTGTTCTAATGGACTGCCAGGTAGTAGATACGATTTTGGTTGATTGCTTTTGGTCCTGCTTTTTCCACATAAGAAAATCAAATTTTTCTTCATTATTTGGTGAGGACATTTTCATGTCAACAATGCACTAATGGGATTAGCCGTTCACCTTATGGGAATTGGCCAGTTTTGTGGGATTAGCCATTCATCTTAAGGAGCTCACTTTCATTCCCTGTATCCCAACCCTACTCTTTCTCTCTCCCTTGACTGCCTCCTCTCCTCATATTTGTCCGCATCTTTGTTAAATTCCATGAACCATCTTTTCAGTTAATGCCTTGGACTCCTCAATTCCTGACTCTCAACCCTTCTTTACTCATGGAGCATCACCTGTGGCTGGTTCAATCTACCTCCTACCTCCTCTGAACCTGAGCAGACAGGACATGGCTGGAAAAAAACCCTCCAACCATACAGCCTAGGTTCAATGCATGCTCTACTGCCTCTCACATCAAACACTCTCAATCCATCTCCTAGTTAACTCTTCTACACTTTCTCCTCCGTCTCCAGCTCCTCCACAACGTCCCATCTGTTAACCTGAGTAAGTCCCAGCAGTGAGAGAAAAACTTGCCCCCACCTCCAACTAGCCCAAACTGCAGCATCTCAACCAGGATTCCTGGTCCTGCCTTGTTCCTGGGCATGAAACAAATGGCCTATACCTCTCTACAAGCTACTCAAGTTACTCATCCTTGTGTTACTGCACTCATCAGCAGCATTTAGCACAGCTGATCCTTTTTCCTGAAAGTCTATTCACAGCCCCCTCAATCCCCAGCCACTGTTGTGCCCCTTGAAGTATCTCCCAGAGAATAGAAAAATGCTTTGGACAATCGCATATGAGTGGATGTGCAATGCCACATCTGAGCAGAAGCTGAAAGAACTGTTGTACATGAACACCATTTCCTCAGTTCAGGCATGGCCTCCAGCCTGGATTCTGGAATAAAGACTTGGAAGAGAAGTGGGGCTGATGATAGTCCATCAGTGAGGTGCAACATAAGAGAAAAAAAAAATGAAGCTTTCATATTGTAAGTCATTAAAATTTGGGTTTTGGGTGGATGTAATTCTTCCCCCAGTCTCTCTCTCTCTCCTTCTATCTATATCTTCCACTTTCTCCCTCTCTCTCTCTCTTTCTCATACAAGTGCACACATGCACGCTGCTTCTTTCCTCTTCCTCACTGTCTTCTCTCTCTCCTCCTCTTCATCCTTCTTTTTCTTCTAGTACACTTACTTCTCCTCTCTATCTACATTCATTGTGTTGGAAATGCGATTCAGTCTCACAACTGTAAATATCATCTACATGCTCATGTCTCCTGACCTTGTATCTCCAGCGTAGACCTCTCTCTTCATGTCCACACTACTGTACCCAGCTGTCTCTAAGACATCTATCTCTCCTTGGTTGTTCTTAACTTAAACAAAAGCAGTCTCCTAATTCCCTCACCCTAAAGTGCTCCTCTCACAATCTCCCTGTTGTCAGCACATGGCAACGCAATTCTTCCAGTTACGGCGGCCAAAGGAATTGGGGTTGGCCATAAGTTGTCTCTTTCTCATTCATTCTGCATTCTAGGAATAATCGATTTGTTGGATCTTCCTTTAAAATATTCCCAGAATCTGGCCATGGCTTATCTATCAGCTCTCTGGTGAAGCCAGCATCCTCCCTTGAGCGTATTATTGCAAAGGCCACCTAAGTATCTCCCTAAATATACCCACAGATCCTTAGAGCTCATTCTCCAACCAGAACTCAGGGTGATCTGATAAAAATGTAAATCAAGGCTCTCATTTTCATGCTCAAAATTACATTGTGGGTTCCAATATTCATCACGGAAAAGCTAAAGCCCTCTCAACGGCCTACTGTCCAGCACCTCTCTATTCTTATACCCCCACTTCACCCTCATTTTGTCAACTCTAGCCCAACTGGTCTTCTCCATATTCCTTGGACGCATCAAGGATTCTACAACTCCAGGGTCTTTGCACATGCTATTCCATCCTCATAGGAAACTCTTCTCTTACTTGCTTCAGATATCAGTATGACCACAGCAATAAAAATAATAACTGTGTGGGTCCATTCCTATTATTCCTTATCTACTTTATTCTGAATTATTTTTCTTCGTAGCAGGAATCACGATCTGAAATACTCCAAAATAACTTCCTTATTCACTTAAATTCCATAAAGAAACACTGTCCACTGTGGTCTACTATTTCACTACAATTATCAGCACCTAGAAAAGTGCCCAGATCATAGTAGGTCCTCAATGGGTATTTGTTGAATGAATGATTGAATGCCTATGTTGGGCAATCAAGGAGTTCACAGATATGAGCTTGGAGAAAATAGGAATCACTATCCTATCTAGTCTTTAGTTGGATAATTAAACAGATATTTTATGAGTTGATAACAGCAACAGAAATAAATTTCTGAAGTGCTCAATAATACAAACTGGTAAATACTAAACTTTTGAGTATGTGATCCCAAATTCTTAATGCAAAAAGCTCAAAATAACCACATGAAAAAAATCACAAATACTAGAAAGATTCTGAGGAAAAGAAAGTAACAATGATCATAAGGTTGACCATCTATGAGTGGGTAATAACGTTGGAAAAGAAACAGACAACAGCCTGGGGGTTGGAGACACAATAGGGAGCGGTGGGGAGTGTGACTATGGCAAAGTGAGTGCTGTGTCTAAAGGGAACAGCCACACCTCATCCACAGTCACATATAGGCCCCATGTTCCCAAATCTTTTCAATATTCAAAAGATGGTGTGAATGTAAGTTTTCATGTAAAAATTTACAACTTTTAAAGATGTCCAGAATTCTTACTTTTGTATACTTTACAGAGCGAGCAAATGTACCTATGGGTTTGAAATGGCCCATCAGTCATGAAGACGTGATCTTTGTATTATGGAATTAAGGTACCATTATATTTATATTACTATTGACAGTGCCACCATATTTATTATGATGACTAACACTCCAAAAAATAGCTCCAAATGTAGATTAGATAAATTAATTAACCTACTGAAAAAAATATGCATTGCATCTTGTCACTGATTCAGAAAATTGCTACGTAATCACAGCTACACAAAACAGAGGCAGGTGTGGTGGAGTGTGCCTGTAATCCCAGCTACTAAGAAGGCTGAGGTGGGAGGATCACTGAAGCCCGAAGCTGCAATGAGCCATGATTGCACCACTGCGCTCAGCCTGGGCAATTCTGATTTTTATAGCAAGCCCCTGCCGCAACACATATGTATACAAAACAGAGGCAAGAATCAAGACCTATAATGAAGAGGGACATCATAAAAAATGGCCCATCGACAAAATGATGACTACCCCCATACGAACACTGTTTTGATCATCATCATACACCCAGCACCTAGCCTGATGCCTGGCACTTATTTGGAACTAAAGAAAAATTTCTTTGTTGAATTAAAGAACTGTAGAACAGTACTGGGAGTGGCAGAGCTCCTTGGTAGCTCAGGCAGCTCATTATGATAAATGAAATTAGTAACTGCTACCATGAATTAAAGATCTCGCATGAGTCAGGCATTGTGCTAGGGATTTACATAAATTATCTCAGTAATCCTCACAACAGCCCCGTTGAGGTAGGTGTTATTCTTAGTCCCTGTCTGCCCATCATATAACTGCAGTGTTCAGAAAGTAAGGAACCTGCTGAATGTCAATGCTTACAAGAGCAAGAACCTGTATTCAAACTGGCTTCCTCACTGCCTTGTCCCTAGAGAGAAAACTATACTGGTTTCTTTATTCTATGTCCAGTAGAACTCTGTTGAGCTTGTTAATCAGATTGTGTAGCATAGATCACATTCTGAAGGGAAAACAGAGGTAGGCACTAGTGTGAAAGCAGGTTGCCCAGGGAGAAGAAAGGAGAGGTATAAAAAGCGTGAACAAGAATAAAAAATCCACAGGTGTTTGATTTCATTTAACACAGCCTCAAGAAACTTTAGAGAGTAGAACTGACCCTGCAGGCATCTTCTATGCTAAATAACATCTACCATGACAGCACTTAGTCAACAAGTCAAGGTGCTGTATCCTTTGTTACCTCTGTTTGAAGAAGCATGAATGTGTTTTTAAATGATTCACAATGAGCTTCGTCCAAAATCATTAAATTAGGAGGGAATTCTGCTTAAGGGCTAAGGCCTCTAAAAAATATCTAATTTAAATTTAAAATACACACATATATATACATACACACACACACACACACACACACACACACATATATATCGCCTCAATGGCAGAAGAAATCTTATGGTACATCAAAACCTACGTTTGAAAACATAATATTCTAGAATATACAAAATTATCTCTGTTTGAATTACCCTATGACTAACATCCACTGCATTGTTGTGTCTGACAAAAAAAAAGCGTTCTAGGTTCAACTCAGGTCTTTGTAATTGTCATTATGACATGGAAGGAGGGATATGTTGAAACCAATAGGAAGCCAAAAATAAAAACACACCCTATCATGCAACAGACATGTCAGGCTCTCATGCAATGAAAACTGTTGGCAATTAAAAAATCCCAGGCTGTTGTGGGTCTGTTTGCCCATGGAGATGCAGGAAGATGCTGAGAGAGAATATTCTTGCAGCCAGAAGTAATTCCTTTGTGTGTGTGTCTGTGTGTTTTCAGACATCTGGCAAATGCCTCCTTTATTCTTACGGGAAGAGTGATGCTTCACAACTACTCCAGTCACAGAATTTTCCATGCCATCTTTTGAACAAGCTACCCAAATTCTGTTCTCTATTCCTTTAATCAAAGTATTTACCTACTTTGAAGTCGCCATACAAAATGGGAAATTCCTGGACAGACAGATGGCAGTGGAGTCCTCTGAGACTCAGGTGCATTTCACAGGACAGTCAGGGGAGATAGAGCTTTCCACCTAGGTATTGCTCTTCGCTCCTCACTGTCTGGGCGGATCAATGCTTTTCTCATCTTCGTTATTCCGAATGAAGAAGGTCACAGTGCAAAGCTAGGAAAGCCACATTCCAAGGATTTCTGGTAAAGCAGTGGAATTTTATGGCAATGAAAAGAATCAGGCTGGCGAAATCTCTCAGAATTCCTTCTCCTTCCCTAAGTGTTGAGTATTTATAACTGCACACGACAGTTTTCAGATAAGAGCCAGCCAGTGGATGGAAGTGATAGGGAGGGAGGAAAGAATATAAAGTTCTTGGTTTAGAAATTAGAACTCGAGTTCCAAGGGCTCTTCACAGAGGGACCCTCTTTTCCCTCCAATTTACCCAGAGGCATGAAATCGAGAGGTGGGCCTTTATTTTTTGTTTTTTATTTTTTTCTTGAGATGCAGTCACACTCTGTCACCTAGGCTGGAGTGCAGTGGCACAATCTCTGCTCACTGCAACCTCTGCCTCCCGGGTTCAAGTGATTCTCCTGCCTCAGCTTCCCAAGTAGCTGGGACTACAGGCACATGCCTCCATGCCCAGGTAATTTTTGTATTTTTAGTAGAGATGGGGTTTCACCATATTGGTCAGGCTGGTCTTGAACTCTTCAGATGATCCACCTGCCTCGGCCTCCCAAAGTGCTGGGATTACAGGTGTGAGCCACCGCGCCAGGCAGAGAGGTGGGCTTTTGATTGCCCATTGGACACTTGGTACCTTCCAAGACCTCTACCGGCCTCAAGAAAATAAAAGAACTCCCAAGAAATTTTTAAGAGCCAGTCAAAAAGCAAAGCACTTAAAAGAAAAGGAACATCCTATTTAAAAAATAATAATAATAAAATGACCCAAGTAAACAAACTGGGATTCAAAAGAAGCAGATCCCTCCAATGGACAGAGAGACAATGATAGCGATATAAAGTTGGAACAAAGGGTTTCAAAGGAAGTCACACGAGATACCGGGGAGAAGAAATGAAATTGTTGAACTGGAGAGCACAAAGAACAGACTGAAATGGAAGGATACCCACAAACAATGCACATAGGAGCCAAAAGACAGAGATACATTTTCCCAAAATGGATCTGGGATGAAAAATGGTGGAAAAACATCCTCCAAATGCTAAAGTATGGAAGATGGAAATAGAAGTGTTACCAGTCCTATAAAAAAAAATGACCCAGAAAGAGAACAAAGAGAAAAAGACTAGGAAGAACTACATTAGACAGAAAGGCTGAGAATTTCCCAGAATGAAAGAAAAAAAAAGGCTTAAAAGTGAAAGTACTCACAAAGTAAATAATACGTTGATTTAAAACAGAACAAAGCAAAAACAAATTCCAATTTTTGAGTACCTCAAATGTAAACAAAATATGTCTAATTTTTCCAAGGAGAAAAAGCAGGCGATGTGCAAAGGAATGAAAACCAGGCTAATTGCAAAGCAACGTAGGATACAAAATGCAGTGGCTTCTCACCCCCAGCAAGTACAAGGGAAAGAAAATCAGCCTGGATTTTATGTCCAGTGAAACTGTCATTTAAATGATAGCTTAAATCCAAATCCACTTACATCACAGAAATCTTGACACAATATATTTCTGCAAGGAGAGGAACCCAGAACACAGCAACATAATACAGGTAACGACAAAAAATTATTCCGAAGAAACAATGATCTAAAATCAAATTTTTAACATGATCTAGAGCCCAGATTCTCTTAGAATCTAACACAGTGTGGGGTGATTGAGAGAGAGAGATGCCGAAGAGTAGAGAAAATGCTAAATCAATATCTTGTTTTGAGGAAAATTATGGATACTGAAATGTTTGATAGCTAATAAGACTAGATACATCTTCATTAAAATATAAGTGCAGCATAAAATGGGAAGAGGGAAATTTGATGAATCCCAACTATAAGGAAAAAAAAACAGAAGAAAGAAAAATATAATAATAAGGTCAGTAAAAGAAACTTTTAAAATTATATAATGGAAGTCAGGTAAAGCAAAAAAAAAAAAAGGTAAAATTTAAAAAGCATGATTGATAAATATAAAATATAAAATAAAATGTCAGAAGTGAAATCTATAATAATGATAACTGCAGAAATAAAATTAGAATAAAGATAAAATATTGATTAAAATACTTTTAGCAACATATTGTTGAAAAGATATATTTAAAATAAATGGATACATAAACTTGAAAATGAAGACACTAAAAATTTTAAATATAAAACAAAATATAAATGAAAAAATATCACAGGAAGCAAATTTAGTATCAAACAAAAATTGTAAATGTCAAAAATGGATAATAAATACTAGAAAAGGAATGGAAGATTAAAAAGGTGTAACTGACACTTTCATGTAACATCCTAATAATACAGCTTCAAAACATGTAAAAGGTATATAAGTACATTTTATATATACATACTACATATATATAACATAGTATATCCATATACATTAAATATATAAGATAAAGGACAGATAAGAAAAGATAAAATGTTACAGTAGAATAAAACACAACATTCTTGGAGTGATAAACTTAGGAAATAAAATGTAATTGAGGATATAGGCCAGTTGCAGTGGCCCACGCCTGTAATCCCAGCACTTTGGGAGGCCGAGGCTGGTGGATCACTTGAGGCCAGGAGTTGGAGACCAGCCTGGCCAACAAAGTGAAACCGCGTCTCTACTAAAAATACAAAAGTTAGCTGGGCGTGGTGGTGTGCACCTGTGATCCCAGCTACTTGGAAGGCTGAGGCAGGAGAACCACTTGAAGCCAGAATGCCGAGGTTGCAGTGAGCCGAGATCAGGCCACTGCACTCCAGCCTGAGCAACAGAGCGAGACTCTGTCCCTAGCCCCACCCACCAAAACAAATAAGATATAGAAGACTGAAGTAACCCATACATGTGATCTGGTGGGTATCTATGGAAACCTATGCTCCTCAAAACACACATTCTCACATATACACGTATATCTGTATTTGTATTTGTGAATATGTCTATGTATGTGTAAATGTGTCCATAGCTTTCAAGCACACACCGAACGTTTACAAAATCTGCCTTTCATAAAGAGTACTTTAAAGAAACAGCAGCATTCAGCACTATATTCTATCGGTCAACAGAATTAGAAATCAATAGTAAAAAGCATTCAAAATAATGATAGAACACTAAACATATACACACACACATCTATGTGTGTATGTATATGTGTGCATGTGCCTTTATGCTACCGTATAAACACAAAACAGTCAGAGTCCAGTGATAGTTCAAATGTCACATGTGAAAATTTGTCAGATGGGACTGAAGAAGTGCTTAAAAGGGATAATTAAAACTTCAAATATCTTTACAAGGTAACAAGAAGAATTGGAAATAAACGAGCCATGGAGGCAAGTCAAGAAACAGGAAGAAGAGAAAACAGAATAAATCCAAATAAATCTGAAAATAGGAAATGATCAAGGTAAGAGCAGAAATTAGCGAAACAGAGAAAAAACAGTTGAGCTAATTACCAAAATGAAAGCTAGTTTATCGAAAAGCTTAATAATATAAACAAACTTCTGGCAAGACTGACCAAGGAAGAGTAACATATACAACAAATAATGAAACAAATAATATACAACAATATACAACAAATAATATACAACAAATAATGAGAACAAATAGTCTTTAAAGAGGAAAATCATTTTTAAAATAACAAATAAACAAAGTTATAAAAAATACAAAATACTATTTTAATAGTATAAGCCCTGGTATTAAAAAAAGAAATTGAAATATTTGAGGAAAAAAACAAACAAAGCAACTTTACGCAAAGAAATGAATAAACTAAAAGCTATAAGTAGTAATGAAAGAATCACTAAAAATCTCCCACATAAAAACTCACCACCCAAGATAATTTTCACAAAAATTTTAGTAATTCTACTTATTTAAGTTTTCTTCAGAAAATATACAATTAAAGAAAGCTACCCAAATCCTTTTGTATGGACAGTTTAACATTCATATCAAAAGTATAGAGTGTATAACATCAGAAAATTATAAATCAAATTCATTTATGAAGGTAGATGTAGACAACCTAAGTGGAATATTTACAAACCAAACTTAGTAGAATAGTAGCTATTTTTCATATACAATATATTCCACTATAATAGAATAATGGCCATTTTAAAAATGTTTCTTTTAAGATTAAAAATGTGTTATTCCCGAAATTGAATATATATTTAAAAATATATTAATTTTCAGAGCACATTAATTATAAGAGAAGAATCATATAACCAGCTGTAGAAATGCCAGTTGATTATTTGGTCATAATCAACATTTATGAACAAAAGAAAACATTTTTTAAAAACTTAGAAAAAACTGGGAATTGCAAGTAATTCATATTATCTGATAATGACTGCATGCTTTAAAATCTCTCCTCAACGCTGCATTTACAAAAAAGATGTTAGACTCATTTCCTGTAAAATCATGAATGGGAACAAAAGTTTGTACCAACAGTATTCATCCTCGCACTGGACGTCAGTGGGCCATACAATGGTACAAGTTATAAAGGAAATGAAAATTACAAGTATTGAAAGGAAAGAGAGAAAATGGTCATTATTTGTACATAATGTCACCATTTTTATGGAAACCATGTAATTTAACAGAAAAGCTACTAGAAATAATAGGGAATCAAAAAAGATGGCTGAACATATAATCAATGTATAAAAAAGATCGACATTCTTTTATACCAGGAGTAGAAAATGTAATTGAAGATATCATTTGCAAAATAATAATAATAATCAATTAACACATAATGCTCAAAGTCTTTAATAAAGCTATGATTAGATCTCAACAAGTAATGAACTATGCCAGTTTACAAATGAGATAACATGAGCTTGGAAGATGTTTATTTTTCCTCAAACCAACATTTCAATAAATACAATTCCCAGCAAAGACAGAAGAATGTTGCAGATTTTGATACATTGATTCCATATTGTATATGAAAGAATAAATTCTACAAAAAGCAACGAGAATGTTGAAGATGAAAAATATATGGGCATTTGTACTATTTGAGTCATACTTTAATCTTGCAGGAATGGATCAGGAAATCAACAAGACCAAATATAAAGCCCTTGGATTGGCTGATGTATATATGATGAATTTTAAAAGCTTGTACTATTTTGTGGGGGGAGGAGTCTGTCCCCTTCAAGACTTTTCCTCATCTCCACTCCTCTCTGGTGTGGAAGGTAAATAAACAGGTTCACTCTTGCCTTCTGGCTGCTCCTGGGTTTCAGCCAAGGAAGACACTAGCAGGTAATCCGGAGGGCAGAAGGCGAGTAAGGCCTGTATATATGACCTCCAGTTCCCTCCCTGGTAGGTAGGTCCAGTTCAACCTCAGCGGGCATCAGCAACTTCACATAAGGACTCCACTATCCTGTCCCCATCTTAATTACATTTCTCAAGTTGCATGCCATTTATCCCTATCAAGGTCCTGGCTGACACCACAAATCATTGGGAAAGAATACATTGTAGCTGGGCACAGTGGTTCATGCCTGTAATCCCAGTACTTTGGGAGGCCGAGGGTGGATCACAAGGTCAGCAGTTCGAGGCCAGCCTGGCCAACATGGTGAAACCCCATCTCTACTAAAATTACAAAAATTAGCTGGGCGTGGTGGCGTGTGCCTGTAATCCCAGCTACTTGGGAGGCTGAGGGAGGAGAATCGCTTGAACCTGAGAGGGAGAGGTTGCAGTGAGCTGAGGCTGCACCATTGCACTCCAGCCTGGGCTACAGAGCAAGACTCTGTCTCAAAAGAAAAAAAAGAATACATTGCTTCCTTCATGTGTCAAAGCAATGTTCCCCTATTGGGGAAAAAAATAACATGAGATTCCCACCTCATTTCATATATAAAAATAAACTCTGCATGGATTAAAAACTGTCTGTATGAACAATGAAATTCTGATACTTATAGGAAAATGTTTTTGTGATGTTGGGGTAGAACAGGATTTCTTTAACAGGCACTACGTAGGAGAAACCGTTAGAAAGAAAAATATGTTGATGGCATTTTGCTACATTAAAACTAATGGTTTTGTTTCAATCAAAACCAGGAATGATGGGTGGGTGCCAGTGGGAGAAGATATTTACAACATGTAAAACTCAAAATGGTTGAGTTTGCTTTAATTTTTTAGAATGGGAGTTTTGCTATGTTGCCCAGGCTGGTCTTGAACTCCTGACCTCAAGAGATCCTCTGTCTCAGCCTCTTGGGTAGCAAGAGGCTACCACAAGGTGCAACACAGGTTGCACCACTGTGTCTGGCTTATGGTTGACTGTTTAAACCAGAGCATTCTCCCCTGTGTGCCCGTGTGTCTTCAATGGGTCATTAGGGAGTTGAAACATGGGGCCCTACGAAGGCTGGGACAGACTGAGGCACACACCCCTGGCAACATCTTTTTACACCACTGTAAATAGTCTCAGCAGAGAATGCGCCAAGCTATCATTATCTTCTATTTTACATAATATGCAACAAAACTGAGATGCAATAGAGTAAATAATACAAGGGAGCCCACAAGAAAATGACAGTCCACTCTAGTAAAAAACGATATGATGAAAATGTTTGTATATAATACACTCTGAATATTCCTCCATATCACTAAATATTATCCTGTAATGCCATTTTAACAGCTGGTATTCAATGCTTGTATTGTATCTCTAATTATGTAATGGATTCTACATTGTTAAAAATTTTGGTTACTTAATGGAGGAATAGAAAACAAAACAAAATATCACATGTTCTCGCTTATAAGTGGGGGCTAAACACTGAGTACACATGGACATAAATATGGGAACACTCCACACTAGGGACTACTAGAAGGGGAGGAAGACAGGGGGATGTGGGTTGAAAAACTACCTGTTGGGTACCATGTTCGCTACCTGGGTAATGGGATCTATACCCCAAACTTCAGCATCACACAGTATTCCCATGTAGCAAACCTGCAAATCCGTGTCTAAAATGAAAGTTGAATATTTTTTAATTTTTTTTTGCTATCATAAAACATGTAACAATGAACAACTATATATATATGCATTCTTCTGCACTTTCCCAGTTACATCCTATGGATAAAATTCCTTGAAGTGCAATGCATTCCCAGCTCATATTTCAGGCATTTATTTAATACTACACTACCCACTGCTGTGTGGTCTCCTGAAAAGATGTGTGACAATCTGTGTATCCTCCTGTGCTGCATGAGTGGGCATTTCACCCCATCCACAGCTAATGGGGTGGTAAATAACAGTGACTTTTAAGAGATGGAAGAGGAAATAATTTATAAAGTACCATGGCTGCAGAGAAAACTGAAATCTTCCTTTCAAAGAGAAAAAAGAAACAACAGGTCGACCATCCACACTGTGATTCACATACATTTGACAGATAATTATTGTCAGCTATACTTTCTGTGTTGCTTTCTTCAGCAGCTTGGAAGACCCAAGTGGAAGACACAACCCTTGCCAGTCAATAGAGTACTACTAGCCATGCACAGAGAAGGTCAGCAAGTCACCCCATGAAACAGAAAAGGGGAAATCAGTGTGTGGACCAGAGAGTACACATTGCAGGCAGGAGGCACCCTTGAGGTGTGAGCTGGCAGAGAAACCATATGAGAAACAAGCTTAGTTAGACCCTTCTATTGATGCTTGATTTTGCCTTGTACATATTTCACTAGCTAAAAAGACTAATAGGTATCCAACATAACAGTTTTTGCTCCAAAACATTAAATTCACCAATGTATGATTGCTTTTCAATAAGGGCTTCATGTATCCTTATTTTTGAAACGTTTCTCCTTTCCATTATGTGACAATAAACAATATGTTTAGGAGTTTCATTTCCGTGGCAAAAAGAATGCTTTGCTTACTTCATGGGTCTCACAACAGGGCAGGTGGGAATTGAAGAAGCCAAAGCAAAATCATGTACCCATGTGAAAGCCAGACTCCTTTTTTATAGTGAAATGTTTAAAAAAAAAAACTATTTTGGCTTAAATGCACAGTTTTCAATGTATATGCAAACTGTGGGGGAAAGAAAGATACCAAATCTTTTTTTTTTTTTTTTCTTTGAGACACAGCGTCTTGCTCTGTTGCCCAGGCTGGAGTGCAGTGATGTGATTACAGCTCACTGAAGCCTGGCCCTCCTGGGCTCAAGCTATCCTCCCACCTCAGCCTTCCTAGTAACTGAGACTACAGGTACGTGCCATCACACTCAGCTAACTTTTTAGTCTTTTTTATAGAGGTGGAGGTCTCGCTATGTTGCCCAGGCTGGTCTCAAACTCCTGGATCAAGTGATTCTCCTTCCTCAGCCTCTCAAAACACTGGGATTACAGGCATCAGCCACGAGGCTTGGCCCCAAATCTTTAAAATATTCCCCATGCTCCTTTTCTTTTTTAAAAAATGCCAATCTTGATTGGATTTTCCCTCACTCCTTCATATAACAATGTTATATATTTTACCATTTTGGCACTCCACATGAAAGCCTCTGAAACAGAGAAAAGGCCCCAATGTAAATACAGTTACTGTTGTTGTTACTATAAAAAAAGCCATCCATGGAGGTATAAAGCTTACCTAAAGCAAACATAATTTTGACACCAACCTTTCCTTTTTAAGACTGTGTGCTTTAACTTTTTCCTACTAAAACTCTGTTGCTAGTAGCATTACTTCTGTTTCATGCACTCACAATAAATCATAGAAGGCCCACTTTCCTGCCTCTTCTATAAAACTGGCAACAATGATGTTAATTGTGCATGAAAAATATATTAAAACTGTAAATCATCTCTATTTTCGAGCAGGATGCAAGAAACAAATGTAAAGTAACAAATCAAGTGCTGTTTCTTTTGCCCATATTTGGCCAGAGGCCATTATTTTAAAAGCACAAAATTAGAGCCCACTTTCATCAATTAGGCCTTATTCTTTGGCTCTTGAATCTAATCAAGAACATGTAAAAATGTATCCCCAATCCCATGGTAATGAGCACGGATTAATCCTGTTAATAGTGGTGGAAGGTTCTTTTTATGGTGCATTCTTTAGAGTATTCATATATGTGGACATTTTTGTGCCAACTGTATATAAAAAAAACCAAAACATTTCTTTTTGATGCTTTCTTCTCACTATAATTATGGCGTAGTGTTTGTCACTTCCTAATGGCTACAGCAAAATTCTGCTTTCTATTCCAAGCAATAGTAAATACATGTTTTTCTGCAAAGATGAAAAGACGATCTTTTATTTTTAAATACACCTATGGATACTCTTTTACAGTCTTGCCATGCCAATCAATTTCAAAGAATACCACCGATAAATAATATTTTGCAGCCTAACTTAGAAAGCAGAAACAAACATAAACTATATTTACCAAAAGACTATTCATGCATTAAAAAAAAAGAAATAATTGGGACAAAGATCTCCTATCTTCCCTGTATATGTTACTCTCCCCTTCTTTAAATGTTCCATGTCTTGATAAATTAGCATGGCATGCTAATCATCTGATAAACTAATCCAATGGTCAGCTTGTTCCCTATCTAATCCATTCTCACTTCTTTGGTGACTCTTGGAAATGAGATGGCCATACACTAAATAAATAAGTCTTTGGTGTTCAGAAATTCAGGCAGTGTGCCAAGATAATGTAGGGGCCAATCACCCCTCTGCAGAATAAATCAAATTACACCCTCTAGATGTCTGCTTAGGCTGAATCAAGCAAGTTAACAAATAACTGGCAGTCTCTGAGTCATTAATCTCAAAAGGCAAATCAGAGCTTGTCACTTTGCTGCTTAAAAATGTTCCTTCATGGGACTCCAGCTGTCAACATGATAATTCCCAAATAGGATCAATGAGATAATACATGCACACCAACTTCTGTAGCTTTGGAGCACTTTGGGGATGGTCAAGAACTGTGCATTGTAGGACTTGTCCCTTTTCACTGTCCCATTGGTGCTCCATTGCAATTTGGTGCCAATCTGTCTGCACAAGCATTTGTTCAATTGCTCCACATTCTTCAGTGTTCCCCAAGCACAACAATTTTCTCAGATTCTCTTCTTCTATAGGCTTCTACAGTCTACCTCATGTTTTCTCTACCTCAGTACTGTTCACATTAGGGGCCAGATCATTCTGAGGTGTGGAGGCTGTCCTATGCACTGTTAAGATGTCTAGTGGCATCCCTTGCCTCCATTCCCAGTAACACACTCCATACTCACAACAAACAAAAATGTCTTCCCACATTGCCAAATGTACACTGGAAGCAAACCTGTCCCCTCCCCAAAGTTGAGAACCACTGATATACACTAGGAATTAAAAATTGAGTAAGACAATGCTTTGACTTAGAGCAGGGTTTCACAACATCAGCACTGTGGGCATTTGGGGGCTGGATGATTATGTTTGTTGTGAGGGCTGTACTGTGCATTGTAGGATGTTTAGCAGCATCCTCTGCCTTCTAGATGTCAGGAGCACACACTGCCCAGATGGGATAATCCAAAATATCTCCAGACATTGCTGACACCCCCTTGCCAGCTGAATCTAGAATCAGTAAGTAAAAAACGATTACACATGCACAATACAGAGCCAAGTTTCTCAATATCAGAACTACTGATATTTTGGACTAGATAATTCTCTGCTGTGTGAGTCGTTCTTCTGCATTTTACCATGTTCAGCAGCATCTCTGGTCACCACCTACTCCATGTCAGTAGCACCTCCCCAGCTGTGACAACCAACAATATCTCTAGACATTGTCAAATGTCCCTTACAGTGGGGCCAAAATTGCTCTTAGTTAAGAATCTCTGCTATGCCTAATAACATTCTTCCACGTCTTCAAAATGCCATTGGAAATATCTCCACAACCGCTAAACCCATCTGAGAGCTCCAGATAGAGTTGGCTGCCCTGTCTTCCCCCAACAACTTGGACTTATCCCTCCTTTATTCATCCTTGCCCCAGTCCAGCATCATTGCTCCCTGTAGGTCCCCAAGGTAATGTCAATTCCTCAAGGCGGCCATTCAGACATGTGGATCAGCAGCTAGCACACTTGGCTCACTGAGTGATGAGGGGATGGTGTGAGTTCTCCTAAGATGGTAAAAATGGAGACAGGAGGGCATTCATTGTGTCAAAAGCAGCAGCTGAGTTTCGAACATGGTAAGTTTGAAACATCTCTAAGGTGGTTCTGTTTGTATGGAGTCTGGGGGAGCAACTGAGATTGACGCATAGAAACAGACCATCACCACAATCATTATTATCGCCATAAATTATCATCACAATAATTGTTATCTTCATTGCTATCATCATCATAACCATCACCATCACCATCATCACCATCGTCATCACGATAACCACCATCATCATTATCACCATCATCACTATCACCATCACCATCCTCATCATCACCATCATAACCATCATCATCACCATCATCATCATCATCTAGTAGTAGTAGTGTATAATTGTGTATATTTATTCATATTTTGATTGATTGTGTTCTTTGGCCACTGGGCTGACAGTGTTTTGTTTACATTGATTTGATTTTAAAGATCTACGGCTAATAATTCCTTGTTGCACACACACCTCCTAATTTAACTGAACACAGATATACTTTGCAACTATTTCATCTTGAAGGTCACTTCAGAAAATTATCTTGCATAAGCCATATGGACCATGGTTTTAAAATCAGGCTTTTATCATTTTTTCCTAATTGGTTTTTAATGACAGAAAGGAGTATCTGTTTATATGTGGATTAAAAATATTTCACGTCCAATTTTCTGTTTCATGAATATGTACATATATAAAATTTTTGCCATCAATATCACCTCTAAGGTCACTAAAAGGCAAATTGTTGGAATCTATACCCAGATTTTGAGTCACTGGAAGCCTGGATGGAGCCCAGGAATCTGCATTTGGAAAAAATTCATAGCAAGTTTGAAAACAATTGCTGTCTGACATGGAACTTCTGTACTCTTCCATTCATGTCTATATGGTAACTAGAAAATCCACATGCGACTTCATGAAGTTGGTCCTTTACATCAGGGGTCAGAAAACTTTTTAAAATAAAGGGTAAGATAGTACATATTGTAGACTTTGCAGGCCATATGGTCTCTTTTGCAACTACTCAACTTCGTCTTTGTAGTGTGAAAGCAGACATAGACAATACATAAATAAAAGGGCTTATTTGTGTTCCATTAAACCCTTCACAAAAACAGCAGTGTGATAGATTTAGTCTACAGGTTATGCTGTCCACCCTTGCTTCCCATCTCTAAAAGGAGGTCAGACCCCCTTTTAGCTAAATACTTGTCCTGGTTGAGCTTCTCAGCTTTCATAAGAGCACATCTGTCAATATTCTCTCTAGCTCGACTGATGACTGAAGGATGCTGCCCTGTAATTAACTGACCATACAGTGACTACACTTCATACGGTTGGCTGAGTGCAGGACTTCAAATTCACTGTCATTTGGTTTCTTTAACAAAACTTAGCTAAGAGAATCGATATTAATGTCAGGCTGTGGACTTCAGCCTTGAACGTGCTCCTCTGTCTGTCTGAAATGACTCTCCTCCCAGCAATTTGGTCAGTTACTGATTCTTCAAATTTCTCCTTAGTGCATTTTCACCCTCTCAGTCTGGGACACATGCTTCTCCCAGATGTTCTCACATCTCCCCAACTTGTTGCATCATTGCATGGATTACACTAAATGATGATTCCAGTTAGTTGTGCATTTTCCCCTGTATGTTCTGCAAGGAAAGTGATGGAACAACATTTAGCAAAGTGGCCTGACAATTAGAATAAGTTCAATAAATATTCACTGAGTGAATAAATAAATGAATAAACTACATGTTTGCTAATGCCTGGGGCCCATATGGAAGCAAATGTTAGCAAACAATCCAATGACACTTAATGTCGTAAGGATATTTAGTGGTGCCTACGTGGACTTACAGAGCTGCACAAGAATTGAAGACCAGGTTATATCACCAGCCTGAGAACTCACTCACAGCATAGTCTCACAAAGAAGTCTACTGAGCAGAAAGAGCAGGCTGACTGAGAAGGACCTCCTTTGCTTTTTGAAGAATTCCTTGTGAGAGAACTGGAAGCTCTTTTGTCAGCCATTTGCCTAATGTTCTACAACGAAACTCTTCCCAAACTTTCACCCTGCTAAACGCTTAGGCTGAAGTTTGGCCAAATTCATGTTCACCAGATCAGCTCCCCAAATTGGCTTATCCTTCAGTAAACCTAACCTTTCAGTTAGAACTCTTAAAAGAGATGGCAAGCACAGCATGTTGCGCCCACTCCTAAACAGCCTCATTCATTTGAGGTCACGTTTCCCATCTGGCATTAAATCTCAGACTATCTCTGATTTGCCACCAGCTGACAGCTTCCAGACCCAGGAGTGTCCCAGGAGGGTGACTCCCAACATAGAACTGCCTGGATAACATCCTAATAGAAATATCCTCATCTGTTCCTGTCACTTTATCTCTCTATGTCACTAAGAGCTACAGCTGTTTACAAACCAACAACAACAGCAACTGATATACAAGTTTTCTCATTTCTGAATGTCCAAGTTCCTCTTTTTAGCTGAAAAAAGGAAATATCCTAGGTAAGGTTTTGCCCCAAGTTCATCTCCTCTTCCATGAAGCAGCCATGCCATTCTTTCTTGTTTGGTACTATTTGTAATATAAGCAACAATGGACATCAATGAGTTTTGCTTACCTAGCATTCAATTTTCCTCTGGGGAGCAATCTTACTTCCATCTACCCTAAGCCTACTGGACTTACCCAATCTCTTCTCATTTCTGAAGAGTATACATAACCCAAGCAGTCCATATCAATTCAAGTATCTCTTTCCACTGGATATAGACATTGGTTGGCATGCAACTAAAATTAGGCCAGTACGCATAGTTGCTAGGCCAATGTGCTTCTCTGAGAAAAGGATGACATACTAGGAAATGCTGTTGACTGCCTACCACCACACACGGACAAGCCTCTCTAAGAAAGCCAAAGAAGAAACATGGCGCCAAAGTGCCAGATTCCTAACAGCAATGATTAGACCTGAGGACACCATTTTCGAAACTAAATGCACCGCTAGTAAATGGAACCCGAAAATCTCTTCTTTTCCCTTAAGTGAATTCAACCTGAATTTCTTTCACTTGCTAACTAATTGTTCCTAAGTAATTAAGGATTGCAAAGTCTCAAAATATATATCCCTCCAATGGAGACATAATATCTATGTAGAAGTTGGGTTACAATCTGGCCAAATTTGAAATCCATGTCTTTTTTTAGAAACAAGGTCTTGCTCTGTCTCCCAGGCTCATAGCTGCCATGAGCTATGATTGCAATGGTGCTATCATAGCTCACTGCAGCCTCGACCTCCTGACCTCAAGCAATCCTCCCACCTCAGCCTCTCAAGGAGCTGGGATTACTGTGCTCAGCTGAAATCCATGTTTTGCATATTATGCCACATTAGTTATTGACTGCTATGTAACAAATAACCAAAACTTAACAGTTTCAAGTAATGTATTTATTTTATGAGTTTCTGCATATCAGGAATCCAGGCACAACCTTAGCAGGGTCCACTGCTTTGAAGTCTCTCACTGATGAAGGTGTTGGCCTGAGCTGGGGTCTCATTTTAAAGCTGAATAACTGAGGAAGGTTCGCTTCCAAACTTATGTGGTTGTTGGCAGGATTCAATGCCCTGTGGACTGCTGGACTGAAAGCCTCTGTTCCTTGCTGGCTGTTGTTTCAGAGGCAGCTCTGAGCTTCTTGCCATATGCACCTGTTTAATATGGCTGCTCTTTCATCAAAGCATGGAAACCAAGAATGCAACAAAAAGGGTATACTAGTAAGACACAATTTATATGCTTATGTAACATAATCATGGAAGTGGTGTTCCATTATCTCTACCATATTCCATGAGACACAAACAAATCCAATGTCCTGCCTACACTCAAGGGGGAAGGATTTACACAAAGGCAGTGTCTTTCACTTGGAAAATGCCAGCCCTGAGAGACTGGAATCCAAGACCTACTTCTCTGGTGAGCAGGGGAGATAGGACATAGCCTAAAGGCTAAAAATGTGTCAGGGGAGCTTTGCCCTGGACAGAGCAGTGGGTACTGAGAGAGGATTTTAGGAACCAAAAATGCAGACATCACCTCTTCTGGCTTCTGGCATTCTTAGGCAGCATATGTACGCAGAATATACCTAATCCAGACTGCATTCATTTCTGGGGCTTTGTAACTAATTACCACAAACTTGGTGACTTGAAACAAGAACGCATTGTCTCACTGTTCTGGGGCAGAGTCCAAAATTAAGATGATTCCTTCTAGAGGCTCTTAAAGAAAATCCATTTCATGCTTCTGTCTTGGATTGAGTTGTTCTTGGTTCCTGGTGGTTTCCAACAGTGCTCCCTGGCTTAGGGATGAATCACTTCAACGTTTGCTTCCATCCTCACATGGTGTTCTCCCTGTTTCTGTCTTTGTTGTTGTGTCTCTTCTTACAAGAACACCAATTATATTGGGTTTAGGATCTTCCCTAACACAGTATGAACTCATCTTACCTTGATTACATTTGCAGAAATCCTATTTTCAAATAAGGTGAAATTCCTAGGCACCAGGAGTTAAGACATAAACAATTTTTTTGAGAGACACAATTCAACCATAACACAAGTCAACTCAAAACTCATGCCAAGAGAAAACTTTACTACCTATGACGTGGCCTGTCAAAGTTTTTAAAACACAGATTCTAACCTATGCTCTGCAGTCTTAAAATAACAATATCAAATCTCAAAGAAATTGATTCCTCTAAAGCTAGGACCTCACAATACCTTCTCATAGCTACTCAAATTTAGATAATGATGATGGCGATGACTCTGATGATATTTTTGATGATGACAAGTAACTACAAAACCTTAAGTTGAATGAAATGCAAGAGGAAGCTCATTTTATCCTAAGTCTTAGAATAAGCTTTCCCTAATGATGAGCTCCATTATTTTCCAACCTATGAACTTTAATTAATTTCTTGGAAATGATTCCTTCTGCATTCTATCAAATTATAGACCACTGCATTTAAAAACAGGCAACCAGCTGCTTTCTCAAAACTATAAACCAATTAGTTTATTGGCCATTCTATCACACATGTATGCTGCCTTCCCTCCTTGTAACACCTCAGGGGCTTGGCATTTCAGGGAAACGTGCAGTAAACAGACTCCTGGCTTGGCTGGTGATTGTTGTGCATTCAGCATCCGGTGGGAAAAACTGAGCTTCAGCAACAAATGGCTTTGCCTTGCTGTATATGCTGACATTTTGTCATAGGAAGTGGAGGTATTCTATTTTCTTTTTAATTTCTAAGGCATATTATAAAATATATTACTTTTAAAATATTACAAAAACTTGTGGCTTCCAGCTCAATATATATAAGCCAAGGGTTTAATGCATTTGACAAAAAAAGATCTCACATAAACTCTGGGTATATTCATAACCTGTAATGTGATGCATGAGAATAGATGCTTGACACTGAAGAGGATGCTTGCAAAAGACTACCTAGAAGGAACATACCAACATGTTTTCTAAGACTTCCAAAGCTATGTATTAGGAGAGAAAGGAAACATTCCAAATTTCTTCATCTCTGTTTGTAGAGAGTGCTCAGGTAAATATTGCCAACCCTTTCTCTGATAATGAAATTAAAAAGCTGTAAACGTCTTTATCGGTCAGGTTCAAAAAAAAAGCTGGGTGGCCAGGCACTACAGGTTTATTCATTTGTTCCATGTACTGAAGTATATGATTCATTCTTTTATCTCAAAAATGCTCTGGGTCTTCAAAGGGTTTACCATCTACTGGGGAGGGCAGACTCGTAAAATGGTGATTAAATTCAACTTCTAGGAACTCAGGGGAGGATACTTCATCTCTGCTTAGAGTGCCAAAAGGTTAATGAACGGGAAAATACTGTATGGTGAAAGAGTTTTGGTGAAATGACCTCAAAAGCTCCTTCTCCTTGGAAGATGTTATCATTCTGTGATTAAAGTCTAAGTTGACTCTATCGTTTCCGTCCAGGTAAATTTCCAGTATGATATTCAATATACCAAAATCCCCTCTTATAAAGCAAAACAAAAAAAAAAGTATAAAATGCAAAGATCCCTGTAGAATGTGCGATGGTGAAATTTGTTCTCATTATTATCTGATTTTAGCTCAAAATGAAATAATTTGTTAACATTTTAATATTCTTGGGAAAGCTGAAGTTTTCTCCCTAAGGCTTACTTCTCTATTTTTAAATGTAAACATTTTAGAAACATGCAAAATAGTATTATAACTTGATTTCATACTAGTTATCTGGATTAGTACATTTCCAATATAAAATTATGAAAGTACTTTACTAGAATAGAAATTTGGAGGAGACTGAAAGCTTTTGTATTAATGATTTAAACACCAGGTGATAAAAAGTATATTTGAATTTGGTAAGAATGGGACCTCATGTTCTTTGATTTAACTTTATTCTATAGTCTGCTAAAAAGAAAAGATAGGCATTAGAATTAGTTTGGATGGAATTCCATTTATGAACCCTCCAATGTCACAATGTAACAATTTAAAAAATACCCAAGTGAGTATTTTGCATGTTAAATTACAACATCATTGCACCCTCCTCCAGTTTTGTCTTAGTTTTATCTCTCCCTTCTCCCCAGTTTTGCATCTTTTATGTCTCCGTGCAGCTAAAGAAGCAATAAACAAGAACTTCCATTTTAGGAAACATAGACAGCATTTCCTCACTGCACAAACATGTGTTTACGCTCTGCATATTCACTCAAGGCTGGGTGAAAACTTTTCTATCAAGGATCCTCCATAGAAAACATCCACTTTCAGATTTGCCTCCATTTTCTTTTCCCTGAAATCCTAAAGCAGTCCCTGAAGACACTGCTTTTGATGAAACGTTGGTTTAGTTGGGTCACATATCAATGGGGCTTTCCCACTCACTTTTCCAGCAGCGGGTTTAGATCTCTCCAGATATCCACTTAGACTCACCCAAGGCCTTGTCTATGCTGATTGCAAATAATGATTTATTTACTAATAATTTTTAAATGAGTTATCTAAAATGCCTCTAAAGAAAATAAGGAATGGAAAAGAGAAAAAAATACCCAAAGAGTCTAGATTGGAATTAGGAGATCAATAGTGTCATTGGCCCGACTGGAGGCTAAAGTCCATATGTGACAGGCAAATGGGATGTTAGGTGAATATTAGATGTTCCCTTGTTGAGTGAATGACTGATTATGTCATAAAAGACAGAGAAGAGAGTAGAATGTAGCTAAAGACATCCATTTTAAGGAAGAAGAAAAGGAGTGTTCAAGAACCTACAATTTTCATATCTTGTTGAAACCCACCACAAGAGCTCCTTTGCCTGAGATAAATCAGTACCTGCTGCATTCTTTCTTTCTGATGGCAACAGGCACTTTCCCTGAGGCAAACTTGAGGACCGTGCAGACACCATGCACAGTAGACCAAGAGGATGTCTGGCTTGAAGGAGACTTTGGGATGTTTGGGGTTTCAGAGAGGAAGAGGATATAGTTTAGGTGTTGTAAAACTTGGCACTTCCCAGAAAATTGTAACATGTTTGATCTTAACTGAATTGTGGATATTTCTCCTACCGGGTTTCCTTCAATAGCATTCACACACAGACACACACACACACACACACACACACACACACACACACACACCACAGACCACATACCAATGCCTACCTTCACCATCAAAAGTCATCGTCAGATACGTAAAGTCTAACAAGGAAATGTTTCTCTTTTATTTCTTTTTTAGATACAGGGTCTCACTGTGTCACCCAGGCTGGAGTGCACTGCTGTGATCTCAGCTCACCATAGCCTTGATCTCCCAAGCACAAGTGATCCTCCCGCCTCATCCCCTCAAGTAGCTGGGACTACAGGCCAGCACCACCATGCCCAGCTAATTTTTTTTTTTTCTGGTAAGGACAGGGTTTTGTCATGTTGCCCAGGCTGGTCTTAACTCCTGGGCTCAAGCAATCCACCCACCTAGACCTCCCCAAGTGCTAGGATTACAAGAGCAAGCCACCACTTTCTAATTTGTGGAAATCTGGACCTGCTTCTCTGAACCTCAATATAGAATATTAGATTGAAATAATAAGGTGGAGACTACACTGTCTCATCTTTGCTTTATTTTACCAGTAGCAATTGCATGAAGAGATCACTCCTTTGGAGTTTTTCCCTCTGGTTCCCTTGCCTTTAAGCTGACTGTGTGATTTAGGTAGCTCTGATTTATTTACTGAGAGTGGATGTTTTTGATCTCACAAACTCTCTGTGGCTCTCAAATCTGGAGCTCACAACTTCTCGATTTCTGTTTGCAGTTTGGCTGTGACTGCACCAAGGAAAGGGGTGCTTAAACATAAAGACAAAATGTTAAACTAACTCATTATGAAAACAGCCTGGTTTTAGGAGAACCAGCCAACAGTCTAGTAAGATCGGATCTACTCTCAACAATGGCTTCCAGTACCCCACTCAGGCAAAGAATCTTGCAATGAAAGATAAAGTCATGGGATTAACATTCAATTAACCTGACATCAAAGTCTTAATATGCACTAATCTTATCTCTTTTATAATTATTTCTTATATAGTTGTTTACTCCCAAATCACAATAATTATAAAACAAATTCATAGGATGTATAATCATATTACTCTTATTTTTAATAGCTGAGGACACTAAATATTTAAAGGTTAAATGGCTTGGCTAGGCCAGGCACGGTGGCTCACACCTGTAATCCCAGCACTTTGGGAGGCCAAGGCAGGAGGATCACCTGAGGTCAGGAGTTTGAGCCTGGCTAACATGGTGAAACCCTATCTCTACTAAAAATACAAAAATTACCTGGGTGTGGTGGTGGGCACCTATAGTCCCAGGTACTCGGCAGGCTGAGGCAGGAGAATCACTTGAACCTGGGAGGTGGAGGCTGCAGTGAGCAGAGATCATACCACTGCACTCCAGCCTGGGTGACAGAGCAAGACTGTCTCAAACATAAAAAAAATAAAATTAAAAAAATAAATAATAAAAATTAATAGCTTGGCTAAAATAGTACGGAAAATAAATAACCATGTTCAAACCAGCAATATTAATTGACAACAAATAAGACTACAACATCTTAGGAAGCAAGACTCCACAAATAAATAATGAGCTAATTGTTTTAAATGGCCAAATATTCCAGTGGACTAGTTGTACCTAAAGTTTCTATCTCTGACAATTTCTAAAAAAAAATTCTTATGATATGCACTATGTGAAAATTTGATTTTTAATATATTCTAGGTAATCTGTATTTGTTCAAATTATGACAAGAATCTAAATTGCAAATTGAATTGAATTAAAATTCATGTATTGGAAGATTATGTACATAAGGGAAAATGTTCTTTGTTAGGAAAAGATATTTCTTAATTATTCAAACAGGCATAATTCATACTACTAAATAGTATTATTCCAAACATATGTAATTTCTAAACCCTCAATAAGATTATTACTCAGTATTCAAATTGCTGAAAGCTTTTTGAGCTGGGGGAGAGACACATGCTATCGGAAATCCACTCCAGTTTAACTGTGCTTACAAAAAATACTAAATACTTTTCAATTAATCCGTGTCAGGGAGATCTTTATTTAATAATCTTTCATAATTATCTTTACTTATAAGCTGTGTCTACACAATGTCAAACATCCAACTGACAGATGAAAACTGGAGTAATTTAATTATTTTCACCTAGTTGCATGTTGATGTTGATTGGTTAAAACATCTGTCTCACCGTGTTAACACAGTTTTCGTTTTTCACCTATATTTTGTGACTGTATGCGTACAATTGGACTTTGTGTGTCTAGACAAGAAGAGAAAGAAAATTAATTTCTCTTTAATCTCACACACAAAGAATGGTGTTACTGCCTTTTCACGGTTTAAGGAACTTTTCCAAAAAAGTTAATTCTAATCCTTTCCTAGTGATTAATTTCTCTAATTCACATATGCTCAAAATCCATTTGATAACACAGGCTCAAAAGGACTAAAGTTAGGAATAAAGCAGAATGATAATAGTGGGCTCTTTTTAAAAATGTTATTCCTCCCAAAATTCCCTTTTGTTAAAACCATACTAGAAACTGCCAGAAATGATGGGCTATTTATTGGTCTTACTTCTTAAGCTTACCCCTCTACTACTACAATAGTTATGTCACAGACGTTCAACATTTATTATGCCTAGACTAATATACATACCAGACCCACTATGCACATGCAATTTTGCTGAAATTTTCGGGTTCCCTTTTCTGTTATTAATGATGCTGCACTAACATCAGATTACAGGGTGCTTGTACGTGCTGGCTACTAAGCACTTTATATGGATTAAAACCTTAAACCTCTCAGCCGCCTCTATTTTAGACATAAGGACACTGTGGCCCAAGCAAGCTGGGTCACTTGCCCATAATGACTGATCTGCTAAGGGGCTAAACTGGCATTTCAACTCCAGCAAACAAGTTTTGGTTGGAGGAGGAAACAAGGTGTAGCTTGAAAAGGTCAGAGAATCACTTTGCCCAGAAGAGACCACAGCTTAAGGTGTAGCCGGAAGGAGTGGGGAACACAGAGGATTTTGTCAGCAGTGTTTGTAAGTAGGAAAATAAGACATGTAAAGGTGCAGCCGCGATCTTGAGTGAAACTCTGTGGAGACAGATGAGGAAAGAACAATTTCGGTATTTTGTTATATGTCATTCAAAGCCATCTACTCTGGAAATCTGTTATAGCTTCCTGAAAAAATTCTAAATGACCCTTTGGTACCTTTCTGTGTCAAAACAGTATTATCTTTTGAATATACCATTTAGGACAATTGGCCATGAGGCTATATTAACATGATGCAAAATGTCAAATTTGCAAAATGTCACTGGGCGTGGTGGCTCACACCTGTAATCCCAGAACTCTGGAGTTTGAGATGAAAGGATCACTTGAGGCTAGGGTTCCAGACCAGTCTGGGCAACATAGGAAGGCTCCAACTCTTTAAAAATTTAAAAACTAGCCAGTCATGGTGGCTGAAAATTGTAATGTAAATCTAATCAGGGATAATTTTTCATCGTTTCTTTTTTAAAAAATCTGCCACCATTTTCTAATTTGCAGACACCTGGACATGCTTCTTCTCTGAACCTCAATATAGTAGTCTCAGCCTATAGTCCCAGACACTCAGGAGGCTGAAGTTGGGGGATCACTTGCGGCCAGGAGTTCGAGGCTGCAGTGAGCTATGACTGTGACACTGCACTGCAGCATGGGCCACAGTGCAAGACCCCATTCAGAGACAGGGTACCTATCTCTCAAATTTTTAAAAAATACATTTTTAAAAATCTGAAAAATGTCTGCCCTAAAATAAGAATTGATATGATCTCCTTAGCATGCTTGAGCAAGGTAGAAAGCTCTAAGTGCCCAAGGGTGTTTTCAACTAGAAATTCTTGGAAGTAGAATCCCAGAATGGAGAGGGGTCCAGAAGGCCCGAAACCAAACAACTTCAGAGACTCTGAACTTTTGTTTTCAGAGTAATACTTCATTATGAATTTCAAATAATATTACAGGGTGATAAAACTCTTCCTTAGTTTTCTATTACCACTAAGACAAATCTCCACAAACTTAGTAAGCTTAGAACAGCACACATTTATTCTTTTACAGTTCTAAGGTCAGAGTTTCTTCCATGGGGCTAGAATCAAGGTATCAGGAGGGCTGTCGGGCTCCTTGCTGGAAGCTCTAAGGAAAAATCTGTTTCCCTGTCTCTTCCGGCTTCTAGAGACTGCCACCTGCGTTCCTTTCTCCTGGCTCTCTCATATTCAAAGCCAGCAATGTCCAGGTATCTCTTTCTCACGTTGCTTTACACCAACTCTGATCTCCTTTTGAGTCTTCTGCATCCACAGTGGAGGGTCTCTGTTAATATATATGAGAATCCAGGATAGATTCTCCCTATTGGAAGGTCTGCTGATTAGCAAACCTAATTCAATCGGCAACCTTAATTCCCCTTTGCCATTTGAAGTCATTATTTAAGGCAGAGTATTGAAGAAGTCAGGTGCCATGCCTCCAACCTATTCCCAGGTTCCAGGAATGGGCGAGTTGGCTGGGGGGTAGGGGTGGAGGGCGGTGCTTGCACATCTCTCAGGGACCATGACTTTTCTGCCTACAAGTACCTATCTCTCAAAATTAGGAATGCTTGTATCTCTCACAATCTCAGCCTCTAAGGCATGTCTGGCATATAATCGATGCTCAAAAATATTTTGGACAGTGAAGTGAAGTAGTGCCTGCTCATTCCAGACACCTTATGGTGAGAACTGTCCTTCTCCCCCTGCCAACTGGTATACACAAGAACAGCCCAGTTTTATCTCTTCTTACTCCTGAGTCAAGTGGGCCAATCAAAACCCCGCCCTGGGATTTTTAGTATGGAATTATGGAACTTTGTCCCTCACTGGTGGTACTGAGAAAAACAAAATGCAACTAACAAAAACTGCAGAGAACCCTCTTACTGCCATTTAAAGCAAGCCTATTTCCAGAAAGAAGCAAAGAACGAGATATGAAGATTGGTGATGTCCTTGGATTCAATGCTTCCAGGTGTGTCTAAAGTCTAGCTGCATCCCTGCCATTCTGCCAATCTGATTTCTCAACTTTTACAGTAAGTTTGGATATCCCATAGCCCTTCTAATAAATTTCCATTTTTTCCCTCAAAGTCAGATTGAGGCTAGGTTGCCTTCTACCATTTGAACACAAATATCTCTTGACTAATGCAGAATGCCAGAAAAGTTTGTAAGACCCTCAGAAAAGATGGGAGCTATTCAAGGATGAAAACCATGCTATAAATTATATCTTGAATTAGATCCAGTGGTATCTATAAAAGAAGCGAATACATTTTTTTTTTGTAAAATCGCTAGCAAAGCTGGTTGACTTTCCAGCTTCTTTCCCTGTTGTTCTCCTGCCACCCTTTCATCTTAGGTAGCTTGTCTACCCTAGAAAGTATAGGGTCAGCAGCTGTGGATAACATAAAAAAGTTTATGGGCCCAGTGCAATGGCTTATGCTGGTAATGCCAGCATTTTGGGAGGCCGAGGTGGGAGGATCACTTGAACCCAAGACCAGCCAGAGCAACATAGTGACACCCCATCTCTACAGAAACTAAAAAGATTAGCCAGGTATGGTGGAGTGCACCTGTAGTCCCAGCTACTCAGGAAGCTGAGATGGAAGGATCCCTTGAGCCCAGGAGGTTGAGGCTGCAGGGAGCTATGAGTGCACCATTGTACTTCACCCTGGATGACAGAGCAAGATCCTGTTTCTAAAAGGAAAAAAAAAAAAAAAAGAACTTTCATGATATGGCACTGCCAGAAACAGCCCATGCTAAAGCACAGCTTCTGTTACCACGCCACACTTAACACCCAAGTAGTAACAACAGCAACGATTGACACCAAACTGCTTAACATAGATTTCTGTGTTCAAATGTTCCATTCATCAGATGCTTTAATAGATGAATCCCTTCCATCACCCATATATTCTTCATGGCACAGCTCAACAACTTAACAGCTTCCATCAAGTTTTTCCTCAAAAAATAGCCTGTCCCTGAGCTGTCACAGAGCTTTCTTTGTTCCCTAACTAGGATGCTCTGGCTTATTATCTACCTCTAGGTTTATTAACTGTGCAAACTCCTACAGGTCATTGTCCATGTCGTGTCTGTTTATATTTCATCATAAAGCTCCATGTTTTCACCAAATAGGTCCTCAATCAACAATCATAGCAAGCTTACTTAAGTCATAGTATTCAAAGAGTCAGGTGTCATCTTGGGGGAAAAAGATGATAGGGACACCTTGCATCCAATAATCTGTTCTTTTTTAATATCTTCCTTTTTCAATTGTATTGCTAGCAAAAAAAAAAAACAACCCAAAATTTCACTTTTCTAGAAATCATAATGGCATTTGCTGTTATGCTACAATGAAAATACAATGATAATGAGTGGTGCTTTGTTTTGTTTTGAGAGGGATTCTCACTCTGTTGCCCAGGCTGGAGTGCAGTGGTGCGATCTCGGCTCACTGCAACCTCCCTCCACCTCTCGAGTTCAGGTCATTCTCCTGCCTCAGCCTCCTAAGTAGCTGAGATTACAGGCGCACACCACCATGCCCAGCTAATTTTTTGTATTTGTAGTAAAGACGGGGTTTCACCATATTGGCCAGGCTGGTCACGAATTCCTGACCTCAAGTGATCCACCCACCATGACCTCCCAAAGTGCTCGGATTAGAGGCATGAGCCACTGTGCCTGGGCGATAATGACTTTCATTTATATTTTCCTTTATATTTCCCAGTATTTTTAGTCCCATGATGAAGAATGGAAGGGCTTCTCGCCCCTGAAATCTTTCAAGAATAAGACCTTAAGATGTATGTCCAAGGATCCAGAGAAAAAGCACAGGTGTAGGTCACTCAGGAAGTGGTTCCATGGGTCTGTCCATTTCCCAAGGCAATCTGGACTCACTTGTGGCTCTTTCTCCTCCAAGCTTTATATTTAATATGATATCTTGTCTGAGCAACTCCTTCAAAATGTGTCTTTTATTTTTCCCTTACTTTTTAACCTCACTTCTAAACAGTATCACTGGTTCTCATTAAAAACCTTAAGTGTTTCCATAACTCATCTTTCTGTGTTCAGTCTCCTTGGGGACCAAGACGAATCACGAACTGTACTGCCATCCCCTCATGTATGAACTCAAGTGGACTTAGTATGTGAGACTGGAACTTCTCGGCTTGACTTTCACAATTTATGTTTAATCAAGCTACCAAGCCATATTCTGCATTGCTTCCTCAAAGTAGTCACTCAGTCACACTCTCTCTGCTATCTCTCTCTCTCTCTCTCTCTGTCACATACACACACACACACACACCATGCAGATTCGGTCAATCGGTCTCCAACTGTTCCTTGTCAACAATGGCCCACGTGTCCTACTAGAGCTTCCGACTGGCTTGACTGACTTTGACCTTATTTGAGCACCTATCAAAAGGTTAAATATGCAATTCAAGTTAATTAATTAGCCTGTTGTCTAACAACAAAGAGAAATTAATAACCTATGAAAATTTAAATAAAGAAATTTGTAAGGTAGGAAATAGTTATAAAGACCCAAGCCTAAGTTTAGTAGATCATGATGCCAGTTTAAATGAAAAGACTCACCTTCAGCAAGACCTGATTTATTTTAAAGGGAATTATAAAAAGTATTGTTTTCTACAGAAAAAAAATATATGTTTCATAAACTATTGTACTACGAAGAAATTTCCAACACTTTTCCTCATGCAAGTTAGTTCTTAAATGTAAGGATAAGTACGTATCTAAAATAGTCTATTTTTGTATTTTTAATATACCTACACATTTTATGAAAGTAGAAACATAGAAATTTGAGCCAATCTGATCAAGGCAGAAAGACAAAGCTAAACAAAAAAAGTAGATTTTTGCTGTTGTTATTGTTTAGATTTGTCTTTCTGGCTTTGTCAGACTGGTCAGAGTGGAATTTTGAATTCCAAATAATAATATTGCTCTCTCTCCTGCTAAATAAAAGCATTGATCTGAACTGAGATACTCCCTAAGAGAAGGCCTTTGGAGAGAATCAGCATGATGCCAACATTTCAATATGTTGTGGATGCGGAGTTCATTCATTTAGTGAATAATTAATAATTAAACATCTAAAGCTCTGCATTGGTTCTTTTTTTGTTTTTGTTTTTTTTTGAGACGGAGTCTTGCTATGTTGCCAGGCTGGAGTGCAATGGCGCGATTGTGGCTCACTGCAACCTCCACCTCCTTGGTTCAAGCAATTCTCCTGCCTCAGCCTCCTGAGTAGCTGGGATTACAGACACGCGCCACCATGCCCAGCTAATTTTTGTATTTTTAGTAGAGATGGGGTTTCACCATGTTGGCCAGGATGGTCTCGATCTCCTAACCACGTGATCTGCCTGCCTCGGCCTCCCAAAGTACTGGGATTACAGGCGTGAGCCACCGCGCCTGGCCTGCACTGGTTCTTCGTTGATAGAGTTAAGAAAACAAGCAAGCAACCAAAAATAAAAACTCCTAACCCAATAGGCTGTGACTTGTGGATGGTACAAACATGCAGGGCTGTAGCTTTGAACTCTCACCAGCAAAATTCTAAAGTTTACACATCGTGGGGAGATCGATTCTACCTTTTCAGTCACTATTAGATTTCTGATTCCCTTGTCAAGATCATATGCACATATTGCTTCAAAAAGCCTAAAGATCTAAACAAGTGGAACTGGGTTTATTATGAAGTTTGGATTACTTTTTCACTGAATAGCATTTTTCACATATTTACATTCCTCAAATTTTAATTCAATACCGAATTGCAATGAAACGGCCACACCGTTTGTGGTCTCCATCCACACAATTGTACATACAGGGCTCTGCAGTCAGGGAGGCTATTGATTCTTTTTCATGGGTGGTCTCATTCTGTCCAACTCCTATATGAGGAGGCCTTCTATTTGAAGTGCATTCATTGTTGCCAAGGCTAGCTCTACAAAATCACCAGACTCTAGCACATCCAAAGTATTATGAAAGCAATTTTAACCCTTTGTCCTGTTTGGGGGGTTTTCTCCCCATTTTTGTCTTCCTTTCTTTTTGGTTTTTGTTTGAATAGTTCATTATGAGAAAGATCTCAACCCAGGTGGCTGCTCAAATGAGAACCCTAATTGCTTTTGAGAGCTCTTATTCATCTCACACACACACACAAAGAGGGACTGTTAGGCACGGAGACAGCTCAGAACACCCCATGGAAGTACAGCGTCCAAATGTCAGTTTAACTCCTTGAATCACATTCAGACCTGGACTTTATGAGATAATTGAGAGGTCTGTCACCATAACGACAAGGGCAATATGCCAGAAACCACTAATATAATGAAGCAGAATCCTTTAATTTCTTTCTCTGGGCTGTTCTTTGTAATCTCAATGACAATTTGTAACCTCAGTGACACACAACCCTGGTATGGTTTTTCATGACACTCTACTTAAACTATCTGGCATTTATATGGAGAAAGAGTAATCTGATAGATGCAAAACAATTTTGGAGATCAGTGGATTAACGTCGTTGTTGATTTACTATTTTCAGCCAAATCTTACTGAAAAATGTTTTCCAGGGATTGAAGTTTAAAAAAAAAAAAAAAGAAGAAGAAGAAATTTCTCCATAAAAGAAATTTATCACACTTTCCACGAAGAACTTTATACAAAGGACACACTCTAGTTTCTACATTAGATACATCTATCATTCCCACAAATTAACTTCCTTTCTTTCCAGGTATATTTTATTCTCTGTTGTTCTTTCTCCTCATCTAAAAACGGCATATGGAAATGCTAACTGGGAAATGTGATACCATTATGGCATACTTTAGTCTGGTTATTCTTCCAAGGAAATCTGAATTTGAAATCTATACAGACATAAAACTATTCATGTTTTACTAACATTAGGTTAATATATTAAACGTTATTGTGTCTACAGACTTTCATTGTTGTTTTATATAAAAAAGGAAATTTTTAAAAATACAAACGCATTCATCTCTAATGTAGCTAGAATCATCTGATTACATTTTGCCACTTGATTGCAGCGAATATTGGAAGAAAAGAACATCCAAATTTACGTTAAGAAAACCGATTCTAAACAATGAAATCCAACCATTGTATGAACTATCCCCTACTTGTATATTAAAAACAATCAAGTTTTTCTTTGAAAACTCAAAAAAGGTGCTAATATCTTAAGTCATTAAGGCAGAAAGAACCATTTTCTCTATCTTTCAGTTTGCAAACTGGAGCATAATAGTGTACTTAATTCTATTATTTTTCTATAGATTCATTCCTTTACAGATGATTCAGGTATAACATGCAACATTATATGCTCATATTTATTTTCATCTGCAAATAAGCATTATAAAAAGTTAAGAAGGCAATATATGAAAATAATTAAAGTTATTATTTATAGTTTTGTCCAGTCAGTAGATGGCCCAATACATACAAGTGGAACATGTGGTAAGTTGCTGCAAGAATTGCATTTGGAATATGAAAAATAAATTAAAATAAAATAAACGGGTTATAGAAGAGATCATGCATGAGACATTATAAAACCCTCCTAGCAAATCTCTCTACACACTGCACAAGAGGTATTGTTTTCTGTTCCAGTGAGGTACTCACCATCTTCCGTGGGCACGTAGATGTTTAAGTAAAGGCAGTCTTCATTTTGATCTTGAACATAGGTCATCAAAGTATCCAAATTGGCGGTAAACCAGATGGGCAGCATGTCATGCAGTAAGGATCTCTCATCCAGGTGCTGGGGGCACACAGCAGCAAACTGAGTAGTATTTCGGATGCCAGTCCAGGAGGACGGGGGTTCTGGGGGCTGAAACCGCCTCTCTCCAGTGGGGGGTGAGGCATAGGGGACCCCTAAGTACTGCTCCACTGGACCCAAGATCTCATTGGGTAACGGTGTTCTTAGGCCCCGGATTTTGCCATAATTTGTGTTGACAACTGGATACTGTGCTTGGCTGTCAATGAGGGTGAACTTGATGGCAAGAGCAGTTAACCACAGGAGGACATTGGAGTTTAACATGACGCAGACCGGGGTGAACAACAAAGGAAGCCATAGCAGTCCCTGGGGCCGTGACATGGTTCAAATCTGCATCCACATCCACAGCTGTCCCAGTGATGTGGCTCCAAGGAGACAAAGCCCAGAGGCGAGCCTGCAGAGAGATAGGGCTTTCCAGGGAGCAGTAGACCTGGGAGAGACTCTCAGACTGATCACAGACAGAGCCTGAGGTTAAGAACAAGCACAGCCGTTTTCTTGGCAGCCCATTGCAAGGAGGCAGCCCTCCCTTAATCCTGAAACTGGATTCCAGCAACTGCAATGCTCCAAGGAAGCTGTGATCATCCAACACCTCCAGGGACAATTTCTTATGAAAACTCCAAGGCAGCCTAAAAGAGGAAGAAAGCAGACAAGAATAATGAAGCCACACAACGACCACCTAGAACACTGGCTGGCTCTTCCACGAAATCCACAACATCTCTCTATGAAATTCCTATTCATTTGTATAGAAATGTGTATAGTGCCATCTCCACATAGTAGGCAACAGCAAGAACATCACCTGTCTTTATTTATTTTGTTTTTTTTAGAGATGGTGTCTTGCTATATTGCCCAAGCTGCAGTGCAGTGGTGCTGTCATAGCTCACTGCAGCCTCCAACTCCTGGGCTCAACCCATCCTCCCGCCTCACCCTCCCGAGTAGCTGGGACCACAAGCATGCACCACTATGTCCGGCTAATTCGTTGGATTTTTTTGTAGACATTGGGTCACCCTATGTTGTCCAGGCTGGCCTCAAGGGATCCTACCCCTCGACCTTTCAAAGTGTTGGGATTACAGGCATGAGTCACCATGCCTAGCAGCCACCACTTGTCTTAATTCCTCTGTACATCCTATCACCATGAACAATGCCTGACATTTAGAAAACACTAAACAAATCTGTGTTGAATGATCAAACAGATGTTCAAGAGTTATACAGGTTATGCAGATTATAGTAACAACACCTCCCAGTTTTGCTATTGTTTACCAGACTGGTTATCAATACATGGGTACTTCCAAAACACTGTTTCTCAAATGTTTAAGGAAATTGTCACATTTTCCTAAGGAGACATGCATGGAGCTCTAAAAGTTTTCCAGTAGGAGAAAGATGGAAGCATGCATCCAAGTCAATCTGGCATCATGATGTGGATATTTATCAGGCCACAAAGGGAACATCATCAAATGAAAAGAGTGTAGACTTTGGACACAAATTCTCCTTGGTCTGGTCAAGTGCATATATATTTAGGCTACACACTTCACTGCTCTGAATCTCAGTTTCCTTGTAAAACACTATACAAGATGGTGCATTTCAAGTACATGCTGTAGTGCTAGTTTCTTGAAGACTTCATTCATAATTAAAAGTGTTGATACAATTATCCTGACTTTCCAGTAAGCCACTGCATGCCTTAGAGGGTATCCTCTTCACCCTTCAGCCCATTTAAAAAGCTGAGGCTGCATTTGAGTTACTTTCCCATTGAGCCTGGAGTCAACTTTTAAAGGGTCACCACCTCAATTTGTCTTTACATAGATAATATAACTATCCCTACATAAGTCGCTGCTCCTGTGACAATAAAAGAATGCTGTGCAGGAATGGACATTATGTTGTTAAATGATCCCCTAGGAACAGAAAATATTTCACTAGGTGTTGCAAGGAGGGTGCCTTTAGCATGTTCTTCAACTCAAAATATACAAATGTGTTTCTAAGGATTTTGTGGGTTATTCAGAGCATCTGCATCAGAAAATAATTATCCATTTCATTTAAGTAATCAGTTGAACAGAATACATCACATGGCTTTTTTTTTTTAAATAAAACATATTGGAGCTGGATCTATCACAGAACAATAATACAATGGGGGGAAATTCCATAGTACATGACATCCTGGGAAAAGTTCACCAGAGTTGGATGAAAACGCACTGAAAATCTGGATTATAACTTTGAAAGTGACAAATAGCATCTCACCAATGACTGATTTAGGTGTTTGCTTCTATCTCTGAATTCTACTGTAGACAACATTTGGATGTCTGCCATACAGCAATCCCATTTCTGAATAATTAAGAGACAGACAAGAAAAACAAAGAGGTGATGTCCTGTTTGGTTGCTTCTTTCCTGAAAGATTTTTAACCAGAGGTAGCTGTTACTTTCAGCCTGGGGGCCAAAACCACTCTCAAATATTTAAAAGCTACTTGGGACTAAATGAGATAGTATGTATCCTCAAGGTATTGCACATTCCCTGAAACACAGAGCTCAATAAATGTAGAATTCAGTGGGTGGACTTCTTCCAAGGTATATAAAGTTAGTTCCATAAGGAATTCCAGCCCACACCTTAAATTCTCAAACTCAATGTGAATGAGACTATGAGTCACTTATTGGTTATGACTGATCCAGCTGTATGATCAAAACCCTCCTCTGCCTAAATCTACATCCCACAAGGTCCTGATGGGCAGTGAGCGATTATGAAGCAGCAGCAACCTAAGAAGACGCGCCCAAGGGCATCTGTACACTTACTAGGTCTAGATTGGGCATTCACAATATTCACAGGTTGAGAGCTATCTTTTTTCACTCCCTTGTTTTTTGAAATTTGGCTAATTTGCACAAAATTGCTATAATTAAAGCCCAGCGTTTCCCCATCTCAGTATAAATGACATTGTGAACCATATAATTCTTTGTTGTGGGGGCGTCGCCTGTACAATGTACAGTATTTTGCAGCATCCCTGACCTCTACTCACTAGATGATAGTGGCACCTCCTACCCAGTTTTAACTATGGAAAATGTCTCTAGATAGTGCTAGGTAGCCCAGGGGCCAAAACCACCCTCAAGGGAGAATTACTGGTTTAAGGCATCAAGTATAAAATTATAGTGGCTGTGTAAATGATTAAGTATCTGTAGGTATATTTAGTGAATATAATTAGTGCTGTCGTGTATGTGTGTGTGTGTGAAAATATAGTCATATTCAAAAAATTGGCAACTTGTAAATTTTTAGCATTACAAGAAATGTTGATATTGAAGATATCAATATTTATTATTGATATCAATCAAATGTGCATTATCATCATTAAAGAACCACTGTAAATTTAACCAACCTACATCCTTGTGGGGAAAAAAAAAAACAAGATCTCCCATGTGAGTTTCAAAAACTGAAAAGGATTTCACAAAGGGTGAAACGTGGTTATTGATAGTTATTCATAAATAGGTAGATATTTAATATCTCTAAGATAAAGAGGATATGCTACAAAATGAATTCTAAAATTGTTAATGGATTAAAAATTTTAATAAAAAAGGTGAAAACTTCATTAAATATATACATATACTTTGGGAGTGAAGAAGGGCTATATAGCATGTATTCTCTGCAAAGACTGCATAAAATAATAATATCTCAGAATGGCATTTTGACTAATTTATAACTTGATTGGGTATTTTAAATGATTCTCTGCAGGGCAGTTATTCTGACTCAGGTTGCAATTAAGGTGAGGCTCACACTCTTCAGGCCTATCAGAATTTAAAGTGTTCTGAATAAAAATTGTAATAAATTTCTCCCCAAAGTATACATTCCTTAAATTGAGATTGGTTTAATTTTAAGATACGTATTTAATTAAGGTGAGCCCTGATGACAGGCATTTTGGTATCTGGACCTTAAAAAGAATAAAGTCACATCTCCTGGGTGTTTATGGCCTTGTCTTTCAAAGGCCTGGGAATATATTAGAAAACAGGAAGCTTTGTAGATGCTTTTAAAAAAAAATAGGATAACTGAGAAAGAGCACCCTTCCCTGTGTTTTACTTCCAGCCACGCTGAACGTCTGGGCCCACTGAGATGTCTGCTGCCAGGAGGTTTCTGAGAACAAGAAGCACTTGAGACATCCGCTTCCATCTCACATTCATTACGGAGCATCCAGAAAACAAAAGCAACAGAATCTGATCCTTGCCCAAATTACTGGGCTTGTACAATAATCCTTCTATACTGTTCACTAAGAAAGTCTAGAATAGCTATTCCCAAAACTCTGCATAAGCTACAGACATCTCTGGCTTCCTTTTCTTTTGTGTCTAGTGGAGACAACATTTTAGGGTACCTGAGTGGGATGTGGCTTATCTTTTGTTCTGAAGCCCAAAGCTCTATGCTGTTACCAAAATGAATGACCACTCTCCACGCATGGCCATGCATGCATGCACACACAAGTCCTCCATCCCTGCTCAACATCCATCCAACACCAGCAATCTGCCACTTTGTCTATTTTTGTACATGTAGATATTTTAATATTCTGGTTTTTATTTCCCCTCCTACATAAAGGAGATTACAATCTAATTTGCCTTTTGTCAAATCTTAAGAGTTCTTTGCACAGTCACCTATGCAGTTTCTATTAAATCTAAAAATGAAATCCCATTTAAAAATCCACCATTTTTCACCAGAGAAATGCAAGTCAAAACCACAATGAGATACCATCTCACACTAGTCAGAATGGCTATTCATAAAACATCAAAAAACAACAGATGCTGTTGCGGCTGCAGAGAAAAGAGAAGGCTATATACACCGTTGGTGAGAACGTCAATTAGTTCAGCCATTGTGTAAAGCAGTATGGAGATTTCTCAAGGAACTTAAAAGAGGAACTACCATTTGACCTAGCAATCACATTACTGGGTATATATACAAAGGAAAATAAATTGTTCTACCAAAAAGACACATGCACATGTATGCTCATCACAGCACTATTCACAATAGCAAAGACATGGAATCAATCTAAGAGTCCATCAACAGTAGATTGAATAAAGAAAATGTGATGCGTATATACCACGGAATACTATGCAGCCATAAAAACAAATCAGCCGGCGCGGTGGCTCACGCCTGTAATCCCAGCACTTTGGGAGGCCGAGGCAGGTGGATCACGAGGTCAGGAGATCGAGACCATCCTGGCTAACACAGTGAAACCCCATCTCTACTAAAAATACAAAAAATTAGCTGGGCGTGGTGGCGGGCACCTGTAGTCCCAGCTACTCAGGAGGCTGAGGCAGGAGAATAGCGTGAACCCAGGAGGCGGAGCTTGCAGTGAGCCAAGATCGCGCCACTGCACTCCAGCCTGGGCAACAGAGCGAGACTCCGTCTCAAAAAAACAAAACAAACAAACAAAAAAAAACAAATGAAATCATGTCCTTTGCAGCAACATGGATGCAGCTGGAAGCCATTATTTTAAGTTAATTAATGCAGAAACAGAAAATCAAATACCACATGTTCTCACTTAGAAGTGGGAGCTAAACATTGGGTACTCATGGACATAAAGCAATAACAAACTTGGGACTACTACAGCAGGGAGAGGGAGGGGGAAAAGGTAGAAAAACTACCTGTTGGGTGCTATACTCCATACCTGTGTGGCAGAATCAACTGTACCTCAAACCTCAGCACCATCCAATACACCCAGGTAAAAAATCCTGCAGATATATCCCATGAATAAAAAAAAAAAGTTGAAATTTTAAAAAATTGTCAAATAAAGATTGAATATGTTTAAGGTAAAAAAAAATGTTATTGGTATACACACAAAAAAAATTTACCATTTTGAACCATTATCTTTACTATATATTAAGCAATTGGAGAGTAAAAATGTGGCCAGGCATGGTGGCACATGCCTGTATTGCCAGGTAATTGGGAGGCTGAGCCAGGAGCATCACTTGAGCCCAGGAGTTTGAGTTTAGCCTGGGCAAATTAGCAAGACCCCATCTCTTAAAAAAAAAAAGGATGCCAAATGTTCTATCTTCAAGATGATCTTGCACCATATGGCAGCTCAAGGTATCAACTCCATCACCTCCCTCACCATTTCTGTTCTTCCACTGAAGTTTAATGGGTCAGGAACATGCATGAGCCATAATTGTAGAAACCAGAATTTTCAGCAGGGGCCTCAGCAGAACCCAAACTAAACCCAAGGGTAAAGAGTTAATGGCTTATATGTTGCCCAGCCAAGACGAATTGGATAAGAGGATATTCCACAGATAGGAAAGACAAATATACCATGAGGAATAGGGCATACATCTTTCTAGAGTAAACTATGTGGACAGAAAGATCCTACACCGACCAAAGAAATAAGACAACACCAAAACTTAGAAGTTGGCTTAGTCCATTCAGGCTGCTGTAACAAAATATCATAGCTTGGGGGGCTTATAAACCACAGATATTCATTGCTCACAGCTCTGGAGGCTGGAAGTCCAAGATCAAGGCATGGTAGATTCAGTGTATGGTGAGGGCCTGCTTCCTAGAGGGCTGTATTTTCCTTATAACTTTGGAAAAGGGGAAAAGGGCAAGGAATCTCCCTGGGGTATCTTTTAAAATGTCATTAATACCATTCTGGGGCATCCACCCTCATGATCTCATCAGCTCCAAAGGCCCTACCTCCTAGCACCATCACTTTGGGGTTACAACGTCAACATGGGGATTCTGGAAAGACACAAGCCTTCAGACCACAGAAGTATCCCGTAAAGATCACTATGCTAGGTAAGGGTACGTAATGGGGTAAAGAAGGAGTTCCTGCCCACTAGGAGCTTACATTCTCATGAAGGTATCTATCCCTACCTGTGATGCATTTTTTCTTCTTATTCATCTTCTGCATATCTAAAGCTAGCACAAGGACTGGCAAATAATAAAAGTGCGTTAATGCTTGATTTTCTGTGTGAAATTAAATGTTTTCCAGACACAATTTCTAAATCTAAATCAAATGATTTGCAGATCTCTCTAGGCTTTGTGTTCATCTCTCTCACCGAACTCAAAGTCATATGTCCTCAAGGTCATGGAGGCATACACCTGTAGTGCCAGCTGATAACATGGTATGTGCCACCATGCCTGTAGTGCCATGACTATTTTCTCTTCAAGAATATAGTCAGATAGACATCTTATGGTGCTCCTAAAAATCTCATTCTCCAATCCCCAAACTGCTTCCATGCTTTTGTTTCATATTTGGATAACTAGATCATTACTTTTCTAGTAATTCAGCCTACACTCAAAGCCATCTTTGTTGGTTTCTCCACCATAAATCCACATCCAGGAAGGAGTCCTCAAATCTACAGATAGCCTCAACATAGGACAAGAGGCTCAATGTCATTCATTATTGGTGAAATGCAGATGAAATCACAATAGGATTAATAAAAATACAAACAAACAATGATACCAAGTACTGAGCAACGATGTGGAGCAACTAGAACTCCCATGCATCAGGAAACATGCACGGAAATGTCCACTGCAGCCCCATTTTTTTTTCTTCAACTTTTAAGTTCCAAGGTACATGTGCAGGATGTGCAGGTTTGTGACATAGGTAAACATGTGCCATGGTGGTTTGCTGCACAAATCAACCCATCACCTATGTATTAAGCCCAGCATCTATTAGCTAGTCTTCCTGATGCTCTCCCCTCCGGGCATCCCCAGACAGGCCCAACTGTGTGTTGTTTCCCTCCCCCATGTGTCCATGTGTTCTCATCATTCAGCTCCCACTTATGAGTGAGAACATGCGGTGTTTGGTTTTCTGTTCCTGCGTTAGTTTGCTGAGGATAAATAAGCCCCAATTATAATTGCAAAAAATATTGCCACAATCCAGATATCCATAAATAGGATAATGAATAAATAAATGTTGGCATATTAAAACAGAAGGCTTTACAAAACAGTCAAAAATGAATAAAATACAGATATATGGAGGAAAATGGGAAAATCTCAAACATAAAAGGCAAGTCACAGAAGACTACAAATAGTGTGATTTTATTTACATAATAGTAAAACTAAACAATATATTGCTCAGAGCTATGTTTGTCCTGAAATATACAGCAAGGACAGTATGAAAACCAAATCTTGGGGGATTAGATTTCACTGAAAGGTAGGAGAGAGGGAAGCAACTCACACTGATATATAAAAACAGTGGGAATGTTCTCTTTCCTTGTCTGTCAGTGGGTACAATACTATGTATCTGATTATTTTTTACTCTTTAAAATGAATATCCAAATACACATTTTGATACACTTTTTATGACTATGATTATTTTACAATGAAAATTTAATCAAAAGATTCTCATCCGTATAAGTTTTACTCAATGACTTTATTTTCCCATGTGCTATCAAACTATCTTGGATTTAAAAATTGAAGGGAAAATATAAACTGTTTTCTCCATGATTATGCGACAAGCCCAAGGCAATAGACCATCCACCCACATATTACACAGAAAAGCCCTGGGATCCTGCCAGCCATGGTAAGCACAGTCATGGAACCTGAGCCTGCTATAGCCCTGGTCACTAATTAGCCAAGTGCCCTCGCCATCAACTCCCTCCACTGCAAAACGAGGGCTTGTGCCAGTGACCTCTTAAGTTGCTTTCACCACTAAGACGCTCTGACATCTCAGACTATTATCTCCAAAGCAGACTCAGTATAGGAGCCCAGTGGGAACAGAAAGTCCTTCACTGAAGTAGCAAGGCATAACTGAAGCGAGACAATCCCTACTGCAGAAAATGGCAAGGTTTAGTGTGCCAGAAACAGTGAGAGTCAGTGTGGCCTTCCAGCCTATTCTTTAAAAATATTTCTTTCAGTTGCAGTCAGGGAGACAGAGAGTAGAATGATGGCTACCAGAGGCTGGGAAGGGTAATGGGAGAGAGAGAGAAGTGAGGATGGTTAATGGGCACAAAAATATAGACAGAATGAATAAGATCTAGTATTTGATAGCACAACAGGGTGACTGCAGTCAACATTAATTTACTGTATATTTTTAAATAACTAAAAGCATAATTGGAAAGTCTGTAACACAAAGAAATGATAAATGCTTCAGGTGATGTATACTCCATTTATTCTAATGTGATTTTTACACATATGCCTATATCAAAATATCTCATGTACCCACAAATATATACACCTACTATGTACATGTAAAAATAAAATATGTTTTCCAACACCAGATAACCTTTATTAGCAGGATATAAAAATGCCACCAGATTTTTCTTTACTTGAATTGTACATGAGGATTTGAAATGAGTATTTACTGACTTTTTCCCAGAATTCACTGTACTAATTGTACTGTACAAATAATCTTCTTCTTTCCCCTCATATATAAGAGGAGTTGTTTCAAGAGTTTGTACTTTAACTTATCATATATGAAATTATATCTATAAAATAATTTTTTTTTTTTTTGAGACAGAGTTTCACTCTGTCACCCAGGCTGGAGTGCAGTGGTGAGATCTCGGCTCACTACAACTTCTGCCTCCCGGATTATCTTGCCTCAGCCTCCTGAGTAGCCAGGACTACAAGCATATGCCCCCATGCCCAGCTAATTTTTTGTATTTTTAGTAGAGACAGGGTTTCACCATATTGGCCAGGCTAGTCTTGAACTCCTGACCTCATTATCCGCCCGCCTTGGCCTCCCAGAGTGCTGGGATTACAGGCGTGAGCCAACGCGCCTGGCCAAAAATAAATTTTAATATATTATACGTATAGATATCTTCAAACTAACCTGCTATATATAGAGAGAGAATAATATAAAATATATTATTCTATATATAAAAAACATATATATTACAAAATATATTATAAAAATAAAATATAAATAAAATATATTATTCTATATATAATATAGGATATAAAATATATTATTCTATATATAATATAGGATATAAAATATATTATTCTATATATAATATAGGATATAAAATATATTATTCTATATATAATATAGGATATAAAATATATTATTCTATATATTATATAGGATATAAAATATATTATTCTATATATTATATAGGATATAAAATATATTATTCTATATATTATATAGGATATAAAATATATTATTCTATATATTATATAGGATATAAAATATATTATTCTATATATTATATAGGATATAAAATATATTATTCTATATATTATATAGGATATAAAATATATTATTCTATATATAATATAGGATATAAAATATATTATTCTATATATAATATAGGATATATAATATATTATTCTATATATAATATAGGATATAAAATATATTATTCTATATATAATATAGGATATAAAATATATTATTCTACATATAGAATAATATAAAATATAATAAAAAACATATAAAATATATTATTCTATATACATAGAATAATATAAAACATTCACAGGAGCTTAATACCTCAATATTTTGCTTGGTTATTTGGAGAAATACTTTATATATATAAAACATAGAAGCTTAATATTTCAATTGGTTAGTTTGAAGAAATAATATAATAGATAAAAGAAATATTATATTTAGGAGTTTAATTGCTTTAATATTTTGGTTGGCTATTTGCAGAAATACATATAAAACATAGATAGGAGCTTAATATTTCAGTTGGTTAGTTTGCAGAAATATTTATATATAAATACGTGGAAAGAGAGAGAGGGAGAAAGAGAGGGAGAGACTGACAAATAATTAGTTTGGATATATACATTTTTTGAGGTTTAAAGAGATTTATATAGATACAATACATTAAAACTTATTTTATCCATGTCATTTCATGCATGTGCATATGAACATATATATTCGAACTAACCAAGTGAAATATTAAACTATTAAGCTGCTTAGGTTCAGGAATTTTTCCTACTCCATTCCCTGAAAATCCCGTGTTCCATGCCTTTATGCTACAGATAATCAATACTACCTGTTGCATATGATGCTGATCATCTGTTTTCAGAGAGATGGTCCTACATAAGAGCAAACTAAGAACAACAGGCTCAAATGCACTATAACAGGCACAAAAACACCTACTCATGTGTGTATTATGTATCTGGGAGGTAGTATGGGGCAGAGGTTTTGTGCAGTTTTATGACTATGATTCAAATCCTGGCTCTCACTTTAACTCCATCAGCAACCAGAGAAGGGTGTATACACCATTGTGATGGTTAATGCTGAGTGTCAACTTCATTGGATTGAAGAATGCAAAGTATTGATCCTGGGTGTGTCTCTGAGGGTGTTGCCAAAGGAGATTAATATTTGAGTCAGAGGGCTGGGGAAGGCAGACCCACCCTTAATCTGGGTGGGCACCATCTAATCAGCTGCCAGCAAATATAAAGCAGAGACAGAAAAACATGAAAAGACTAGACTAGCTTAGCCTCTAAGTCTACATCTTTCTCCTGTGCTAGATGCTTCCTGCCCTCAAACATCAGACTCCAAGTCCTTCAGCTTTGGGATTCGGACTGGCTTCCTTGCTCCTCAGCTTGCAGATGGCCTGTTGTGGGACCTTGTGATCGTGTGAACAAATACTACTTGATAAACTCCCCTTTATATATCTATCTGTCCTATTAGTTCTGTTCCTCTAGAGAACCCTACCTAATATAACCATCAATGCTTCCATCTCTTATGTGTAAAATGGGCAGAGTAGCAGATGTAACTCAAGGATATTATTGCACGTGCTATGGTTTGTGTTTGAGAAAGTACAAGAGTATATGAATATACACACCTATATTCACACACCTTACATAAAGATATGCATATGTATGTGATATGGTTTGACTGTGTCCCCACACAAATCTCATCTTGAATTGTAGCTCCCATAATTCCCACGTATAGGGAGAGGGACCCTGTGGGAGATAACTGAATCAAGAGGGCAGTTTCCCCCATACTGTTCTCGTGATAGTAAGTCTCATGAGATCTGATGGTTTTATAATGAGGAGTTCCCCTGAACAAGCTCTCTCTTTTTGCCTTCCGCCATGTAAGACATGCCTTTGTTCTTACCTTGCCTTTTGCCATAATTGTGAAGCCTCCCCAACCACATGGAACTGTGAGTCCATTAAATCTCTTTTTCTTTATAAATTACCCAGTCTCCGGTATGTCTTTATCAGCAGTGTGAAAAAAGACTAATACAGTACATATATGTAAACACATATAAATTTAGAACAATAAGTATTCCCCAAAGAAATCCTAGCTAATTACAATTATTCACTGAGGTACCACTGAATGCTTCCAAGGTGAAACCCATTTTGATAAAATGTAAAGATACACCAATCAAGTACCCATCCTCAAGTAGTAAACACTCCAGCTGATGAGATGAAGCTTGCCTTTCAATTGCTACAATTAAGCCAGCCTGTGCTCCATTGCTTTTCAACTGTTACCATGAAGCCAGCCTGTGCTCCATTGCTTTTCAATTGCTACCATGCAGCCAGCCTGTGGTCCACTGCCTCCCACCTGCTCCTTCTGTGGGATGGTGGGCTTCTGCAGAATGGACTTTGCAATGGAGTGCCCAGAAGATGCTTCTACAATTTTAGACATGTAGAGAGAGCTAGGCCAGAGGACTTCTGTAAAGACAGCATAGAGGGGGTAAGCATTGACATTCAAGAATTAAGACCACCAAGATTTACAAAGAGTGGGGAAGATGATACCACACTGAACATTCACATTATGTCACCATTACTTCCTCAATGCTTACATTCATTGCTAGACTATGATAAGTATCTAAGGGCAAAGCCCAGAGATGACTAATACTTGAACTTGGAAGACAGAAGGTCTTCAGTAAACACTATTAAATTAAAAGGAAGAAAAGAGACACAAGGAAACCAGAAGGAACCAGGACACAGAAGACAGAAAATTGGCAAGGTTAGGTTTCAGGGCATTCTCCTTAGCTCATCTCCTGTGGGTACCACAACCACAGAAGATGAGCTACTTCCACCACCTGCTCCACTCATGTTTCCACCATAAAATTCTCATAGGCTTCACGATGTAGTCCCTATTGTTTTTGCCTGCAGGAATTTCACTCATTGACACAGCAGTAAAGTGTTAGAGTATTACTTTCAGCCAATGTCAAATAAGCCAGTTTCTGAAAAGGTATCACAACTAGTTCTGGGAATATATTTGCCTGCAATTTAGCAAACAAAATAAAGAATTCTAGATACCCAGTCACTTTTAACCTCATTTCCTTTAAAAGGCTTTCTCATTGCTGTATCTGATGGACAGAGATAATATTGATCATGTAAAGGAAATATTTAAGCCAGAGTGGAAGCTGAGTGAGTTCTTCTACAAAGGAAAACTGTCAGTTTGAGTAAGAAAAAAACACTCAATTTCTAAATAGCACAGTTTAACCTGCAGTTAGTACTTCTGACCTGGCACGACCCTCAACTGGCAGTGGGTCTGCAGATGGTTGATCATGTGGACAGTTGGAGGTTAATGTGGACAAGAACAAGTGTGTACTCCCAAGTGCAAGACAGGAGCCAGAACCCTCTGGAGTAATACTGTTGAGTGTATCTCTATGTCTCTTACATAAGGAGCTTCATAACCACTGCCCATACCTCTCCTAATGAACTGTGCAATATCCGAAAAGCTGAGTGTCTTCAGAACGTTTCCCAAGACACCACCTGTGACCCCAGGACCAGCTCCATCTCACAACCCTGGCTAGAGTGCTCCATTTTCTGTAGCACAGATCCTATTTGCTAAGGTTACTTTGTTTTAGGCAGACGGCTCTATCTGAGAAGTTCCTATTTCGGTGTGATGCTTGCTCTGGCAGCCTACACTCTTTTCTCATGTGCTTCTGACAGTGCAGAATGACAAGGTGAGGGCCTTACAAGGTGTTCGGCTCTAGATTACTAAACACCACCTTTCCCACACAGTTTATTTCCTGAGTATGACACTGTACAAGCTCCCAGGAAAGGCAAGCTTCATCCTCAGGCTTGAACCTCATCACCTCCACCCACTCCCCAAAATGTTTCCTCTGCCCTCCCCAGACAGGAATATTAATTTGTGAAAACAGGCTCTATCCCAGTGAGTCAGTTACTCCAGAGAGGCTTCTTGTCCTGGGGTCAGAACTTAACTGAGATCAGACCTTCCATCTCTAGGAAATAACCAAGGCTTCCAAGATCCAGCATATAGACAACAGGCTTCTCATAAAAACCTCTGTGTCTCACATTAGCATGGGAAGGAAGAATAGGATGGAAGAAAAGAGTCGTAAAAGGAAGGCTCTTTTAAACAGGGTTCAGGAAGGAAAGAGGTGCAAAGTCAAGAGACAGAATCAGGGTAGACCCAAGAATATACCTCAGGAATCAAAGGCAACTATCTCCTAAAACTACCTCCAAAGCCTTACAAACATTCAAACAAGACAAAATTCATTAAAATGAAATGTTTTTTGCCAAAAATGTCAGTAAATAGCAGTCAATATTAATTGATATTGACACTTCCAAGCTTTTTAAATGAAAATAACATGAAGATTCTAATCTGCCAGATTCTTCACTTTCTTTTTGACATAAAAATAATTATCTCAGTATAGAATGCTCTATGCTGCAAACTAGTGACTCTCACATTCCCACCTCTGGCAAAATTCCTACTACACATGCAGGTTTTTTAAAGAAAACAGAGGTATAATAAATAAATCAAAACCTTTCCTCTACACAATTCTAAATGCAGATGTTCTCCACCCTAAGTCCAAAAACCCCAATCCCACCCAGGTGTCTTTATTTATTTTTTTGTGAGTACATAGCAGGTGTATATACATATACATATATATATATATGGGGCACATGAGTTGTTTTGATACAGGCATGCAATATGTAATAATCACATCATGAAGAATGGGGTATCATACCCTCAAGCATTTATCCTTTGCCACCCAGGAGTCTTTAGATAGATTCCATGGGTTCTACAAATTGCAATGGGCAAAAGTAATTACATCTTTAGTTTCACTACCATGCACTGAAATTTAGTATTTGCTTCCATTACCCGTGTAGGTAGGACACTTAACACTGTTATCACAGATATCCCAAAATACTGTTTACGCTTATTGTACTTTGAAATTGTGACTATTACGAACCTCTTAAGTAGATCCAGGTACTTAGCACACAATAAAGATGCACATGTATTACTGTAGCCCAGTTTAAATATATCTTTTTATTTTTATTTTTTATTTTATTGATTGTAGAAACAGAGTCTCACTTTGTTGGCCAGGCTGGTCTTGAACTCCTGGCCTCAAGCAATCCTCTCACCTCAGCCTCCCCAAATGCTGGTGTTTACAGGCATGAGCCACTGCACCAACTTTAAATATTAATATTAATATACCTTGGTAACTATTTCAATAAAACCGATTTCCTTTTATGCGTTATTTACCTTATTGTATGACTTAAACATATCATTTTTACAAAATGTATCAATTTTCCACCAAACCGCCAAAGGGATCTGTCACACACACTCACACATGTAGCGTGCACAGCTGAGAATCCTTGGCTAATTGCCAGTCTGTGGTCATCACCTGCGTATCTACCTATCATGACCTAGTGGGGACAGCAAAGGTTACAGCTTTCTGCTTGTGGATAAGGAGCATGTGCATGGAAGGATGAAATGCCACCTCCTCAGCTATCTCATACGAGTCTTATCTGGCTGTTCTCTTCCCTTGGAAGACCTGCCCTGAGCATAAGTACTTGAGAATAAATGGGTCAGGCAACATGGCTCATGCCTATAATCCCAACACTTTCGGAGGCTGAGGCGGGAGGATCACTTGAGCCTAAGAGTTCAAGACCAGTCTGGGCAACATGGCAAAACCTTGTTTCTAAAAATAATTTAAAAATTAGCTGGACATGGTGTTGCATGCCTGTAGCCCTAGCTACTCAAGAGGCTGAGGTGGGAGGATGGCTTGAGCTCGAGACGGGGAGGTTGGTGTGAGCCATGATCGCACCACTACACTTCAGCCCGGGTGACAGAGTGAAACTGTCTCAAAAAAAAAAAAAAAAAAAAAAGAAAGAATAAAAGGCAAATATCTCCACCAGGAGGTCTTGCCTAGCTCTTGCCATACCCTCCCAAGTGAGACAGGTCTTCCTGTCTTCCTAGTCATCTCTCCCCGGTAACCTTTGGTGGAACCTGAGACCACCTCAGCTGAGCTTCCCTAGAGGCCACAGCTGTGCACACAAGTAATGAATAAAAAAACTCTAGCGCTTCTCTCATGTAGAAAATTAAACATCTATGCCACCTGCATAGGGCAGGGAGATCTTTCCCAAGACCAGGGAACCTCCAAGCTAGAGAGCAGTCCCAGCAACTGCACACATGGTCCTTCTCTGTCTGAACCAAAGCTACTTAAATATCAAGACTAAGACGTGAAACTAAAGGAAGGTCAAAGACAAACATGTCCTTCCATTCACAAACACATAGAAAACCACAGTCCAAGTAAGTTTTCATCTGAATTCCCACAAATTAATGGAGGAAGGGAACTTATCTGAGGAAATAAAGTTTCATTAATTGGCCACTGGATGTCATGCACCGGGAAGGAGTCTCTACTCTTTAAGGCCCATGGAGAAGAATTCCGGGAATGAACAGAATCAAAAGAGGCATTTCAAACCCTGCTTCTTCTCCATCCCCATCTTATCCACTCCCCACATCCCAAGTCCAAGAAAAAATAGGATGAAAGGATCAACGTTATAGAAGCTCCAAAATTATTTCACAGCAAGTGGCAAAATCCTCCCCCTTCCTGAAACTCAAGAAGAGTAGGACTATCATTTGCCTCTCTTTTGAATTATAACCTGAACCATGGCCCTTTGAAATCTCAAACCTCCCCACTGTTTTTCTTAAATATGTCCGTGGGAAGATTTCCTTCTCCCTATCACTTCTTTCTGTATAGATAGGATTTTTAAAGGTGGATCTTTCTTTCACTACAGTAATCAGATGTCACAGATTTTCTGCAATTAATGCTTTCCTTGGCTATTTCTAGACCTCCTATTAAGAGCTATTCTTTCACTCCGGCCTATTCTTCCTAACCCAATTAAACCCTATTAAATCCTCTGCCATGACTGTTCTATTTCCCCCACGTTTAATTATCCCTTAACAAGCCTGTGTTTCTGCATGTTCTTTTCAATTGGCCCACCCCAGACTGTGTAACTTAGAGGGTGTGACTGTCCACATCTATAACATCTTCAAGCTAAATTATCATCTGGCAAAAATTCCCTCCATGGAAATCTATCAACAAAGCGAGTGCTATCTTAAGACTAAGTTCTGTCCGCAACTTCAAATACTAAAGCGTCATAGACTGATTCAGTCAAAAAGGTTTTTAAACAAAAAACGTAAAATAATTTGCATCTATTATGTTTATGCCCTTTGAATTAATTGGATAATTAGGAAAACATACTGAATTTGTGGGAGGACATATACTAATTCTCCAATAACTGGTTTCACTATGTATTAACACATACATATTGCTCACTGCATCCTGGAATTCCTAGGCTCTAGAAGTCCTCCTGCTGGTCTCAGCCCCACAAGAAGCTGGGACTACAGGGGTGTGCCATCATGTCCAGCTATTTTTTTTTTATTTTTTGAAGAGATGGGTCTCTCTATGTTGCAGGCTGGTCTAGAACTCTGGCTTCAAGCAATCCTCCTGCTTCAGCCTCCCAAAGTGCTGGGATTATAGGCGTGAGCCACTGCACCTGTCCTTTTTATTTTTTTGAGACAGGGTCTTGCTCTGTCACCCAGGCTGGAATACAGTGGCAGGATCACAACTCACTGCAGCCTCGACCTTTTGGGCTCAAGCAATCTTCCTGCCCCAGTCTTTCAAGTAGATGAAGAGCTTTTAGTAATACACTAGAGAACATTAAAAAATCATTAGCTTTAAGGACATTCTAAGAGTAAAGTTATAAAGCCAAAACCCATAAAAGATAAAGGAAAATCGGAAGAGGCGGTATGAAGACTGTCCTCTCTCAGAGGGTCCCTTCTTGTGGAAATAGGCTGCTATTCCAGGTCAGAGGGAGGGTCCCCCAAGGCAAGACAGATCAAAGGTATCCCCAAGACAGAAGGGAGCCAGTAAGTCCTACTGAAATCAATAATTTGAGCAACAGACCAAAGGATAAGATCATGTCACCTCCCAGCTGTAAATATCAGCACTGCATGGATTTGAGTTATCATCCAGGATAAAAATGACTTCTCAAAAGCCAATGCTTTTAAGCCACTGGGTTCTTATTTAACAACACAAAGAACTACACCCTGAGGATGATCAACAAATAATCTGACATTTACCAGGCAGAAGGTACATTGAAGAAATGTAGAACACACTAGCTGCAAAAGATAGAGAAAGCATTCACTTCCTAGGTGCCAATACTCTTTAGTAGGAACTCAATCCCCTTCACTTTGAAGCTTGGCAAAGGCCAAATTATAATGAAAGAAAATTTGGCCTCTGCACAAGCATCCTTGACCACGGAACGAATTTCTAGAGCTGGTAATTATGTCCTTGGCCCTCGAGTTAAAGGGCATCACAGAATTAGACCAGTGGAATGCACAGAGCTCCTCCAAGAAGCCACTTAGGACGACTGCCTGGGAAATGCAAACTGAGGAAATTATATTTAATTCAACCTCATGTGTGGTCGGAGAAACAGGAGGAATTGGAACAATTAAGCCAGCATGGCGCCATGAGCCATGCACAATTGGCTTCCCGTAGGATAGACAAAGCATTCCACACACGAGAACATTCTGTGACTTCAGTTAAGAAAGGGAAAAAAAAATGGGAAGCTTGGGAGAAGCATTAGGTCATTTTCAAGCAATTAAAGCCTTTCCATAAAGAACATATCAGATAACAAAGAAATGACTGAGTGATGAAGTTGGCTCAATCTAAATCATCATGTTAGTAGTAGTTTATTACTGAAACCACTGTATCTTGGTGAAGAGAACACTGGACAAGATTTTTTTTTTTTTTGAAACAGGGTCTCACTCTGTTGCCCAGGCTTGAGTGCAGCGGTATAATCTCAGCTCACTGCAGCCTTGACCTCCAGGGCTCAAGCGAACCTCCCACCTCAGTCTCCTGAATAGCTGGGAACACAGGCACGCTATGTTGCCCAGGCTGGTCTGGAACTCTTGGGCTCAAGCAATCCTCCCACCTCAGCCCAGCACAAAGTGCTGGGATTGCAGGCATGAGCCACTGCACCCAGCTAGAGATTTTTAAATTCAAGTAAGAATCTGAGCTACCTAGATCCATGCTTCCTAAACTCTGCTGCATCTTAGAATCCCTAAGGAGAATTGAAAAATTTCACTGCCCAGTCTGCATTGCAGACCGAGCAAGTCAGAATCTCTGGAGGACCACAGCACAGGCATTAATACCTATTACATTCTCCAGGTGATTCCAATGGGCAGGTACATTTGAGAAATCATGCTTTTAACTGTCATATTCACATTCACATACCATTCAATCTTGGCCTTATCATTTTTCTTTTGAAAAAATTTTGTTTCAATAAAGAAAGGCATGCATGAAGTTTTAAAGGTCAAACTACTACAAGTGTTATTTGCACAACAAACAGCACTTTCTTGCCCAACATACAACATCCCATGACCACACTTGCTTTAGAAAGCAAATGCTTTCAGATTTCTTAGCTTCTCCTCTCCAAATATATGCTCTATGATATTTCTAAGTAATAGTTTATGCTATTTTTTCTTGATATATTATTTTTAGATATTACCTATAAATTATCAATGGGCAACCACCACTCTATTTGCCCCTTCTGCCTTTTTGTTTTTTCGAGACAGGGTCTTGCTCTGTTGCCCAGGCTGGAGTGCAATGGTACAGTCACAACTCACCGCAGCCCCAACCTTCCAGGCTCCAGCAATCTTCCCACCTCAGCCTCTGCAGTAACTGGGACTACAGCCACACACCACCATGCCCAGATAATTTTTGAATTTTTTGTAGAGGTGGGATTTCGCCACATTGCCCAGGCTGGTCTCGAACTGTTGGACTCAAGAGATCTGCCTATCTTGGCCTCCCAGAGTGCTGGGATTACAGGCGTGAGCCACTACACCTGGCCTTCTCTCTTTAACTTTATTGTAACTGTGCAATTAATAATCACTCCTGAATGAAGCATTCTACTCTAATTAAATCTCCTTCATTGAATTGCCTCCTGTTTTATCTGGAGACAACAACAACTTCACATTTTCATTTCATGCTTTTCTGTGTGTCTATTGTTCAATTTTTCTGAATGTTCCAAGGGAACTAAAGCCCATCTCAAGTACTATTTCTACATGGTCAAATGGCTCATTTCCTTTTCTTTTATGTACTTTCTCCTTGAAGTCTCACTCTAGGATTCCAGCTGTCCCAGCCTGCTCTGGGCATTAATCTGAGACCTGCATTCTTTCAGCTCTCTTCTGTGAAGGCCACTGTTCCTTGGATTCCCCATCTTTCTATTTGTCATTTATTCCGCTGTTTGAAGGAAGACATAATCACACAGCTTTCCAAGAAAGGGTGCACAAAAGGTAAATTTTCGGAAATGCTACATCAGTGTAAATGCCTTGACCCTGCCTGCCCATGGACAGTTTGCTCCAAGAGTTCTACGTAGTAAATTGTTTTTTCTTAGAATTGTGAAAGTTTCTATCTTTTAACGTTCAGTGAAGACATGAAGCATTCTATGACATTACAAATTCTTGATTCTTAATAAGTTTTTTTTCTTTGCCTCTGATATGATTTGGATCTGTGTCCCTGCCCAAATCTCATATTGAATTGTAATCCCCAGTGTTGGAGATGGGGCCTGGTGGGAGGTGATGGCATCATGGGGAGCAGAGTTCTCTTGAATGGTACTGTACACACCCCTTGGTACTGTATAGTGAGTGAGTTCTCAGGAGACCTGGTGGTTTGAAAGGCTGTAGCACGTCCTCTCTCTCTCTTCCTCGTGCTCCAGCCATGTAAGATGTGCCTGCTTTCCCTTCACCTTCTGTCATGATTGACACGTTCCTGAGGCCTCCCCAGGAGCCGCCATGCTTCCTGTACGGCCTGCAGAACCATGAGCCAATTAAACCTCTTTTCTTTGTAAATTACCCAGTCTCGGGTATTTCTTTATATCAATGCAAGAACGGCCTAATACAGCCTCCAAGCTCTTAGGATCTTCCCTATATATTTGTTCTTCTGAAATCTCGCAATGTGCTTTTGTAGTTTGGAGTTTCAATTCATTCACTATGGTGAGCCCTGAGTGTTGTTTCATAAGCCTGGAAGTGTAGATCCCTCAATGCTGGGATTATTTTAAAAATTATTCATAAGTCACTTTTGCTTATTTGTATTCTGTTGTCCTTCCTGAAAATACTCTTCGAATGTCAGATTCCTAGAGTCTCCATATTCGTTCCTTTCCATTTTGCTATCTCTCTCTCATTAAAGTTTTGTCCATTGGAGATATCCTCATAATCGTTCTCCAATCTGATTATTTAATTTGCCTAATATGTCACATTTTAATAGAATTCCCATGTTTTTTATGAGTCACTATTTCATCATATCTCCTACAAGTTACAGATTAGAAATTTTGTCTCTTGTTTTCTTGGTTGGTGTTGTCTGTGCTACCTCCAGATGATTCTTTTTTCAATTTTTAAAAAGAATTTCTTATTGAAAGCTTCTCAAAAATATCTAGGATGTAAGACTGTCTTTTCTCACTTAAGAATCAGGTCTGTGTGGATAGCCAGGGGTCCTTCCTCAGCAGGTGAACATATTGTACAGTAAATAAGTAATAGGCCCAAATGGCCTCCAAATGCCAGTTATGGAATACTTTTCTCTGCCAGTTCAGTTTACCAAGAAAGGGATCCTCCAGGATGGACTTGAAGGAGTCCAGTGACTTTCAACTTGGAAGGAAGAACAAGAAAGCTGATGGCTGTGAGTATGCAGAGTGTAGACAATTCCCTTACAGACACAGAGCGTGGGCCCTCACCCCTACTCCACTCTCTGATGTCTGTGGGTCCTTATGTCCTAACTTTCTCAGGACAGATACGGAGTCTGGGCTCTCGCCCCCACTCCACTCTCTGACATCTCTGGGTCCTTCTATTCTGAGTTAACTTCCTCCAAAATAAATTTCATCTGCTCCCTGTGGAGAGGAGGGAAGGACCGTACTTTAGCCACACAGCGTAGAAACCTGTATTCTAGGCTCAACTGACCTAAGAGTTTTGCATGAAGTTAAAAAAATTTGTGTTGTTGGGGCTCAGAGAATGATACCACAAAATGAAGGCTTCAGCAGCCTCAGAGGCAAAAGGTTTTTCTCTGACCCTCCCCTGACCTGTTGTCTCTCAATTCCATTCTCCCCGAAGGCTGGCCATAGGAACTGGAATCCCTCCTCCCTAAAGCAGGTCATACAAACCAGACCCCTTCCCCACAAAGCACCCATGAAACCAAAAAAAGATGACCTCAACTTTCCCCTGCCTTTCTGTAAACACTGGCCATAAATAAATCCTCTGACCTGCCTTTTTGACTGTAGGTCCTAAGACCCCCCATTCCACAGAGGGTCCTACCTCACACCCAGAAGGAATGCTGCTCAGAGAGGCCAAGAAGAATCTAGGCAGACAGACCTGGCTGGGTTTCCCCACTCAGTCCATTAGCTTTAGATCAGGCCCTTTTTGTCCAACCCTATTTCTACTGGGTTGTCCACAGTTAGTTGAACCTTAGCATAAAAACTGAGTTTCCAAATAACCCCATTAAAAACTGTGCCAAGGGCTGGTAGTGGTCGCTCACGCCTGTAATCCTAGCACTTCAGGAGGCCGAGGCAGCAGATCACTTGAGGTCAGGAGCTCAAAACTAGCCTGGCCAACATGGTGAAACCCTGTCTCTACTAAAAAAATACAAAATAATTAGCCAGGCATGGTGGTGGGCACCTGTAATCCCACCTACTTAGGAGGCTGAGGCAGGATTTTTTGAACCCAGGAGGTAGAGGTTGCAGTGAGCCGAGATGGTGCTACTGCACTCCAGCCTGGGCAACAGAGCTAGACTCTGTCTCAAACAAAACAAAACAAAACAAAACAAAAAACAAAAAAAAACTGTGCCTAGAACATGAACACACACTTCTCAAAAGAGGGCATATAAGCAATCAATAAACATCTGAAAAATGCTCCACATCATTGATCATTAGGGAAATGTAAATCAAAACCACAATGAGAAACCATCTCACACCAGTCAGAAAGGCCATCATTAAATAGTCAAAAAAAAAAATATATAACAGATGCCAGTGAGTTTGCAGAGAAAAAGGGAACACTTATACATTCTTGCTGAGATTGTAAATTAGTTCAGCCACTGTGGAAAGTAGTTTGGAGATTTCTCAAAGGACTTAAATGAAACAAAACTACCATTTGACCCAGCAATCCCGTTACTGGGTATATACTCAAAGGAAAATAAATCGTTCTACAAAAAAGACGCATGCATTTGTATGTTCACTGTAGTACTATTCACAATAGCAAAGACAGACATGGAATCAACCTAGATGCCAATCAGTGGTGGGTGGAATAAATAAAGAAAATGTGGTCTCCACATATGCACTGTGGAATACTATGCAACCATGAAAAAGAACAAAATCAGGTCCCTTGCAGAAACATGGATACTGCTGGAGGCCATTATCCTAAGTGAGTCAACATAAAAACAGAAAACCAAATACTGCATGTTCTCACTTATAAGTGGGAGCTTGAGAAAACACGGAAATAAAGACGGGAGCAATAGGCACAGGGGACTACTAGAATGGGAAGTGAGTAGGGTGAGGACTGAAAAACTAGCTGGTGGTCACTATGCTTACCACCATTGATTGGGATCAATTGTACCCTATACCTCAGCATCACGCAATATTCCCATCTAGCAAACCTACACATGTACCCCCTGAATCTAAAATAAGTTGAAATAAAAAAAAAATTGGACAGTCTCCCCTGTATCTTTGTGTCCTCATTCTGAAGGCTCCTGTGTTACACAAATCTACAACTTAATAAATATGTATTGCTTTCTATTAATCTGCCTTTTGTGACATGATTTTCCGTGACCCTCCAGAGGGTGAAGAGGAAGGTTTCCATTGGCTAATACAACATTCAATCCAACCTGGATATAGAGAAACACCATGTTCTCCATCTATCTTTGAAATAATTTGCTATGATTTTTCCTCTGAGAAAAACAGCACAGCAGCAATACAATCACTCAAATTCTAACTTGAATTTTAAAAAATAATATGATTAGGAGAAAGGATGAGTATAGTATAAAATTATCTCTGTATTTCTGCCTCAGCGTAGAGAAAATGTTCTCTATGAAATATAATCATTTTATTAAACACTACCCAACACCATCTAGTATTTAACCAGTTCCAATATTTCTCAAGTACTATTACATTCTTTTCTCCCACATATCGTCATAAAGCATTTGTTTTTGTTTTTCCTTTTTATCTGGCAAAGATGCTACTTATACCAGTGATTAACACAATTTCTAAGTAAGAAATAGAACTAGAAGTGAAAACTTACATAGAAAAGTAAGATGGAACCAGAAGTGAGGGCTAGGATATGGGATACATTTGACAACCTACAGTTGTTTTTCAACCCCTTCAAGTTATATCATTATCTATTACAGAAAAAAAAAAAAAAAAAACAAGATAAAACCACACCTGAGCAGACAGTTTTCCAAGGGTGTCTCCAAGGATCATTTAATTTTCAAAGAGAACTCTTTACAAGTTAATCTCTGTTCTAATAATCTCCTCAACAGAATTCCTCACCTCCCCCTCCCATCACCTGTTTTACTGGGATCCAAGCCCCCACTCTTTCTGTAACCTCAGGATGGTGTATAAGCTTCTGGACCTCATTTGGAGGGTAGATCTTCATTCCAAAGGCTCCTGTGTATCTGCATTAAATACACTTGTAATGTCATTTCTCCTGTTAATCAGTCTGCCTAGTCAGTGATTTTTCATTAAAATTTTAGGGAGTAAAGAGCCTTGGCCCCTACAGTTATGACACAGCGAGCGGGGTCAACAAAGACGCTCTGCTCTTTTGGAAGCCACAGTGCAGAGAACCCAGGAACCCACACTGCTGGCCAAAGGGTAAGAATTTCTCACCAGCCAGCCAGGCTCCTGGTCTCTCTCTCCCTCTGTGCAATCCAGTTGAGTGGACAGTAAAAATCACTTTGTCTCCATGATTTTTCATTGAACCTTCAGGGGGCCAAGGCCCTTGACCACAACACTGCCTAGCTTCCCTGTGTACACTCCTAATTTTAACTGGCTCTACCATTTAGCAGCCCAACAACCCTGAGTAAGTGATTTAACTCTCACTGTTTGTCTTTCTTGTCTGTAAAATGAAGATAACAACTGTGTGGTCTGCAGAATAACGGACCCCCCGGGATGACCATGTGTTAATACAAGAACTTGTGACTTTGTGTGACCTTACATGGAAAAGAGATTCAAATGAAAGAGGCAGGTAGAATTAAGGTTCCCAGTCAGCAGACCTCGAAATGGGGAGATGATTCCAGGTTATCCAGTGGGTCCACATAATCACAAGGATCCTTATAAGTAGAAAAGGGAAAAAGAAAAGAGGAAGAACCAGAAAGATGACAGAATGAGAAGGACTCAATCTACTGGCATTGAAGGTGCAGAAAGGAACTTATGAGCCAAGGAGAGTAAGAAGTCTCTAGAATCTGGAAAAGGCAGGGAAATCTGTCCTCTCCTAGAGCCTCCAAAAAGAACGGTGTCCTGATGATACCTTGATTTTAGCCTCCTAAGGCTCATTTTGGACTTCTGACCTCTAGAGCTGTAAGCAGCCACTAAGTCTGTAGTAACTTGTTACTGCAGCACAGATAGGAAACTAATACTAATGGTAACTATCAGGTAGAGTGGTTGAGACCAATGAGTTAATATAAAAAGCACTTGGAACAGGTCCTAGCACAGAAGAAACGCTACATAACTGTCAGCCTATATTATAACTAATAACCAAAGACATAACTCTGAATTAAGGAAGCAAATTAGCAGGTAGAGTGACAAAGTAAAAGGGAAAATATTAGACTGTGCATAATGACATTTGAGAGCATACAACTCCCCTTACAGTTTTCATTTAAATAATACCCTGTTCTATCCATCATTGCTTTTTGTTTGATTGTTTTGTTTTTGAGACAGAGTCTCACTCTGTTGCCCAGGCTAGAATGCAGTGACACCATCTTGACTCATTGCAACCTCTGCCTCCTGGGCTCAAGCGATTCTCCTGCCTCAGCCTCCTGAGTAGCTGGAATTACAGGCGTGCACCACCATGCCTGGCTAATTTTTGTATTTTTAGTAGAGATGGGGTTTCACCATGTTGGCCAGGGTGGTCTCGAACTCCTGACCTCAAGTGATCCACCCACCTCAGTGGGTGTAATCCCAAAGTGCTGGGATTACAGGCGTGAGCCACTGCGCCTGGCCCCATCATTGTTTTGATTACAAAAGCATTATAGTATATCTTGACACGTGCATTTATTTCCTCTATCAAGATGGTCAAGATTTATTTATAATTGTACTCATTTGTCAAATAACAACACGCTACTCACACAAAATAATCATGTCCTTTGAATGTGAAAGGTTTAATATTGATGATGAAAGCTCTACAAAGTTTTGAAAATACCAGGAGACATTAATAGAGTTCAAAACTCAACATTAAAAAATGGAAATAGGACTGAGACTGAAAAAATCTAGATGGCTTCATGGAGTTGGGCAAGGCTCATCTCTCTCCCTGCTATGATCTGAATGTTTGTGCCCCTCCAAATTCCTATGTTGAAATTGTGACCCCCAAGATGATGGTATCAGGAGGCGAGGTCCTTGGGAGGTGATGAGGTCATGAGGTTGGAGCCTCATGAATGGGATTAGTGCCCTCATAAAAGGGAACTCAGCTCCCTCACCCCTTCTACCACATGAGGATACAGGGAGAAGGCACCATCTACAAACCAGGATGTGGGTGCTCACCAGACACTGAATCTGCCATACCTTGATCTTGGACTCCCAGCCTCCAGAATTGAGCAATAAATGTCTGTTGTTTATAAGCTACACAGTCTATGGTATTTCCTTATAGTAGCCCAAATGGACTAAAACATTCCCTATGTGCTCTCTAATATTACTATGGCTTCCAGACCACCTAATATAAAATGCAGATATCCATCTTTTAGTTAGACAAAGGTTGAAAGCTTGTGACTCCAAAAATGATGGGTAGCATCATAACAAAGGCAGTTAGTAGATATTGATTATATAAAGTAATTTAGGATAATTAAATGCCATCGTGTTCACCCACCGAGCTCTGATACCTGACTCAATGTTTGCTTTGAGTGGAAGTGGGTCCCCTATGTACATTAATACATTGACTTTTCAAACTCTAAACTCCTTGTGGGAAGATGCCATGTGTTATGATACTTTTGTAATCAGTGGACAAGGCAACCCCTGGGAAGCAAACCACAGTGATTTTCCAACAACTACTTCACTTCTTCACACTGTTTCTACCACTGGAAAGTGGGACAGATTGAATCTGCCTAAACTGCTAGCAGAATGAAATACGACCATGAATATAAAAAGAAGTTTCCAAATTCTAAAGAAACAAATGCCTGTAAGACTATTCTAGTGAACAATGAATATTTCACTTATTTTCAAAAAAAGTATTGTAGTGCAGTGACAGCCACCATCATAGCCATCGTGCAAATCCTTCAACATCATGATGTGCACAGTTGAACAAAGCATGAGAAATATAGTTCTTTCACGGACTTATGCTAAAAGTAAAATATAGAAATACTACGTGGCTGGGCGTGGCGGCTTATGCCTGTAATCCAAGGAGCACAAGACAGGAGGATCACTAGAGTCCAGGAGTTCGAGACCAGCCTGAACAACATAGGAAAACCGTGTCTCTAAAAAAACAAATTTTAAATCAGCTGGGTGTGGTGGTGCATGCCTGTGGTCCCAGGAGAGGCTGAGGTGTGAGATGGGAAGATTACTTGAGCCCAGGAACTCAAAGCTGCAGTGAGCTATGATTGTACTACTACACTCCAGCCTGAGCGACAAAGCAAGACCCTGAAAAAAAGGAAGGAAGGAAGGAAGGAAGGAAGGAATTCTAAGCATCTATTGACCTTTTTTGGTAGGGGAGTATGTGTGTATGCATACATTGAGATAATTTACAAAGCTACAACATCAAACACAAGCTTTTGAAGGACTAAGCTAAGAGAGCTCCTATCCACTAATAACTGAAAAACACCCATCGACTCATTTTGAAACACCATCATGAGGAAAAAGAGGCATATTTTGTTCACAAAAGTTAGAAAATATTCATATAGCCAAGAGGAAAGGACAAGGCTTTGGGTCATATTGTCTTAGCATCAAGATCACTCCAGTTGCATAGGGCTAGAGTTTTCTACAATATCAACCTGCTCCGATGAGTGTTAGGGCTGTGAGTAAGTCATTTTTTAAAATGATAGTAGGTTAAAATTTAGAATAGTGCTACTTATATAATTTTGATGGAATTCCTAAGAGGCAGGAAACCTAAATGTCAGAATTTCATGGTGTGCCTTGGTCTGAGAATTGGATGAGTGTGTGCTGACTGTGATGTCCCAGTTTGATCCATATGGTGTTCACACCATATTATATGGCTGTCATTGCTTTCAGTTTTCTCAGTAGCGACCATTTGCCACCTGCAGCCCAATCTCTCAGGTCCAGCAGCTGGAAAGAGACAGACTGGTCTTCTCTCAAAGGCAATTCCAAAGTTACAAGGACACCACCAAAGCTAGGATGCAACCCACTTGCAAAAAGAAGACAGAGAAGCAGGCGGCCTATTCAAGACTCATGTGGCTATGATGGGGGATGCCATAGCTTCTGTTTTCTCATAAGCACGTTCCTTACTCCTTCGTATCTTCTAATGATGCTGAAGACAAGGATGGTTAGCAAGCAGTGGATGCTAAAGTTATCTTTTCAGGGCACCTAATAAACAAGCAATAAACTAGTATCAAGGCAGTAAGATCTCTTCTAGTTTTTAGTACATTTACCATAGAAAATTAAATAGATGCCCTTAATAAATTGGTTCAATTGGAAAGGCTTTAAAACAAGTAACAAGCAAGTAAAAGCTCTAAGTGAATTTCCATGCGAGAGAACACCAACCTAAATCTTTCCTATGAAACTATACCAAAATACAAATTAAGATGAAAATGTGTCCCTATCCAAATCTCCTGTCGAACTGTAATTCCCAGTGATGGAGGTGGGGCCTGGTGGGAGGAGACTGGATGATGGGGGCGGAGTTCTCATGAATGGTTTAGCATCGGCCCCCTTGGTACTGTATAGTGAGTGAGTTCTCATGAGATCTGGTTGTTTAAAAGTGTGCAGCACCTTGCCCCTCTCTCTCTCTTCCTCCTGCTCCGGCCATGTAAGAAAGCTCACTCCCCCTTTACCTTCCGCCAAGATTGTAAGTTCCCTGAGGACTCTCCAGAAGCAAAAACCCCTATGCTTCCTGTACATCCTGCAGAACCATGAACCAATTAAACCTCTTTCCTTTATAAATTACCCAGCCTCAGGTATTTTCTTAAAGCAATGCAAGAACGGACTAATACAACATTCAACGTTCGAGTGTAATGCTGGGTATGAGAGTTGATTCTAGGTAACTAGCACTGAATGCATCTGTTCATTGTTTATAAACATAGAAAGTAGTGGCAGAACTGTACTAAAAAAAAATGTCTCAGAGTTGCTATAAACTCCAGTTAAGCCACTCTCCACAGGACTTTGGAACACCTAAAGTACTGACAGCTTTTTTTTTTTTATGTTAACTTTCATTTCTTGATGTTATTTTCAAAGCATTACCCTTTAATGTCTTCCCTGGAGCAGAGTTATATCCACAGACACAAGGTTATCAGTTCATTTCCACTGCCCTGCCCTGCTTTTTTCTTTAAGTAAAGCGAAGATAAAGCATTCTTTGGGGAAAACCAATATTGCATTCGGAGGCACCAATAGTTTGCTTCTCTCTCTCTCTAAGTGACAGCAACTCTTAAGTCTCTGTGCTTAGGATGGAACTTAATTTTCAGTCTCCCTGGTATATCAGCTGCTATCAGAAATATGAGGGTAGGCCTGTGGGGAATAAGGATAGTTAAGGGCATCTGAAACTCTCTACCTCTTTTGACAAGTGTGTATGGATGTAAATAAATTTGAGCGGTGGTACAAAGAACCCTCAAGTGTTTCATGACTGCTTTAGTAATCTATTACACTATAATTACAGCTATGCACACAGACGCTCATACCACGGAACTAACATGAATACGTAGATTTAAAAGTGATAGACTAAAAGGAGTGAAACTATCTCTAAACACAGATTTAACTACTATGATTTTATGGTAATATTATTAATTTAATAAATAATTTTTGACTGTGTGTCTTAGTAGTCCTGTTTCCCGCTGCTTATAAGAGAACATCTGAAACTGAGTAACTTTATGAACAAAAGGAATTTATTTCTTAAAGTTCTGGGGGCTGAGAAGTCCAAGGTTAAGGGGCTGCATCTGATGAGAAGCTTCTTGCTAATAGGGACTCTCTGCTGATTCCTGAGGTGGCCCATGTTATCACATAGCCAAAGGGCTCAGTGCTACCTCAGGTCTCTCTCCTTCTTCTTAACCAATTAATCCTTTTACACATTAATCCATTAATCCTTGATCCAATCACCTCTTAAAGGCCCACCTCTTAATACTGCCACACTGAGAATTAAGTTTCAACATAAGTTTCGGAGGGGATATTCAAACCATAGCAGTGGGGCACTGCATTAGACGGAGTGGTGATTACAATAACGTAAGATATTTCCTGTATTCAGGGGAATTTTTAGTCTGGTAGGGAAGTAAGGCATTGAAATTAACAAGAGAGGAAAGAGGGTTATCATGGGGGTACTCTTTTGGATACATGATTATAGAGGGGGAGCAGGTCATGGAAGGCTCCCTTGAGAAATGACTTTCAGGTGAATGTGGAATCATTAGGACCTCCACTGCAGGGAGAAAAGTCAGGCAAGGGAGGAAGGTAGCAATAACAGTGACACGGAGGTCTGTGGCTAAACACTGCTGGTACCAGAAGGTTGTGTGTCCTTCAACATGCCTGAGACACAGGATATGTAGACAGATGTCATGAAATGGGATAGAAAAGGGAACTTAGGGCCAAATCACCTAAGACCATTTCACTGGCCATCAGTCTTTGGTCACACACGTGATAATATTCCAAACATACCTTCCATCGAGTATACAATGTACAATGGGATTCCCAAGGGAGATGGAGCAAGGAGGAGGGAAAGAGACAAGGGAAGAAGGAAAATAAAGAGAAAAGCAGCCATCAGGGAGAAAAAGGGAAAACAAGAGTGTTGTCAAAGATGTTGAGGAAAGCATCCCAGGAAAGGTATCAAGAGGGAGAAAGATGTTGCAGAGGCCAACTAAGATGACCCCTGAGATGCATCAATCATACGATTATAGCATCCTGAGGCTGAATAATGCACTGTCCCCAAAGCTATCCACATCTTAATCCCCAGAGTCTGTGAATATGTGACCTTTCACGGCAAAGGGACTTTGCAGATGTGATTAAGTTAAGGATTTTGAGATAAAGAGATGATCCTGGGTTAGCTGGGTGAGCCCAGTGGCATTACAAGGGCCCTTACAAGAGGGAGGCAGGAGGGTCAGAGTCAGAGAGGGAGATGTGACCTGCCACAACAGCTAAGGAACGCAGGTAGCCTCCATGGGGGAAAACGACAAGGAGAAAGATTCTCCCTTGGAGCCTTCCGAAGGAAGGAGCCCTGCTGACACTAAGATTGTAGCTCCACCAGGTCCATTTCAGAAAGTGGCCTCCAGAACCATGTTTACCAATGAGTGTTCTTCAAACCATTAAGTTTGTGATTATGTGTTACAGCTGAGAACATGAACATGCTGAAGAAGGAGTGGAAAGTAAGGAAAAACAAATGTGACTGCTCCTTCTGGAATCCTAGTTAAGAAGTATACAGGAGGGATGAAACAGGGCTGCTAGAAAGTGTCCATTAGATGTGAACGACTGCATTTCCAAATAGAGAAGACATCAGAAAGAAATCAATTGAAACGATTCTCTATAACCATCTAGTGGAAAACATTTGTAGAAAAAAAGCATATACTATTAGAGCTGGAGTCTGCTTTCTAAGCCCGGAAAACCCAAATCATTTTGAAATTTCTTTCCAAAGCAGTTTAACCTTTTAAACACCAAAAAAATAAATACTGGCCGGGCACGGTGGCTCACGCCTCTAATCCCAGCACTTTGGGAGGCTGAGGCGGGCAGATCACGAGGTCAGGAGATCGAGACCATCCTGGCTAACATGGTGAAACCCTGTCTCTACTAAAAATACAAAAAATTAGCCAGGAGTGGTGGTGGGCGCCTGTAGTCCCAGCCACTTGGGAGGCTGAGGCAGGAGATATGCATGAACACGGGAGGCGGAGTTTGCAGTGAGCGGAGATCGCGCCACTGCACTCCAGCCTGGACGAGAGAGCAAGACTCCGTCTCAAAAAAAAAAAAGACAAAAAAGAAATACTGCAATTTCTTCCTGAGACATAAGATCAATGAACTGATCTTCAACTACACAAAAACAAGATGGCACTGCTGTTGAAAATGACGTCAAAGGTCCACTCACTTTGAAGGATAATTAGATTAAATAGAATGTTTCCTAAAATCGGTAATTTTTTGGTTGGATAGTCAAGGAATCCCAACTCATGTGGTACTATTTTATCCCTTTTAATTACTTTCTCAGATGGTTGATGCCACATCATTTCAGAGTGTTGTTCTAAGACTTAACCATAGAAATGGTGATGATTTTAAAAACACCTGAAAACACTGAGTGTTAGCAAAATGTGTCCAGTATTCTAGTTACACTTTAAGTAAAATGTTTAAACTATAACCTAATATTTCAAATATAAAATAATAAATGACAATTATTCACTCTCAGTTAATTAACTGATTTTTAAGCAAGTATCTGGCTTAAACATTGAAAAATACAACCTATGATATCTTATCAAAAGAATTAGTTGAGATTTTTAACTAATTATTATAAAAGGCTAAATGGAAATAGTAGCAACAAAAGCTATCAAAAAACCACCTTTTATGAACTTTAAAATCTGTAGCTGGCAAATTTTCCATTTTAAAGTTTACCTTGATTATCAATCTTCAACTTTTGAAAGGTAAGAAATTAGTGAAGACACATATCACTGGACACAGTGTGCTGTTCTTTTCATTTACCTGATGCCATTTGCTTATTACTTTGCCAGATTTTATTTGTTAACTTCTTCTCAGAACAGCATAATTTGAACAATCCAATCAATTACCATTAAAAGGACAAGTGAAAGACTAAACATTCCCCAAGGAAGGTTTAAATTTTCCAAGTAATTGAGAAGAAAATATAGCAGCTAAAACAGTAGTCCTTTTAGAAGACTTAATTACAGATAAGTCAATGCTAAATAATTTATATTTTTCTGTACATATATATGAGATCAGAACAAATGCTGGGGGGGGTGGGGAATCTCTTAGACTCAACACTCAATTGCTTCCAAGTTGCTATCTTCTATTAAAAAAAAAATTCATAAGACATTGCACTGATTTTCTTCTCCACCCAGGTTTGCAAAACTCAAGAAGGAAAATTATACCTACTCATCCCCTGGTGAAAACAGAATGCTTCGTTTACCAAAACATGACTAACATAGCCCAGAGCCCAAGATAACTTCATCTTCCCATCCAATGTTAAAGCACCACAGAAGGTTTTCTGCAGAATGTGAAGGAACTCCACTCAGGAAGTTGGTGGGCTTTGGACCAATACACGGGAGAGCGTAGGCAAAGAATGGCGCCTTCTGAGAGTTGGATAAAACCAGCATTGCCCAGGGGCACTGCCTGCCCTTCTTAGCTGAGGGGATGGGCAATAGGTTAGGGAACCCATTTGGACTGCTCAGCCAGGACTTAGACCTTACGGCTACTGGTTTCCAGCCAGGGCTTGTTTCACTTCCTCTGAAACTGCTGAGTTGAGAACACTGGCCTGCATCCAACACATATAAAGCATCTTCTACGTGGCCTGCACTGTGATACATACTTGGCAGCATGACATTTTCTTATTTATATTTTAAACTGTGTACAAAGAGGAATAGCACAAAGGTTCATGGACAGGAAAGAGTGACCGCTGTTCCAGGCCTTTGCACTGACCACAATTCACATGGATCATGTTACCTTCTACCTTTAGTCCTAACTGCTATTTCCCCATCACCCCATGTCACACTTAAATTGACCAAGACTTAGAAACACAATTGAAATTCATGTTTTCAGCAGGCACTGTGGAAAGGGAAGTATAAAAGATTAAGAGAATGTTTTTCAGCAAAAGATCCTTAATCATCTGTGTCTAAAATATATTTAGTTAATATTTACTACAGGTCCACAGCATGCCAGGTGTGGCAGAGAACAACATGCCAGCGAAAGACAAAACAATTCCATTCCCCATTAATATTAATTATCCACTCCAAGGAAGCGTACTGAGTCAGAATTACTTCTCTCTCAAAAATTCCCACAAAAAATAGAATCCAGGAACCCCCTGGTTTTAACTGTACAAAATGCACTTCATTAAAAAGTTCAGTGAAGCGGAATAAAAATCACAATAATTGTTTGCATTTAAGCGTTCCTTTCTTCTAGATCATAAAACAAATGGATTGGAGTGTGAAAAAAACAGTCAAGATGTTTCTCCAAGATCAATCTGTGCAATAATGAACCTTAGCCCTAAGAGAGATCAACCAGCAACTGGAATCCATCACTTGAGCAGCTAGAGACCACCAATGAAAACCCACACGAACCAGCTGCAGCTTCTTGTGTTGTTGAACGCCACTGAATCTTTCCCTGGTGCACATAAATTTTACAGGTAAAATTCAAGGGTGTTCCCAGGCCCCACTCATCCATACACCCCAGATGCCAGGCTTTAAACTTGCTCTGTGTTTAAGAGTTGTAGTGCATGCATTCATAGAATTCCTAATACAAAAGCATATGCTCTGTTGTTAATGCTAATGTATTACATATTTCTAATTTAAAATGTATGCACGGATGCATTAACTCATAGGCCCAAGATGATCACCATGAATTGCCAAAGTATGCATTGCCAATGTTTTCTGGTAAAGGATCACATGATAAATATTTTAGGCTTTGTAGGCCATGCAGTGTCTGGGGCAACCATTCCACTCTGGCACTGTAGTATAAAAGAACCATATATGAAAATGTAAATTTAAGTGTGTGGTTGGGTTGCAAAACATTTTATTTACAAAAATTGGCCACCACCCATAGGCCATAGTTGACTCACCATAAGGTAGGGCATGTGTGCGGCACCATCATTTGCTCAAACTTGAGCTCATTTTTATCCTCCAGAGATCAAACATTAGCTTATGTATAATAACTTACAAACAGTGTAAAATGATTCATTTAACTATATATGCTTGCCCTTTTTTCCCATTCTGAAATATAGCCTCTTGACAGAAAAGCAGCATAAACTAGGGAGGAAAAACAGGCAAAAAAGTATCTGCACAAAGGAAACCTTATGAGTTTGAGAAAGAGATGAAAGGAAAAGGATAAAGGAAGTCTAAAGACAAACACATACATTAGAAACCACCATAGAATGAAAACGTTCCTTAAAAATCATGTTAAAAGTCTTTGTTTTTCTCTTGACATTTAAGCACTGAAAGAACACAGATACAAGACATAAGCCTTACTCACCATTTGTGTCATTGTGGATTCAGAATTGATGGTTTTTAATAAAAGCAGTGAACATATTAATAATTACTGTAAATTTACCATCTAATTAAATCTTAGAAAAATCATAATTAAGCTACCTGTATATCACCTTCATCAGTATTTTGTCTCTATAAAAATACATGACAATCTGTTTTCTCTAGAAATTTAAAGGAAATATAAACTCTAACCAGGCTGGAGTACAGTGGTACGATCTCAGCTCACTGCAAGCTCCGCCTCCCGGGTTCACGCCATTCTCCTGCCTCAGCCTCCCGAGTAGCTGGGACTACAGGCGCCCGCCACCGCGCCCGGCTAATTTTTTTGTATTTTTAGTAGAGACGGGGTTTCACCGCGTTAGCCAGGATGGTCTCCATCTCCTGACCTAGTGATCCGCCCGCCTCGGCCTCCCAAAGTGCTGGGATTACAGGTTTGAGCCACCGCGCCCGGCCAACTCCACCTTCTTTAGTCAGAGTGGCTTAAAAATTTCCTAGACCGTCCTGGCTAACACGGTGAAACCCCGTCCCTACTAAAAATACAAAAAAAAAAAAAAAAAGCGAGCGCCCGTAGCCCCAGCTACCCCGGAGGCTGAGGCCAGGGAATGGCGTGAACCCGGGAGGCGGACGCATGCGCACGTACACGCACAGGCACACGCCAGAAGGCACGCACACGCCAGGAGGCACGCACACATTTCCGCACCCGATGCCCTACGCATCACCGACGTAATGTCCCGCGTGGAGCCCCACAGGGAGGAAGTGCCATTAGAAGAAGGTGGGGCGAAGGTCCCAGGCGAAGTCTCCACTGAAGGAGCTTCTGAGAAATGCTGAGATAAAACAGTCCTCGCCAAGGCCTTCTTTTCCTTCTTTCTTGTACTAAGCATTAATCTTCCTATCCCCAGAGGCCAGTATGTCAGTGCCCATGGGAATCCTATCGCTCCAACATGTCCCTCTTTTTCTCTAGCAGATGTCATGGACCCACCTTGTAGGATTTTGGAGGGGAATGGTCCCTGGTGAGAGAGGAATCAGGAAATTAGTTTTGCAGAATGGGAAAACTGAAACTGTTGCCTCAGCATGAAAAGGTAATTGACATAAAATAATCTTTGACTCGACACAAAACAAAGAAACACAGATGAGCTTTAAAAAATTAAGTTACATTTTAAAAAAATTAAGTCGGGGAAATTTTTGAATAAACAACAAAATATATTTATTTTCGTTTGATCAATAACCTACAACGCCCTTCCCACTTCTTAATTTAGCAAATACTTATTAGTTTACTGCTATGGGACAGGCACTCTTGTGGCTGACAGAGAAAGAAAAGTTAACAAGAACCAGCACCCGTCCCTGGTGTTTCCATGTATCCACCATAGTTTACATAAAAGGATTAGATATTGAAGTTTTGATAATTGTACACTTTTTAAAATGTCCATCAAGTACTAATTTTAAAATCTAAATATTAAACTAAACTTTATTTTCCCCATGTCTGCACAACTCTGTTCATCTCTTTTAATTTCCGAGAAGACGAAATACTCTGATTAGCTCCTAAATACTCCCAAGCTAGATAGAGGAGAAATCTTTTTTAGCAATTACTCTTCAATTGATGAGCTTTCATCCCACTTTCTAAGTGGAAGGAGCATATCATAGAGATTGCGCGTGTATTTCAATCACAATTTACCCCATTGTCTGCCTTTGAAATGTCCTTCAAGAATCGCAGGTGTCTTTGTAATAACATTCAAATACTGTCCTTTTTTTTTTTTAGTCGTTGATTCCCTAACATCTGAAGGTTATACTGTAGTTGCTGCACCACATTGATTTGCATAACTACTCTATGTCCTTTGAAACCACAAAATGTTTAATAAAAGATTCATTTGGGTAATATGTGTTCAGAACTTAGTATCAACAATCTCAATGTTCAAACTTACAGGCCCCTAGAATTATCCTGATCATCCCTTGACTTAAAAATTATGTTTTCAGGAATGCCATGAAAGGAATTTTTCTTGATCATCAGTTTTGAATTGGACTAAGTCATCCTAGCAATAAAATAAATTCTAACATAAGATCACTAAGACTATCCAGATTATCATGAAAATCCATTGCAAAGAATTTTCCCTAATAGGGGTTACAAAACCAGAAAGTGTTCAGTCAACTGTATGTAGAAAAATTGAATGAACTGACATAAATTGAAATTTTCGAGTATTAAATAGGCTTCACAAATTATTTGTACTTCTCAGCTAGCTGTGGTTCTTAATTTACATTCACACATTCTTCATAGTGAAAAGGAATGAATGCCTGTCTCTGCAGTCTTTAAACATACCAAAAACCTAGTAATTGCAAACAACTAATTAGCAGCAGAGCTGGATTACAGCATAGATGTCCTCATTATCAGGCCTATGTGTGTCTCCACGAAATCCTCCACCCCTCCTCAAGGACAACTGATGTCACTGAAGAGTCATGATGCCTTCAGTTCTTACTGAGGATTTTGAGAATACTGGGAAAGGAAAAACCCTTTGTCACTTGTTTTTCATCCAGCCAACTGATTCTTGGTGTACAATGTAGGAAATTCCAACCTAGGATCACCATTCAGCAAAGACCACTCCAAATTATCAGGAAAACACACTCCAAAGCATTCCCCCCTTAAGAGAAAATGCAGCTACCAATTAAGCAAAAGCAGTAGCTGACTCTTGCAGAGACATACTGATAATGCCCAGTGGTTTCAAATGTAGTTTGAACCTAAGTGCATATGGTAAAACAATTTTAAAAAAGTCCTAGGTTCAGAAGTTCTCATTTCCTTCTCATGATTGTGCACTTTATATAATGTTCCCTTTGGGTTTCATAAAGTGAGTCTATCATATTATAAGCTGTGACTCGTCTATAGCTCTGAGCCTGATGCCAGACCTGTTACTACTGCTTCTCCTTGGAACTAGGACAGTCTGATTATATTCACCTGAATGTGCTTTGCACTGCAGCTACTGAAATAATTACAACCAATGCTGCATTGGGTTCCTGTTCCAAAGGCTGTAAGTGTGAGAGAGAAGACAAACATTTCTTAGACTTCAGGCCTTGATTATTTATTAAGACTCATCCAGGTTGAAAAAAAAGAAAATGGAAAAAAAGAAAGTCGTGTAATTCAGGAGCCAAAGGGATTTACATAATGTATCATTATTGATTATTTAGCTGTATATGCTGATGAAAAATGATGTGTACCTTTATTCGTTTTACCTTTGATAAGACAAATAAATCTATACTAGATAAAAATAGCAAACAGCTGATCAATCATTTTTCCAAGTATGATTTTCTTCCAATTTGTATGTTAATGATCAAATGGGGGAGGTGGGACAGCATTAATCTTTCTTTATAAATTACAAATTATCTTTGAAAAACAAAACCTAGTATTTGTTTATGGCAGGAAATATGGAGAGATGTTTAAAAATCAACTTTGTTGGAAACAAGAGTTCCATAAAGGACATGACCTTGACAATCTTCTAGAATCAAGGAAAAATACTGAAGTTTTATTCTGTAAAGAGAAAGCCATGGATAGGAAAATTATCTGGCAATCATTAAAGAGATACTCAAAAGGCCTTTGTGGTCTAAATTTTGACAAAAGTTTGGAAGCTACAACATTCAAATTGATAAGAAAATTTGTCAATAACCAATATTTAAGCAATCAAATTGTAAAGACTTCAGATTTGCAGCTGAACCATGAAAAGACAGAGCCATTTACTTGAGATGTATGAAAGCATCAGATGAACCTTTCTAAAATTTGAGTTTGTGGGGAAGGGTCCAGATTTTCAATTGTGAAATATCTCCACTAACATGGGCTCACAGCTGTATATCACAAAAGTATTCTACCCATATCTTTTCCTTGGGCTCTGCTCTCTTTCTAATGTCCAGACAGTGAGAAGGATCTCATGGTCTGAGTGTCCCCTCTGCCTGTACTAGTAGTACCTGTCTGACATTTTGAACCCCACTCTGCAGGGGCTACAAATACAAAGGGTAAAATGAGATGCTGGGGTCATTCAAATGGCCCAAGATGGACTTTTTGAGTCCTAGATCATTGCAAATCTTTACTCTAGAAGAAAATGGACTTCCGGTGAGCAGTGCAGCCAAGGGTGAATTTCTGAGAGGTTTACATACAGTGAGTCAGACAGGTGACCTTCATCTGTGTTTGTCTACTTTATGAGATGTACCCCGAAGTGTGGCCATGAGGAGGAGCAGACAATTATTTCAAAATCCTAAATTTCCAGGCATGTCACTTTGGACACTCCAAATGAGCTTGAAACCACTGCTTTCTACTTTTATTTGTTTCAAATTGTTTTTTTTTTTTTAAGTAAACAATTTTCACCACCAAAGTAATCCGAAAGCACTGCTAGACTTGGTTTAACCAGGCTCAAAAATGCATCAATGAAATAAGTCAGTAGAGGTTAATGATTACCAATAATTATTTTTTCAAAATTATCCATCAACTCATGCAACACAGGATGGGGTAGAACTTCAGTAAGGAGGGAAAGGAAATGTTGCACACAGGCAGACAGAATAGCCTAAATCAAAGGCTAGAGATAGGAAGGCACCAGGCTTGGGATTGCCTGGGTGGAACAAGGGACTGGAAAAGAAGTTCAGATGCTCTAAAGGGGGCTTGATCCAAAGTGAAGTGTGTGCTGGGCACAGTGGCTCATGCCTGTAATCCCAGCACTTTTGGAGGCCAAAGCGGATGGATCACTTGAGGTCAGGAGTTCGAGACCAGCCTGGTCAACATGGTGAAACCCTGCCTCTACTAAAAATACAAAAATTAGCTGGGTGGGAAGGAAGTTGTGGCTCACACCTGTAATCCCAGCACTTTGGGAGGCAAAAGCAGGCAGATCACCTGAGGTCAGGAGTTCAAGACCAGCCTGGCCAACATGGTAAAACCTCACCCCTACTAAAAATACAAAAACTAGCTGAGCGTTGCAGTGGGTGCCTGTAATCCCAGCTACTCGGGAGGCTGAGGCAGGAGAATCACTTGAACCTGGGAGGTGGAGGTTGCAGTGAGCTGAAATTCTGCCACTGCACTACAGCCTGGATGAAAGAGCGAGATTCTATCTCAAATAAAAAAAAAGTGTGTATGTACTTCAGAAAAGTCGATTAACCAGTAAGACTGACCAATATGGCATTTTTCAGCATTCTAAAGTTTCCTCTGAATTTTCTGTTGAAATATTTTAATTCTGGATCAGGCACTTTCAGCAATATTGATGAGTTCCCATTCATGCTCATCCAATGGGACTCTCACCCAATGCATCCCCTACCCCTTACCTAGAAAGTTTGGGCATTCCTTAGACATCACCAGGCACTGAGCGTTGCATAGACATTGTTTTCACCTAATTTTTTTTTTCTTTGAGACAGGGTCTTGCTCGTTGGCCAGGCTGGAGTGCAGTGGAGCAATCACAGCTACACAGCCTCAAACTCCTGAGCTCAAGCGATCCTCCCACCTCAGCCTCCCAAGTAGCTGGGACTACAGGTGTGCATCACCATGTCTGGCTAATTTTTAAATTTTTTGTAGAGATGAAGTCTCACTGTGTGGCCCAGGCTGGTCTCGAACTCCTGAACCCAAGTGATTCTCCCTCCTCAGCCTCCCAACGTGTTGGGATTACAGGCATGACCCACTGCACCTGGCCTCAATTACTTCTTATAATATGACAGGTTAGGTATTTTATTACCCATGTTTGACAGCAAAGAAAGAGGAAGATATTAAAAGGTAATGAATGAACCATCTACCTAAGGTCATGCTGTAGTGTGTGCTTCCATCCTGCAGCCTAAAGATCCTTCTTGGATGCCTCTTCCAACAGACACCCTGGCGTCCTGATAGGCCCAGGGGTTACAAGGAGAGCATGCAAACAGAATGAAGGGGCCTGCGTAACAGCAGCACATGTTTCCCATAAGTGTGGCCAATGATCTGGGGCTGACCCTCCCTTGTGGATCTGTTTCCCCTTAGAAAAATGAGGTGGTGAGAATGAACCTACTGCTCTCCCAGCCATGCATGACTCACCTGGGCTGTCCTCCAGGCAGACCCCAACTCCACCACCTTTCTTCCCAATCTTGCATCTAAGCTCTGATCAGATGGGAACAATCGGGCTCAAGGAAGGATGAGGTTCTTAGGGTTACAATGAATGACAGTGAGCCTCCCATACAACCCTCTGGTCTGAGCTCCAGGTTCAGGGTTTTGAACAACTGCCGGAGCCCACAGCCTGGCCACACAGTGGTTCCCGAGTCCAACGGTGCAGTCCAGAACACAGTCATTGACTGCTGTGCTGGACTCGCCAATAACTATTCCTGATACTTACCATTGCCTCGTCCTTCTGAGATGGTGCCTTTAAAAATGCCTCCCTGGGCCGGGCGCGGTGGCTCACGCCTGTAATCCCAGCACTCTGGGAGGCCGAGGTGGGCGGATCACGAGGTCAGGAGATCGAGACCACGGTGAAACCCCGTCTCTACTAAAAATGCAAAAAATTAGCCGGGCGCAGTGGCGGGCGCCTGTAGTCCCAGCTACTCGGGAGGCTGAGGCAAGAGAATGGCGTGAACCCGGAAGGCAGAGCTTGCAGTGAGCGGAGATCGCGCCACAGCACTCCCGCCTGGGCGACAGAACGAGACTCCGTCTCAAAAAAAAAAAAAAAAAAAAAAAAATGCCTCCCTGGAAACCTACTTGATTTTTTTTTTCCATCTTAGCACATTGTTCCCTATTTAAAAAAAAAAAGAAAAACATACCTCTCTCCATCAGTAAAAGAGATGATATTGTTTCAAAACCAATGTGACATTCCTTATAAGCTTTCTTATGGGTAGTTACAAGAACTAGCCGATCATGACATGAAGTAATTCTTAACTTGTTCCCTAATAAGTCAAGGAACTAGTCTAGTGGGAGCACCTACACACATGCATGGCTGCATGTGGAATCTCTATGCAACCATTTTAGCACACACATGCAGTTTGAGAATACAAAATCAATGAAGACTCCTTGAGGTTTCCAATGGGCAACTCATAATCTGGTTGGCATTGATCTGGGTGGCATTAAAGTTTTGTTGGAGATCATCAACTCACTGTATTTCTCCATTAGATATAACTTGTTTAATAAAAGAAATCTGCAAAATGTGTGAAAAGAACCAATCAATCATTTAGAAATCACTTATTTGCAAGAACTAATCCTCAACCTGCAGAGATGTTTTGCTGTGGCAGAAGGTCAGAACAACACTGCCATTGACTCTACTGCAAGAAAACTTATCTCAAAATTAGCTGGATGTGGCGGCATGTGTCTATGGTCCCAGCGGACTCAGGAAGCTGAGGTGGGAGGATCACTTGAGCCTGGGAGGTTGAGGCTGCAGTGAGCTGTGATCGCACCACTACACTACAGCCTGGGCGACAGAGCAAGACCCTGTCTCCAAAAGATATATATATTAGGTTGGTGCAAGCGTAATTGCAGTTTTTGCCTTACATTCACGGGTATAAACCGCAATTATGTTTGCGTCAACTGAACAGATATATCATCTCCATTGGATCAGTTATCATCTCAGGACCATTCGGAGTTTTTCTTGCCATCTCACCCGGAATGCTCTCTTTATAGGATGCGTCTCATGCGACACTCCTCCTTCTACTTTTAAGCAAGAACCATCGATAAGTAACACCTGCGAGATATCTAACAGAGTACCACGTGGCCTTTCACACTCAGGATTTTGCATCTATAGGAAAGATGGTAAGGGAAGAAGAGGATACATCACTCAATACCCTTCTGGGCTTACTTCCATGCTTGAAAAAATATTAATACAAAGTAGATAAGGCCTTTGGGTTTCATAGCTAATGAGCCAGCACATTATTAAATTACAGGAAGACAAGATCATATTTTAACTATGTTTTTGATTTCTCATAACACCTAGCACATTTTGTTATTAATAGGCATTATCATAAATATTGTTGATGAAACTGTATTTGTAAAAATGAATTTATATTTAACAACAATCATAATAACATTCATCTTCACTGACCCTTCTACAGCCAAGGGCAGGAGTTATTATGACATCTTATTTTACATTGGGAAAAAAATGATATCCAGGTGTTAAGTAACGCAGCTCACTGAAGCAGGGAGTAAGACCTATCTTGACTCCAAAGACCATGCATTTTTTCAAGATATCAAGCTACCTCCTCATCCAAACAATTCTAATAATAGTAGTAATAATAGTTATTTTTTTATTTTTTATTTTTATTTTACTTTAAGTTCCGGGATACATGTTCAGAATGTGCAGGTTTCTTACATAGGTAAACGTGTGCCATAGTGGTTTGCTGCACCTATCAACCCGTCACCTAGGTATTAAGCTCCACATGCATTAGCTGTTTGTCCGAATAATAAGTTATAATAGCTAATATGTACATAGTGGGTCAGCATCTAACTTGCTGAATTCTTTACATATACTAACTCTTAATTGTCTCCAAAAACATATAAGGTATATGTGAGCTTTATCCCCATTAGTTGAGAACACTAATGCAGGGACAGATTAGCTAACCTGCCCAACACCACAGAACTATAAAAGTGGAGCCAGAACTCAAGCTGGGTGGCTTGGCTTTCACCTGCCTGCCATAGGACACTGGCTCAGGTGGGGATTGAGACCATCATTTCTCTCCCACATCCCGCAATCTCCGCACTGTGGGGATCCATGGCTGAAACAGTTTTCAACAGTGACAAAAATTACCAGTGGAAGAAAAAATAAAGTTTTGTGATATTAGCACCAAACACAGTCCCATGATGCATGAGTGTGCATATAGTAAATGCTCAATTAATATTAGCTCTTGAAATTGTATTATTAAGACTTTGAAATTGCCTATACATTTATTTTACTTGATCATACCTTTGTTCACACCCTCCAATCAGTGTTAAATTTACAATTATCAAGTTAGTGATGTATGTGTGTTTCAGAAAATTTTACAATAATTAGTGTGCATTGTATCTGACTGGCTATATTTTTTGTGATACGGTAAAAATTATTATTATTATTTTACTTATTTATTAACTTTGGAGACAGACCTCACTCTTTTACCCAGGCTGGAATTCAATGGCACGATCACAGCTGGCTGTAATCTCAAATTCCTAGGCTCAGGTGATCCCCCTGCCTCTCAGCCTCCCAAGTACCTGGGACTACAGGTGGATGCCTCGAAACCTGGCTAATTTTTTAAATAATCTTTATAGAGATAGGATCTCACTATTTTGCCCAGGCTGGTCTCGAACTCTGGGCTCAAGCAATTCTTCTGTATTAGCCTACCAAAGTGCTGAGATTAATAATAGTCATGAGCCACCACCCCCAGCCTATTATTACTGTATTAGGTTTGAGGTTTTGTTTGTTTCTTGGTTCGCTTAGCTTTGTTTACAGGTTTGTTTAAATACACAAGTGAGATGGTGAAACTAATTGTATCTGTGTGTGCTTCCCCTATTTTCAAATCCGATATTGCTAAAATCTGATGGAACAAAATATTCCCACTGAAAGTGTTTCGGTGGCTCACGCCTGTAATCCCAGCTACTCGGGAGGCCGAGGTGGGCGGATCACGAGGTCAGGAGATCAAGACCGTCCTGGCTAACACGGTTTAACCCTGTCTCTACTAAAAATACAAAACAATTAGCCGGGCGTGGTGGCGGGCGCCTGTAGTCTCAGCTACTCAGGAGGCTGAGGCAGGAGAATGGCGTGAACCCGGGAGGCGGAGCTTGCAGTGAGCCGAGATGGCGCCACTGCACTCCAGCCTGGGCGACAGAGCGAGACTCTGTCTCAAAAAAAAAAAAAAAAAAAAAAAAAAAAAAGTGTCTCATGTGTAGTCATCTACCTGGTGAGTCTCCCTGAAAAGAACTCTGTTCATCCATTCTAGTTCTGCCTAGTAGGAGTGTGTTCACAGTTGCTGCCCTTGAGGTCAGGAATGTTTCCATGCATCCTGCAGGCCTCGGTCACCACCTCTCCTTTTATGGGGTCCCTGGTCTCTATCCTCCATGCAGACTCAACTGTCTTTCCTGCAGTCCATGGTTATGTATTTCCTAACTAGGTCTGCCTCTTCATAAAGGAAAACCCTTCCTGGGGGTACTCACAACACAGCATTCTTCCTGGCTTCTCTTTTGCTGTTGTTGGAAATCCCAAGCACTGAGGAGGGAGAGAAAGGCAGGGGCTTTTTATCACACCCATAGGTGATGCCATTTGGGTGCAAGGCAGAATGCAGACCACTAACACTCTCTGTTCAAATAATCACTATTTCATGTTTCCCCTTGGTTCTCAGTGATGTGATTCACTCTCGCAAACGTTATTTCATTTATTTAGAGCTAGTTATAAGCCATTGTCATGTAGCTGATACAATATTTCAAAGGTTAAAGAATAAATTATCTAGATTAAAATTCTTCTGGACTTTATTCCAGAATTTGGACAAGATAACCTATTACAGAAGGCCACAAGACAGAACGAGATCCTGTATCAAAAAATGCAATTTCATATTAATATGAAGATGATCAGCCATTTGTACTCATATTTATCTGTTGCCTAGACTGGAGTGCAACGGTGCAACCTTGGATCACTGCAGCCTCAACCTCCCAGGCTCAAGCAATCCTCTCACCTCAGTCTCCTGAATAGCTGGGACTACAGGCATGCACCACCATGCTCAGCTATTTTTTTTTTTTTTTGTATTTTTTATAGAGACGGAGTCTCACTATGTTGCCCTGGTTGCTCTCGAACTCCTGGAAGCAAGCGGTTGGTGCCTGCTGGGCCTCCCAAAGTGCTGGGATTACAGGCATGAGCCAATGTGCCTGGCTAGAATTGCATTTTATAATCTAAGTTGTCATATAAAAACTTTATCCTATGGTATTCATATCATTTGTAATAATTTACATTCTACTTAATAAATAAGTTTTTGATCACTATCTAAAAGTATCTTTTAAAAACATTAATTATACAGGATGATAGATTTTCAATAGTCAACATGAACTAAAGCAGAAAGGTGCTAATTAAACTAACAGTTATGGGGCCGGGCGTGGTGGCTCATGCCTGTAATCCCAGCACTTCGGGAGGCTGAGGAGGGAGGATTGCTTCAGCTCAGGAATTTGAGACCAGCCTGGGCAACATGGCGAAACTCTGTCTCTACAAAAAAATACAAAAATTAGCGAGGTTTGGTGGTGCACGCCTGTAGTCCCAGCTACTCCACAGGCTGAGGTGGGAGGATTGCTTGAGCCCAGGAGCAGAGGCTGCAGTGAGCTGTAGTTACGCCACTGCACTCCACCCTGGGTGACAGAGTGAAGCCCTGTCTCAAAAAACAAAAAAAATCAGCATTTATGGAACATTCATATCATTTTAAAGAAAGCTTAGCATAAAGAGAATACATTAGTCAAAGCATACAAAACTTTGGAGGAATATCAGCTGTGGAAACTAAGAAGGTTATCATCCACACTATAATGACGTTTCGAATAAGCCTCTCCATGTAAGTTCATCATTACAACTAAAGATTTGGGGGTTCAGAGAGATGCACATAGCCATTCCAACTCGCCCTGGGTAGTCAGTCAAGAAGACACCTAGGACATAAGATATAACGATATAAATATTTTCATCAAGATGACATTGATAGAACTCTGACTTTTCATATGATGCTAATGTTATCCCTTTATATCAACAGAAATTACAATACAGATTGTCTAGAAACCCTAAGTCATGTCATTGTACAAGTGTTTGCTGAACGTGGACCATGAATGTGCTGTGAGGACAGGGAAGGGATCCTAAAGATGAACGCCACCTGATCCCTCTCCTCAGGGTCTTTCAGGGAGCGCATCATTAAGGCAAGTGCTTACAAATTGCATGAGCTCCTATACTGGTGATACAAGAATAGACAGTGTCGTGCTCAGAAGAGGCAGCATCTCAGAAAAAGCTTCAGAAGATGTCCTCAAAGATGACCTTGAAAGAGGAGAGAGAGAGAAGGAGCATGTTTCTCAGAGTGGGACCCATGAAAAGCAAGAGGTGGAAAATGTAGCCAACCACCCAGTGACCTCAAGAGGTCTAGACTATGATTCTAGCCAAGGTTCTGACAACACTGATGACTAATATGAAGATGTAGGCCTACACAAACACACACAAAAACAGGAAAATACAAAGGTATTTTTAAAACCTGAGGATATCTCAGAGGGATTTTTAAGTTAAAAAGAAGTATCTCTAGGATGGTCCATTATTTATTGAATTTTCTTTTGAGTCCCAGTGACCCCCTAAATTTCTAAACTAAAAAGTAGGAGGACAAATTTAATTTTGGTAGATTTCTTGATTAACTACAACAATATGGTATGCTCAGCTGAGAAAAGAATTTACCTGCAGGTTTTAGTGTAGTCATTCTGGATATTTCCGGATGTGAATATGAATGTTCAAATGAACATAAATGACCTTGATTTGTACCCTAAGTTATCTCAACAAAATTGTATGTCCTTTCCTCAAACAGAGCAATCTTTCAAACTGTATTTATTTTTTTAACTTGCAAATTTAATAAATCATCTGATTTTTGGTCTTGGATTTGCTCCCATTTCTCAACACAACATTCATCTTACTTAATTTTTAGCATTATGAAATCAAGAAAATATTAATGAATAAAAAAATTCTATTTAGAATTTTAGAAGAATAAGTTTAAAAATAGAGGATTGATTTTACACAATTTTGCTCCTCCCAAATCATCCCACAATTCTGATAAACTCTCAAGAAATTAATTTATTGACCACACTGCTAGTTTTGACCCACATCTTTATAAGGAATTTAAAAAGCACATAGACTCATCCATCCAGTGAGCAGTAGAAGTAAGCAACACTGCACGGCAGATTTGTAGCTTTAGTGTTAGAATGTAAATGATTAAACCTCAAAATCCTGAACTTTCTTAGACTGCATCACTGTCAATCTTCCAGGCACGGACCAGAATGAGAAATTTGACAAAAATTTTCTATGACATCATCTTTAATGAAATACAGGCAAAAAATGTAAAAACTCTAGGGACATTAATACAGATGAGGAAGTTTTTTTAAAGATAGCCATTTAGAAAAAATCACATGCATGTACTGAGTGATCCAAACATTTTTGGTAAATCATGCTAATTTAGAAATACCAAAGCAAACAATCAAGGAAGATCGATATTCCCTTAGGTGAGAGAGGAACTTTCCCCTACAGTGCGTTGATTTTACAATGAAAGACATCCTTCCCTCAGTCTCCCTGGCTTGGCTGCATATCTCAGAAAACTGTGATAGCTGACTTAACACTTGTTTTTACCAGGCAACATTTGATTTTCTCATTCATTAAATGAATATCTATAGAGTGTCTTACAACTACTCATTTCTTTAATAAATACCCAGTAAGGGCTGATCTATTCCAGATTCATGCAATACACATGTTTAGAGAATGCAGAGAAAAATTCACTAACCCCCCAGATCCTCCACACATATCCATAAGTAGACAAAGAATAAAAAAGCCTTTGAGATCAGGTGAGCTCAGAGAAGAAAGTAAATAATGGGTTAAATAAGAACACAATCGAGGGTGGAACCCACTTTAAATGGGAACAGGACAGGGTGCTCTGGGCAGAGGGAGTGGCACACAAAAATGTCCTAACACGGTATCCACTCAGATCACAAAACCAAAAGAGGACTGGGACAGCAGTTCAGTGAGAAGAGGATGGCCTGGGATGAAGGTGGAGAAGTGAGCAAGAGGCTTACTGTATAAAAGTGGAATAGGTCAGTGAAAGGAATTTGGGGTTCATTCTCAGTGTCATGAGAAACAGTCCTTTGTAAAACATTTTAGACTACGAAGGAGAAAGACAAGGATGGGCCAAAGATAAGTAATGTCAAGGCCGCCTTCAACACTTTCTAAATACCTGTTTTAAAGTGCTTTATATGCTTAATTTATTCCTTTCCTTTTCTTTTTTTTTTTTTTTTTTTTACAAGATCTTGCTCTGTCACACACGCTGGAGTGCAATGGTGCAATCCTAGCTCATTATAACCTTGAATACCCAGGCTCAAGCAATCCTCCTGTCTCAGCTTCCCAAGTAGCTGGGATCACAGGCATGTGCCATCATACCTGCCTAATTTTTATTATTATTATTATTATTCTTTGTACAGACAGGGTCTCCCTATGTTGCCCAGGCTGGTCTCGAACTCCTGGGATCAAGCAGTCCTCCTGCCTCAGCCTCCCAAAGTGCTTGGATTACAGGCATGAGCCACAGTGCCTGACCTTAACTTATTTATTTTGCAAACATCCCTCGAGGTAGGTACTCTTCTCACAGCCCTCAACAGCTGAGGAAACTGAGACACAAGACGTCAACTACTGAAATTCACACTCAAGAAAGTATCAGGTCTCCTGGCCTCTGTAATGGAAATTGATGACTACCACAGAGGAATACAAACAATGCATGTTAGAGAGAGCAGTGAAAGAAACAGCATTTTAGCCCTCAGTCATGAATAAGGTGTGGAGATGGGAAAATAACAGTATTCCAGGTTGAAAGAGAGCCTGAGAAGAATGAGAAAAAGCAAGAAACCAAGGTGAAATGCAGTGATTCCTATCCATACTCAGGTTGGGTGGAGGATGAAGTATAACACCCAGAGGAGTAAAATGATGACTGCAGTTGTAACGGCGGAGATGGGGCAGGTGGTGAAGCACAGTGGATGCTTGTTTATGAATTTTGAACGAGATAGTAGTCTTACATAATCAATTATTTGTGAAGATGAAGAAAGAATAGCTTTAAAAATAGATTGGAGAGTGTACAAGTCATAGACAGGATATGATTAAAATAGTAACACATAAAGTGAGAAGATGACCAAGGAAAGTACAGATGTATCTCAGAAGAAGAAATGACAGGACCTGTTATTTCTGAAAGTGATTTACACTGGGGATGGGAAAGAGAGGGGATTCAAATCCAAGATGAGGAATTGAGAGGAGAAGATGCCATGAGCAGGGAGCAGGGTAAGCTTGGCAAGAAAGATGATGGGACAATTTTGGGAACACTGAATTGAGTTTTGGCCAGAGCATATAGGCAATGTTGTTGAAAGGGGAGCTGTAAGGGCAGGAAGGAACTTGGAAGAGAAGTGAGAGCAGAAGATAGAGACCCCTGTGGTCTCTCCGATGGAAATAATCATCAAACCATGAGTAGATGCAAAGCTACATAGGACAGTACGGAAGGAAGAGGAGTGATTCGAGGATGGAATTTAGGGAGCGACAGTAACTGCAAAGGCAGGAGGAACAGACAATCAGAAAAGTCAGTTCAATTAATAGGCAGTGAAGGAAAATTAGAAGAATAGATTTGAGGAAGGAGAAAGTTACTCAAAGCAGGAGCAATAAATAAGACAGGGCCTATAGAGAAACTCCAAGCAGGATATGGGTTTGTTGAGGGGTCAGCCCTTCCAGTGGTCAGCTAGACAACTGAGGGGATGCCACCTGCTGTCAGAAAAAAAGGTATAAGGGAAGTGGGAACAATTACAGAAATGTTTCTCAATAAGAGTACCTGCTCTTGAAGTCAGGACACAAATAGGTCTTGGAATTATGATTAGAATGGTTGAAAAGGTCTTTTCATTTTCTTTTTTTTTTTTTTTTTGAGACAGGGTCTCACTGTGTCACCCAAGATGGAGTGCAGTAGTGTGATCTGGGCTCACTGCAGCCTCCGCCTCCCAGGCTCAAGCAATCCTCCAACCTCAGCCTCCCGAGTAGGTAGGACTACAGGCATATGCTGCCATGCCTGACTAATTTTTGTACTTTGTGTAGAGATGGAGTTTCACCATGTTGCCCCGGCTGGTCTCCAACTCCTGAGCTCAAGCAATCCTGCTTCAGCCTCCCAAAGTGCTGGATTTACAGGCATGAGCCACCATGCCCCTCTGAAAACGTCTTGATAATGGATATGTCTGCCAAGTTTCAGGAAAAAAGAAAAATGCATCCAAGCAACATAATATGGAAGACTGAAAAACAGTAATCTCTCAAAGTCTATTGATTACCTTATAATCACCAAAAAAAATAGTAAACATCTCTGTCAGTCTCATGTGTCTCCAAAGCATCTAATAATGCTGACCTTCACCTACCTCTGAACTCTCTCCCTTTTCTTAACTGGACAACTCCACCCATAACTGCAACCTTGGATGGTTATTCATTGTCTTGGCCTCTATCCAATAGTTTGCAAGATTCTATCAGTATCATCCTTCCAATGCCTCTGCAGAGCCTCATGCCATCCCCATTTCCTCAATCTCTACCACAGTTGAATCTATAACTAGATCTCAACTTGCATTACTGACCTTCTGTCTTCTATCCCTACCTCTACTATCATGAAACTGCTATTCCTTAAATAATTCTGCAAAAGTCCTAATATGATTGCCCCATTGCCTACAGAATAACATCTATATGGCTTACCATCAAGTTGCACCACCTGAAATGATCTGATTTCAATTTCATCACCCAAACTCAACATGCCCTTGAGACAACACTCAACACAACACAGCCCATTCCTCAACACTTGCTGTACCTATGTGTTTGTTCACACTTTCTCCTTTGTCCTTATGACAAAATTCTATGCAGCTCATAAGCCACCTCCTTTGGAAGAGCTTCTGGTGATAGTCTAGCTTCTGAGATGGCCAACTGACACCTGCAATTAACACCTTCCTGGAATCCTCATCCACATGGTGCCAGATTTGATTTGAACAACCAATAGCATGTAGCAAAAGTGACAAGGTGTCACCTCCAAATCAAGTGCAAAAGTGACAAGGTGTCACCTCCAAGATCAAGTTCTAAGAGTGTGTGGCTTTCACCTTAGACTCTCTTTCAGCCTCCCTCTTTCTCTCCTCACTTTCAGAAAAGCCAGCTGTTAATGTCACACGTCTAGCCCTAGGGAGAAGCCCATGTGGCCAAGAACTGAAGCCTCCTGCCAAGTGACACATAAGTGAGATTCTCCAACACCGTCATAAAACTGCAAGCCCTGTCTACAACTTGACCACAACATCATGACGGACCCTGAGCTAGAACTGGCCAGCTACACTGCTCCTAAATCCCTGATGTATAGAAATGCATGAGATGATAAATGTTTGCAGTTTTAACCTAAGGTTTAGAAGAATTTTTTATGCAGCAATAGATAACCAATGCAGTGTCCTAAATGACACAAATGGAAAACAAGATTCTGTGCTGCCAAGGTCTGTGTTTTTACCCACTTATGGAATGTGTGACGTGCATGCCTTGTAGTATAGGTACTTTCATTTCTCATTTTCTCTTCCTTACTGAGAGTCTCCCTGGGATCAGAGGTTGAATCTTATCTGTGTTTCTATCACTGACGGTATCTGGCATGGTGACCTTCTCAAAGTAAGATGTCAGTACATAGTTATCAAATGTATAAACGAAGAAGGAAGAAAAGATGTTGTATGCATGGTTTCTCAGTCTTTAAAGGAAGAATAGCTGCATGCAGCCTGGAATTACCAGACCTTCGTTTGAGAAGCCATATACCTGTGGATCCCTGAAATGAGAAACAATCTGCTGCCTTCAAGTTGCTGTAGTGTTTTGAATGATAAGCCTAGCATTTGGGGGCCATGGGGAAATAAATAATGCCCAGCACGTCAATGAGTTTTTATGGTTGTTGTTATTAATCTTTAAGTCCCTCACAGTCCATAGCACATGGTAGATGCCCAATAAATATGCATTGGCTTGAATTGACTGGGAAACTGAAAACATAAAGATAACTTATAAATCAGTAGAGCACAACTGGATGACAAAAAGCAAATGATGAGACCCAGAGCTGTGGATGCCGGCCTCTGAACAGGAAGGAATAAAACAGAATGTTGAGCTCAAAACTTAAGCAGGTCATGTGTGCACATGTAACCCAGAAATACCCTAAGGCAGTAGTTCTAAAAGAGTGATCCCAAGACCAGTAACGGCAACTTCAACTGGGGAATTATGGGTCCCATCTCAGATCTGCTGACTCAGAAACTCCTGGGATGGATCCCAGCAATTTGCCTTTAACAAGACCTCTAGGACACTCTGATGCTTATGTTTGAGAAACACTACACTGGACCATCTGCTTCAAAAGCAATGAAGACATTGGGTTTAGCACCTCCTTTCAGTAACAATGTACCGAAGACTATCATTCTGAGAAATTCAGCAACAAAATGGATGGGAATTAACCCCAGAACCCATGGTTTTGTGGATGCAGCAATCAGGCAAACCAGGAAACCATGAGCCAATTCTTACCATTACAACACATCGCTGAGGGTCTGCAGCAGGAGCTCAAACTCTATCCCTTTTATCACTAAAAGATGTCACCCTGCAACACGATCATCCCCCAATGTATTCATCTCTACAACCATTTCTTTCAGTTATTTCTACCTCCTCCCAACTTGCAGTTTTCTCATCATTGGGAAGACCTTTCATGAACCCTGACAGCATCCCCATACCTACGAATTCTCATATTCTCCTAGCCCCATGCCCATTGGCTGTGCCACTCTGATTAGAGTCATGGTGTCAGAAGCATTTATGCTATTGCTTGATAAGTGTCTTTATCCTCCAGCAGAGCACACACTCCAGGAGGGAGCTGGTGTCTCTTCTTCACCTACCTCACTGAGCAGCCCAGTGCCTGCCAGTCAACGGGCACTCAGTGATCAGTGTACTAAAAGCACAGCTAAGTTTCAAAAAGTTCTGACATTCACATCAAATGTGAGGTTAAAGAGGGTCGCATTAATCCAATTTCTAAAGGTTAAGAAAGATCTCTTCCCAGATAAGAAAAGAGAAGGCATGAATAACAAAACTCTATGTCCATACAAGAGCAGGGAAAGATGTAGTGTTTGATCATTTGTTTAATGGTTTACAATTCACAAGTTTGAAGTTGAAAATACACTGGAGAAACCCAACGTTGCAGTTCCTATTTCCTGAGAGTCAGACATAGAATAAAGTGAAGGCAAAAATTGAATACTATGAAGTGTACTCCCCACCACCAAGTTCAATTTCAGTGCAATTTCAATTATCTACCATAAATTACACACTGTGCTTTTAGGATACTACCTGACTTCTGAGGATCTAGATGTCTTGCAGTGTGTAAATACTTGTGAATGGGTTTTAAATTACACCATTTCTACTAGCAAGCCTCCTCTTGCCAATTCATATCCAACACTTAACCAGGTCACAATGAAGTTTATTTAGAAAACACACGGAGCATCTCATATCCCTAATCATGGTTTAAAATGAGCAGTATTCAAGTCAAGCGTCTTAATTACAATGATCATTGTTCTCAAATCATATAGCTTAGAAAGGCCCTGGAGACAGGTCCAACTCACTCATTTTACAGTTGAGGGAAGGGAAACCCAACTGTTGATCTTCAGACACCTGCAATGAATTATGAGACCCCCCACTCCACAATGTGTTGATGCAGTGACATGGAGCAGTGGAGTCTCTAAAATCCTCATGACGATGTGAAAGTGATTCTGGAAGACAAGTGTGGCTGGGTGAGGAGTCTGCCCTTCAAACCCAGCTCTGCCCCAAGCTGGCTGCATAACTTCAGGTCCATCCATTATGTACCACATGGGCTATGAGTGATATGTTCATTAATTTGATTGTGATCATTGTTACACAATGTATACGTACATCCAGTCATCACACTGGACACTTTCCATATTACAGTCTTTGTCAAATAAGTATTTTTAAATGAAAAAAAATGAATTTAAATAAATAACTCTGTGTCTTGGTGTATGAGTTTCCTAGAGTTACTATCAAAAAGAATCACAAGGCTTATGTCTCAGGAAACAGGAATATACTCTCTCAAAGTTCTGAAGTCTAGAAGTCCAAAATCATGATGTTGGCCATGCTCCCTCTGAGGGTTCTTGGTGAGGATACTTTCCTGTCTCTTCTAAATTCAGGGAGTTGCCAGTAATCCTTGGCATTCCCTTTTTGTAGCTGCATCATGCCAACCTTCCATCATCAGATGGCCGTCTTCACCCTGTGAGTGTCTGTGTCTTCACATGGTGGTTACGACACCAGTTGTACGGAATAAGGGCCACCTTAATCACCTCATTGTAATTACATCTGCAAAGACCTTATTTCAAAATAAGATCACATTCTGAGGTGCTGGGCATTAGGATTTCAATATATCTTTTTGGGGAACACAATTCAATCTGTAACACAGTTCAATCCATAACAGTAAACCAGATTTTATTTGTAAAATTAGAGGGTAAGAATCAAGGTATTTTAGTTTCAATCACTAAAATGTCAAGCCTGGAACAAAGTAGAACAATAAAATTGCACTAGATTCTCTCTCTCTCTCTCTCACACACACATACACACACACACACACAGACATATTTAGAATTGGGAATTGAGAAAATGCAACCTTTGGATGGATGGGTGGATGAGTTTACTTTCAAACAGGCATTTTATCATCATACAAAAATGACCTTGCCATTTCTACACATTTGCATCACATTGATGAATGAGGTCAGAATATATTCTCTCTGCACATATTCAAAACTGCATCCACCATAAATGTGGAGCACAACTGCAACCAAACTGTATTTGGGAGCAATTTGCATACATACATCAAACACTGTGTGCAATAATGTATAATAAGTTAACTTTTCCTTTTCTCCTATAATTGGCTGGAGCCTGATTTATTGACCTATTTCCTTGTAGAGCAAAAACTTATTGTAAACCCATCCCATTACTTAGTTGGAATATTTTAACCATGGCATCAACATCTCAAAAATGTAACCAAATTTTTAAAAATGTACCCAAGAAGAAGTAAAACACTTACGTTTATGAGTGGCTTAATGAAAATAATATAGATTCCTTGTATCAAATATAAATATTAAATAAATGCATATGGGAAAAGAACAGGATTCACTGCATTATACAATTTTATAGAATGAAAATCTTCTTGACTAGTTGGTGAGTATCTCCCAGACTTTTAGAAATTTGATATGGAGTGAAAGTTGGTGCTTCAAATGAAATGAGGCTTATTGCTATTTTATTAACATTGGAATAAAAATAACTGGTTTTGCATATATCCTTTTATTATTAAAGATGTAAAAGGTGTCCATTTATTATCAAAATTAAAAACGATATTATAAAATAACCTATTATGAGGTCACTTATGACAAATGTTATACTGCATTCTTTGGGGTTGGCGACATTAATTCTGAATCTCTGCGGTTAATAATACATCTTTTAAAAACACATCTGCCACATAAATTCATCTCATATTCACTCACAGAATATCAAAAGTTCTTATTTTGTTGGATAATCTAATTTTAATCAATCAATGTAACAGTTCAGAAAATATAACACCATTTTCAAACAGTCTTAAATTTAATTTTCTGTGCAGCACATTTCTGGTGTTCCCATTGATGTTAATAAGTTCTAATAACTGACAGCTCTCATCAATGTGTTCATATCTGTGGAACAGTAAATCTCATTTTTCACATCAAATGTTCAAATACTCTCTTCCCATCTACTGAGCTTTCATTTGGAACATGATTTTGCCCAATTTTAGATAAGCTAGCTGCATTTCGTTCTGCACTTTGTTCTATCAGATACTTATCAAGGATTTTCTTTTTCTTTATTTCCAGTCTTTGTTTTCTCGTAAGCTCTCACTTATATAAATCAATGCCACCTCCTTTCGGATAACGTGCGTTATATTAACTGTCCCCAAATGTCAATCCGATTCTCATTACAATTGATAGAATTCATAAAGTCTATTCTGGTTATGAAAAACATCTTCCAAAATAATGTGGTTACTATCTCTCATTGCACTCTTTGCCCAGTTTATCTTATCTGGTCATGCCCAGTATACACGTCGGGGCTACTAGAACCCAAAAACCAGTGAAATTCCCCATGTAAAACTTGGAATAAGTACACCTCATTTCATAACAGAGCTTTTTAACTGGGATGGATTTTACTCCCAAGGGGATATCTGAGACTGTCTGCAGACATTGTGGATGTCAAACTCAAAACATAACAGAGGTTGATGAGGATGCAGAGAGAAGGGAATCCACATACACTGTTGATGGGAATGTAAATTAGTATAAGTTCTATGGAAAACAGTATGGAGAGTCCTCAAAGAACTAAAAATAGAACTACCATCTTATCTAGCAATCCCACTACTGGGTATCTACGCAAATAAAAAGAAATCGCTATGTCAAAAGGATACCTGCACGCATACGTTTAATACCGCACTATTCACAATAGCAAAGATATGGAATCCAGCTAGGCATCCATCAATGGATAAATGAATAAAGAAAATGTGGTATATATGAATAACGAAATATTATTCAGCCATAAAAAGAACGAAACTATCTCTTTTGCAGGAGCATGGATGGAACTGGAGGCCATTACCTTAAGTGAAACAACTCGGAAACAGAAAGTCAAAAACCACATGTCCTCACTCCTAAGTGGGAGCTAAATAATGTGTACACATGGACACAGAGAGTGGAATAATAGACCCTGGAGAATCAAAAAGGTGGGAGGGTGGTAGGATGATGAGGAATGAGAAATTACTTAATGGATACAATGTATGTTATTTGGGTGGTGGTTACACTAAAAACCCAGATTTCATCACTATGCAATATATCCATGTAACAAAACAGCACTTGTGCCCGTTAAATTTATATAAGTTTTTTTTAAAACAGGAACGTGTATACAACGGGCACCTAGAAGCTTGAGTCCAGCAATACCATTCAGCATCACGCAAGGCACAGGACAGCCACCACAACAAAGAATTATCCAGCCTCAACGTCAAGAGCACCAAAGTTAGTAAATCTTGTTTTGTAAGAGACATGCATCCTTTTAAAATATCTGAGTAAATCAAGTCACATTTTAAATTATACAGAATTTAATAGTTTGTAAAATTCTCTAGTGCATCCTTGTGTAACAGGTTCCAATGATCTACTAATAATAGTTCACCATCCCTGATACTCGCTTAGAAGTCTGGATTTATATCATGCATACACACACACTCACAGATACACACACATACACACACACAACTCTTCTTAAAATGAGGCATACTTACATTAGCATAAGAATGATAGCCAACTATCTATAACTGTATAGATTAGATTAGTTTGGTTTTCTTTAGTCATATTTTTCCTGTTTTTTAGAGACAGAATCTCTCTGTCACCCAGGCTGGAGTGCAGTGGCACTATCAGAGTTCACTGCAGCCTCCAACTCCTCGGCTCAAGCCATCCTCCTGTCTCAGCCTCTCCAGTAGCTGGGATTACAGGAGCGAGCCATCACATCTGGCTATTTTTTTTCTTTTTTTCTGTAGAAACGCGGTCTCATTATGTTGTCGAAGCTCGTCTTGAACTCCTGGCCTCAAGCAATCCTCCCTCTTTGGCCTCTCTTTAGCCTCTATCATTCAAAATATCACATGCAATGTGGAGTTCAATAGAACTAATAATTTTACTTAACTGTGGGTTGGCAAAGAGGAAAAAATTGCAGTTGATTCTTTGTGCGTGCGTGTGCGCCCGTTTGTGTGTGTGTGTGTGTGTGTGTGTGTGTGTGTATGTATGTAATGGTGCAACAAAAGCTACCTTCTGACACCCCTCTATCTTTGCTTCTCATCAGATCTGTATCTCTGCCAGGTACTAGATAATATGAGGCTGAGGTGGGAAGATTGCTTGAGCCCAGAAGTTCAAGACCGCATCGAGCTATGATTGCATCACTGCACTCCAGCATGGGCGACAGAGCGAGACCCTGTCTTCAAAATAAAACCTTGTTAAAAATAGATAAAACTGAGATATACTGAGTCCAAAGAGCTGTCACGTAGCTGGCCAAATTTACCCAGCAGCATTCCTTCTGGGTAGAACACTACCAAGTCACACAGCGTTTGCTCCTAAGGAGTTAGTAACTTAAGACTGTGCATTACGGAAAATACACACGTTCCTTCTAAAATAACTTGACAACTACATTTTCCAATTCTAAAACCCACTTTCATGTAGAGTAAAAAGAGCAGTTTTTTCAACAAGAATGTGCATAAAAAGATAGGGAAGCTATATCAATTAAAAGAAATGTAAAAGACAAATCAACCTATTGCAGTGCTAGACCTTGACCTTGCGTGAGTTACAAAACTACGAGAAGATCATTTTGACAGTTACAACTTTATAGTGGATGATACAGAGGAACTACTGTTGATAATTTTAGGCATGGAAAAGATTCTGCAGCTGTGTAAAATAAAATGGTTCCTATATTTTAGAGCAACGTACAGACATATCTTTAAATGAATTACATCATGCCATAATAAGAATGGAAATATGAATGAAGTTAGATACTAAAGATTAGGCTATCCATTCATAATTGCTGAAGCCAACTGATGGGCACATGGGATCCTTTATTCTATCTTCTCTGCCTTTTTTTATCATAACCAGAAATTTTCTGTAGTAAAATATTCCATAAGGTTTCAAGTGAATACAAATGTTTACAGAAGGGATACAAGAGGGAAAAATGTGTACAGACCAATGCAGAATGTTTTTTGAAACATACAAAAGAAAATAAGCAATGCCCCTATAATGAAGAATGCCCAATTTGAAAATTAGAGGCGGGAGGGGTGTGGAGTAAAAAAAGAAAAATACATTAGAGGAGCAAAAACATTAAAATAAGCCAAATGTCAAAAAATATATAAAGAACTGGGTATGTTAAAGCATAGTCTTTTGAGAAAATTAACCATGAAAAACAATGCTTATGAAGATTTTTAATAATCCTAAAATAGCTTATGCTATCATACTGTAGGAAATGTAAAGTTCAAAATGGTATAGATAGAGATATATATAGATCTAGACATAGAAATATAATGTGAATATCGGTAAAGATATGTGTACAGATACAAAAATAGATATGATTAAGATATAGATAAGAATAGATACTGTTATTGATATGCTGTAGCTATAGACTCTAATATTGGTACAGATACCATACAAAGATGTGATCTACAGGCAAATATATATGTCCATACGTACATATGATATAAATGCAGGTAAACACGTAGATGTAGATAGAGAATTATCATCTGTGTTTAAAATATTCACAAAATCCCTTGAACAAACTATACAGTTATTTACTATTAACTACTAGCCTATGGAATGATGATCCAGTTTTACATTTCTTTTTTCAAAGTTTCTGTATTTCTTTCCCATACTACTCTTCATTCCTTCACCATAAGAAAAAAAAACATCCTGCCCTTAAAAGCCTCCTTGAGGCTGGGCACAGTGGCTCATGTCTGTAATCCCAGCACGTCAGGAGGTTGAGGTGGGCGGCTCATCTGAGGTCAGGAGTTCGAGACCAGCCTGGCTAACATGGTGAAACACCATCTCTACTAAAAACACAAAAATCAGCCTGGTGTGCTCGTGGGCACCTGTAATCCCAGCTACTTGGGAGGCTGAGACAGGAGAATGGCTTGAACCAGGAGGTGGAGGTTGCAGTGAGCCAAGGTCGCGCCACTGCACTCCAGCCTGGGCGACAGAGCAAGACTCCATTTAAAAAAAAAAAAAAAGAGTCCTTGAAATGGCTACGATTTGCTTATATTCCTTATTCAGAGAATAGATCCAGTTACATGAATTAAAAAAAAAAGACTGCTTCTTAAGCAATGCTTAAGTAATAACCGCCTGTATGCATATTAAAATTTTATGTTAAAACACATCATAAGGTTAAGAGGATGATATCACCTTTTGAAATACTGATGGTTGTGACAAGACGCACACAGCCATTCATCTACCCTGATCAATGGGGTCCTCTGGAAGTCTTCTGGTTAGTAACATGTTCCTTCAACTTTATACCTCTTTATCAAAAGACACTAGGATGAGTGTTGGGAGGAAAGCCCCACTCTTAAGCTGTGGTATGGGTGGTTTTGCTTACTGCATAGGAAGTTCGTAGATTAAAGCAATGAAGCATATTCAAGGACGCTGTAATGTTTGCCCATCCACTGAGGTTTCCTGATGGAAGAAGGTGTTTTTGCAAGCTGAGCATCCATGAACCAGCAGGGCTGAGAGTTTCTCTAAGAGTCATTTACCATTGAGTCCCCTCATTTACTTGCTATTCAAGTGAATAGACTCTCTGGTGTCTACATCATGGCCACAAGGAATATAAAGTGGAATAAGTCACAGCAATGTAGCCCAAAGCATATCTAAAATATCCATGTGTCCATACTGATATAAATGATTGATTAAGTAAATAAAGGGGAGAGACCCATCTTTCTTAGAGAAGAATTCCAAATAATTTATCGATATTCCACCATCCGGAAAGTGGAGCTTAATTCTGCCTCTTCTCCCACCCCCACCCCACTTTAGGGACTTGGTTTCAAAGACTAGACTTGGGCAGGGAGGGGAGAGTACAACTTTACAGCAGAGAAAAGTGACAAACTCTCTGTCAGCCAGGTGATCAAAGCCAACACCAGCAGCAAAAGTCTTCTGGACAGTAGTCACCGTTGCTAGGGTGAGATGAAGGAAACCTTCATCTCTGTGGATTTCCTCCCCCAAACACATACCCCTGTCTAAAACATCAGACTGGCTCTAGTTGGTGGACATTCTCCATGACATTAATACCTCAAAACTATTAAGGTCATGAAAAACAAGGAAAAACTGAGAAACTGTCACAGACTAGATGAGGCTAAGAAAATAGGGCAAATCCATGCAGTGTGGTATTTCAGATGGTACCTCAGAAGAGAAAAAGGACATTAGGTGGACACCAGTGAAATCCAAACAAATTGTGATGTCAGTTCTTAGTAACGTACTAATGTTGGTTCCTTAAGTGTAACAGATGGTCACGTAAGATGCGATATGCGTGTGGAGTTAAAGAGTAACTCTCTGTACTATCTTTGCAACCTTTCAGCAAACCTGAAACTATCCTAAAATTTTTAAAAGGTTATTTTAAAAAATGAAAACAGTAGCGCACAAATGTCCTTTAAAAAGATTAAAACAGGTTTGTATTTTGTAAAAGTAGTCAATGTGTAAGAATCAAAGAGTCAGAATTATCATCTCAGTGGAACAATTCTGCTGGCTTCCACTCCTGAAACTTTCCACCAAATGGAATAATCAGCACCTTCTTTTAATCCTGCAGAATCAATGCCTCAGTGTACAAAAGCAACAGCAACAAAGTTAAAGTTTGGAAATGTCTCTCCTCTACATAATAAATGGAGCATTCCCAGCGCACTTACTTTAAAGCATTGTGGAAAAAAATAATGAACGTCAGTCACACAGTTTTATCCACTGCGGCATTCTCAAATCCTTAGATGGGGAGTTGTAAAAACCAAAAAACACCACTGACAAGGTCGTCAAGCTGTTTGACAAACCATAATTAATTCTCAGGTCAACAGAAAGCATCTCGATAAAAGCTGTGACTGAAAATACTCCAGGTTTCACAGGTCTGCACTGCAAAAAACAGTTACCCCAAAATATGAATGTCAGGAGTGGAGTGGGCTTTTGTCGTTGACGCACAACACAGCGGGTTCTGTTCTTAACACATCTGCAAGTCCTTATTCTGCCCTTCGTTTGCCCTTGAACCAGCCCTCTGAGAAAGACTAATCATCACAAAATACAGATTTCACCAAGTCATCTCTCTCTTGGAGAGTTGACAGGGCATATGTGAACCCTTCAATTTTACAAGACCCTCCAAGAGACTAACTCCTGCAAATCCAACTTCCTATTTTGCCTTCTGTGTCTCTTTGAAGCTGAGGATTTCAATGCACAGGCTCACCCGCAAAAGAGGGTCGTGGAGCCTCTTTGCCTCTAGGCCCTTTTGTTTGACTCTTAATCTAATGAAGGTAGATGTTTCTTTTCTCTTGATTATATCTCCCAGGACTAAACATAGATGGAGAGAGAAGTAGAATCCACCAGTTTTTGCAGAAAGATAGAGCCAAGTGCGGTGGCTCGCACCAGTAATCCCAGTATTTCAGGAGGTCAGTCCGAAGGATCCCTTGAGCCCAGGCGTTCGAGACCAGCCTGCGCAACATAGTGAGACCCCGTCTCTTAAAAAGAAAAATATGTGTATAGAAAGTTCTCATCACAGACAAAGCCCTGTAAGGAAAGGAAAGAATCATCCCTGAAAAAGATCTTATCCTTTCTTAACAATGCTTGAGACACAGCAAGGTGCATTAAACAAAGGCAATTAATTAACACTTCAAAAAATGTAAAAATGCTGGGTTCTGACTTACAAATAAAAACAGGGAATGGGAGCGGGGTTAGAAACAGCTAAGGTGCATTCATCATAACTCATAAAACAAAATGAGTTCCCACCAACAAGTTCAGCTTTTAATGTGGGACATGTCTTTTCCTGCTTTCTCTGCTAGTCCCTTTCATAGAAATGATTTATCTGTTTAAATCGCTGCTGCATAATAAAGAAAAGTCTGTTTTGAAAATTAAATAATGCACTTTGCTTTATTTTGCCCATTTAAAATTACTTCTAATTTTGTAAGCTTGTCATGAACTGGCGTAAGCAGATATGTTAAAAATTGGGGGTATTCCTTTTTCATTGCAGGGATAGTGTTTAAAATTATGGAGATAAATCACGGCCGGGCATGGTGGCTCACGCCTGTAATCCCAGCACTTTGAGAGGCCAAGGCAGGTGGATCACCTGAGGTCGGGAGTTCGAGACCAGCTGACCAACATGGAGAAACCCTGTCTCTACTAAAAATACAAAATTAGCCAGCAGTGGTGGTGTGTGCCTGTAATCCCAGCTACTTGGGAGACTGAGGCAGGAGAAACACTTGAACCTGGGAGGCAGAGGTTGCGGTGAGCCGAGACTGCGCCATTGCACTCCAGCGTGGGTAACGAAAGCGAAACTCCGTCTCAAAAAAAAAAAAAAAGGATGAGGATAAATCACTGAAACTCTCTGTGACTCAATTTCCTTGTGTACATGAGGGAATACAAATGATTGCTCAAGTACATTCAAGTCCTAACAATCTGTGATTCTGTTTTCCAATTTCATCATGAGTATCCCAACAAACTGTACTTCAAATTCAATGCAGGCAATTTAGTAGACACTGAAGCATATTTTTACCTTTCCAAATTGGAAGTGGATAACAAGGTAACAATAGCACTGTCCCTGGAGCCATCCTGTCCTGTCTACTCCCAGTGAAGTGAAATAGCTGAAAGATGTGGAGAGTAAATACTCAAACACTTTTTTTTTTTTTTTTGAGAGAGAGTCTTGCTCTGTCGCCCAGGCTGGAGTGCAGTGGCGTGATATCAGCTTACTGCAACCTCCGACTCCTGAGTTCAAGCCATTCTCCTGCCTCAGCCTCCTGAGTAGCTGGGACTACAGGCACGTGCCACCACACCTGGCTAATTTTTGTATTTTTAGTAGAGATGGGGTTTCACTACTTGAACTCCTGACCTCATATGATCCACCCACCTCGTCCTCCCAAAGTGCTGGGATTACAGGCATGAGCCATCGTACCCAGACCAGACCCTTTTCTTAATTTGAAGAGAGAATTTTTTTCCTGTCATATAGGTGTTGGAAGGATGTCAGATGAGAGCTGGGATGGGGAGAGGAAGTAAGGAGGAAAGATAAGCAGCTCCCTTCCATTCTGACCTGCTGTGGCAAGAATCCCGGGACTAGCAAGACCAACAGGATGCAGCTGGCTTCACTGAACATAATTTGCTATTAGCATCTTCAGGAACACACACTGCTGGATAAATTCCCTTCCAGGAGAGGCCACAACTGACCACTACATGGAAGAGACAGCTGCTTCTTCACTAGCCAATGAGGCATCCCCACCCAAGTGTGACCAAATGCCTCTGAGGCTCAGCCCCTCACTCCAGAATGCCCCCAGGTACCTGAGGATGCTCCAGATTTGGGGGCTGCACCGTCTGTGGTTTCTCTACATTAAACAGTATTTTTGTGGAGTCAGGGGTGAGGGAGTATGGTTTACTTTTAAATATAGTTTTGCAAACTCCTCTGTTTGGTTTTTGTTTGTTTGTTTTTCATAAGCTATGTTTAAAGTCAATAGAGAAAAGGTAAATGCATACCCTGGAATTATTCAGCAATAGAATAACACCAATCAAATTCTGTCCAGATAAATGAGGCATTTGAATTCTTTTTAAGAGATGGAGTGTCACTCTGTTGCCCAGGCTGCAATGCAGTAGTGAGGTCATAGCTCACTGCAGCCTCAAACTCCTGATATACTCCTCAAGTGAGCCTTACACCTCAGCCTCCTGAGTAACAGGGACTACAGACATGCACCACCACACCTGACTTATTTTTAAATTTTTTTCGTATGGATGGTGTTTCCTAGACTGGTCTCAAAGTCCTGGGCTCAAGTAACCCTCCTTCCTTGGCCTCTCAAAATGCTGGAATTACAGGCATGAGCCACTGTACCCAGCCACATTTGAACTTTTTACAAATACTGCTACAGCATTACAGGTAGAATAATTATTCTTTGAAAAACCTTCAGGAAGATGTGCTCCCCAATAAAAAGTGAGCTATGTATGCATATGTAAATGTATGTGTATTTTACATATACAAATATATGTATATAATTTACATATGTATTTATAACATCAGGATACATGTTGGTCTAGAAAGAAACAATTTTTTATTATTTGGGATCTTACTAGATTAAATGCCTAAATACATTTGATTGTGAAATGACTAGACACATAACTTCTTGTGTAATTTTAAGTTAATTTTTATAAATTATGTCATATTCTGGTTATTCACTTACGGGAGGCTTATCAATTGAGATATCAAATAAATCCTGGAAGGTTATTTTACTGGTGAAATTGTCATGACAGACTGAATCATAGTACACAACCACTGTCACACAAATTCTATGGGAAGCCATGTGTGATTTATTGTTCTGTCCTCATAATATGGTACCGTTTAATCTCTACCATGAACCTAGATTGTCAGAAGATTTTTTTTTTGAGGTATTGATTCCCTCACTAGGGTTGGTTGGTTGGTTTTATGCTGCAACAAATTCAGATTTTCCCCACTTTCTACTACTGCCATTCCTGTGTCTGCTTTATGTTTTCAGTCTCTGCACAGGTAACTGGTATTTAACTTCCATGTAACTTGTTACCCTTTCTCCCTGGGTCATCCTTACTGTTTGTTACTGTTTGAGACAGCATGAGGGGCCTTGTCTTGACCTTCCTACTGGGTTACATTTTAGCTAGTAACCAGAACCCTCTGTGGTAACAGGCAACTAGAAACCCAAATGTAAGGGTTTTGATTGTGGTTTACTTATATTTGTTTTCATTGCTGTTGCTATTTTCTAAATGTCTTGTCTACTTCTCATTGGTTCTGATGCACTAAGTCTATCCGTTCCGCCTAATTCCCTGTAATGGCATCTACATTATTCATTTCTTCCCACAGCATACAGTTGGCATGTGGGTAAATTTGCAATACGGGCATGCATGTTAAGGCTTCTTCAGCCAACAGAGCAAGCCTGCTACCTCAAGGCTAGGACAAACCTACCCTCAAAAGCATTACCTAAGACAAGCAGCCTTCTCCCCTCCCTCAAGAATCATATTAACTCCATGATGTTTATCAAATACTTTCATCTCCTTGCTCATCAACTGTAGTAGTCGGTCTGTTGAAGAAGTTAAAATCGAACTATATAATTACCCTCTGAGAATTCGAACATGAACCTAATTCCTAATATTTGGGCTATGTAGCTCTGATGATTTTGCCCTTAACTATTTAAGAAAGATGTATGAAGACTGAATCAAGCTGTTGTTTTCCTTAACTTTTGAAATAGGACATGAGAGATTAAACCCACACACACACACACACACACACACACACACACACCAGAAGAAAAATTCTGGTAAAACTTATTTGTTCTTAAACATAAAACCAGAGGTGCAAAATAACATTAGTGTATGGTTAATATAGGAAAGATAAGCAATTTCATCTTCTTTGTACCCCACTTATTGGTACTCAACAAGTTTTGAATAAATTCGTGAAATAAAGAAAAAAACCAACAAGTTCATATCTCCAAGTAGTCTTGGTAATTTAAACACTTTCAAGTATCTTCATACCCTGTTAGTACTTCTTTCTGCTCTGTGTCAACAGAAGTATTCTCAACACTCTTGTGGTTAATTTGGTTAAAACTCATTACAAAGAACCCTAAGTTATCCGTCACAGCTGCTAAACCCATTAGTACAGGAGACTTTAAGGCCATAATGTGTCCATTTTCAGGATATAATTGAAGAGAGGCAAATGATATATGGTTTTCCAAAAATATTGGACCAGGCAGCCTCTTCAAGAAAGAATCCCTGATTCGGGAGTTCTTATACTTTTTCAAGAAATAATATATAGTAAAATCCATATACATCTATAATAAATATATTCCAATGTATATATATTGTATATATATAGTTCTTGTTCTTTTGTATGAAAAGTACATGCAAATTTTATATGTATATACATATATACGTATATATATGTATGTGTGTGTGTGTATATATATATATACACACACACAAACCATATATATAGTTTGACATGCATTTTCCAAAAGAAACTATATTGTATGTGGTGAATGAACTTCCAGGCTGGTTCACAGGAGCTATTGTTAGTTAATGGTGCACAGAAACCACAGCTTCCTTCCCTCTTCCCTTCCTTTCTTCTTTCCTTCCTTCCTTCCCTCCTTCCTTCCTTCTTTTTCTCTTCTTTCTTTCCTTCCTTCTTTCCTTCTTTCCTTCATTCCCTCCCTCTCTCCTTCCTTTTTCTCTTCTTTCTTTCCTTCCTTTCTTCTTTCCCTCCTTCCCTCCTTCTCTCCTTCCCTTCGATCTATCATCCTTCTCCCTCCCTCCCTGCTTCCTTTCTTCCTTCCTTTTCTCTTTTCTTTCTTTCTTTCTTTCTTTCTTTCTTCCTTCCTTCCTTCCTTCTTTCCTTCCCTCCCTTCCTCCCTTCGTTCCTCCATCCCTTCCTTCTTCCTTCCGTCCTTTCTTCCTTCCTTCTTCCCTTCCTTCTTTCTTCCCTCATTCCTTTATTCTATTTGGATGAGTGACAAGGTCTCAGGGATCCTTAAAGTATTAAAGAGAAAATGAAGATAATTCTATAGAATAACAGATCAAATAGGAAAGAGTAATGAAAAGAAAGACTCCTGGAATGACAAAGAAGCATGTTCATGACAATTTAATAGAATTTCCCACATGCCATATTTGTATAGCTGGTTATATTTTAAAACTTTGTCAAACCCTATATTTATAAAACCTTGATTTTGATTTTAGTAAATTCTATGAATAAATGCATACATAAAGCAGATTACTTTGATTCGACAAAAACATACAGGCACCTGTGAGCTTTTTTTTTTTTTATGTGGTAGTGGAAACAGCCTCATTAATTAATGGCTATTTCCTATATTCTTTTTAAAATTAATAAGCAACAGTCAGATATTTCAGCATTTTTAAGGCATGAACAATACCTTGGATTCTAATATATTTTAGTCTAAAATATCTGGTAACATCACAGATAATTGTTTCAAACTCTACCACCCCTCACACAATTTATTTTTCAACAATTTAAAGTCTTTTAGAATAATGAGATAACCTTAAAAATAGACAACATTACTCATACTGGTGAGCTAGGATTGCTTAAAGATGAGGCATAGATTGCATTGTCTCAGAGGAAAATATTTCTCAGAGGGACCAAGAGAAATAAAGGTGAGAATCTTCTACAAAGGCAGATAAAAGGGTTATGAGTTTAGCGTTGGTAAAGGGTGCCTAGTTTGATCTTTGTAAAAGTTGTCTATTTCTCCATACAAGTACACAACATTGCACAATATTGATGGACAAGAGAGGGTAGAATTTTGTCACACATAGATAGTTTCACTATAAACATAGGCGGTAACACCTTTTTTGGAACTAGTACTCAAATTAGAAAAAAAAAGCTTCCAGGAGACCTAGAGAAAATGGACACCTGTCCCTTAAACACATACTTTCTACTTACTTAGGTCTCATGTTAACGAATGTCTTCACTCCTAAATAAGGAGTACATCCAGACCCATCATAGGTAACTTTATAACTTTCTTTTTTTTTTTTTTTTTTTTTGAGACAGAGTCTCGCTCTGTCACCCAAGCTACAGTGCAATGGCACGATCTTGGCTCACTGCAACCTCCCCCTCCCAGGTTCAAGCAATTCTCCGGCCTCAGCCTCCTGTATAGCTGGGATTACAGGCACACACCACCACACCCAGCTAGTTTTTGTATTTTTAGTAGAGACAGGATTTCGCCATGTTGGCCAGGCTAGTCTTGAACTACTGACCTCAGGTGATTCGCCCACCTCAGCCTCCCAAAGTGCTGGGATTACAGGCGTGAGCCACCACGCCTGGCCAACTTTATAACTTTCATTGTACATTTTCTATTTTTATTTATTATTTATTTATTTATTTATTTATATTTTTAGAGATAGGGTCTTGCTCTGTCTCCCAGGCTGGAGTACACTGGCGTAATCATAGCTCACTGCAGCCCTGAACTCCTGGGCTCAAGTGATCCTCCCACCTCAGCTGGAACCACAGGTACTTGCCATCAGGCCCGGCTAATTTGTTTTTAATTTTTGTTTCTTTGTGGAGTTGGGGTCTCACTCTATTACCCAGGCCAGATGTTATGAGTTGTTTAATATAGATTTGGTGAATGATGAGGATAAGAAAAAGAAAATAATGGAAAACCACATTTTTCCTTCTTATATTATATATATATATATATATATATATATATATATATATATTTGCTTTTATCTAATGTGTTGCAATGGCTGAGAAAAACATTTTCAGCAAAGACTAGTTCCTAGTTAATGTGTTAGCATATGCATACATGTATGTGTATACACCCGCTCATACACACTGCCATTCTTACCATGTAGCTTCAGGGCATGAGGGCATATTGTCTCACTTAGGAAAACAGTTAACAATGACATATTTTGTTTGTGAAAACATGCATTTACTTTTGTGAGTTTCCCCACCTAACCCATTCACAGAGTTATAGTCACAGAGAGTACTGAAGAGTGGAATAAGTTAAAGGCACTCAGTTGCAGCGAGCTTCTTCTGCCCCCATCCCCCATGCTTTTGAGACCACAGTTCCATGCTGAACAGCTCTGACCATTGGAGTCACACGGCATGCCTCACTGAGTTCTTGGACTTGCCCGTCCCATACTCCAGAGCCACATATTGGTGGTGTTGAAATACTAAACATGGAAAATGGCACCGCATGCAACTTCACCACAGCCATCATCACAGAACCAAAGAGGCCTTTTCTGCACTTTACAAAAACAAACCACAATTCACCATAGCTCTTTTATCAGTGCCAATAACACTTTTAGTAACCTCAGTCCTTTCTTTTTTAAAGGATCCAAAAACTTACCAAGTAATGCAACTTGAAACAACCCAAGTTCCTTTTCAGCTTATATGACAGGCTAAGTTTCACTCCTGAAAAAGGTGCCCTTAGCAAAATCCGTGTCCCCTCTCCCCAACCAAAGCATACAAACAACCAAACAAAAACAAACAGAAAATGAGCCTGGATGAAGGGTTGATGTGGGAGCCGGACAGATGCCCACAGATGTTAATAAAATCACATGTCTGGGGTGATGGCTTTGAGATCCAAGTTTTCATCATCCAATCAGGTACCAGCCTCTTAAAACCAAAATGATCACCGATATTAACAGGTGGAGCTAAGAAAGTCCTGTTGTAAGCCAAAAATAGCACTCTGTTACTTTGACAAACCATGATTTCTTTATATAATATACATTTTAAATAAAACAACCCAAACAAAATTCTGGGCCATTTATCCACATTTCCAGAGAGCAGTGAAAGCCTAGATCGTTTCATTAGCACTATACTGAAATTAACATTTCTCTCTTTGAAATGTATTCCTCAACTAATGAGGACCTAAATGTTCATTGTACTTCATCTCCTTTCTAAATTATGGAGGATTACTCTTTTCCTGTCTCAAATAAATTCAATAAAACCTCATGATATGGTTTGGCTTTGTCCCCACCAAACCTCATCTTGGATTGTAGCTCCCATAATCCCCACGTGTCGTGGAGGGATGTGGTGGGAAGTAATTGAATCATGGGGGCAGTTTGCCCCATGCTATTCTTATGATAGTGAGTAAGTTCTCACAAGATCTGTTGATTTTATAAGGGGTTTCCCCCTTCACTCGGTTCTCATTCCTCTCCTTCCTGCCATCATGTGAAGAAGGAAGTATTTGCTTCCCCTTCCACCATGATTGTAAGTTTCCTGAGGCCTCTCCAGCCATGCTGAACTGTGAGTCATTTAAACCTCTTTCCTTTACAAATTACCCAGTCTTGGGTATGTCTTTTTTAGCAGCCTGAGAATGGATTAATACACCTCATCTCACTATATATATAATAATAAGATATATAGTGTATTTTTATATACATGATGCAGACCTTACTATAATATGTATTACCATATATATATTATATAGTAGGATACATATCTTACTATATATAGTTTTTTATATACGTATTTTAGTATTGTTGGGGTTAGGTCTGTTCTCCTTCAGGTACCATTTCTGGGAAGATGAGAGTGCCTTGGGAAGATGTGGTGTATGGAGGTGTTCCGCACACACCTGGGACACGTGAACTGAACACGAGATGTCTAAAGTTTGAAATCTCAGCCCGAGGTAGATGGGCTGTTTTCCACCACCAACCTTCCACTCCCGTAATGATTTTATGAGGCTTTTATTTACTTATTTTTTGTTTAATGTAACCACCTGCAGAGGGAAAGCCTTTTCATCTATACATTTATTCAAAGCCTATAAATGGCACAATGACAAACTGCTAGGAGCTATCACCTTCTTTTTTTTCTTGTTCATGTGTGCTACTGTGCTCCAAGAAAAATGAGGAAGGGCTTCCTACACTGCCGTTCACTTAACAAAGAACAGTGGAGCCTTTCAAAGTCCAAATGTAGGTTGTTTAGAGAAAAATGACAGAACTGGAAAATATTCGTTGAGTGAATGGTAGTAGAGAGCACAGCAGATGACCTAATTGCCTCAGCAGCCTGGGCTTCAATTTTGATTCTCACTTCCTCTAATTGACTGTGCAAAAGATGTATCTTTGATTTAAAACTGGTAGCTCAGGAGTTTAAGAAATCAGTGGTGGCTATTCAAATCTGTCTGAATATCCATTCACATAATTAAATAGGAGACGAAGTCTCTCCTCTGAAAAAGTACAGTACTCAGACAAAAACACACACAAAAAGAGCAACAGATTTAAACTAAACTGAACATATTTCCCCATTTGGGAATAGAATACATATTGTTAAAAGGCAGAAAGCAGTACAGAAAGAATACATTCTGGTTTACAAACTAAAATCGTGTCTCTTACACTTGACATTCACATCTTAAGACCAACTCTCACCTTATTTGGAATATAAGTATATTTTAACCAGATAAGCCTATCTTTAGAAGGAGGATACTAAAGGACTTAAAATATTTGTATATTGCTACTTCATTTGAATGCAATGCATTCGCTCAACAAGTTGCATTATTGGCAATATTCAACAGTATTACAAAAGGTTTGAAATGTGGCGTACCAATTAAAAAGAAAGAATGTTAAACGGAGGTCATTCCCTCGTGCACTTGAATGTTTAGTTTTTTGAGAACCTTTTGGTTGTGGTCTAGAAATAAAAGCACAGTATTCCAAATGGCTTTTAAAGAGACCCCTGCACTTCCAAAAGCAAGTCTCTGTTGCGGAGTCAGTCAACACTCTCATCTTTGTGGAGAGACTATAAGCTTTCCACAAATTACTACACACAAAACAATGAAATAGCCAAGTTCACAAATTTTAAAAAATCTATATATTTACCATTAGGCTACATTCCAGGCCAACAACTATGAACTTTCAAATTCTTTCAAGTCTGCTTGTAAATTTCACAGCATCAAGATAACTTCATTATCTACCTTATGCAGCCACCAGTCCCTTATCAAGTATCTGTTACATTCTCAGGTTTGGGTAAAAATCAGCTAGGTTACTGGTTTGAGGGCCAACTGTATACTCGGCATTAGTTTATTTAAATAAAACGCAAAGAAAAGTAGCAATTCTTCCACTGGAGAAGAAAACATCAAAGCATCTTTAAAACTGCATCCACGCACAGGCATTATTATGAAAATGCAATTATTATTCTGATTTCAAAAAAAAATGAAGCCTTCCATTTTAATCTACTGACTTAAAACTGATGAAGTAATTTTCCACTTGCTACAACTGGCCCTGATTATGTTCTTACATGTCAAAGAAAATACTCTTTAAAATGGCCATATATATATATATATATATATATATATATATATACACACACACACACATATATGTAGAAATGTAGAATGCGTGTGTGTATGTCTGTATACACACATACACACACACGCATTCTACATTTCATTGAGTAATAAAATACTGAATTTCTAATCTGAGAAAATACATGCTTGCAGAGTTCTCCATGAAATTCCTGTATTCTTAATTTTAGGATACACAGAAATTCCATATTTTTTTCTGGAAATACAGGGATTAATGCAACCATGTGCCATTAGCCATCCCTCCCCCACTTAACATTTTGCTCATTTCCACAGGAAAATCTATGCTGAGGATTTAATGGATTACTGCTAACATCTTCCCCACAGCCAACTAAAGGTATGAAATAATTCTCCACTCTCCAAATCTGCCCCCACAAAACGGCAGATTTCTTTGCTATCTGATTTCACCCCGCTCTGCCATCCCCTAGGAAAAGGCTCAGTGCGTCCATTCAAACCATGCAGGTCTCTTGCAGTTTCTGCCGCTTTGTTCTCATCAAAGTCAGGTGTTTGCACCCTGGCCATTTAATTTCTAGCTGGAGAAGGAAGCTACCCCGGATTTCTTAAGCATGCACTTCTATGTTGCCCGCAGAACGCCCACACAAACTGGCAATTCTGCTTCGTCAGGATAACGAGGTCTCCCTAAACTTTTTCTTTTCCTTTTTTTTCTTTCTTTTTTTCTTTTTTTTTTTTTTTTTTTTTTTTTTTTTTTTGCTTTTGCCTTCCTCACATCACCGGAAGGGCTGATTCTGAGATGGGAGCTCACGCACACCACCCCCTTTCAAGAAAATATAATGCAACGCGCTCCGATGTAAACCCTACGGGCAACGGATGCCTTCAAAAAGCATAAGATAAGAGCAACAACAACAACAACAAACCACCGCCCCCCCCAAAAAAAATGACCAAATAGAAATAAAATAAAATAAAAATAAAAAGAAGCCATACTACCACCTTGTGGATCCAGCTCGCAAGAACATCACCTGCTTAGTTCCAAAACCCCCACCCAACCCCCACCCCAAATTTCTTAAGTTGGGTCCAAATGACAGATCGGGATCCTCTGTCCTCACTCCCCGCAGACTCGCCCAAGCCCTAGGCTGAATTCGTGACGCGCGCGCCCAGCACCCGGGCGAGTTGCAAGCCCCGGCGCACCGCAGGGGCCAAAACCCCGCCGGAACCTCCTAGGACCCCTTCACGCTGCCTCCTGCACCCCCTCCCCCGCCATCCCCGAGATAGCAGCAGCACATACACAAAAAGAGGCTGACACCTGCCGTAGGTTCAGAGGAAGAAGGCAGAGAAAAAGAAACCCGCAGTCCGGAAAAAAAAAAAGCCTTCTGGGGAAGGGGAGGGGTATGATGCGGAGGACGTCCTCCGGCTGCCCCTCGCTCTCCATGCAGAACATCCGTTCCCAGGGTGGCCCGGGCCAGGCCTCGGGGGTGCAAGGGTTGGCCTGACCCCCCTGCTCCCGCCCCCGCCGCTCCGGGAAGAAAGGGCGCTGTGTCTGGCGGCGAGCAGGCGCCGGAATCGTGCGCTCGGGCCCAGGGTTGCACGGAGCACTGGGCCCGGATACCGGGGGCGCAAAGCTTCGGGTGCGGCCCAGGAGAACCCCGCCGAGGGACCCCAGCCTACCGGTTCTCGGAGGGGCGAAAGAGCCAGGTCAGGTTGAGGGACAGGAGGAGGAAGGGGTGTCCAGGAGACTGACTGAAGGATGAGAGTGTCCTCCGGGGTAGCGACCGGCCTCTTGGAAAACCAGAGGCGGAGGGAGCAGCCGCGGAGTGGAGGGCGCAGGCCGGGACCTGGGCCTCTCCTCCCACAGCAAGCCCCCCACCCACGCATCATCTGCAGCCGAGCGGCACCTACCTCCCTCTCCCTACCTCATCCCCGCTCGCGCTTCCGCAGGTCAGGCCACGCGGGTGCCAGCGCGGGCTGTGGGCGCCCCAGCCGCGGCCTTGGGGAGGGGTCAGGACTGAAGTTCACTCTCTCTCTGCGTGGTCTCGAAGCCCCTCGCCCACCCCGCACTGTCTCCTCCGCCGCCGGCTGCGCGCTTGGCGGATCTTCTCCATCAGTTCTGCCCACTGGAGTGGGAAGGGGCTGAGCCGAGCCGCGCGGGAATTGGGAGGCGGGGAAGCGGGGAGGCGGGGGAAGAGACGAGATGAAATCGGCCCGGGACAGCAGAGAGGCTTGGGATGGGATGGAAGGGAAGAGGGGGTGGCGGTTGCGTTTTCCAGGGCTGTAGAGGTGGTGCGCCTATTGGAACCGACTCCTCAGCCTCCTCCCCCGTCCCCACCTCGGGGACTGGCGGACCGTGCGCCCCGCAGGCTTAACACTCCCCCCGACACCCTCGCTCCGAGAAGGGGTGTTCTCAGTGGGCACCGACTAGGGCTCCAGATCCCCCGAGACCCAGACCAGGGCTCCGGTAGTCTGTCCTCGCAGCTTCCAACTTTTCCGCTCCTTCGGAAAAGCGGGCAGTTCAGAGATGGTTCCCAGGGCGGCAGCTGCAAGCCCCCCCGCGCCCCCCTCAAAGGTTCAGACTACACTCAAAGGCTCCGAAAGAAGCAAAACCACCAGCTCTACCCTCCTTCTGCGGCTTGCCTCACCCTTCCCACCCGCCTCGAAACCCACACACACGGGAAAGGGGTGCATGGAGCCCGCTCCCCGGTTTACAGAAGCAGCCCGGAGCTACCGTCATTTCATCTTCACGCGGGGTCTCCAGCGCGCCTGGATCGTTCCCTAGCCAAGCCAAGCCAGGTCTAATCAATCACGTGCGTTATTTCGTGCATCACCCAAGCCGTCATCTTATCCGAGGCCCGGAGATGAAGGAGGGAAAAAAAATCGCTTAAATGCGACCCCAACCAAGCCGGTTTTCCCTTTTTCTTTCTGGTTAACAGCACCCCCCCAACCCCTCAAAAAAGCACCCCAGGCGGTGGTAGCTGACAGTTTTCTTAAAGAATAAGGGGGGGGGGTGGGGGGGGAGAGAAAAAGAAAAGAAAAGCCTCCCATGCCTCACAGTTTGCAGAAGTCTTCCTGCCTTCACCATCTCCAGCCCTGGCCGCTTCTCTCCTTCTTCTCCCTGTACTGCAGATACATATATATTTTTTTCCTCCTCTCCCCGCCACAGTCTTCTGTTTATTTGTGTGGAAGGCAGCGCTACTTTGTAAACACATCACACACGGCCCCAGAGCCGTTCAAATAGCTGATTGCAGCAAAACGCTTCCAAACAACGGTGGTCTGGATTTTTCTCTTTAAGTGAAAATAAAACCAAATATTTCTGTGGAGAGGTTGCATGTAAAAACCGTATGAAGGTCTACACTCCCACCCACACCTAAGAAATGCAGCGAGACAGATGGGAGAAAGTCCTGTCCAAATTTTCCAAAAATAATATTAATAATCATAAAAGGAAAAAATAAAGATCAGATGAAGTGAAGCTCAAGTATCTGCAGTGAGGCTTTCCATCCTTTGCTGCAAGTCAAAATGTTTAAACGGCTTTTTAAAATGAGAATAATGTCCCAGAGACAGGTCTTAAAACTGCACCTACCTTAGCTTTGGAAGAGCTGCATCGGCCGTTAAGAGTTCTTTTTACACGTCCAGATTTTTCTAGGGAACCCGAAACGAGGTATGATTCAGGAGGATGTATTGAAAGCCCAGGAGCCTTCCCCTTCTGGAACCCCCCAACTAGATTTCCTCATCCAGAGGAATGCAAGAGCCACCAACACCGCCTAGTTTGGAGGAAATTCGTTGTTTCTGCCGCCAATAGTCTGTGGACGGGCAGAACAAGCATTACAATTGAAGCAGGAAGGGCCAAGCTAGTGGCTGAATAAGAGCTCTGTGCTAAGAGACAGAGAAGGGAGAGAGACGGTTCTGCAAGAAAAAGAGAGATTGAGGAGAGAGGTCCTGCTGTCTCCGGGGCTCTCCCTCTGCCATTGGACCAAACTGAATGAAATTTACAAAGCCAGCAGCCAATAGATCTCCGGAGTCGGCCCCATCACTACAGAAACCACATCCACAGCTACAACCTCATGCAAAGAGCTGCTAATCCCAATGCAAACCAGCTGTAACGGAGAGATCCCGGGTACTCGGGAGATAGAGCAGGTGGGCATGGCAAACGGTGCCACCGCACCAGACGCGTACAGCAAACCTTCTTCCTCTTTGCTTTTTTAGGACTCTCTAGATACCCTCCACACCAAACATGCTGCAGTATATGCAAACATCTTTAACTGTTTAAGGTCACGATCTCCAGCAGTCTCTATGTCTGCGTTATTGTAATTCATTTGGGAAGCAATGATATAAAAAAAATTTTTAAGAGCAGCAAAATTTGGAATACAGTTCTGTAAAGTACAGGACCTGTTTTATGCTCAGGGTATGGTTGAGAGGGGATCGATGAAAGCTTTTTGTTTACTTCTATTCTTATACTTTCATGATTTTGATAAAATGTTGGAATTGTGCCCAGGATGAGGCATTTGTTTTTAAATACGCCTCTTCATTTCCAGGGTCCAGGAGGTTATCTTTCCCAGGGAGTTTCAAGTTGCGGGGGGCGAGGACGGGGGTATGACCCCTGTACTTAAAGTTGAGTTGGAGAAAGTTGGATTTAAATTGGCAATGCAAAGATCAGAGGGCATAATAGAGTGTTGTGACAATGAACACGGATTTTAAAATGAGATTGCTTGGGTTCAAGATGCATGTGACCTTAGGTGTGTATTTTAATCGTTTGCCTCCATTTCTGTATCTGTAAAATGGAACAGATAATCACCGTGTAATACTGTAATGATTAGCTGAGTTAATGTGTGGGGCCAGGTAGTCTTCACAACAATATTACATGGTGATTACTTTTATTCTTCTGCTTGGCCAGAAAAGTTAGCTTTTCTTAAAATTATTTCATGGCCCATTAATTCATTTATGGAAGGAAAAAGATAGTGTCCGCAACACATAGGATATCCTCCTAATTGCTTCGGCTTTAGGCAGTAAACCAAAGCATGAAGCCTGCCATGGTGATGTGAAGGATATTTGGGCAGCCTGACCAATAATGGGGAAGGTGATAGACACCAATTTGGGGACCTGGTTTCATGTTAAGACTCTATCCTCACAAACTTTGCCTTGTTGTAAAGTCAGTTATGTTCTGTGAATCTGTTAAACTGAGATTAAAATTACCTTTCCTGTGGATTTCTTGTGGAGACTAAATGAAATAATATGTATAAAAGCACCTTTTACCAACAAGATAGGTACATAAATATACACTTATCTATTAATAGATATCTATACCCAATAATAAAAAAAAATATATCCATCCATACATACGTGTGTGTTCCAATTATTGGATAGATATTTAGAAATATGCATGTACTTTTTCCGTTATTGTATAGATATTGAAGACCCATTAACATAGTAATATTGTTAATAAGTATAGCTTATTCCCCAAATCAGTGATATACATGGATATGGATATATAGCTGCAGATATATGGACATATATATAGATATCTATATCCTAAACTAAAGCAGAATCTCACCTTGAACACAGTAATTTATAGTAGGCCAGAAAGTCATGGGTTTTGCCAAGAATGTATTAATTCATTGACTTATTCATAAATTCAGGGTTGTTTTTTTTTTAGCACTGGTGCAGTCCTAAGCACTGACATGCATCTGTGAGTGAAACTCATCCATTTATTTTTGAGAAAGCATACAGTCTAGTGGACAAGATAGCCAAAAGCATGAGAAAAAATATGATTACAAGAAGGTGTGCACAAGGAATACATATGAATTCATAGGGACCCATGGAGGTGAAAATGATTAAAGAAGGGTTTGCAAAGGAAGAACTTTCTGAGTAGGGAAGAAATGGTACACAGACACTGATTGGGTCAAGAAGTTGAGAAAGAAGCCATGGATAAAGACATCATAGCAATACTGTATGTGTGGAGATCTAGAAATAGGGAGGGTTTGGAATGCCATGACATTGAGTATGAAAAGAAGGTGGTAAGGAAAGGATTAAAGACCTAATTGTGAAGAATTTTGAGTGCCATACTGAAAAGGTGGAATTTATCCAGTAGGCAGTGGGAAAGCCAGTAACATATTTTCTGCAGGGAGAGGGGAAGAAATGATCAGATTTATATTTTAGGACAATCACTGTGATGGCAATATGGAGAACAAGTTGAAGAGGGCCAACGTGGAAAGAAAAGAAAATATTTGTAAGATTGTTGCAAGAATGGATGCAACAAATGAAGTCCTGAATGAGAGACACAGAGAGAGAAAGAGAAAAGGAGAAAGGGAAGGGAGGAAAAAGGAAGGGAAGGGTAGTGAAGGGAAGAGAAGTTGATGTGGGGAGACATCACTTCTAAATAAGGCAGCATGATAAAGTAAGATTGGGAAGGAGAGTTTGGGCAAAATCTGAATGCTTGGCTTAGCTTGTGGGTGGATTGGTTGGGTACCAGATCTCTTCCCTGAGATATGTGACCTGGAAGAGAGCAGGCAAGCACATTTTCACTTCTATCTGAATGACTCCATTGAGAGTTTTTTAAAATAATTTGAAAAATAGGGCAACATAGTGAGACCCTGTTTCTATAAAAAAATTAAAAACTAGCTGGGAGTGGTAGTGCAGGAGGCTGAAGGGGGAAGGTCACTTGAGCCAGAGAGGTCGAGGCTGCAGTGAGCCATGATCGTGCCACTGTACTCCAGCCTGGGTTGCAGAATGAGACCCTCCCTCAAAAAAAGAAAAAAGTCAGAAAGCATCTTAGACAGGTGGAATCATGATTGTAAGAAAAAGTGAATATAAGATGTTATGAAATTATCATTTTCCCTAATCCAAAATCCCTTACAGGAGACCAGGATAGGACCCAAAACACCAATTTTTAACAACTGGGCCACCAGATTGCAACACAGACAGAGGAGCTACAGAGGTTTAGATCCACAATTCCTGGAAGAGATAAGAGTATCATTCTTCATGCTTCCATTTTAAATCTAATTGTGGAGTATGGTGAAATGTGGGAGCTGGGGGAGTCATAAAATGAAATAAAACTGTAGGGTTCCAAGAAAGATATATAAGCTGAGTTTGGTACAAGAACTGGAGGGAACATGAGAAATAATCTATACCACACTACTTGTTCTCTCTGATTTTCCATCTCAGTGTCTCCATCAACCACATTCTGGTATTATGTTCAAGCTCCTGTGAGATCAATACGTAGAACTCTGAATGCAATACTGGTGAAGCCAGTGGGGCACTACTGATTCATACTGACTCTCCTAATACAATGGTCCAAGTGAAACAGAAATATTTTCAGTAGGATAATAATTGTTCGTGCAATAGTAATATATACTATGTTATTAATTACTAATCATTATTAGAGAGAGAAATATGTATAGTATAGAAGGTGCTTAAAATCTAATAAGAGGATAAATTAAGCTCTTTAATTATTAAAATGCAACTCAATGTGTGACATATGCCATCTCCAAAGCATACAGAAGGCGTAACAGGCTTCCTATTGGGATGCTGAGAAAATGGTTCACAGATGAACAAGGTTTCCCTGGGGAATTGGAGAGCAGGGGTGGGACATTATTCCAAGTTAACAATATCTGGAGACGAGAAACAGATATAGTGTGAGCAAAGGCTTTGGAAGTTCAAGGTGCACAAGGATGACCCAGGAAGATGGTTACAAAATCCATGCCTCTAGAGCTAAACACCAGGATTCAAACCTAGCAGGTCTTGAGTGAGTTCTTGGAACCTGCATTTGGGGGGCCACCCTGCTACATGAGGTTGCTTTTTTAGATAATCCTCAAATTAAACCCTGAAAACAGGAGTGGTGGTGAGCTGATGATAGGTTCTTATGATTCATAGAGGAGAATAAGAAGAAATTGGTCAGGCTGGACTACAGAGGTTGATGAATATTCATTGGCTGGAATCCTTATGGGTGTTAGTCGGGGATGGTAGCAGAGATTACCTTTCAGAGAGCTTACTCTGAGGGGATTTAAGGGCTGGGACATTCTAGAACAAAAGAGTACAGCGAGGCTGCTGCATTCATAAATTAGGGCAGTATTAGTGAAAATAACACAGTTATGATGAATTTATTTCACTATGAGTGGCATTTGACTATATGCATAGTTGCAGAAGTTGAGCAAAAATGGGATGGAGCCCTAAAATGAGAAGATACTAGAGATAGCCTTCATGTGGTGAGATGGGAAGGCTAAGATGAATGAGAGTGCACTCAGCCAGAGTCACTTGTGTGGAAAGAAAAATGAGGTGCTGGTGGATCATAGAAATACCAATGACCCACAGACCTGAGATCTTTGGGACAGGAGATTTGACCTGAATAGGGATCTTAAGGTAGGATCTACGGATCCAAGCACAAACCCTATGGATATGATACTTAACATTTTGGTGTAAAATAGAGAAAGTGTTCCCTTAAGAGAAAAGGCAAATCTTTGGAGAAAGTGACACTGGGTAGGGTCTTGATAACAACCTAAAATAGGGTCATTCTCCCATCTGCAGAAGATCTTTGGTAAGAGAAAGTGTGGTATGGAATTCAAGGAAGGACTTTAACCTCCACAAGGAGTAGGCAGGAGTCAACTGTGTCATGGTCTTCAGAGATTTTAGGAGTGAAGGGCGATGGGAGAGTACCACTGCATTGTGGAATCAGTAGATCCTTGACAGCCTTCAGCTGAATATGTTAGATAGATTCATGACTGGGGATCCGATGAGGAAGTTGAAATCATAATTATAGTCTGCCTGTGAAAGGAAAAAAAAAGATAAGGTAAATTCAGAAATAGCAGGGTTGTGGTGGGTCATTGTTAAGTGGTTTGCTGATTGCTATTTTTATTCACTATTCACTAAGCGTGAATGTGAGAACTGTTGCTTGTTCCACAAACTCTGCAAAATATTCAAGATGGATAAATAAGACATAGTCTTTGCCCTCACATAGCTAATTCTTTACCCAATGCCCCTTCTGATCCGAACGATTGTTCCACTTTATTTTTATTCATCTGTTAGTTTATTTGTGGTGTTTCTTACTTTCATTTGCTATTGTAGACACCATTTTAGAAAAATATCTCGGAAACATGTTGATGATAATTGCCTTAGGTGGTCACCATTATATGAGGCCAGTTCAGAACATGAGGTTTAATAAATTTGAGAAATGATAGGACAAAGAGTAACATTTATATAATACTTGTTTTGATACCTATATCTATCTATATACACACATGGAAATATATAGATATAGATATATAAAAAGATATAGCTATAGATATTTACATATAGATATATATGTAAACTAGAAAATATCTAAAAATATATATGTGTATAAATCATAAACCAGGGTAAACAACATACTCAGTTTTTTAGAAAACATTTAAGAAATGTTATTCCCAAACAGGATTTAAAGTCTTTTAAAATATAAGGTAATTAACAACGTAGATTAAATAAGAGTAATATGCTGTAAACCTTAGAAATATTTGCACCCTTAAGGTTAAGCAAAATTCATTCTGTCTTATTTTACACTCCAAAGTTGCTAAATCAACCTTTTTCTTTCAATGATAGCAAGTAAACTCCAGACCAGTTGAAGCTGAATTATCATAAATTTAAAATTAATGTCAGTCACTTAAATAAGATTTTATTGAAATAGTTGAATGTATATAACATTTCTTACATGTAAATATAATTACAGAAATCCAGATGGAGGAGATAAAGAGATGCTCTTGTTTATTCCCATTGGTTTTGTAGGGAAAGTATTTTATAAGATTAATACAGCTTGAAGGAAATACTTTAAATTGATATTTTCCGATAAAAAGGTTGTACATACCCTTAATTCGATTTTTGCATCTGATGAATGGGAATAAAGATATCTTTGTGGGCAAGAGTCTATTTCTGGTTTCTTGAAGCCTTTGTCCTTCTGACTTCTGTTATTTCAAACCTGTAACACACCATTAATTATGTAACATGCATCCACAGTAGAGAGTTATGCTCTTTGCTGGCCTTCCATTTGATTATTTTAAATTCTATCCCCAGTTATTATTTCATCACTGGGCATGATGAGCCTAAATGACTTTTAAACGGCCCTGATTTTTAAAAAAGATTCAGGCTCCAAAATTTCACTACATTCATTGACGGTGAGAAATCCATTAACTATTGCTTTTGTAAGAAAACCAAGGATATTGAATCCCAAATAAGAGGCCCAAAATAGAGTTCATTTTTAAATGACATTCTGCAGCGACTGTACCACTGTTCTTGCCTAAGACTTTTAAAATGAAAATCTTTTACAATGTCTATGTCGCTTTGATGAATGACAACATGCACTACACTTTTAAAAGTATGGAAATATACATAAATCTTTCTCCAAGTTTGGGACCTTGGAATTATTGATATGCATGTATATAGAGAGAGATTTAGAAATAGGCATATAGATAGGCTTATATAAATTCATAAATTTATCTCTATATAGATGTTTATAGAAATTGCTATGTCTGTTTCAATGTATATCTGTATCTCTATCTCTATAGATATCTGTATCTTCTATAGGTATCTATGACATATATATGCGTATCTGTATCTTCTATAGATATCTATAGAGATATGGATCTGTCTATATGAATAGTTATCTCTATATATTGATACATATTTATCTATATCTATATTTATATCTATATATATCTATACAATACAGAGGGGTTTATATTCCCAGGATGGTTGACTTATGCCTGATTGTATCTCTGTTGTGGGTGTGCACATGGACTCTCTTCCTGTTTTCTTCCTTTGTACTTTAAAAGGAGACATTTAACATGGGGGTAAGACAATAAGAGGCAGCATCAATGTGTTTTATTTATTAAAGCTCAAGCAAACAGCTTTCTTTCTTGTTAATGACCGGTGTTAGACATAGGTATGTAGGCATATAGACCACCTCTGGTGAATGCAGTGTGGTTTATAATTTTAGGTGAAATAAAATGAGGTTGACAAAAAATTCCTAGGACAATGGTTCCCTTTTATCTTTTCAAACTCGAGGTCTGTATTGGAATTTTTAAAAAACACTTATTTTGGTTTTTTCCAGGTCTTATTCATTGAGAAGACAGGGAATGTATTGCAAATACCGTTTTGCATGTGACAAGTACACACATGTGTGTATGCATACATGTGGAAACAGAGCAGATGCAACATATGTATAAATACCAATGGGATTGTTTTGAGTGGGGTTTGATCTGTTATAAAGCATTGGTGTATTAGGAGCCTGGTAATATTTTCCTGGAAGAGTCATGACTAAAATTATGTAAAGAACACCTGGACCCATGCAATACCTTGTTCTTTTCCTGCAAATATACAAAAAGATCTAGAGTTTTGATACTTTGCTAAACAAATTATAGTCCTCGGTCTAATATCATGGGTGTTATTAATACCTGGAAGCCTGTTAAAAATGCATAACTTTGAGCCCCCACCCCAGATCAACTGTATCAAAACTGCGTTTTAACATGTTCTCTGGTGATTTGCACCAAACGCCAAAGTTGGAGAAGCTCTTGCCTGGAGGACAGCTTTGCATGGCCTCCTAGGTATCTGGTCATCCAGGCTGAGAGTTAAAGTAGCATCCACCCAAAGGGATTTTCATCTTGTGGCCACGTTGCTTGGTCCAAGGTTGAGCATCTAAGCTGAGCCGGGCTATGGGTATGCAGTCCCTGGAAAGCTGGCTCACAACTGTGACACTGCAGTCCATGGACACAGCCACACACACAGCAAATGGTGGCTCTAGAGGAGTGGACAGGCAACAGGTAAATTTAGGGGCCTTCCTGGTCATGCTTTTCCACCTTGTCCAGTGGAAAATGGAGGAAGCTTATATACAATGTACAAAGTAGATATGAAGACAGAAAGGTAATGAATGACAAAGAGAAGGGCTGCACATCCTTCTACATCTTCATCATATTCTTTTGCTGTTCTTGTTGTTTTTCTTTTAGAGACAGAGTCTTGCTCTGTTGCCCAGGCTAGAGTGCAGTGGCATTATCATAGCTCACTGCAACCTCGAATTCCTGAGCTCAAGAGATCCTGCTACCTCAGCCTCCTCAGTAGCTGGGTCTACAGGTGTGTGCCTCCACGCCCAGCTAATTTTTGTAATTTTTATTAAGTTGGTGTGGTTTTTGCAATTACTTTTAATGGCAAAAACCGCAATTACTTTTGCACCAATCTAGTATAAAGACAGGGTCTCACTAGATTGCCCAGGCTGGTCCCAAACTCCTGACCTCACAGGATCCTCCTGCTTCTCAGTCTCCCTAAGTGCTGAAATGACAGGTGCACTCTACCACACCCGGCCCCATCACATTCTTACCTGTATGAATTTCCTAGGCCTCCTGTAACACAGTACCTTAAACTGAGCAGCTTAAACCAAAGACATTTACTCTCCCCTAGTTCTAGAGATCAAAAGTCTGAGATCAAGGTGTCTGCATGGCCATTCTCCCTCCAGGGGACCTAGGGGAGTATCCTTCCTGTCTATCCCAGCTCCTGGTGGCTCCAGGCGTCCCTGGGCTTGTGGCCGCATCACTCCAGTCTCTGCCTCCATCTCCCTATGGCCTTCTCCTCTGTATGTGTCTTCATGTGTCTTTTTCTGTCTCTTGTAAGGACATTCTCATTAGATTTAGGACCCACCTTAATCTGGTATGATCTCATCTTCATCCTTACCTTAATTACATCTGCAAAGCCCCTGTTTCCAAATAAGGTCACATTCCCAGGTTCTGGGTAGACATGAATTTTTAGTGGACAGTGTTCATTTTGCTATACTGCCCTTGGAACCTGTGAGACATCCTGTATCCTTGAACACATTTCCTTTTCTGTTTTCTTTTGATTAAGCTTATTTAAATGGGTTTATGTTACTTGCACAGGAAGTGCCCTAATTAATATGAAAGGTGTTAATGGATTTTTTAAAATGCGTCTTCGAGAAGATGAGCAGTATTAAGACAGGGGCTTTGTCATAGGAAACTTATGTAAGGAAGCTGTCTGGGAGAAGTGGTGTGGTCGGCTTATAACTACACAAGTATACAGCTTATAACCACACAAGTATCTATCTAAGTGGTAGATAGACCAGACGTTAGCACAGACATCTGGGCCTAGGGTTGCCAGATTTAACAGCTAAAAATATAGGACTCACAAAAACATTACTAAAAGAATGTTTTGTGCAATATTTGAGATATAATTATGCTGGTTTTTTCTTTGTTTGTCTCATATTCAAATGTAACTGAGGGCTGGGCACAGTGGCTCACGCTTGTAATTCTAGTACTTTGGGAGGCCAAGGCAGGTGGATCACTTGAGTTCAGGAGTTCGATGTCAGCCGGGCCAACATGGTGAGACCCCCTCTCTACTAAAAAATACAAAAATTAGCAGGGTGTTGTGGTGCGCACCTGTAGTCCCAGCTACTCAGAAGGCTGAGGCTGGAGGATCACTTGAAACCTGGCGGCAGAAGTCGCAGTGAGCTGAGATCACACCACTGCACTCCAGCCTGGGTGATAGAGCGAGACTCCGTCTCACAAAAAAAAAAAAAAAAAAAAGGTAATGGCAACAACAACCAAAATGAAACTGGGCATCCTGGATTTTTATCTGGCAAACCCATTTATGCCACATACCACAGAATGTTTCATGCCTACTCTGCTTCTAGTTGACTCTTTATATCAGGAGTTGGTTTTCAGTATGACTCTTCTCTTCCCCACACCTACCATAACTCCGTAACTCCATCTTCAAGTTCAAAATTGAGCCAATAAATTTGTGGTTACCTACACTTACTGACTCATTGACTGTAGAAAAAAGTAAAATTATACAAAATATCCCTGGCTGAGGTCAATGATGTCCTGCTTCCTGATGTATTTAATCTTGCTGTGGACTTTCCATTCTTTGTTAATGAGACAGTATTTCCATATGTCCAATAAGCCACTCTCTTAGTCCGTTCGGGCTCCTATTACAGATTGTCTTAGACTGAGTAATTTATAAACCACAGCAATTTATTGAAGGCCAGAAGTCCAAGTTCAAAGCACCAGCAGACTGAGCATATGGGGAGGGTTCCCTCCTTCAAAGATGATGGCTGCTGTGTGTCCTCATGTGACAAAAGAGACAAAGGGATCATCTTCTGTGAGGGTACTGATCCCATTCATGAGGGATCTTATCACATCATAAATGGCCTACTTCTTAATATTATCATATGGGGAATTCAGTTTCAAGGTACAAATTTGGTGGGGAGGAGCATTCTGAGCATAGCAGTCAGGCACAGCTTCTTGGATAATTGTAACTTTCCCCAAGGCAGCTTGCTTTTCTCACCTTCTACACTGCCATGCCTTTTCATGTTTGGAGACGCCTTGTCTCTGGACTGATTCTAGTGACTCGCTGAGAATTAACTTCAAATTTCTGAGCTCATGCCTAGGTTCAGTCACACTTTTCGTCATCCCCTGGCACTGGTTTGTTCTCATTGCCATGAAAACCAATTGCAATATCCACTCATCACTCTCTCTTTTGCTTGCACCTGCCGGGCCTTAGTGAAACTCCATAAATACGTGTTGGCAGAACAGTGCTAGAACTTTATCCTTAATCAGACTAATTACAGTGGATTTTTAGAATAATCAATCTGATGCCAAGCAGCCACTTCAACCAGATCTAGTTCATTTTGTTGAAAAAACCACAAAATCATTTTCAGTAATTTGGGAGAGATCTAGTACCTATAAAATCAGTGTATTAGTCCATTCTCATGCTGCTAATAAACACAAACTTATAAAGGAAAGAGGTTTCATAGACTCATAGTTCCACATGACTGGGGAGGCCTCACAATTATGTTGGAAGACGAAGGAAGAACAAAGGGACTTCTTCCACAGCAGCGGGTAAGAAAGCTTGTGCAGGTGAACTCCCTTTTATAAAACTATCAGATCTCGTGAGACTTACTCACTATCACAAGAACAGCATGGGAAAGACCGGCCATGATTTAATTACCACCCACCAGGTCCCTCCCATGACATGTGGGAATTATGGGAGCTACAATTCAAGATGAGATTTGGGTGGGGACACAGTCAAACCATATCAATCAGCTAATCTAACACCCTATCATAGATTATTAAAGACTGGCTAACAGGTGATTAAAATTTAGCTATTGATTGGTGCTTGCCAATAATATTATAGGAAGAAAACCTACATGAAACACACAAAGCCACAGAGTCATGCTGTTATTATGCTGTATTTTTCCTGGCACTTGATGATAATGGAATGATAATCATAATTAAAAATAATTGGTGAAATCTAAAAGCCACAATGTCTAAGTACCAATGAGTACACCTAGTGCTCAGAGTTTGGTTTGTAATACCATTATCCAATAAAAGAATCCAGGAATTTATAAAGAAATAAATGATTCTAGGACTCAGGCAGGAAATATCCAAGATGAGCCTGGAGCATAATGTAGTTACAGAAAGTAAAAATGTGCTAAAACAGACAAAAATCAAAGATAAAAAAAATGCAATGATAAGAGTATGTCAAAGGGACAGAAGAACCAACCAAAAGAGCTCCCAATGGCCAGAGTTGTATCTCTTTGAGCAACTGAATAAATAAAGCAGTATTGTATTATAACCCAAAGAATAAAAAATCATTTATGAGTTCAATATTGATATACACAAATGATTGATTATATAAAGAAATTGGGAAGGGTAACAGATAAATCATTCCAAATAATTTATTCAGGTATACTGATATGGTTTGGATCTGTGTGTTTAGCACCGTCCCCTCTTGGTACTGTATAGTGGGTGAGTTCTCATGAGATCTGGTTTTTTAAAAGTGTGTGCCACCTCCTCCCTCTCTCTCTCTTCCTCCCATGCTGGCCATGTGAGACACCTAGCTTCCCCTTCATCTTCTGCCATGATTGTAAGTTTCCTGAGACCTCCCAAGAAGCCAAGCAGATATTATCATGCTTCCTGTATAGCCTGCAGGACCGAGAGCCAATTAAACCTCTTTCCTTTATAAATTACCCAGTCTCAGGTTATTTATTTATAGCAATGTAAGAATGCACTAATACCATAGTCCACTCTCATGGAGGGGAGCATTAATCCACACTCCTGAAGTGTGGGCTGACATAGTGACTTTCTACCTACAGTTTGGAAAGGAGTGACAAAAGAGTAACTTCACAGTGGAGCCACCTGGCAAACACTACCTCAAACAGGTGGGCAAGATCAACATCAACAGTGATGTTATGTTGATAGTATGTACCCCTGATACGATGTATGGTGACTGTCTTACTGTCTTCAGAATTCTTGTTAACCCAGTGCTGTCCTTAAGATAAAGCTTATGAAAAATTACAGTTTTAAAATATTAAAGTGGAATAATTGATGACATGAGCTTTGCAGACATAATATGGGAGGTGGCAATGGTATACAGATTTTTTTCAAAGAAAGTCAACTTTATTTTTCCACAACAACATGAAACTAGGAATTATGACATAGGCCATGTACGGATGCTGTAAATGAAGTGTGTGTGCTGGTAGTGGGGGTGTTGGCCCATCCTCTGTTGTCTGTCTTTGAGGTGGCTGTGGGAAACCCAATTTAAAAGTATGCATTTCTGGGCATTGTGGCTCACGCCTGTAATCCAAGCACCTTGGGAGGCCCAGGCGGGCAGATGACTTGAGCCCAGGAATTTGAGACCAGCCTGGGCAACATGGTGAAACCCATCTCTGCAAAAAATACAAAAAAAGAAATAGTTGAGCATGGTGGCATGCACCTGTAGTCCCAGCTACTTGGGAGGCTGAGGTGGGAGGATCGTTTTAGCCCAGGAGGTGAAGGTTGCAGTGCAGTGAGCTGAGATTGTGCCACAGCCCTCGAGCCTGGGCAACAGAACCCAACCCTCTCTAAAAAAAAAAGGAATGCACTATATAATGTGTGTATATATAGTATATATAGTGTATATTATATATGTAGATAATACATGTAATTTATAAAAGAACATTTGGCTGGGCACGGTGGCTCATGCCTGTAATCCCAGCACTTTGGGAGGCCGAGGCAGATGGATCACGAGGTCAAGAGATCGAGACCATCCTGGTCAACATGGTGAAACCCCGTCTCTACTAAAAATACAAAAAATTAGCCAGGCATGGTGGCAGGCGCCTGTAGTCCCAGCCACTCAGGAGGCTGAGGCAGAAGAATCACTTGAACCCTGGAGGCGGAGGTTGCAGTGAGCCGAGATTGTGCCACTGTACTCCAGCCTGGCGACAGAGTGAAAAAAAAAAAAAAAGAACATTTTATATATATGTAAAGATTATAGACTACAGGCCTGGCACAGTGGCTCATACCTGTAATCCCAATACTTTGGGAAGCAGAGGCAGGAGGATCACTTGAGGCCAGGAGTTTGAGACCAGCTTGGACAACATAGACCCCATCTCTAAAAACATTGCAAAATTAGCCAAGTGCAGTGGTGTACAACAATAGATCCAGGTACTCAGGAGGCTGAAGGAGGAGGATTGCTTGAGTCCAGGAATTCAAGGCTGTAGTGAGTTGCGATTGTGCACCACTGCACTCCAGCCTGGGCAACAGAGCAACACTCATTCTAAAAATACATACACGTACACACACACACACGCACGCACACACACACACACACACACACACAGAGAGAGAGAGAGAGAACATACCACATATTAAATTTTTTTTTTTTTTGAGAAAGAGTTTCACTCTTGTCTCCCAGGCTGGAGTGCAGTGGTGCGATCTCAGCTCACTGCAACCTCCACCTCCTGGGTTCAAGCAGTTCTCTCCCTCAGCCTCCCAAGTAGCTGGGATTGCAGGTGCCCGCCACCATGCCTGACTAATTTTGTATTTTTAGTAGAGATGGGGTTTCACCATGTTGGCAAGGCTGGTCTCCTGACCTCAGATGATCCACTGGCCTCGGCCTCCCAAAGTGCTGGGATTACAGGCATGAGCCACCTTGCCCAGCCCATACTTATTTTTTTGTTTGTTTAGATGGGTTCTCACTCCGTTGCCCAGGCTGGAGTGCAATGGCATGATCTCAGCTCACTGCAACTTCTGCCTCCTGGGTTCAAACAATTCTTATTCCCCAGTCTCCCAAGTAGTTGGGACTATAGATGCGTGCCACCACACCCAGCTAATTTTTGCATTTTTAGTAGAGATGGGGTTTCACCATGTTGGCCAAGCTGGTCTCGAACTCCTGACCTCAAGTGATCTGTCCGCCTTGGCCTCTCAAAGTGCTGATATTACAGGCGTGAGCCACTGCACCAGGCCTGTATACCATATATTACATATTTATATATATTTATCTGTCCTCTACTGGATTAACTTGGCTTTAACCAATTCAATACTTCAATGTTTAAGGGATGCCACCTCTGTGGTTAGCATATAAAGATTGTGACTTCCATCTTGCCATCCAGCCTTCTGCCTTGCTGATTGATGATTGAAAAAAAATCACCTATTTTGTTATTATGACTGTGGAATGTCTTTTGTTCATTTTAATATTTGTGTCACCAAAAGGATCAACGTGGAATGGATATGGCATTAAAGGAGAATGTCAAATACTGCATGGGATGGCTAAGGCCTGTTCCACACATTCTGGGGTGCCCCTGTGATAATAATAGGTGCTGATAAACTTCCATGTTGAGAAAGTTCACATATCGAGAGACTAATAGTGGGCCTTAGCCAGCAGTCAATGAGAAACTAAAGCCCTCAGTTCAGCAGTCTGTGAGAAGCCAAATTCTACCCACAATGATGTGAGTTCAACATGAGTTCTTCCCCGCTGGAGTCTTCAGATGAGACCTCAGCCCTGGCTGGCACCTTGATGGCACCTTGTAAATAAACTCAATGCAGAGGATTCAACTATTTTCTAAATTCTGATCCACAGAAGGTAAGACATATGAAATGTGTATTTTTTGAAGCCACTATGTTGTAATAGACTACTATTATTTACATATGCATATAAATATGTATGTAGGAATAGATATGGATATAGATGACAATACACAACTTTAGCAGATAGGAAGAGTAAAAAAAATTGACTAAGTTGAACAAATATGTTAGATATTTTCCAATTTGCAGGATTGCTGCTACAACCCTTTCAGACACAGCATAGATGAATGAACCAGAGTAAAACGTCCATCATCTGCTCATAAAGCCTGCCAAAATGTATCAAATTAAGGAAGAGGAGGAATTTGACAACCAAATCTGTAGTTTCTGCATCAAGCAAAATAGATTTTCTTCACTTTGTCTGAGAATCGCTTTGCTTTCATCAACAATCTTCATCTTTCTACAATTCATCACATCAGTACACAATTAGCAAATCCTCCTACCATCTGGGAGGCCCTGTGCTAAGCAGGGTGTGAGAATCTTAGAAATATTATGCCATTCCAGGTACTTCTAATTTTCTGAGCTACATATACATGGAAAGTTCTGTAGCAAGGTTTCTCAAGCTGAGCACAATTGATATTTGTGGCTGCAAAATTCTTTGTTGCAGAGGGATATCATGTGCATTTCAGGGTGCTGGACAGCATCCCTGGCCTCCATCCACTAGATGCTAGTATCATTCCCCCACTCACCCACTTGTGACAATCAAAAATGTCTTCAGACATTGCTCAGTGTCTCTTGGGGGACAAAATCACTATCATTGAGAACCATTGCTCTAAAGCAAAACACAAACAAACAAACCATCAAAAAAATGACAAAGAATCCCTTCTTCAATTTGCACAACCTTGAAAGCCACCCTTGGTAATTCTTCTCACCACGTTCCCACAGGCATTTTGAATCTCTGCGATATGTCCAACTCCAGTGCCTTTCAGAATGCTTACCAGTTCTGGCACCTGTGTCATAATTGCAGTAGGCTCCCCAGTCATTTTGACAAGCAAACACTCACTGTGTATTTGCAAATACTCTTGGTGGAGGAGAGAAGGGAGTGTTGAGGTTCCTGGCCAAGAACCACTGTGAAACCGGTAGGTGTTGGCTGATCAAATACTGCTAGTTGCTGACTAGAGTGTTTCATGTTCCTTCCACAGGAGATGCTTTCTTCTTCGTGGACTGATGCATAGTCCCCAAAACCTTCTTCAACACGGCATCAGCGCAATCTCCTTTGACCCACCCATTTCCCCCAAAATCCCTTCCTCAGAAAAATTCATCATCCCACCTCTCTACATTAAAAGCACCTTAACCTTCTAACAGCACGTAATTGGCCTACTTGCAATGGCACACACAGTGTGTGTGTGTGTGTGTGTGTGTGTGTGCGTGTGTGTGTGTGGGTTGGTGGGGGTCGCCATCCATCACACTGTGGATTCCATTTCCATATCTGTCCCTAATGGCTTGCTTTAAAGCTATTTGTTTTATATTTATTTTTTATTCTATTTTATTTTATTGAGACAGGGCCTCACTCTTTCACCCAGGCTGGAGTGCAATGGCACGATCTCTGCTCACTGCAACCTCTGCCTACCAGGCTCAAGCAATTCTCCTGCTTCAACCTCCTAAGTAGCTGGGATTACAGGTGCCTGCCACCATACCAGGAAAATTTTTGTATTTTTAGTAAAGACAGGGCTTCACCATGTTGGCCAGGCTGGCCTCGAACTCCTGACTTCAAGTGATCCACCCACCTAGGCCTCCCATAGTGCTATGATTACAGGCGTGAGCCACGGGGCCTGGCGAATTTATTTTTTAAATTGAGGTAAAATATACATATATAATTTACTGTCTTTGCCATTTTTAAGTGTACTGTTCAGTGGGAATCAATACATTTATCATCTTTTTCCCCTTCACATATTTAACATAATATAATGTTGAATTTGCCTTCATTTTCTTCAGTTCACTTTCATTTGGTACACTGATCCAATCACTCAAAAAAATCAATAGAAACTTACTGGGAGCAGTGGATATTACCACATCTTTCCATTTACGTTGTGTCTTTCTTGAATGTTGAGATTCTTGTCTTATGTTGACCAAGGTGAAGTCATTTGCACATGAGATCTAATAAAAATATTAATGTCATTGGCCTTCTGGTATTAAATGAAGTAACATGCTTTTTATTAACAACAGGAAAGGATGGAAGTCCCAAATAAACACAGTTTCCACGCACATCATCATAATTCTTAAGTTACCGGCACCAACGACTAGCAAAATTAAGCCATTCTGTTCTTAGACCCCGATGGTAAAGCGCCCTTTGATAGTAAACAGGGATAAATATCTATAATAGGAGCTCCTTGCACATCGGATATACAAGACTACAAAGGAATCTTTGTTTCAAGTTGGCCAATTCAAAGAAAATAAAAATCATTTACAGATTATATTTTTATTCAAATTGGAATTGTGTTTCATAACACTAAGAAAAAGTAATTTCTGTCTCCCTTCCTCCCTCTTTCTCTCTCTCTCTCTCTCTCTCTCTCGTGCACACACACACACACACACACACACACACACACACACACCCATCCCACAACCCCCACCCCTCCAACCACCCTTTTCCCCCTTGGACAGAACTGGGCAGTGACAGGCAAGGACTGTGAAATGTAGCAAATTCTTCTGCTTCCCAACAGGGACCTGTAGGCTGCCCTTTGTAAAGTTCAAGCTGTCTCACACTTTTTCTTTGAGAAGCCCTTGGTTTTGCCTGAGACCTCAGCCTGTTGGGACCCATCCTTGTGTCCAGAGTTACACAAGAGGCTTCCTCTCCCAGGAAAGCACCCTCCTGACTGGCTTCAGGCATCACCCTGGGCCACACTTCCAGCTCAAGAAGAGGAGGCAGGATGAGGAAGAAGATCCAGCGGTAGGAAATTCATGCATCAAGGGCTTCACCATCTATAATAGCAGGGCCCCAACCTGAGATTCTTCAGGACATACACAATCATTGTATTTTCTTTTTTTTTAAATTTTATTTTATTATTATTATACTTAAGTTTTAGGGTACATGTGCACAACGTGCAGGTTTGTTACATATGTATACATGTGCCATGTTGGTGTGCTGCACCCATTAACTCGTCATTTAACATTAGGTATATCTCCTAATGCTATCCCTCCCGCCTCCCCCCACCCCAAAACAGGCCCTGGTGTGTGATGTTCCCCTTCCTGTGTCCATGTGTCCTCATTGTTCAATTCCCACCTATGAGTGAGAACATGCGGTGTTTGGTTTTTTGTCCTTGCGATAGTTTGCTGAGAATGATGGTTTCCAGCTTCATCCATGTCCCTACAAAGGACACGAACTCATCTTTTTTATGGCTGCATAGTATTCCATGGTGTATATGTGCCACATTTTCTTAATCCACTCTATCAGTGTTGGACATTTGGGTTGGTTCCAAGTCTTTGCTATTGTGAATAGTGCTGCAATCAACTATTTCCATGTGTGTACACAAAAGATTTCATGATTTTTATAACCCTCTTTTAATATATCTTTATTTTAATTTTTTTTTTTTTTTGAGACAGAGTTTCTCTCTGTTGCCCAGGCTGGAGTGCAGTGGATGATCTCAGCTCACTGCAATCTCTGCCTCCCGGGTTCAAGTGATTCTCCTGCGTCAGCCTCCCAAGTAGCTGGGATTACAAGTGTGCATCACCACCACACCCAGGTAATTTTGGTATTTTTAGTAGAGACAGGGTTTCGCTGTGTTGTTCAGGCTGGTCTCAAACTCCTGGCCTCAAGTGATCCACCCACCTTGGCTTCCCAAAATGCTGGGATTATATGCGTGAGCCACCATGCTTGGCACATTTATTTTTATATATAGCTGAAACCTCCAAAAAATAAAAATAAAACAAAACCACATGTCCTGGGTTTGAATTCCCCCTGGCCATCCCCACCGGACTAGTTCCCCAGAGCTTGGGGAGAGTGATTCTGACACTTTAGAGAGCTTGCCCCTGGAGGAGTTTTCCCCTTTAATTCTTCTGCTCTGTATGAACAGAAAACCTGAATAAAAAGTAGGCAGCAACTGACAACTCACGAGACTTTTCTCTTCCTGTGTTGGCACTTTAAATCACAGAATTAGACGGGCAAGTACTTCACTGCAATGTTACCTAGGCCTCAGACACTGGGTCTTCCTGGGGGGTCCATCAGTTTGCACCACACCTGCCTTGTCAGAGAAGCAAAGCTATCTTCCCTCCAATGGCTCATTCCTCTACCATCTGGCTTCCTTCGGGCCGCCTTTTTCTTAATTAAGGACATGCACTTTTCATTTACTGTGGAGGTCAAACACCCTGCATTGGTTTAGAAGCTAAATTACCCTGGTTGAGGACTCCTAGAGAAGCAAACTTTTCCCTCTGCATTTCTTGAAGTGGCCGGCTATTTGCAGAGCTTTTCTTTTACTCCATTTCCAGTTTCAGGCTTTTTTCTTCAGTACTGTAGGTATTTTTGTTGTTTTCGTTTGTTTTTTCTTTTTGAGATGGAGTCTCCCTCTGTCACCCAGGCTGGAGTGCAGTGGCTCAATCTCGGCTCACTGCAACCTCCACCTCTCAGGCTCAAGCAATTCTCCTGCCTCAGCCTCCCCAGTAGCTGGGATTACAGGTGCCTGCCACTATGCCTGGCTAATTCTTTTGGTAATTTTAGTAGAGACAGGATTTCACCGTGTTGGCCCACCTGGTCTCAAACTCCTGGGCTCAAGTGATCTACCTGCCTCGGCCTCTCCATATGCTGAGGTTACAGGTGTGAGTTACCGTGCCCAGCCAGTAGTCTAGGTATTTTAAGCCCACTTACTATTTTGCTAAAATGAAAAATTAAGGACAGAAAGAAAGCAGAAAAAAGCAAGAGTAAAAAGATAAAGAAGAGAGAGACAGATACACACATAAACACACACAGAGAGAGAGAGAGAGGGAGAAAGAGAGCAAACTATTAATACAAAGATAAATATTTTCATCTGGTCTATGTAAGATTGAGTCTATAAACAGTATTTAAGATGTTCTCATCTACTCAAATGAAACTGACCAAACCGGAAGGGGAAGAGTGATTCACTTATAATCAGTGAATGGGGTTGAGTTTTCCACATGCAACCTCTTCCTGAATATTTTCAACAAGTGCGAGAAGATGGTCTTTGATCTCTCCATAACACAGATGAGAAAAGTGACAGTTAGAGAGTCTGTTAAGCATGTCTTGACCTATGTAGATCATAATGCTATGGGTAGGACTTTGAAGATTTTTTTTCTATCCAGAAGCAGAAACAGCAGAAGACATGAGCAAAATACTGAAGAAGAGTTTCAAGGAATATGGCTTAGCTAACAAGGAATGAGAAATGACAACAGCAAATGGTGTTGTTAAACTATTAGACTTTCCTTCTTGACAGGGTGATGTCACCCTCTAGAGAGTGAAAGATGGTCCTTGAGGAGCAAAAAAACTACTCTTTTTATATATAAAGATATACATAGAGTATGCAAGCAAATGCACGATATGTCTGCTGTGTGAAAATCATACAGTTGGCGCAAATTTTAAAAATACATCTAAATTGTCTCCCTGGGGGTGGTGGTGGGGATAATGAACAATAGGCTGATAAATATTTCTATAAGGCACTGAATCTATGACTTAAGGGACAAATTATAAAATGTCACCATTTCTTCAAATAGCATCAATAGCCACTCACCAAAAGTAAGTAAATAAGAATTTACTGAGGTGGTGGATATACTCAGTATGGTGCTTGACATGTTAATTTGTACAAAAAAGGGATAAGGTCGGGCACGGTGGCTCACACCTGTAATCCCAGCAATTTGGGAGGCCAAGGTGGCAGTATCGCTTGAGTGCAGGAGTTCGAGACCAGCCTGGGCAACACGGTGAGACCCTGTATCTACCAAAAATACAAAAAATTAGCTGGACATGGTGGTGTGCACCTGTAGTCCCAGCTACTGAGGAGGCTGAGGCAGGAGGATCACGTCGGCCCAGGAGTTCAAGACTCCAGTGAGCCATGATGGCACCACTGCACTCCAGCCTGGGCACTGGAATGAGACCCTGTTTCAAAAAAAGCAAAGCAAAACAAAACTAAAGGCATAAGGCATGGTCCTCAGAAAATGTTTATTTATATTGTGAGGAAAATATTCTACATGAAGTATGGTGGTAAATATTAACAAGTGGGTATCTGGCAGAGGCGGAAGCTTTCATTGGTAGCACTTACTGATTTCCAAAGTGTATGTACTTGGATTCTGTCCAATTTCATATACCAAAGTGAAATCCCAGAGCATGGACATACAAAGAGATGTACATTAGTATAGGATTTTATAGGGTTTCCACAATGAAGATGTAATAGACTTAAATAACCTCAAGAATATAGATAACTTTAAAATGAAGTACAATAATTAGTCAATGAGGAGTTTTGAGCATTTAGCACCTTTTAAAATAATGTATCTAATTTTAAGATTGTATAATTAAATTTTTAATGGAGACTGTGTTTAATAATGGCATTTTTTAAAATTCTGAAATACGAGAGATTAACTCTAATGAGCCAGTGCAAAATGGGTCTAGGAGACCACTGCAACTATTAGGGAGAACTGGAAGATGCAATGTGAATAAGTCTTGGGTTACATAGGATGCCTTCCAAGAATTAAAAAATTGATTAATTGATGTCCAATTAATAAAACAGTGAAACATAGTGTATAGTCATAGTCTACATCTATATATCTACCTGTTAGTTGACTCTAGTTCAGCTTTCCCATTTCAGAGTTTGTTGGGTTTTGATGGCTCTTCATGAACTCGGCTTGTCCCAGTTGGCTTTATTGTAATTTTATGTAAAATAATTAAATGATTCTGACAAGCCTGGTGAAAATCCTTTCAACCTGATCACTTTGTGCTTTGAGCATGGATGGAGCCAGACCTTTTCAAAGGACCCATGCTTTTTGGAAACTGTGGTTTTTATGGACCGATCTTGAGTTTTAATATTTGGAAGCTTAATAACTATCCAAAAATTTACCTACCCCCATAAAACCTACCATGTGAAAATACAAATTTAGACTAAGACCTGACAAGCAATCACAACAGAGACAAAAATTGAGAAATGACACTTAGTTTAACTAAAGAGTTTCTGCACAGCAAAGAAAACTATCAGCAGAGTAAATAGACAACCTACAGAACGAGATAAAATATTTGCAAACTATGCATCCAGTGAAGGTCTAATATCTGGAATCTATAAAGAACATAAGCAATTTGACAAGAAAAGAACAAACAACCCATTAAAAAGCGGACCAAGGACATGAATAGACAGTTCTCAAAAGAAGACATACATGCAGCCAAGAAACGTGAACAAATACTCCACGTCGTGGGTCATCAGAGAAGTGCAAATTAAAATCACAATAAGATACCATCTCACCTAAGTCAGAATGGCTATTATTTGAAATGTAGTTTTAAAAAGTGCAGATTTGGTTATAATGCTATTGGAGATTGGTTCCTGTCCTCAGCTGAGGCCCCTTTTCTCCAAAGGAGGTGTGGTCAACTTATTAGGAGCTGGGGATGGGAGTAAGCGGGACATGGGCCTAAAAGAAACTGAGCTATTAAGTGTGGGGCTTTACTAATATGTTTAGGAGACAGGTATTAAAGTTAGTTTCAAAAGATTAGGTAATATCTTCCCATAATTTATAGATTTTACTTATTTGTTTTACCAGTGATATTTAAATATTTTATAACAACATGATTAAGGAATTTTATATTTCAACAAAATGCACAGTAAACAAAATGGACACAGTAATTGTGACAGCTTCCTCGTTATTAAAGATGACAGCAACAGCCCTTGCCCCTAGTTCTTCAGTGGAAGATTTAGAGAGACTTGATCTTACAGTACAGTTGGGAATGAATCAGGCACAATTACAGTAGACATTCTCACTCAACCTGAGTCATCAAGACAGTCTTCTGTACCTGTCAATCTAAATCAAGGATTGGCAAACTTATTTTTTTATCACAAGTCAATGTCATATTAACTATAGTGAAGGATATAATTAAAAGCACTTTTTTTCTGTGAACATGATAGAAGTTTGTTTTGTTGAGACAGAGGAATATAAACATGTACCTCACCCTTTAAAGGTATTAACGATGGTGACACAAAATTTCAGTTGTTTTTAGTGAAACCTTTTATAACATTTAGTTCTTATAATATCTTCTGCTTTCTCTTATTGAAGTAGACATTTCAGTAAAAGTAATATAGTGATTGAATTTGAACATTTGCAATGGATGAATATTTTATTTTATGAGAAAAAAAAGACAGGCAGGAAACAATTTATGAAGTTAACTATAGGAATGTGCTAAATTTGATTTCTTGCATTCAGTTGTCTGGGGAGTTCACAGGCAGCTTTCACCAAGAATACTAAGGCTATTATGCAGATTGAAAAGCCCTACTCCTACATGGTCATTCATATTTACTTTCACAGAGTGACAGTAGAAATGTTCTGTTGGTCAAGTTTGATGTTTAAAAACATTTATGAAGATTATGTTACATTTTTAAAAAGGCCATGCAAAACTTTTGGTATTTCAGCTGGGGATATCTCCAGAAAAGGAAATAACTGATATGAAAGACCTTTCTGCTGGTTCTAATGGCAAGCTTATTATTTCTTTAAATGTGTTCTCTTTTAACTGTGATTCATGGGGCATAGCTAACAATTTTTACTGGGGATGAAAATCAGATAACTACGGTGAAGAGACTATGAGGAAAAAAAATGTGATGGAAAATACTTTGGCTAGGTTTCTGCAACACTGTAGAATCTCATCAATTTATATGTTTGGCTTGTAATAAAGTCAAGAAACTTTTGGTGGCAAATTGCTTGCATTAGGAATGGCTGGGCATGGTGACTCACATCTCTAATCCCAGTACTTTGGGAGGCCAAGGCAGGAGGATCACGTAAGGCCAGGAGTTTGAGACCAGTTTAGGCAACACAGTGAGACCCCATCTCTACAAAATAAAGAAAAAAATTAGCTGGACATGGTGCTGTGTGCCTGTACTCCTGCTGAGGCAGGAGGATCACATGAGCCCAAGAGTTTGAGGCTGCAGTGAGCCATGGTCTCACCACTGTACTCCAGCCTCAGCAACAGAGAGAGACTCTCTCTTAAAAAAAAAAAAAATAGGTAGCTAATCTGCAGTGTCTGTGTTTTCTCAGGGTGTGAGCAATCATTATTTAATTGCACTTCATGAGGAGAACTCCATTTCCCCTACTTGCAAAACATTTGGGCCCAGCACCAAGTTGAAATACTGAGGTCTTCATGGATGTCGTAAGATTGGCTTCTTCTTTGCAGGTTTCACTTGTGATTGACCTTGAGATTGAGAAGTGCCCTCAAATGTATGTGGGGAAGTTTTAGTCGTTAACTAGATTTTTCCATTCTGCTTTGGTTGTTACCGCTTGGGTGGAATTGGTTGTATCTGCCCTGAATCTAATCTGAGTCTTACCTATTTTAAGGGAGTGTCAATCAAGGCCCCAGAGAGAATTCAACCAAAAAAAATGGTATCGAGAAACCCAAATAGCCACAATGAATCCACTTCACTTTAATGCTTGGGAAACTGATGAGGGTTTGCCAGGTTGCCCTTTTAATTTCCATAGGAGCTTCTTCTAAGATAAGCAAATATATAACAATATTCTCATTTGGAAGAGTGTCTTCCCTTGGGATTTGGATTTGAAAAATGAGATAAAAGGACAAATTACCTCTCATATTCTCATGTCATACAAAGAAGATTTTCTTACTAAACCATGTGTTGAAATACTCAATAGCAATGCTCAAAAAAAATCCATATACAGATGAAAGAAACATAGTCATGAAAGATACTGCGGATTTACCTGACGTGACCTAAAACTAAGACAGAAAATTGGTTGCTTCTGTTTCTGGGTATGTCAGACAAAACACAATGTCCAAGTTAGTGGAGGAGGTTCAAGTTGTTGTTGCTGTTTTTTAGAAGTGGATCGGCTCTCTTAATAGGTCTGCAGTCATCTGAATGGAAAGTACACTCAATTTGTTTTGGTAGACCTTGAAATTGAACAACCAATTTGGTCTAGCCATTAAATCAGCCTCAATTTGGGCTGGGCATGAAGACAAACTTCAACCAGTTTGAATGATTTTTTTGTGTTGTTTTTTGTTTTTTAAACGTTCCAACTCTCTGTTTGGCACTATTTTTAAAAAAATTTGATTTCGTGACTACTGAGAGAAGAAAGCAAGCACACCACGGCTTTTTCTAGGAAACTGAAACATGAAAAATTCCGTAAAGAATTCAATTTAAAAATTCTGATCTCCACTTGGACCTAATGGGATCTTCCAGCCTGGGAAAGCATTCCTTCCTCACATTTTATTCTTAAATAAATCTCAAGCTGAGAGTATACGGAACTTTTTCTGTAGGTTCTCTGGGCCTTAAACAATGAAGTCATTTATTTAAACTAATTATTTTCATTAAGCAGGGTAGGAATACTGTGTGCTTAGTTGCTGCATTTATTATTTATTAAGCACTGAGACTTAATTATACCCTGTACTGAACACCAAGAAATGCGTTGTCTGTCTCAGTTTCATTCTGCAGACAAAACAGACAATATGAGAAATTGAACACCCTAAAAACTCTTCATTCTTCCTCAAGCATTTCATTTAACACAATTAACATACCTGTTATTTATAGGCGGGTTTGCTCGGTGCCATAAATTCCAAGTAAAGGGTCTATGTCACCATAGTTGTTCAAGGCAGTGGAGTTAGAGATTGTGTGTCAAAAATATTTTTTAAAGTTGACTGGGGAGTTGGGTGATTTTTTTTCACCAAAACATAAAACTTAAGTGAAAAAAATAAATAAAAGTGAACATAAAAATATTTAAACATTTTAAAGCACTAAAACAAAAGCAACATAGATTTGGAATCATAAAATTGTTTTTTTGAGCAGGGTCTCACTCTGTCATCCAGGTTGGAGTGCCATGGCATGATCTCAACACACCGCAACCTCCAACCCCTGGCCTCAAGCTATCCTCCCACCTCAGCCTCCCACGTTGCTGGGACCATAGGCATGTGCCACCACTCCCAATTATTTCTTTGTGTTTTTTGTAGAGATGGAGTTTCACCATGTTGCCCAGGCTTGACTCAAATTCCTGGCCTCAAGTGATCTGTCCACCTCAGCCTCCCAAAGTGCTGGGATTACAGGTGTGAGCTACCATTCTTGGCCTGGAATAATAAAATTTTAAAGTGAATTTTAAAGTGAAGTGGAATCTTACTTCAATTCTCTGCCTGTTGAAGAGATTTGGAGTCATAAAACTTTTAAGTCAACAGTTGCACTGCAATCTTACCTAAACTCTCTTCCTGCTGATCTGTAGCAGGAGGATGCAGACAAATTGTTTCAGAGGCTAAGGATGGAGAGTGCAGGAGAACCTTGCAAAGCAAACCTGGTTCGTTCAAATGAACAGCTCTTCATTGATCACAATCAACCTTTGAAGTGAGGAGGTAGTGCTGATCCAAGCACTACAGCATGATTTTCACCTTGGGGAGAATCCCATGATCATGACTAACCTGTGGCCAGAGAGTCATTTCGTACTGTTTCTGCTGATTATTCATACAAAGACGGAATAAGAGAGAACAAGTCTGGTCAAAATTAATTGCTTTTTCTGGAGGTGTTTGTTGCAATGTGTGCAGGTAATAGGTTTCCTCCTTTGAGGCCCAAAGAATCAAATCCTAGCCACATAAACTCTTCGCTATGATCCTCATTGATAGGAAACAACATGGAGTGCAGTCTCTCTCTACATTCCTTTGTATAGCCTGCTCAGAAATCCACAGGATTTAGTAGTCAGGCATTTCTTCCAGAAGTTCCACAACAGGTACACCTGAGTTAGGCCTGAAATCAAGGTTTTCTGATTCTAAGCCTAATTTCTTTTTCTTTCTTCCTTTCATGCATTCGTTCTTTCTCTCTCTTTCTTCCTTTCTTTTTTCTCTTTCCACCTTTTCTGCCATTTCCTTCCTTCCTTCCTTCCCTCCCTCTTTCTTTCTTTCTTTCCTTTCTTCTTCTTTCTTTCCTTCTTTCCTTTCTTCTTCTTTCTTTCCTTCCTTCCTTGTTTCTTTCTTTTTCTTTTTCTTTCTTGTTTCTTTCCTCCTTTCTGTCTCTCTCTCTCTCTTTCTTTCTGACAGGGTCTTGCTCTGTCACTCAGGCTGGAGTGCAGTGGTGCAATCATAGGTGACTGCAGCTTTGACTTCCTGGACTCAAGCCATCCTCCCACCTCAGCCTCCCTAGTAGCTGGGACTACAGGCACTCACCACCACACCCGGCTAATTTTCTTTTTTCTTTTTTTTCCTTTGAGACGGAGTTTTGCTCCTGTTGCCCAGGCTGGGGTGCAATGGCGCGATCTCGGCTTACGGCAACCTCTGCCTCCTGGGTCGAAGCGATTCTCCTGCCTCAGCCTCCCGAGTAGCTGGGACTACAGGCACCTGCCACCATGGTGGCATTTTTAGTAGAGGCAGGGTTTCACCATGCTGGTAGGCTGGTCTCAAACTCCTGACCTCAAGTCATCCATCCACCTCGGCCTCCCGAAGTGCTGGGATTACAGGCATGAGCCACTGTGCCCAGCCCAAGCCTGGCTAATTTTCTGTTAAAATTTATTTTTTGTAGAGCCAGAGTCTCCCTATGGTGCCCAGGCTGGTCCTGAACTCCTGAGCTCAAGTGATCCTCCCACTTCAACCTTTCAAAGTGCTGGGATTATAAGCCTGAGCCCTGCATCCCACTAAGCCCAATTTCTGTTCAACAGATGTCTCTTTGGGTGTAGTAAAACTCTTTAAATATGTTACTTAAAGAAATCTGACTACTGCAATTTTTGTCTAGTGGGTTAGTGTTTAAGAATCATAGCCAAAAAGATTCTTATCCTTAATGGTAGGACTTTGAAAACTATGGTGCCTGGACCAAATCCACCCCAAACCTGTATTTGTATGGACTGCAAGCTATGAATGGAGTTTACATTTTACATGTTGAAAGCAAATAAGAGAACTTTCTTGGCACATGAATAGTATATAAAATTTACATTCCATTAAAACACAGTCATGCCCAATCCTTCACGTAGTATCTGTGACCGTTGTCACGCTATAGTGGCAGAATTGAGTAGTTGCAACAGAGATGGTTGTCTTTCCTGCAAAGCCTATGCTCTATCCAGGCCTTTATGGAAAATGTTTGCAAACTCCTGGTTGAGAGAAATGCCCCTTGAGTGTGAAGAGTGAAATCTTTGGGTCTGATCTGCAAAGAGAGAGCTCAGATAAAGCCTGTGCTCTCATAAGAAAATCAAAGATTCTAAAGACTGGAACTTCTAACATTTAAAGTCTCCATCACCCCTCCCCCATGACCCACACCTTCCATGGTTTTGTCAGAGTGCCCTGTAGGAGGTCTGAAGTCACTGGGGTAGGGTTTGCGGATGGAAACCTGAGAGGCTGTTGATATTTATAGTAGGATGGAGCCATGGGGCAGGTTCATCCCTAACCCCAAATGAGGACTAGACCGAGGGTGGATGTCTCCTGGAGTCCCCAGGGATAGTGATGAGAAACGAAAGCAGGATATGAGGTGGGCCCTTCCTCCTTCAATATGTGCCTATTAAAAGGAGACTTCAAACTACAGGGGGATTTAGAAAAACATTGTGGCTGACACCTGGGCTACCTTCTGTAGTTAAAAGAGACAGAGTGTTTTAGGTACATGAAGTACATGATTCCATTTATCACCCAGCAACCTTTCAATTATTAACTTTAATTTGACCTATTATCTTTGCTACTAAATGTTCAGAACATCTTTGCCTAAATCACTATCTAAAGCTATGTTAGGATACAGGAGGGAGAGAGGAAAATAAAAATGTTGATGAAAAGTACCAAATGGATTGCGAAGATAATCCTATTTCACATAAAATCATTAAATGAATGTTGTTTTCTTTTTAATTGCTCCACATTTAAAACCAAACATGCCGAGGTTAGTACTTTACAACATCTAACTGAATTTTCCTAGTTCCTTTTATTATGAGACTAGGTTCTATGTAAAGCTGTTGACTTCAATGCAATTATTACATTGTTACACAAACGTATCATTAATGAATTGCAGCAATAATGTTTATCTAGGCTACTTTTCTAGACTTTTTCCCCCTTATTGTTGAATTCCACCAGGTATAGCAATAACCTCAGTGTCAGTTGCTGTACTCACACAGGTCAGTAGTCAGTTCATCTTTTTAAATTGTAAACAACTACTTGAAAGCTATATTGTAGCTATAATAAAGTCTAAATTTAATTTTATTTTGCGTAATCATCAATTAAATCACTTGCGAAGTATTTCAAAAAGGACATTAACAATAGATCTATGCGTAAGTCACATCTTTATATTGACTTTATCTACTGTAGTTCTGCTAAAGCAAAGAAAAGCACTTTTCTTTCCAGAGATTTAATTAGATCTGTTGTTCTAGCAAAGGCATTCTAAAATCCATTTTCAACCTAGAATGGTTTTTAAAAACCTGCACCTGAAATTTCAGTGTCAACATAAAAAAACAGTAATTAGTGATTGCACCCTATTTTTACCTTGTGGTGTGACATTCTTTTCATCCTTCATCTCCTGCCTGGGTGCTTTAGGGAACTCATAAATCAATATATTTCCAGGTGCCATATGGTTGCTACATACTATTAGGCAATGCTTGAGTAGCACCCAAGACATTTCTAAGACTAATGTTTCCCTTGCAAATGGAAAGTTCTAAATGTAAACATGTTAGTAGCATAGCCATGAATGGCAAGTGCTTCCATCACAGAAGAAAATGAACACATATTGCTAATAATAACAAATGTGCATTTCTATGTCCATGCACGATTTCTATGGTCAAGCCCCGGGAAAACAGAATCAAGGCTAACCACGTGGAACGTAGTCACATTTCAAAAACTACGATCTGACCCTTGGAAAATCAGAATGCATGAAATCAGTTAAACAGTTATAGAGTCTGCATGAACAGGAGTCTTTGGTAATAGCCTAAATTAGGCTAAGATCAGTGGATTTAACATTTTCCAGAAGGCTTGTTCTTAAATCAAGGGTGCAAAGTCACTCTCTTATGTTTTCGAATAGTGGTTTTAAAGAATTTTTATTGTTGTTTTTTTTTTATTTGTGTGTTTCCAATTTCCTCTCCTAGCCAATGCATTCTGCATGTTTTACTTTTTGTTTATTTACATATTAAATCTTAGATTTGGAGGTACACGTGCAGGTTTATTGCATGAATATGTTGCATGATGCTGAGATTTGGGCTTCAGCTGAACCCGTCATGCAAATAGTGAACATAGTACCAAAAGGTAGCTTCTCTACCCTTCCCTACTGACCCCTTTTGGACTCCTCAGTGTCTATAGTTCCCATCTTTATCTCCATGTGTACCCAATGTTTAGCTCCTACTTATAAGTAAGAACATGTGGTCTTTCATTTTCTGTTTCTCCATTAATTCACTTAGGATAATGGCCTTCAACTGCATCTATGTTGCTGCAAAAGACATCATCTCATTGATTTTCATGGCTGTATAGTAGTCCATGGTATATATGCACCACATTTTATATTTCCAGTCTACTGTTCATGGGCACCTAGATTGATTTCATGTCTTTGCTATTGTGAATAATGCTCATTCTGCATGTTTTTATATGTGGCTGTAGCATTGTTAGACATTTAAATTCCATATTTTTTTATATTCCTTTATTGCTGGTGTATAATTGCACAATAGACAAAGAATGTTGTCTCTATGGATTTGACTACGGAATTTTTGAGATTTTGTTTGTAGCACAGGTTAATCTTGCAAAATAATTTAGATGCCTGAAAAACAACAAGTAATGTCTCTTTTTGTGATACATATTGATATATCAATCAGATGATGTTTGTTAATTACTACATTGTAAGTTTTATCCTTTTCTCTCTCTTTTTTATTTGGTGGGGGAGGGTTCTGCTTTCTTTATCAACTCTTGACAAAGGTTCATTCAATTTTTCCACTACAGATGTGGTTTTAAAATATCTTTTAGTAATTCTGTCATTTTGTGTGTGTGTGTGTGTGTGTATATGTATATACACATAAATATATATATACACATATTCACATACACAGACACACACACACATAATATATTCACATACACAGACACACACATATTTATTTATAAAGACTCTCAGTCTCAATGTAATGAGATTTTGATTATTATGGATTTCTGGTGGCATGTTTTATTTATGATGTAAAATCCCTAAACTTCTGTTACCTACTTTTGTCTTCAATTCTATTGTAGATCAACTTCATTTTGATTATTGCTTTTATGGTATGCAAGTTTCATTTCCATTATTTTCATATCTTTTTTTCATAGACGTATCAGTATTAAATAGTTTAGAGCTAGGTTATCATTTTATTTAGTTTTAATTAAACCTGAGTGTCTGTGCCTTTTTAAAAGGGAAGTTTAGCCTTTCATGTCTGGTGTGATAATAGATAAGTGGGCATATTTCTACTATCTCAAATTGTATTTTCCATTTTTTACCCCCTGACACTTAGCTTTCTTTTTTTCCCTCTCTTTTTCTGACCTCTAGGGATTTTACTCATTGGCGGCTCAGTTTTTTCACTTGCTCTTTTAAATATTCAGATTTTCTAACTTTCTAGTAAACTTCATAGCTCTTATCCTCTTTCTGCACAAGACAATGGTGTTAATGTACCCAACCTGGTCAAGGCCCTTCCCTACGTCTCATCCCTTATTAACATTTCAATTCCAGCTTACTTTTTGGTATAACATTTTAATATTATGTTAACATTATCTTTACAATTAACATTATAGATTTAACAACATGGCTCATAGTGGCCTTTATTTATCTTGCACATTGAAGCCTAGAACTTATTTCATTTTATTTATATTTATATTTATGATAAAGTATATCCTTTCATATTGTCTGTATAAAGATCTGGATAAAACATTTTTGGAGTCATTTATGCCAGAAAAGTATCTTTCTTTCTTTTATGAACAGTTGCACAATGGTAGTTTTGTTTGGAATTCTGTATTCTCAGATCTCGTGCATAAGCATTTCAAATATATGGTGATAGACAATATATTTCCAAGGTTATGCCAATAGTCCCCATAGAGGTGTCCAGACCTGTGTGCCATTCCCCCCTATAGAGTGTGGTAGGACCTGTGCCTTGCTTCTAGTTATGCAGAATATAGAGAAGGTGAAAAAAAATTGTGATGTAATTAATAACCTCAAATTAGTTGATTTTAAGTAAATCCAGTGGGTGATTATCTTGGGCAGGTCTAACTTCATCAGATCGAAAGGTTCTCCTTGTGGGCTCAATGATATAAGCACCCATATTGGAGAAGCCCACATGTCCCCTTGGCTGTAGTGGGTAGACTTTAAAGTGACCCTCAATGCCTCTCATCTTCTGGTATTTACACCCTTGTGCATGAGGATACATTCCTTGGGTGTGTCCAGGATTGTGGGGTGTGACTTCTGTGTTTTGTTTACTTTATGCCACATAAAACTCAATCTTGTTAGCAGACTCTTGCTAGAGACTTCTCTTGCTGACTTTGAAGAAGTCAGTCATCAAGATGAGAGACCCAACTGTCAAGCTGCTAAGGATGACCTAGGATGGGGGACTGGTCCTCGTCTGGCAGCAAGAAATGGCCAGAACTCTCAGTGCTACAGCCCCAAGTAACTTAATTCTGCAACAACCTGGCTAAGCTTAGAACCAGATTCTTCCTTTTTTGAATCTCCAGATAAGAACACAACCAGCCAACATCTTGACTGCATGCCTGTGAGACGCTGAGCTCCAAACCCACCTAAGCCATGCCCAGGTCTTTGATCTGCAGAAACTGTGAGATAATCAGTGGTGGTTGTTGTAAGGTGCTACGTTTGGAGGTAATTTGTTACACAGCAATAGATAACTAATACATATCTAATTCCATTATAACGTCAGTGAGGTGTAGAGTTAAAGGCCCTGGTTCTGAATCCAAACAAACTTTATTTATCTCTGACTCAATTTGCCCATTAACTAAAGCAATTAACAGCCCTTCTATTTTAAGGGCTAAGAGCTTTAATAAATTAACCTTTTATCCGTATCATGACTATTATCAGAGTGAGTGACTTGGAATAAATATGTAAAAAATAACTAAAATTATTGCTGTTGTTCTTTTTCCTCAAAGAACTGATCATGCTGAGAGATTAATGTTGCTTAGTTTGTAAGTTTTTCTACTCCTGAGACCAAATGTGGAGTACAATTTAGGAAGGATTTGCCTTAAGAGCACATGCTTTCAGAACATCTGACCTTGTGTTGATTGTGCGACAGGTTTAAATATTAGATCCTTCTTCTCCCAAGATCTTCCTAATTATGTGCTGTTTACACTCACCTCCAAACCTCAGCAATCTATTGATTTTTGAAGTTAACACATTGATTTTTTTCTCTCTGTCTTTTATATGACAATGCCAAAAAGCTTTTAATAAATGGGTTGTGGCCTTTATATGAACTAACAGAAGGCCCCCTGCTGGAATAGCTATTAAGTTAGCATCCAGACATAGAAGCAGGATCATTTATAAGACCTTGGCATTGGAACTGCTGGTCATCAGATGCTCATGGATGCTCTTGCTGCAACTCCTGACCAAAGTCTGAAATAGAGTGCTCTCCTTCACTTACGTAACATTCAACATCACAATTTTTAAAAATATTCCAATATGCATCAGAGTTCTAATAAACATTAGTATTTTGTTATTCATTAGCATTTTTATTGGGGCACATGTTAGTTAATTTTTTAAAAGGGAATCTCAATTTTCCTTACAGCTGTTCAAACTAAATAGATCAAGCAAGAAAACTAACACATACAACCAAAAGTTAGATGACTAACGCATAACAGTACTATTTAAGTTTTCACTCAATCATGCTTGATTTGTTAACTCTCCCAAACCACTTTGCTTGACTGAGAGTATTTTCAAAATTAATAAATGATCCCACTGTTAAAAACGATCAATTATCAACGGCTACATTGGCTGAAAATTTGGGAACAGATATTGATAGTTTACTATCATCTTGTAATAAATTACACTTCAAATATAGAGGCTTAAAGTAACATATGTTTATTATCTTATAGTTTCTGTAAGTCAGGAATCTAGGTATGGCTTAGCTGGGTCCTCTACTCATGTTCTCAAAAGGCTGCAGTGAAGCGGGTAGTTAAGCTATGTTCTCATCCTGAGTCTCAAATGTGGAGAGAGACATTTTCAAATTCATTCAGAATGTTAGCATAATTTATTTCCTTGCAACTATGTGGTTAGGGGACTTTCATTTTGCTACCTCTTGACTAGAGGCCACGTTTGGGTCATAGAAGCTACCCACACTCCCTAGAGGCCACCCACTCTTTCTTGCTACCTGGGTTTCTCCAACATGGCGTTATTTCATCAGGTCTTCAAAGAGAGGCTGTCACCTCAGTCTTTTTCAGGTCATTCTCCTGATTAAACCAAGCCCACCCATGATAAGGCAGACAACTCAAAATCAACTGATTCAGGATGTAAATTACATCTAAAACACTCCCTTCACCTTTGCCATGTTTTTGGCTAGAAGAAAGTCACCATTCCTGCCTATATTCAAGGGGAATTGAATTGTATAATGAACCACTGAACCATGGGACTCCTCTAACATGTGTCCACTACAGACCCTGTGAATAATAAACAAGAATAAATCTATAATAGTAGAACATTAGTAGTAAGCACAAAATAGCTGATAATTAAATTTACATACACACACACAAACACACGCAGAAAAGTCATCAACCTGATGCTGAGATTTGAGTCTTAGTCCTAGTTTTCTCGTTAATTTTGTGACCTTATATAAGCCAGTTGACCCCCTCTGAGCCTTAGTATTATTATTTCTAAAGTGGGTCCTTAGACCAGAAAAAGATGTATACTCCCTTTCTTCTCTAACCTACTATGATTCTTTAATATCCGTGGTGTATTCATGGGTTATTGACTGGAGAAAAAAATTTTGACTAAGACCTCGGCTGCACGATACAGTAGACATATGTGACTATGAGCACTTTTAATGCAGTGAGTCCAAATTGAGATGTGCTCTAAGTGTAAAATATACATCAGATTTCAAAGGTTTAACACCATCACCACCACGACAAAAAAGAATAGAGTATATCTCATCAATATTTTTAAGTTGATCACGTGTTAGAAGGATTATATTTTGTCTGTATTTGGTTACATTAAATATTACTAAAATTGATTTCATCTGTTTCTGGTTGGATATTTTAAAGTGATTCCTGGGAAATTGGAAGCTACATAGTGGGCTACCCTTGTATTTCCATTGCATGTCACAAAGAACTAGGAGTTCTTTCCTACCTATTTACATTCACTTGAGGGATTCTCTTTTTGGAGAGCAGGGAGAAGGAATGTAATGGAATGAAACTAAAATTATATCTACATTAGTCAAAAATTTCTAAATATGCTTTTTTTGTATTTCAACTGCTTTATAAAAATATATTAAAACTTCTAAATACATCAGTGAGAGCTCCTATTCAGTTTAATGTACTAAATCATGTACAAACACACAAAATTTCATTCACATACTGAACTATACCTTGAGGTCAGATACAAGGAAATATTACTTTACCATATCTATCCAAAATGTTTACTATGAAGATTTAATGGAATAATAGATATTCCACTTAGCCCCTCTTACATATGAAGCTCTATCTATTGGATTATTTTTTAAATCATTATGTAGTTTTTTTGAAAGCAGTGATAATCTTCAGAAATATTTTCTGTAATATATACACATTTTTTCTGGACAATTTTACACGACAGATTGGATCATTTCAATTGCTAAAATTACTGAGTCAGTCAAACATGTGTCACAATCACCAATTTTGCAAAATTATCCACCCACACACTGGCTCTTGGCTCAGTCCTACCATCCTTTCAGGGGCAGAGACAAACCAAGTAGTCTATTTCTCCTAATGGATCAGCGATTTAACTCAAAGAGTTCAATGCCGTAGCCCAGACCGACTGCAGCTGTGCATTGTAATCAGTGGGGAAGGGGGATAAAAACCGCTCGTGTCCAGCAAGGATTGCACCTGCCACCAATTGAATCAGGACTTCCGCGACTTGGACCTGGTATTGGCATTTTAAAAAATATGCTATCTGGGTCAACCTAATGTCAATCCAGCATTGATATCACTGAGTAACAGATTCTAGCTTTTGACCTAAATATATGTATGTGGGGCAGCTTAGGAGTGAACTTAAAAGAAAGAAAAGAAAAGGAAAAAATTTAAACCATGCTGTGTTTTGTCCTGAGCTCTGACTTTCTCTTCAGCTCTCACTATCATTTATTCTACAATTCAGATTATTTTTTCAAAAATATTCATATTCAGCTATTCTGACATACCCATGTTTCTTTTGTCCTGAAAAATATCAAAAAACAGTCACATACACCCATCAGACACAGGCAGACATTCCTTGCAAATAGAAAGATACACCAATTCCTTGGGAAGCTTGTACTTTCACCAAAACTGAAACCTCATTATTTTTTTTTTTTTTTTGAGATTCATGGCTAGAAAGGAGAAAAAGGGACATTGGAATGCTGCAAACATTTTTTTAAAAACTGTTTTTGAACTGGTGGAGCTTTAACTTCTCATTTGAGAGAAAACAGCTTCTCCTTGGGAAAAACAAAGACGTGCCTTTTTTGGATGGAAAAGGCTGAACCAAAGGACGCCTGTATTAATCTTGGTTGCCTAGTAAGAAGACCCCACGACAGATCCTTGGAGAAGCAATACCCAGATGTGATGAGATGGGCAAGGATTGTTTTGAGAGAATTACCCGTGGGAGCGAAAATGTTTAGCTCCTAAAAGACACACGCATATGTATGTTCATGGCAGAGCTATTCACAATAGCAAAGACATGGAGTCAACCTAGGTGTTCATCCACAGTGGCATGCATAAAGAAAATGTGTGTATCTACACCATGGAATACTACACAGCCATAAAAAAGAATGAAATCATGTCCCGAATGAGATTTCTTTTCACCCCAAAGAGGCTAGGAGATCCACCAGACAGAGCTCAATGCTACTCTGACTTCCCATAAAGGAAAGAGGGTAGGAGCAGGAAGATTGGGCATGGTGGTCTGATAGCCCTCCAGCCAATGCTGGCCACCACGGGTCCTGTGTCTCCAATAAAGGACTCACCTTAGTATCCCTGCCATCCTCAGTCATTGGGGAGATTAAGTCTCTAGGAAGAATGAGCATGTTGCAAATGAGGTGATGGATTTCACAGCACAGCAGCTTGGGATCTCACTAAATAACATTCCCTGTGGTCAAGGAAATGAGAAGCACATTTTTCATGGCCACACGAGGGCCAATTTGTCCCAGAGGGGGAATTTCTCCAGGACCCAGAGCATGGGATTGCGGGGCATGCATACCTAGAAACCTGTTTAAAGTCATTCCTTTTACATATTGTCACTCTCAACTGCTTACAGCCATGTTGTACAGTGTCCTAGATTAGAATGTGCTATGGTGGGGTAGAGGAAAGGTTAGCACAGCAACAGCCCAATGGATGCCTGGCCTGAGAGGACAGCCTAACATTCCAGTGTAAGAGCTCATGGTTGACCATTTGATGACACACAGCATGGGAATGGGGACCTTTCTGCGTGAGTCCTCCTGATTATATCTTGTTTTGTACCCTACTTTTCCCCAAGGGGAGAAATTGGTATACCTCATTTACAAACGTTGCCTTATTCACATTCTAAAATTGTGTCTATGGGAAGTAGTAAAATCCCACTGAGTACATGCAGTATTTGGTTTTCTGTCCCTGCGTTAATTTGCTTAGGATAATGGCCTCCAGCTGCATCCTGGTTGCTGCAAAAACATGATTTCATTCTTTTTTACGGCTGTGTATTATTCCATGGCATAGATATGCCATGTTTTCTTTATGCAGGCCACTGTGGATGGGCACCTAGGTTGACTCCATGTCTTTGCTATTCTGAATAGCTCTGCCATGAACATACACGTGCATGTGTCTTTTAGGAGCTAAACACTGAGCACATATGGACATAAAGATGGAAACAATAGGCACTGAGGACTACTAAAGGGAGGAAAGAGGGAGGAGGGCAAGGCCTGAAAAACTAACAGTTGGATACTATGCTCGGTACCTGGGTGATCACACAATATAGCCAGGTAATAAACTTGCACATATACCCCCTGAATCTAAAATAAAAGTTGAAATTATTTTTTAAAAATTACAAAAAAAAAGAGAAATAATCAAGGAGAAAATATATAAACAAATGATACACTGAGTTTACAAAAAAGAAATCCCACTGAGAGGGCACATGTCAATTATCATCTGTGGGGGATGAGTTTCTTCTGGAAATTTTTATGGTAATTTCCCAACTTCAGAGGGCTTAGCTGTAGGGTACTTTTAAACCTCAAATTTTCCTTCCAAGTTTATATTCTGATCAAATCTCATTCCTCGAAGTAGGGTTAGCATATCTTTATTGAATCTCTTGTGTTTAACCTCTTTCTGCAGTTCAGATGTTCTGTTCATGACTGGGCAAACCAATGTCTCCTTCCTCACTGTTGTCTGTAGAAAAAGTCAGCACAAGTTCTGGAGTTAGATAGAAGCCTTGGCTGAAATTTATTGTCTTATTCTTGAGGGTAGAAGTCTGAAATCCAGGTACGGGCTGCATTGGTTCCTTTCAATGAGCAAGCATCTGTTTCAGCTCTCTCTTTTACCTGCTGGTGGCTTTCTGTCAATCTATAGCATTCCTTGACTTATACAAGCACTATCTGTGCCTCAATGTCTGCCTTTTTCTTCATGTGGCATTCTCCCTATTGGTGTGCATCTCTACAAATTTGTTTTTTCTACGAAGATGCCTGTCATATTGGATTAGAGCTCATCCTAATGACTGCATCTCAACCTAACTAAATACATCCACAACGATCCTATTTCCAAATGAAGTCACATTCTGAGAAGCTAGGAAGTAGTAGGTCTTCAACATATGAATTTTGTGGGGACACAATTCCACCCACAATCCTAGTTCATTGCAGAATAAGAACTAGAGTCCACAGCTCTAAGTTTAGTGCCTTTTAGGCTGGGCTACTAAGGATGCTCAAAACATGGCCAAAGAGTGACTCAATCCCGCAATAAAAGCTGGCTCAGTATTTGAAAGAAGCATTCTGCTTTTGCATTGTCAAATGACTTGAATTCTGCAGAAGAAACTCTACAGCCAATTTGATAACTATAGATTATCTGAAGTCTATCTGACGCAAGAGGCTTTGCTGAACTCCGAAGGTAATGAGTTCAAATCCATATCTCATGGTTACGTGCATACCGTCTACTAATCATAGTAATAGCCACCTAGGCAATTACTCACTTTTTAGTGTAGAACAATTAAATAAATGTCAGATACTGTCTTTTCTGTGAGCTCCTCAGATGCGTTCTTAACAATTATAGCCTGTCTGCTTGGAGGCAGCACTGAACATTGTTGGCACTTGGAGAATACTTTCAGTGTGTCATCATCTTTTCCAGAATTTTTAGAACCTGGATAGAAAACTGTGAATCTAAGATCACAGGCTTTTCTTCTTTGTAGCTATTGAATACACATTTTATAGTCCATAGTTTTATTACTATAAATGGTTCCTTCTGTATTTATAAACACAAAACACAGATGTAAGATGTGATGTGCTCAGTAATTAAGTCAACTTTTATATAACAGTCTGCTTGGATACGGTGAATTGTAACCCAGCCTTCAGAATGCATGTAAAAGATGGAAGTTATGTCTGATAATCTTTAGTTGAGACTGTTTCTTTTTATTTTATTTTATTTTATTATTATTATACTTTAAGTTTCAGCGTACATGTGCACAATGTGCAGGTTAGTTACATATGTATACATGTGCCATGCTGGTGTGCTGCACGAGACTGTTTCAAAGATATTTTATACCTTCGAGGAAAGGCTAGCATTTTCTTTTTTCCAGAAATCAACTCATTATTAATCTTTATCTTACAATGAGTTGCATATGAAGGAGCACTTAACTTTAAAGCACTTCAGTGGAGTCTATGTGAATGAGCAAAGTGAGTCCCCTTGCAGAATTCAGTGTTTTACAAGCCACTTCTGTATAGTGTTAACATGATTATTTTACAAGAATAGGGCTCAATCTAGCACTGTGTTAATAGAAATGAGGCAATTCATGAATATTTAATCAATGATTTACACCAAAAGTCAGAACAGATATGGAGAAAAAATTGCAAGTGTATGAAAAGATGTACAAACAAGAGTCAATCGTTCTTGAAGAACAGATTCTGAGCCACAGTATAAGATTGTTGCTGTTACAGTTTTCTCCAGCAACCTTCTGCAAATAGTCTCATTCACACATGCATTCACCCACCCGCTCACCTTCCCCTCACACACAAGCATGCACGCACTTGCCTATGCGTGCACAATCTTTTTCATGGCTGCCTACTATTCCATGTCTGAATCACTGTCATTTAGCTAACTTCTATTGACAGTCATTTTAGTTTTCTTTTTTCTAGTTTTTGTGATATTTCAAAATAATTATGCAGTGCAAACACCCTTCAGCATAAATCTCTGCATGATGTGGGGGTGCATCTCTCAGGATGTATTCCTTGAAGTAAAAGTATGTGCTGGGTCAGAGGCTGTGTGCATCTTAAGCGTGGGTCTGTTTTCCCAAATTTCCCTCCCAAGGGGCTGCCTGATTCCCAGTCACTATTTAAAGTGCTTCCTATGCCTTACCCATCTGTTAGATTGCTATCAATTGGAAGGTTAAAAATATGGACTCTCACTATTGTTTTTATCTGCATTTTGGTACTTACGGGGAAAAAGAAAAGTTTTCACTTAGTTGAATTTATATATCTTTCTGTTGCCCTCAAACTCCCTGTTCAGTCTTTGTTCCTTTGTGGTAAATATCCTGGATATATTTTAAGTTTGCCAGCCCACATTCTGTTGTATTTTGTACATATTTTTCTGTTGCATTTTGTGTGTATTTTTCTGTTGCATTTTGTTGCATTCGTTTGCTAGAGCTGCCATAACAAAGTACGTAGACTGGATAGCCTAAATAGCAGAATTAATTTTCTCACTGTCTTGGAGGCTAGAATTCGTAGATCAAGGTATAGGAAGAGCTGGTTCCTCCTGGGGCCTCTCTCCTTGGCTTGTAAATGGCACCTTCTCCCTGTGTCCTCACATAGTCATCCCTCTGTGTGTGTCTGTGTCCCAAGCTTTGCTTCTTATAGGGACACCAGTCTTGTTGGATCTGGGCCCACCCTAATGACTTTATTTTACCTTAATTATCTCTTTAAAGAGACTAGTCAGTTCTCCATATCTGTTGGTTCTGCATCTGTGGATTTAACCAACTGCTATTTGAAAATATTCAGAAAAAAAATGGATGGTTGTGTCTGTACTAAACACAAACATCACATACATACTTTTTTTCTTGTTATCCTCAAACAATGGAGGAAAACAGCTATTTATATAGAATTTACAGTGTGTTGAATAATGTAAGTAATGTAGGAATGATTTAAAGCAGCGATCCCCAACGTTTTTGGCACCAGGGATAGGTTTTGTGGAAGACGATATTTCCACGGATGTGGGGTGGGGGGATGGGGAATGGTTTTGAGATGATTCAATTGCATTACATTTATGGTTGCATTCTCGTGAGGAGCACACAACCTAGATCCTTCGCATGCGCAGTTCACAATTGGGTGCATGTTCCTACGAGAATCTAATGCTGCAGTTGATCTGACAGGCGGTGCAACTCAGACATTAGCTCACTTGCCTGCTGCTCACCTCCTGCTGTGTGACTCAATTCCTAACAGGCCATGGGACTGATACCAGTCCATGCCCTGGGGGTTGGGGATCCCTGATTTAAAGTATACAGGAGGATGTCCATAGGTTAAACGCAAATACTACACCGTTTTACATAAGGGATTTGAGCATTCATAGATGTTGGTATCCAAGGGGGGTTCTAGAATCCATCCTCCAAGGATACCATGGGTCAACTATATCTCCAAATACACTCACATTCTATGACACTGAGGGTTGGGATTTCAGGATGTGAATTTGGGAGTGCACAACTCACAACGTGTTAACTTGGCTAAGCTATCATGTCCGGAGGTTGTGGTCAACAATCCACAAACAGTAGACTTTAAGTGAAGGAGGCGATCCTTGATTATGGGATTGGCCTTGCCCAATCAGTTGAAAGACCTTAAAACCAAAATTGAGGTTTTCTGGAGGAGAAGAAATTCTGTCTGCTGACTGCAGCACCAGTACCTATTTGAGTTTCCAGGCCACCAGACTGCTGTTATATGGATTTTCAACATGCCAGCCTCTGTAACTCAATGAGCCAATTCCTTGAAATAAACACATCTTCATATATTATATGTAAAATACTTCTAGATAAACATGTAAATATATGTCATATAACTTACATAATATACATATATTAAGACATATTTATAAATTATAATCTATATATTATATAACATACCACAAATAATATATACCATAATGTCATATATTATTATATCATATTATATCATATATATCATTGTAATATATTATATCATATATTATTGTAATATATAGATTGTAATAATATATGTACCATATATTAGTATAATAATATATACACTGTAATAATATATATGCCATATATTATTATATATGGTATATACATATATATGTATCATAAAGCGTGAGCTGTGGTCCTGCCAACCACAAACAAGTCTTCATGAGCCACCAAATTTGGTTGAATTTTGACATTGAACCCTGCTGACTTGCATATATACCATATATACAGTACATACTGTATACGTTATATAGTATATACCATATAACATATAGATTATATATATTTATGTGTCTGTATATGGTACATAATATATTTAAATATATAATATTTATATACGTTTATAATATATATTATAATCTGTAAATATATAGGCAATATGAATTTGTTTTTTTTAAGAGACAGGGTCTCGCTCTGTTGCCCAAGCTGGAGTGCAGTGGTGCAATCACGGCTCACTGCAGTCTTGACCTCCCGGTCTCAAGCAATCCTCCTGCCTCAGCCTGCCAAGTAGCTGGGAGCTCAGGTACATGTCACCATGCCCAACTAAGATATAAATATTGATACAGATATCCGACATGCTTATTGGTTCTGTTCGTCTGGAGAATCATGACCGGTACAGATTTATTGCATGTATTTTCCCTCACTATGCCTTGTCTTTTTACGCTGTTGAGGACATTATTGTTATTTAGAAATTTTGAGTTTATGCAGCTGATTTTATCAATTGTTTTCTTGCTGGCTTGCAGGATTTGTCCTGGAAGGCATACTTAGCTATGAGCACACAAAAGCTCTTTCTGAAAGTTTCATGGTTGATCAAACAATATCTTTCATGCGCGTCCGTGTGAAGTGACCACCAAACAGGCTTTGTGTGAACAATAAAGCTTTTAATCACCTGGGTGCAGGTGGGCTGAGTCCAAAAAGAGAGTCAGCGAAGGGAGATAAGGGTGGGGCCGTTTTATAGGATTTGGGTAGATAAAGGAAAATTACAGTCAAAGGGGGTTGTTCTCTGTCGGTCAGGAGTGGGGGTCACAAGGTACTCAGTGGGGGAGCTTTTGAGCCAGGATGAGCCAGGAGAAGGAATTTCACAAGACAGTGTCATCAGTTAAGGCAGGAACAGGCCATTTTCACTTCTTTTGTGGTGGAATGTCATCAGTTAAGGCAGGAACCGGCCATCTGGATGTGTATGTGTAGGTCACAGGGGATATGATGGCTTAGCTTGGGCTCAGAGGCCTGACATTCCTGTCTTCTTATATAAATAAGAAAAATAAAACGAAATAGTGGTAAAGTGTTGGGGCGGTGAAAATTTTTGGGGACGGTATGGAGAGATAATGGGCGATGTTTCTCAGGGCTGCTTCGAGTGGGATTGGGGTGGCGTGGGAACCTAGAGTGGGAGAGATTAAGCTGAAGGAAGATTTTGTGGTAAGGGGTGATATTGTGGGGTTGTTAGAAGAAACATTTATCATTTAGAATGATTGGTGATGGCCTGGGTACAGTTTTGTATGAATTGAAAAACGGAATAAGAGAAGGAGAAAAACAGGTATAAAAGGTCTAAGAATTGGGAGGACCTAGGACATTTAATTAGAGTGCCTAAGGAGGTTCAGCATAGCCTTGCCAGTAAAGATTATTTATTTACTTCAAGAGTTTAGAGTGGCAGTTTGGGGATAGCACCAGGAGATATCAGCTGTGATGGCTTGGAGAAACAGTGTAAACCGGCAGTGTAAACAAGAGCAGGGCATGTATGAGTAGTTGAGAACGGTGAATAGGAGTATGACTAGACAGAAGATAGTAGGGATGACAAGTTTTTTTGGGGGCACAGTCTAAGTTGGTCCGGTGTCTGGAATGAGACTGGGGCCTAATAAAAAGGAGCATCTATACAGGAGCTCAAATGGGCTGTACCCTGTAGCATTCTAAGGACAGGCCTGATTTCTGAGAAGGGAAAGTGGTTAAAGTATTGTCCAGTCCTTTTTAAGTTGGTGGCTGAGCTTGGTGAGGTGTGTTTTTAAAAGACCTTTAGTCCGTTCTACTTTTCTTGAAGAAGGAGGACCGTAAGGGATATAAAGGTTTCACTGAATACTAAGAGCCTGAAAAACTGCTTGGCTGATTTGACTAATAAAGGCTGGTCTGTTATCAGACTGTATAGAGGTGGGAAGGCTAAACTGAGGAATTATGTCTGACAGAAGGGAAGAAATGACTGCGGTGGCCTTCTCAGACCCTGTAGGAAAGGCCTGTACCTATCCAGTGAAAGTGTCTACCTAGACTAAGAGGTATTTTAGTTATCTGACTCTGGGCATGTTGAGTAAAGCTAATTTGCCAGTCCTGGGTGGGGCAAATCCTGGAGCTTGATGTGTAGGGAAGGGAGGAGGCCTGCATAATCCCTGAGGAGTAGTAGAATAGCAGATGGAACACTGAGAAGTTATTTCCTTGAGGATAGATTTCCACGATGGAAAGGAAACGAGAGGTTCTAAGAGGCGGGCTAGTGGCTTGTACTATAGCATAGCCTGCCTTTGCTGGTGTGTGGCGATTAGGCCTGGTGGAACCACCATCAATAAATCAAGCGTGATCAGGGTGAGGAACAGGAAAGAAGGAAATATGGGGAAATGGGGTGAATGTCAGGTGGATCAGAGAGATACAGTCATGAGGGTCAGGTGTGGTATCCAGAATAATGTGGGAGGCCGGATTGAAGTTCGGGCCAGGAACAATGGTAACTGTGGGACTTAACAAAGAGTGAGTACAGCTGAAGGAGCCGGGAAGCAGAAAGTATATGCGTCAGGTGTGAGGAAGAAAATAGATTTTGGAAGTTATGAGAAATGTAGAGAGTGAGTTGAGCATAGTTTGTGATTTTGAGGGCCTCTAAAAGTATTAAAGCAGCGGCAGCTGCTGCAAGCAGACATGAGGGCTAGGCTAAAACAGTAAGGTCAAGTTGTTTGGACAGAAAGGCTACAGGGTGCAGTCCTGGCTCTTGTGTAAAAATTCTGACCGCACTAACTATGCCTAGGAAGGAAAGGAGTTGTTGTTTTGTAAGGGATTGAGGTTTGGGAGATTAATCGGACACGATCAGCAGGGAAAACACGTGTGGTTTTATAAGAATTATGCCGAGATAGGTAACAGATGAGGATGAAATTTGGGCTTGACTGAAGTAATGGGGGCTGTCTGTGAAGCCTTGCGGCAGTACAGCCCAGGTAATTTGCTGAGCCTAATGGGTGTCAGGGTCAGTCTAAGTGAAAGCAAAGAGAAGCTGGGACGAAGGGTGCAGGGGAATAGTGAAAAAGCATCTTTAAGATCGAGAACGGAATAGTGAGTTGTGGAGGAAGGTATTGAGGACGAAAGAGTGTACGGGTTTGGCACCACAGGGTGGATAGGCAAAACAATTTGGTTGATAAGGCGCAGATCCTGAACTAATCTGTAAGACTTGTCCGGTTTTAGGACAGGTAAAATGGGGGAATTGTAAGGAGAGTTTATAGGTTTTAGAAGCCCATGCTGTAGCAGGCGAGTGATAACAGGCTTTAATCCTTTTAAAGCGTGCTGTGGGATGGGATATTGGCATTGAGCGGGGTAAGGGTGATTAGGTTTTAATGGGATGGTAATGGGCATGTGATCGGTTGCCAGGGAAGGAGTAGAGATGTCCCATACTTGTGGGTTAAGGTGGGGGGATACGAGAGGAAGACGCGAAGGAGGCTTTGGGTTGGGGAGAAGGGCGGCAATGAGATGCAGCTGTAGTCCAGGAATAGTCAGGGAAGCAGATAATTTGGTTAAAGTATCTCGGCCTAATAAGGGAACTGGGCAGGTGGGGATAACTAAAAAAGTGCAGAAAAGAGTGTTGTCCAAGTTGGCACCAGAGTGGGGGAGTTTTCAGGGGTTTAGAAGCCTGGCCGTCAATACCCACAACAGTTATGGAGGCAAGGGAAACAGGCCCTTGAAAAGAAGGTAATGTGGAGTGGGGAGCCTCCGTATTGACTAAGGGGACGGACTTACCTTCCACTGTGAGAGTTACCCGAAGCTCGGCGTCCGTGATGGTCTAGGGGGCTTCCGAGGCAATCAGGCAGCGTCGGTCTTCAGCCGCTAAGCCAAGAAGATCTGGGAAGCAGTCAGACAGCCTTGGGCCAGAGTTCCAGGGGCTCTGGGAGTGGCTGCCAGGTGAGTTGGACAGTCCGATTTCCAGTGGGGTCCCACACAGATGGGACGCAGCTTAGGAGGAATCCTGGGCTGCAGGCATTCCTTGGCCTGGTGGCCAGATTTCTGACACTTGTAGCAAGCTCCTGGGGGAGGAGGTTCTGGAGGAACGCCTGGCCGCTGCGGTTCAGGCGTTTGGAAGTTGTGTGCTGGAGATGTGGCTGGGGTTTGTCTCACCGTGGAGGCAAGGAATTGCAACTTTTTTCTATTATTGTACACCTTGAAGGCGAGGTTAATTAAATCCTGTTGTGGGGTTTGAGGGCCGGAATTTAATTTTTGGAGTTTTATTTAATGTCGGGAGCAGATTGGGTAATAAAATGTATTTTGAGAATAGGACGGCCTTTTGACCTTTTAGAGTCTAGGGCTGTAAAGCGTCTCAGGGTTGCTGCCGAACGAGCCATGAACTGGGCTGGGTTTTTCATATTTGATGAAAGAGCCTAAAGGCTCACGGATTTGGGAGAGGTCTGATAAAGAAAAAGGAGCATTAACCTTGACTATGCCTTTAGCTTCAGCCACCTTTTTAAGAGGAAATTGCTGGGCAGGTGGAGGAGGGCTACTCACGGAATGAAATTGTAAACCAGACCAGGTGTGAGGAGGGGAGGGGAGGTGATAAAAGGATTATAGGATGGAGGAGTGGAGGCTGAGGAAGAACTGGGACCTAGCTCGGCCTGGCGAGGAGCAGCCTGGGGAGGAGGGGAGAGGTCAGATGGGTCTGTAGAAAAGGAAGATTAGAAAGACTCAGCAATGCTTGGGGTTGGGACTGAGGGGACAGGTGGGAGGGAAAGAAGGAAGATTTGGGACGAGTTGCACTGGGGACAGAGACTAGGGAGGGACCGATGTGTAAAAGAATGCCTGGACGTCAGACACCTCAGACCGTTTGCCCATTTTACGACAGGAATTATTTAGATCTTGCAGGATGGAAAAATTGAAAGTGCCGTTTTCTGGCTATTTGGAACTACTGTCGAGTTTGTATTGGGGTCAAGCGGCATTGCAGAAGAAAATAAGATGCTTAGATTTTAGGTCAGGTGAGAGTTGGAGAGGTTTTAAGTTCTTAAGAACACAGGCTAAGGGAGAAGAAGGAGGAATAGAGGGTGGAAGGTTGCCCATAGTGAAGGAAGCAAGCCCAGAGAAAAGAGAGCATAAAGACATGGAGGGAAGGGGTTTGGGGGTTCTTACCCTCCAGAAAAGCGGGAAAGGGGTCGGGGCACAGAGATACGAGGTCAGGGCACGGAAATAAGGGATTGGGATGCAGAGATATAAGAGGTTGGGGCGTGGAAATAAGGGATCGGGGCGCAGAGGTATAAGAGGTTGGGGCGTGGAAATAAGGGATCGGGGTGCAGAGATATAAGGGGTTGGGGTACTTGCCCCACCCCTAGAAAAGCGGGACTTGCCGCTAAGGGTGAAGGAGAAGGGGTTGGGGGTTTCTTACCCCCCAGAAAGGCGGAGAAGGGGTAGAGACAAGGAGAGAAGGGGTTGGGGTACTTGCCCCTCCTACAGAAAAGCGGGACTTGCCGCTAAGGGTGAAGGAGCAAGGCAGGCGTCCCTGCGTGGTCTGACGCCTCTGAAACATGGGTGAGTTATCAGAGAGGCGTCCCTGCAATGATTAAACACCAAGGGAAGGCTGCCTTCCCAGTCTGTGACCGGCGCTGGAGTTTTGGGTCCACGGATAAAACGTGTCTCCTTTGTCTCCACCAGAAAATGAAAGGAATTGAAATTAAAAGAAGGGAGAGATTGAAGTGTGGCGCCAAGATTGAAAGGAGAAAGAGGTTGAGGGATAGTGAGGGAGGTTGGAGAAGAGAGTAAAAAGAGGCCGCTTACCGGATTTGAAATTGGTGAGATGTTTCTTGGGCTGGTTGGTCTGAGGACTTGAGGTCGTAGGTGGATCTTTCTCATGGAGCAAAGAGCAGGAGGACAGGGGATTGATCTCCCAAGGGAGGCCCCCCCACCACCATCCGAGTCACGGCACCAAATTTCATGTGCGTCCGTGTGAAGAGACCACCAAATAGGCTTTGTGTGAGCAATAAAGCTTTTAATCACCTGGGTGCAGGTGGGCTGAGTCCGAAAAGAGAGTCAGCGAAGGGAGATAAGGGTGGGGCCGTTTTATAGGATTTGGGTAGATAAAGGAAAATTACAGTCAAAGGGGGTTGTTCTCTGTCGGTCAGGAGTGGGGGTCACAAGGTACTCAGTGGGGGAGCTTTTGAGCCAGGATGAGCCAGGAGAAGGAATTTCACAAGACAGTGTCATCAGTTAAGGCAGGAACAGGCCATTTTCACTTCTTTTGTGGTGGAATGTCATCAGTTAAGGCAGGAACCGGCCATCTGGATGTGTACGTGCAGGTCACAGGGGATATGATGGCTTAGCTTGGGCTCAGAGGCCTGACAATATCTCCTTGTTTATCAAATGTCATCCTGTCACTACATTTGATAATTTGTAAAACATCAGAAAATGGTAGCCCAGGTTTAAAGCAGCAGCCTTCTGGTGATCTGTGGCTAGGGATACATAGGGGAGTCTTAGTCTTCCCAGACTGTTGTAACAAAGTACCACAACCCGGGTAGTTAATAGAACAGACGTTTATTCTCTCACGGTCCTAGAGGCAGGAAGTGTGAGACCAAGGTGTCGACAGGGCTGGTTTCTCCTGATCCCTCTCTCCTTCGCTTGCAGATGCCATCTTCTCCCTGTGTTTTGTCTCTGTGTCCAAACTTCCCCTTTTTATAAGGACCCTGGTCATACTGGCTTAGAACGCACCTAATGGCCTCATCTTAACTTGATTACATCATCTTTAAAGGCTATCTCCAAATTAAGTCACATTCGAAGGTTCTCAGAACTTCAAGGTATCAACCTGACAGTTGGGGGCAGCTCAGCTCCTCACAAGGTGGGTAGAATTCAGCCTATGGTTCTCTGTCTTCAGTGAAAAAGGCAAGCCCGAGACTGCAAGCTCCTTCACACAGAGTGAGTTCTCATCCCGCCAACCACAAGCAGGTCTTCGTGAGACACCAAATTGGATGAATTTTGATGTTGAACCCTGCTGACTCTTGTCAGAGGAAGTTCGGTTGCAGCGAAATGCTGGTTCTGAGAATTTACAACTTAAAGGCAGTCACAGCCCATAGGAGGAAGGTCTCCCAAAGTAAAGATGGCCTTAAGTGGTGTGGCATGGGTGTCTAAAGCCTAAAAAATGCAGCCATGGCTCAGAGAGACATATTGTTCGTCTGGTTCTTAACTGTTCCTGATGCTTAAAAATGATGACACCATTTAAATAACCTGCAAGGAGATGAAAAATTCCAAAGGCATCTTCCGAAAACTGCAAAGGATAGCCATTATAATGATGTGAAGGAACGGGAGAAGAATTATGAGTGCACCCTAAGATGGGAGATATTTTCACCCAAGGCTTAGAGATGTAGTTTAGGAAGGGATAGTTTTGGAGGAGGAACCTCCATCCAGGACTCAGTAATCAATGCTTAACTTTGAAAAGGGAAAAATAGCAGACCAGCACACAGGGCAGAGGACTGGGTTTGAAACACCAAATCTTCCTCATCTTGGCCACTTCAGGGAGTTAGGGAAGCTTTCTGAAATTTTTCTGGCACACGCTGTACCTTTTTGACAAAATTTAGGGTGCCTGCACTGGAGACATGTTTTATTAAGTTGCTCCTCGAAATTCTCTTCTTGCAGAAGTTATCTGACTTGCAGCTGTGGTGAGTGTATGCAACTTTATTTTGTGGAATTCCATCAGAACAGGTTTAAAGCCATTCAGCATTAATTGGGCCCCTTTGCAAATACTATTGGCTTCTTCTGAGAGCTGGAAGTCTGCAGGAAAGCCAGAGAAATAGACAAATGAAAGGTTTGGCTAGCCTCCGCATCCCCCAAACCTACTGAGCTGCTTTGCTTGTATGCCCTGAATCAGAGAACGGAAATACTCGCCAGGAAAAAATACTTGTAGGAGTCTGACTGTGCCCTGTCCAATTGTAATGAGGTGCCTCTCGCTGTTTGTTTAGTATCCTTACTGAAATCCCTACTGTTTTTGGTAATATGCACATTTTCATCTCCAGCTGTGGAGCTAATGTTCCCATATTTGTTATGAAACACGGAGCATTGTGTCTTTTTCCAGGATATCCCAAAAGAAAAGGTGGCTATGGAATAGTTATGCTGATTAGTGCATGCCTCCTGGCTTGGAAAGAAATCAGGCTGGATTCAACAGAAAGCAGGTTTTGAAGGAAAAACAACAATAATAACAGCAACACTTGAGGGCAGAGTGAAATGTGTAACTGTACTGATCTTTGCAGGTTTCACATCATCTTGAGAAACATGAGTAAAAGACTGGTAGGGAAACTGTTGAAAACAGAACAATATTTGCTCGGCATGTATGCAGGAAAACGACGTTTCTGAGGACTCCCGAGCAGTGGAGAGAAAGCCTTCTGGCAAATTATTGAGAGAGTGAATCAGTTCCCCCTCTTTCTGATGCGCCTCCTAAGCTTAAAAATAAAGAGGTGAAAACAACATGACGTTTGCCGTGCATTGTTGACATGAAATGTTAAAGGAAGCCTAATGTTCTGGAAGCCTTTTTCTTATAGATGCAGAGACGGCACACCCCACTGATCTGAAAGCTCACTGTGTTACTAAGAAGGTACATGCACCTTATTAATTTAATTCTTACATCCGTTATTTTTCACACCATGGAAAGGATTCTAAAAATAACCCAGAGAATTATATAACTCCCATTTCCGTGATGCTGTTTCTTGCTTTTTTTCTCTTCTTTGCTTTTTTTAAACAAACTTCCAGACGGATTCACCTTGAGCGGCTTTAGCTGGAAGCAATACGAAAGATGTATATCTCGGTAGACCCTTCTTCATTAAGTTCTACACTGTCCATGTTTCTGGGAGTTATAATTTAATCTTTGCAATCTTGGCAGTGCAATTTAAGCAGTGGGTTAAGTTGTAAAATGAGTGTTTTAACATCCAGTGCTCTAACAGTTTGATGCAAATGTTTTTGCGGCATTTATGCAACTCAGATTCTCCAAGAAAGTAAAAGAGAGAGAGAGAGAGAGAGATCATATTTCTGAGGATGTTATAGACCAAGCTAGCATCAAAGAATAAGAGAAAAAGAGCTGCATAAAAGTCTTGGAGGTAACAGGTTTGGACAACTTTGGATGAACAGACATCCTTTAATGCTAGTCTCTGATTCCAATTGCTACAAAATCCAGCAGGTATGTTGGGGCACTGTGCAGCTTGGAAGTCAGAGTTTCACATCCGCCTCCTCTCATCATTGTTAAATCATTTTGTTTCAAAAAGGTTTTCTTTTTATGTTAATAAAAAGAAAAGTCTTCAAGGGCATTTTGTTACAACAATGAAATTTCAATTTGTGATTCTAATATATTCAAAAGTACATTGGATTGTGGACTTAAGTCATCAATAGAACCAAAATGTGCTGGTAAAACAACAACTAGACGTCTCCAGGAATGCCTTGAAATTGCCAAACAAGATAATTTACCTTTTCTATTTTTTTCAGTGCCAGAGAATGTGAATAAATTGTGATGTCTCTTAAACCCTACATGACATGCTCTAGTGAACATGTGATTCCAGTTAGTGGGTGGCTGATTTATCATGGCAGTATTTGTTCCGATTTACTTATCATTGAAGTTAAATAACTGAATGGAATCTATTTAGTTGATGGAAATCAAGAATAGAAAGAAATAAAGACATAGTCAATGCTGGGAATCTGTCTTTCTAATGGCTTAGAGTTATACAGTTCCTACATATATTTTATCAAGTTAAAAAAATTACCATCTGTATTTAGTATGTTTCTTTTTAATGTAAATTCAGAGATTGCAAGACTCTGCTCCCTTTCATCCATAAAATATGAATTGCTTTCATTCTCCTTCTTAAGCAAACCATGGCATCAATTGAATTAATTGATCCATTTTCACAGCATTCATCAAAAGTTCAGTTTAAGGGATTAGATGAAAGTAGCCATATACTAATCATGAAAACACACAATCTCTTAGAAGTATCATCTTTAAGAGCATATATTCCAAAGTGATGTTAATATGAAAAGTCATTGAATATCAATGAAAAACTTGGCCACAGTGATTCAGAGCAAAATCTTGGAGAATATGCAAAATATCCTTGTGTGATTCTTCCTACAGGTATAGGAAGATGAAGTTTTGTCTATGGAAGTATGGTTTATTTTATAAATGGGAATAGTGCTTGGATTAAGGTAGCACCCTGACCAGCCCCGGTCTTTCTTCAGTTATACTGTAGAATTTTGTTACTGATACAACTAAAAGATCTCAAAGTATAATTTGGGGTTTCAGAATAATGGAAAGCTCTCTGGAGTCATAGTCATCTTTTCTATTTTTAAAAATCAGAGTCTATTACCATGCTTGGCACAAAAGATGTCCTCAGTGTATATTTATTAAATGGACGATTGAATGAATGAGTCTAACCTATGGGCAAAACACCGTACCTAGCAATTTGAAGGACTGCTAGCCATAGAAATAGAGAAACAGAGTGATCTCACCATTTACCAAAACCCTTGTGATGTCAAGGAGTTTAATATTGGTTGCCTTTCTCCATAAGAGTAATACAAATGATAATCAGGGAAACAATAGGATATATGGAATAGAATACACCAAATTAATTTTGTATTAAGGAGAGTCATAATTGAGAGTTTGTTGCAGCTGATTAATAATGTTCCTTAATATTTCTGGAAAGAAACAGAGGAAGTCAAATCACATTGATCATGGGCTTGGGATATGGACAACCTTCTTAAATACTTTCAGAACTATCCTTCCATTGCATATGTTGGTTAATTCTCTGTGAGGCTTTATTATCTGCCCCGTTCAAATTACAAAGAATAAAATAGAAGGAGGTTTAATGTTTTGGTGATATCAGTAGTTGGTAAACAGCAGAACTGGGGTTCCAACCTTTCCCTCCCAAATCCAGCTCTGAAGCTCTTACTCACTTAGTGATGGCTGTTGACTGAATGTGAACGAGCTTGTGCTACAATTGTCTTAGCTGCAGAGATTCCACCAACATCAGAAAAATTCAGCCATGAGACTGAGCAGATCCTTGCAAGAATTCAATGCAATTCATTTCCAATTCACTACTTTCTCCCTTCTTTCTTCATTAAGGTCATTTATCCAGTCGTCCATCCTACAAGATATCTTTATTAAGATCTCTAGTGTTTAGTGCCCTACACTGAACTGAACATACAGTGGTCATAGATGGGTGCTCTTTTTGCCTGGATAGAAACTGTGACTTACCCCAAACTTAAAACCATATGCATTTATGATCTCACAGTTTCTGTGGGCCATGAATTCAGGGAAAGCCTAGCCGAATCCTCTTCTTAGAGTCTATGAGGGCTTCCATCAAAGTGTTGGGCTGAGCTCTCACCTGGAGGTTGGACTTGGGAAGAATTCACTCCCAACCTCAGGTATGCTGTTGTCAGATTTGTTTCCTTGTGGCTGCAGAACTGAGAGACCAGCTTCTTGTTGGTTATGGGCTAGGAGACACCCTCCACTCTTACGGGCCGTCCTCAGCTCACATGAACACGGGATTCTTCAATGTCCACAGGAGAGAAAGTCTCTAGAGAGAATGGACTAGCAAGATGGAGTTTTATGTAGCATAGAGTTTATATCCATGGTCCAGGGTACATTCAGTGGAAGAGGACTATACAAGAAAGTGTAAACTAGAAAGTGCAGATCTTTGGGGGTCATTTTAAAGTCTGTCCAGCACAGGAGGTGGCCAGAAATGTATCAGACAATAGGAAACTACAAACCATGATCAGTATTGCCATGTACACACAGCAGAAAATTAACAACAATAGAAAATATTGGAGGAATAGGAACTTTGCACAGGACAGAACATTTAATATCATACCTGAAGAATGAGGAGGTGGTTAAATGTTGCAAGGGTCCGTGATGAAGGTACAGGATTGTTTATAGACAGAACAGATGGCCAGGTCCTTCTTCTACGTTAAGAATTGTATTAGTCCGTTTTCATGCTGCTGATAAAGACATACCAGCAGCACGAAACTGGGTAATTTATAAAGAAACAGAGGTTAAATGGACTCACTGTTCCACATGACTGGGGAGGCCTCACAATCATGGTGGAAGGTGAAAGGCATGTCTTAAATGGCAGCAGGCAACAGAGAATGAGAACCAAGTGAAAGGCGAAACCCCTTATAAAACGATCAGATCTGGTGAAACTTATTCATTACCACGAGAACAGTATGGGGCAAACCGCCCCCATGATTCAATTATCTACCAGCGGTCCCTCCCATGACACATGGGAATTATGGGAGCTACAGTTCAAGATGAGATTTGGGTGAGGACACAGCCAAAGCATATCAAGAATGTTAATGATTACCCCCAAATCAATAGATAACCATTCCTAGCCTTTCCATAATGATAGATACAACCTACCTCATGTGATGATGATGATGATGATGATGATGATGATGATGATGATAATAATAATGATGACGTGATGATAAAGTTACTGTTTTAGCTGTACAAATGACTACAATTTCTATCACCCTTAAAATTTTATTTCAATGCCTTGGATTAAGCCATTACTATATCCAGTGGTTCTCTTAAAATATAAATAATTTGTTTCTAAAAAATAGATATTAAGTCATTGGGATTTCATCAGAAATTATTTGTCAGGTATGTGTTGGCTTGCCTCTCTTTTCCTTACATTCATGTTACAAAATCTCAAATCCTGGTTAATTTCAAGACCTTTTTTCACTCTTAACTCCTACATACCCTCACCCCCACCATTCTGCACACATCTTCGTTGTTCTACCCATCTTCCAGTGAGGGATATTCTCAAGGAATGTGTCTCAGTAACAATCATAATAAGCCTACATTAATGGATGCCTACCGTGTAAAAGATACCTCACATAGAACTCACATTTAATTTTTACAACAGTCCTATCACTTTCACGTTGCAGATTATAAGACTGAGGGCCAATTAGGATAGAAGTTTCCCAGACCACCCAGGTGAAAGGTGGCCAAGCCACAGTCTGCAGGATTCCAGGATACTTTCATGACGTTGGCTCACTCTTTTCCAGAATCTCAGGCTATGCTCAACACAATGCTCTCAAAGACAATCTCCCAAGCTTGGGTTTCAATTCCTCCACCATCTGGCCTTCAACTGCATTTCCAAGCTCTCAGCATGGTTCAAACACGTCTTCTTTGCTACACATATCTTAAGTTTCTTGCTGTTTTTCCTTTGTTCATGGGGCTTTTAAACCTTCCAAACCATGAACCTTCTTTCAATCAATTGTTGCAAGTTGCATTCACAAGACATTTCCATTTCTCTTAAATCAATCTTTAGTATCTCCTTCAAAATCTTTTGTGGGTCACACTAGAGATCAACGGACCCTCTCATTCAGTTGAAGGAAGAAAAGACTGATGTAGCAAAGTCATCCTCTAAGCCATCCACAGGGATTGTTGGAATTATTTCTCTTGACCATAGCAGGGCAAAGCATTCATTGGGGAGATGAATGTTTCCTCACTTTCCTTACTTTCAGCTCATTATTTCTACTAGACTGCAGTCCAACTCAGACTCTATAGCAGAACTCAAAACCTAGAACTTAGTCAACCATGAGATCACACTGCCTGGCCAGTAAAGACTCCCTCCAAATCAGAAAGACTCAATGGACATTTTGTTGGATATGACATGTAGACCCTCATTCGAGTATGAAAAGATCTAGTCCTTGATACTGCTAGTAACTGGAATATTAACACTTTTCTGTTTAATTTGAAAAGGATTTTAAAATATATGTGTATTGTATATATAAGTAGTTAGATATCCACACATGTATGTATCATTGTGTTTATATATATTTGTATCAATGCTTATGTGTGAATATGCCAAACTGTACTTTGCTCTATTATCTGATCATGGAGAACCACAGGCTTCTGCTGAATAGTATTCTCTGCCAGTCAATGGTAACTTTTTGATAGACTCTTCCTCTTTGTACAGTGATGCTAAGAAGGTTCTTTGAATATCTTACTGATTTTGCCTCTATAATTTTATTTCTTAAAGGGTAGGAAATGGAACAACTAGCATGCTACTACTGCAATATGAAATATGTCTCAAAAAGTCAATGAGATTGAAACAAAAGTGAAAATCCTTCAGTGAGATGAAAAATGTAGAATCTCTACCTCATTGGGCTTAAGCCCACTACTGCTGTTTGGAAGAAAAAGAAAAAAACTAAACAGCAAGTATGAAATGCTGGAATAGTGTCATCAATGATTTTTTTTCTGAAAGGGATATTTTAATATGCATTTTTGTTTTATGGATCTAAAGCTCTCTTGTTAGTGGGTAAGTTATTGTTGGATTTTCTCATATCCAACTTTAGTGTTGATTTTTAGGAACGTATTGTATAAGAGAGAAATGGCTGCCCATCTTAGTTAAAAGCACACTTATATTATGCGTACTATGCTCATCTACTGGTAAATTCCTAGGGCTTGAAGAGAGTAAAATTTACTGTGTCCATTTATAAAAAAAAATAAAATGAAATAAATCCAAGTAAAGAATGGAACTTAAATGATTTTCTATGATGGGACACTGTATTAGTCCATTTTCATACTGCTATAAAGAAATACCTGAGACTGGGTAATTTATAAAGAAAAGGAGGTTTAATGGACTCACAGTTCCACCTGGCTGGAGAGGCCTCACAATCATGGTGGAAGGTGAAGGAGATGCAAAGTCACGTCTTACATGGCAGAAGGCAAGAGAGCAGGTGCAGGGGAACTCCCCTTTAAAAAAACCATCAGATCTCCTGAGGCTTATTCACTATCATGAGAACAGCACAGGAAAATCCACCCCATAATTCAGTTACCTCCCACTGGGTCCCTCCCATGACACATGGGGATTATGGGAGCTACAATTCAAGATGAGATTTGGATGGGGACACAGCCAAACCATATTAGACACTCTTGTGTGGTTTAAAAAAAACAGCACCATTTCTCTCTCATTTTTACCCTTGTTCCTATTTATTTTCTTCTTGGGAGATGGAATGATATGAGCTATCTTTAATTCTTTGTAACAACAACATTTGCTTCCTTTTCACTTTGTCAGTATGAAGTATTACCAAGAAATAAAAAAGCTCCTCTTTGAGCTATGTGTGGTAGCAGGGGAATAGTTTTTTTTTTTTTTTCTTTATCATGCTTGCCACATTTTGAAACTCAATTTTGGTTGGATACATTTCATTCCTGAATTGTCAAAGACTCTTACTTCAAGTAAGTTCAATCTGCCCTCTCACTCAACTTTATTCTTCTTTTTGAGAGACAGAGTCTCGCTCTGTTGTCCAGGCTGGAGTGCAGGGCTGTGATCACAGCTCACTGCATCCTCGACCCCCTGGGCTGCAGTGATTCTCTCGTCTCAGCCTCTAGAGTAGCGAGGACCACAGGAGTGCATCACCATGCCTGGCTAATTTTTAAAAAATATTTTGGAGAGAAGGGGTCTTGCTATGTTGTCCAGGCTGGTCTCAAACTCCTGGGCTCAAGCAATCCACCTGTCTTGGCCTCCCAAAGTGCTGGTATTATAGGCGTGAGCCACTGTGTGTGGTTTTCAAGTTTATTCTTGTTAAATGATTTTGACATTTGCCTTTCTATAAAAGTTTGTAAAACACCCTCCCCCTCCAGCATTGCCATCCTTAGATTCCTTAGGTAAAGATAATACTTCTACTAGAAAAGAAAATGGGTCTGCTGTAGTTCTACAGACTTTTAAATAATATTTCTGTATCTATTAATCTATGTATCTCAGAATGTAAGTGGTGTATTTTGCCTTTTCAAAGCCAAGGCACTTTCTCCCACAAGGCTGAGTTTCTGCACACACGCAGCCTTTGCTCAAGAAACAGTGTCTTCATGGAATATGGAGATTGATACCAGGGTTAGTGGCTATGGAAGGGTCCCATGCGGTATGACTTCTCTTCCCATTTGATTTAGACCACATTCCATAATAACCTCATGTAGATGCAGAAATAGTATACTCTGGTCAGCCATTGAGGGCCATGTGGTTTCTGTATTATAATCAATGCATCAAAGAAGTATAGGAATCTGTGATGGGGTCAACAATTCAGAAACCATCCATTTACCAAAAGAATGTGTTTTTCTATATATCCTCCCAAGTAGTGATCAGAGATAATCAGCACCAAGTGTTCAATTTAGCATTTTTCTCTCAAAACTAAACTTTTGATTTTCTGACTCAAAATTTTGTCAAAGTGCAAGCGTTGTAAAACTGAGAAAACTGCCTGGTTATAAAATCCTTCAGCTTTATCCATGTATTATCTTTGCAGTTTTCCTTTAAGGAATAATTAAAAGAGAGGAGGGGATAGTAATTGCACAAAACGGCAGATAGCAAAGTAGATAAAATTTTAATCAAATCTTTTAGTGTTTTGATAGCAAAATACATTGTAAATCACTTAAAAGTTTATTTAAACAAATTTAGATGTAAGCTATGCTCTTTCGAGACCATCCATATTTAATTTTTACATTTTATAAAATATAACCATGTTTTAGGCAGTCATACAAAAATGGATTAAGACACTTTTTTCATGTGGCCAAATTCACTGGGCTTGTTTATTTTGCATCCTAGGCACCTAAACACCTAGTTCTTGGCACTGAGATGAAACATGGACTGTTTTTTTTTTTTGAGATGGAGTCTCACTTTGTTGCCTAGGCTGGAGTGCAATGGCGCAATCTCGGCTCACTGCAACCTCTGCCTCCTGGGTTCAAGCAGTTCTCCTGCCTCAGCATCCCAAGTAGCTGGGATTACAGGCGCCTGCCACCATGCCCAGCTAATTTTTGTATTTTGAGTAAAGATGGGGTTTCACCACGTTGGCCAGGATGGTCTCGATCTTTTGACCTCGTGATCTGTCTACCTCAGCCTCCCAAAGTGTTGTGATTACAGGTGTGAGCCACCACGCCCGGCCGAAACATGGACTTTTTAGAAAAAAATTTCTGACCATGGTTGTGAAAAATGCACTCACCTGTCCAAACCCAAGGAATGAACTCAGAGACATGGAGAATAGCAGAAGCGAGACTTTTAATGATGGTCTTGCAAGATTGGATGTCGGGTAGGCAGACACACCCAGTACTGTTACAACAAGCCATTTATCCCCTAGTATGCAAGTCCCTCCCTCAGTTCCTCATAGGCTGAGTACTATGGGATCACAATCTTCCCGGATGTCGCCTATTGGTCTTTGGGTTGAGGCTTTTAGGTATTTTCTTTAGGGTTGTCTCACTGCATTTTGTTGCAGCCCATAATGCATTACAATCATGGTCAGTTCTGGGGCTCTTCAAGTACTTCACTTATGACCCAGGTAGTCAGGCAAGCTGATAAGAATAGATAAAGCGAGCTATCTTGCAGGCTAGTAAACTTTCACTCTAGATAAAGGTCTTTGGTTCCAGTGTGGGTAACTAAGGGGGCCCTGACAAGCAGGTGCCGGCTATTAAAGCAGGGGCCTAGTATATCCTTTGTTCCATAGTTTGTGGGCCCAAGCCTATTAGAGGCACGTTGTCTTGGAAATGGATATCATATACATTATTTTCTACACAGTTGAAAACTGGAAAGTTTTATGAACTTGGAGTGACTTCCTGCGAGGCTGATGTAATAATTCTAAGTATAGTAACATTTCACTCTATTTTCCTTGAACTACCAGCATGAAAATATAAAACATTTACAAATTAAGTAAAAGGTCCTTTCAAAGACAAATGCAGTAACACATCTAAACTGAAACAAAACATCCTAAATAAATACACAGTAATAGCTAACTATTTATGTATTGCAGAAACTCGGTAGCTACTCATCAACCGCAATTCCTCTTCCTGTGGACACAGGGGGAAGACCACATTGACAAGAGCCCCATTCCTTTGGGCTCACAACCTCACCAAAGCCTGGTCCAGGAGCCAGCAACATGAAGCATCATCTTGGAGCTCATAAAATTGCACAGTCTCTCTGATGATTAGTGATACTAAGCATTTTTTTCATATAAACTTTCCTGAGTCAAAATGGCTTTTATTAAAAAAATGAAAAGTAACAGGCCAGGCATGGTGGCTCACGCCTGTAATTCAGCACTTTGGGAGGCTGAGACAGGTGGATCACTTGAGGTCAGGAGTTCAAGACCAGCCTGGCCAACATGGTGAAAACCCACCTCTACTAAAAATACAAAGAATTTGCCTGGCATGGTGATGGGCACCTGTAGTCCCAGCTACTCGGGAGGGTGAGGAAGGAGAATCGCTTGAGCCTGGGAGGCAGAGGGTGCAATGAGGTGAGATCGCATCACTGCACTCCAGCCTGGGTGACAGAGGGAGACTCCATCTCAAAAAAAAAAAAAAAAAAAAAAAAAAAAATTAAAAAAGAAAAAGAACAGATGTTGGTGAGGATTTGGAGAAAAAAAATTCTTATTGACTGTTGGTAGGAATTTAAACTAGTATAGCCATTACAGAAAACAGTACGGAGCTTTACAAAAAATCTAAAAATAGAATTATCATTAATCCCACAATCTCACTACTAGGTATCTACCTGCCCCTGAAAAAAAGAAATCAATATGTCAAAGAGATACCTGCACTTCCATGTTGATAACAGCACTATTCATAATGGCAAACATATGGAATCAACCTAAGTGTCCACAAACACATGAATGGATAAAGAAAATACACATAATGGAATACTATTGAGCCATAAAAAAGAATGAAATTGTGTCTTTTGGCAGCAACATGGGTGGAACTGGAGGTCATTATTTTAAGTGAAATCAGCCAGGTGCAAAAAGACAAATAGTGCAGGTTTTCACTTTCATGTAGGAGCTAAAAAATTTGAACCCATGGTAGAAGAGAGTGGAAAAGCAGATACAGAGACTGGGAAGGATGCATGGGAAGAGAGAGGATAAAGAGACGTGGGTTAAAGAGGACAAACATACAGTAAGATAGAAGGAATAAATTTGAAGCTTGATAGCAGAGTAGGGTAACTGTACTCAGCAAAAATGTAGTGCAGCAGAATGATGAACACCCTAAATACCCGACGTGATCCCTATGTGTTATATACATGTAACAAAATTTCTCAGGTACCCCACAAATATGCACAAAGAAAAAATATAAAACATTAAAATGCAGTCTCAACCTCATCCTAGAGCTGCTGAATCAGAATCTGCGTTGAGACAAGACCACCTGGTGAATCATATACACATTAAAATACCTACTGTAGAGAAAAGCCGCCCAGGACCATTTGACCAGGGACATCTCTGTATACGGGGGAAGGAAATGCTTGTTGCACTGAGCTGTGGAGTTATTTGATACAATAACTAGCATGCATCCTACTCACTAAAACTCAGCGAAAATAAAATGTTCTTATGGCTTACCAATTCCACACCTGTAATTGTCTTACTAGAGCAGAAAACATGTACATTTATGCACATATAAAATCTTCTTCCCTTTCTCTTGGTATATATACATTTAATTTCAATGACACCTTTTCTTATGTTATAGTCATCTTCACCCACCTTCTCTTAATATATTATTGTCATCTTCAGCCCCCATGGAAGAGAAGCAGTTAAATATTCTGAAATCTCTGTAACATGTCATCTAGGTCCTTACAATTTAGAAATGATGGAGTATCCTCAGCAAAGAAGGGCAGAGGTCTTCCTCAAGGTCAAGTCAAGGTTCATGCATAGACTCTCAAGTCAACACAAATCAGCTCAGGGAAAAAGTGTTTTAACCTTTGTCAAATTTTTGTTATAGGGAGCAACTTAGCAGGATATCTGCTTTAACTCAGCACTCTTCAAGATGTTTGGTTTTAAGGCCATTTTACTCTATTAAAAATGACTGAGGACCTCAAATAACATTTATAATGTAGGTTATATTTATCAAAGTAGAAACCTAAAAACATTTGAAGTATTTATATTATTTTATTAAATTTATATATAATAAACCCTTTGCATGTTAATATAGAAACATTTTTATTAAAGATAATAATTTTTAAAAACCGGGGAGTAAGACCACATGGTTTTGTAGTCGCACTAATCTTTTTAGTGGGCTTGATCAAAGACAGCTGGATTTTCTTGTCTGCTTCTGCATTCAATCTGCTGTAATATCACATGTCATGCGGCCTCTGGAAAACTTTACTGTAAACTTAGGAGGGAATGAGAGAGGGGGGCGGAAAAGGCAACACTGTCTGGGGCTATCATGAAAAGCTTTGTGACCCTAAGGACTCCTTGAAAGGGTCTTGCAGACACTCAGCGTTTCCCAAACCACAATATGGGAATTTCTGTTCAACTGGGTTGAATGCTGGCCTTTGCGTGCAGAATAGCAGAAAACCAGCATCATTTCTGTCTTGTTCAGGGTTCAGTACATAATGAGAATGCTAAGCTTCTTGTTCAAAAATAGTATTAGCCTGGTCAACATAACAAGACCCCATCTCTACAAAAGTAAAAATAAAAAATTAGCTGGGTGTGGTGGCTTGGGCTTGTAGTCTTAGCTATTCAGGAGGCTGAGGCAGGAGGATCCCTTGAGCCCAGGAATTTGAAGCTGCAGTGAGCTATGATCCTACCCACTGCACTGCACTCCAGCCTGGGCAACAGAGCGAGACACTGTATCATGTATACATATATATAATATACATGCTATATATATATATATATGTATATATAATTTTAAGATATATGTAATTAATTTTAAGACCGCAACAGGAAAACATTAAAAACCAAGTGCGGGGGGCCCTTCTAAGTGTGGGTTGCATGTCAACGAATCTAGCAAAGCTGGAAATATAATTGCATCTTTCCCTATAATGGAGGGCAGTTAACCCAGCTGGGCTTGGTTGTGCTTATGATTAACTTCATTGCATCCCAGGCTTCGAATTTGTCCAGGGGTAAGTTGCTGTTACCGTGGGCTTAGGGTGGAATCTAAGAGGCACGACGGTTTTCTTATTGTTTCTTTTCTCCCCTCAGCTTTTGGCTTCTCCTGCTCTCTGCATCTCACAGGAAAGACATCCTTTTGTACTCTCCCACCTTCCCTAGCAGCTCATTGCTGTTACTTCATAGTTTGTGTTCTGCTGGTGATGGAGATTGAGTGAAAGAGTAGGTTCTGTTTTCCTAATCTAGCCTCTGATTGAGGCTGGTCCCGTGTTCTCAGGGATGGGAGGTGAGACTCTCCCTTTCACAGCAGCCAAACTCAGGGAGGAATCTATGGTTGGCCATGGTGGGAGGCAATTCATGCTCTTTTCGCCAGAGGCAGCAGAGCACTGCTTTATATTAGGATAAGATCTTGGGGCCAGATGAGTTATCTGCTCCTTTTCTAAAATTAGAGGATTTGTCTTCTATTCTTACACTGGCTATGAAGGAAGGGTTTTCGCCTGGGCTATAATGGTTGATATTGTTTGCTGCATCTCTTTTCAGTGATTTAAGTCTTTGTTTCCAATGAGTGAAGGAGTCAGGGAAGTTTGTGGGTGTATTAGTCAGGGGTCTCTAGAGGGACAGAACTAATAGGATAGATGAATATATGAAGGGGAGTTTATTAGGAGAATTGACTCCCACGATCACAAGGTGAAGTCCCACAATAAGCTGTCTGCAAGCTGAGGAGCCAGAAAGCCAGTCTGAGTCCCAAAATCTCAAAAGTAGGGAAGCCGACAGAACAACCTTCAGTCTGTGGCTGAAGGCCCAAGAGCCCCTGGCAAACCACTGGTGTAAGTCCTAGAGTCCAAAAGCTGAAGAACTTGTAGTCTGATGCTCGAGGGCAGGAAGCATCCAGCATGGGAGAAAGATGAAGGCTGGAAGACTCAGCCTAGTGTTTCCCATTCTTCTGCCTGCTTTTTATTCTGGCCATCCAGGCAGCTGATGAGATGGTGTCCACTCAGATTGAGGGGAAGTCTGCCTTTCCCAGTCCACTGACTCAAATGTTAACCTTCTTTCACAACACCCTCACGGATACACCCAGGAGTAATACTTTGCATCCTCAATCCAATCAAGTTGACACTCAATATTACCCATCACAGTGGGACTTTGTGGTTTTTCAGAAATTTTCTCAGAAATCACTACAAAGTGACTTCACTTTTTTATTGACAGTGAAACTGCTGGTCATTTTCAGGCCTACACCCTTTTTTTTTTTTTTTTTTCCAGAGAGAGGGTCTCATTCTGTCGCCTAGGCTGGAGTGCAGTGGGCAGTGGTATAATCAGAGCTCACTATAGCCTCGAACTTCTGGGTTCAAGCAATCTTCCCACCTCAGCCTCCCAAGTAGCTGGGAATACAGGGTCTCTCTGTGTTGCTCTGGCTGGTTTTGAAGTCCTGGCTCAAGCAATCCTCCCACTTCAGCCTCCCAAAGTGCTTGGGATTCCAGGTGTGAGACACCACGCACCGCATGCCTACGTCATTGAAGTGGACTCTCTCGTATCTCCTGCCCTGCCTCCAAGCTGTCTCATGAGAACATAATGAGGCCTATCGAGAGACGGGCAGTAGGCAGAAACTTCCTTTGTGTCTGGGATTCTAGGGATATTAAAATTTTTAAAAAGGTAAATTCCAGACTCTCGTGAAGATATAAAGTAATCATGTGCTAAGTATTTTATTTTACTTATTAGTTAATGAGGAATTGGTAAAATAGACAATCGGTTTGCATATTTTTGGTCTGATAAAGAACACTAAAATGAATATACAAATGGTTGCGTAAATGACCAGATGCTAGTATTTGTTTCCTGTTGCATAGTGTAGCCAAGTTGACGCATCCAGAAAACATCACACTGGCAAAATTCACATGGTGAAAACCAATGGCATCCAACTAGAAATCATTTGCATCGCTTCGGACACAAATTATTTGCTTTGCTATTGGGGTTCTATAACTTAGAGAGTCATAAAATAGCCTGGTCAAGGCCAATGGAGGCAGAAATAACCCAGATGGATGAGATAGTTAGGACACCCATTCCACTTCAAAGTCTTTCAAAATTTTTCCCTAGAGGGACTTGCAGCTATTTCAGATAGACATGGTCACACAGTGGACCTATAAAAATTGTTTAACATTTCAGCTGATATTGTTGTATTTGCTATTGTAAAGGCTGGCCTTCCCTCCCCAGTTGCATACAGCATTTCTCCTTGGAAGGCCTTGTCCTCTTCAGAGGGCTTAAGGCAAGTTACAAGTGTGTAGGCTCTCCATCTCTCTCTCTTTTTGGTGGGAGTGACATTCTCTGCACTTTTCTACAACCCAAGGAGATGTGGGAGGAAAGAGGTTGTTGCATATTTTGATGCTCAGGCTGGTTCCACACAGCAGCTTTGTTGTGGAGGTGTTTTGGGGAATAAAGCAGAGTGAGCTGTGATCACATAAGGACTGAAGTAGTGCAGAGAGAAAGGAGTAGTATGAAAAATCCCACAGAGACACAGCTGCAGGCAGTGGAACAGGCAGTAAGCAGGTACTGGAGGAACGCCCAGCAACCCCTCTGCCTTAATCAGAACTTTCCAATTACATGCGTCTTCCTTTCTTTGATAGAACTTAGTATTATTATTAACCTCCTGAGACAGAATTTTTTTTTTTAGTAATTGCCAATGGTTTGGGGCAGACATTAATTGCACTGGAATATTTTCACTGCACACTTTCAGGAATAGAAATAATAAAATGAGTTGCACTCTAAGGAACAAAAAACAAATAGAAATAATCTAAGTGAAGTGGGATGGTAATAATGCCTACATTTGCAAGATGCTTGACAGTTTTCCAGGGATTTGCACCAACAGGAATATCTGAGTTGGGGGAGAAAACACAACAACATTAGTAAAGGTTCAATGTGCAGCACAGCCTGTCTTCTACTGTGAAATAGTTGTCCTTTGATTTATTAAGTGTAGCTAAATTTATATTGGGTTTATTTGTATAAACCATCTTCAATTCTTTTTTTTTTTTTTTTTTTTTTTTTTGGCGAGCAGGCAGGTTAGCAATACGAAAAGCAATGTTATTCTTCTGCTACAGTTACATAGAAAATAGGACTCCTAATGCTTATTAAGCCTTTTCAGGGTTGCACCTTTGTGAGCGGTAGACACGGTATTAGAACTCAAGATAACCTTCTTTCTCATCCTCCTACTCTTTGCGGTTACAGAAACTTGCACTTCTTATAAAGAACACATTTTACAATGAATCTAGGCCACTTGTAGAAGAAAATGCCACCTGTGTATGTGTGTGTTACTTGTCTTTAATTCGAGATAAAGCATGCCACTGTCAAAAAGTGAAGTTGCTATATCTGGCAGAAACTTTTGTATTTCTTTTGAATTATTTGGATAATTGTCTCCAATTCTTTATTCAGAAGTTTATGCACAAACAGGATGTAATCTCAAATTCCTAGGCTTGCCTCTTAAACTTGGGAAACTCAATTGCATTCAGCATAGCTTATTCCCACCTATATGTGCTCATTAAGTTGTTCATGAACATGGTCTTCAATGAATGAAGCTGACGTACTTGTTTTTCAAGTGACTATGGCTTCCATTTATGTCTTGGTTTTGTTTCATCATTAGCATAATCAGGCATGTGTAGATATGTAGGGTGTTTGGAAGAATGAAGATGAAATGATGGAAAGCCGGAGACATGTACTTATAGTACAAACTCCGTTTTTTATGAGCACAGACAAAGGTTTGCGAAGACATGGAGAGGAATCTCTACCCATGTAGATGCAGATGGCCAACTACCACTCATCCCATACTTGTAACTCATGATAAGGCTCTATCGTCTCTTCATCTCTGTGCTAGATTCAAATTATACATTTTTTTCCTCTGGGAAAGGCATTAGCAAATTCATTTTTTTGTTATCAGAAGTGCCCAGAAAATTTAGAAATGTCTAATTTGTGTGTATCTCTCACATTGATTGATGTATATGTGTTCTGTGTCACAATGCATTCTTTATTATTATTTTTATTTTTTTTGGAGACAGGGTCTTATCCTGTCCCCAGGTTGGAGTGCAGTGCTGTGATCATAGCTCACCGCAGCCTCCAACTCCTGGGCTCAACTGATCCTCCCACATCAGCCTACATAGTAGCTAGGACTACAGACAGGCACCTGCCACCATGCCTGGCTTTTTATTTTTTTATTTTTTTGAGGCAGAGTCTCGCTCTGTCGCCCAGACTGGAGTGCAATAGTGCGATCTCGGCTCACTGCAACCTCCGCCTCCCAGGTTCAAGTGATTCTCCTGCGTTAGCCTTCCGAGTAGCTAGGATTACAAGCACCTGCCACCAGGCCCGGCTAGTTTTTTTGTATTTTTAGTAGAGCTCAGGTTTCACAATGTTGGCCAGGCTGGTCTTGAGCTCCTGACCTCATGATCTGCCTGCCTCAGCCTCCCAAAGTGCTGGGATTACAGGCGTGAGCCAACGCGCCCGGCCTAATTTTTTATTTGTATAGAGATTGTTTTGTAGAGATTGGGGGTCTCATTATATTTCCCAAGCTGGTCTCCAACTCCTGGCCTCATGCGATTCTCCTACCTTGGCCTTCCAAAGCTCTGGGATTACAGGGGTGACACACTGTTGCAGTCCCATAGTGAATTCTGATGGTGCAGGCAAGGGCAGGTCATGCTTTGGAAGCCACCAAGCCTGAGTTCCAGCCATGACACAGCCACTCATGAGCCATATGGCCCTGGGTAAGTCATGTCACTTTTCTAACCTCAGTGTCCTTTATATATAACACAGTAATAGTAATACTAGCCTCCTAAGGTTGTTCCTATAACTAAATGGGTGTTAGGCATGTGGTACGTTACTCAATTAAGAGTATCATTATAAATGTTTCCAGTAATCCATGTATCTAATGAACATAGGTTTCTTAAAGCTATCCAGTGATTTCAAGCAAAAGCAAGAAGGGAGAAGAGAATTAGATATGATTAGAGGCAAGGATTTGTTTTCATCCTCCACAGCTCAATGTCTTAAACAGTGACACCATGATTCATGTTGAGTAATAGCAATTAGCTAAATGTCTGTTATTAGGAGGGCCAATGGTTTTATGTATTGATTTTCAATCATGAGGAGGACTGCCATGCCATACTTCCTGCTGTGGCCACACCCCATGTTGAAGGATCTACTATGGAGAGTTCTTGTTTTTATTCCCGGAGTGCTGTGTATTGGACCAAGGGGAGGGAAATCTGACCTAAGAGGAAGAATGAGGCCAGACACATCAGGTGCGGTCTGGTATGAAGAGATGACACAGACTAGGGGTAGGCTCCTTCTAGAAATACCAACTAGAAAACACACTGGGAAAGTGAGGTGTTAAAGAATGAGAAATGAGCTCACCCAAATGTGGAAACAGAACGAGGAAGGAAAAACAGAAACCAGAGATCATACTAGACAACACTCTAAGGAAGCCCAAACTTAAGAGGTAGCAGCAGAAGCTATGAGGTAGAGAGAAAGGGAAGAGATGGGGGGAAAAATGAAAGAGCTGTGAAGTCACACAGAAAGGATCAAACACAAGCAGAGGCTGGAAAGTAGAAACACAAAGGAAGGGATCAGCACCTGTGGGGTTGTGACAGTGCCAGCTTGGTGATCATGTCCAGGTTTCCTGCTAGCCCATGAATTCCTTGAAAATACATTATTTTATTTTTAAGATGATTTGCATAATTATGTTAATATTTTAAAGATGATTTGCATAAATATCTGTTGCATAAATTTATTGACGGACAAAACATCAATAAATTAAATAATAAAGTTTTGTTTTTCTGTATGAAATTAATGCAGGCTAACTATAGAAAACTTTACATTTCTTTTCTTTTTTTTTTTTTTTTTTGAGACAGGTTCTGGCTCTGTTGCCCAGGCTGGAGTGCAGTGGCTCAGTCTTGGCTTACTGCAACCTCTGCCTCCTGGGCTCAAGTGATCCTTCCACCTCAGCCTCCCAAGTAGCTGGGACTACAGGTGCATACCAGCATGCCTGGCTAATTTTTAAAAAAATTTTTTTTGCAGAGACAAATCTCACTTTGTTGCCCCAGCTGGTCTCAAACTCCTGAGCTCAAGCCTTCTGCCTGCCTTGGCCTCCCAGAGTGCTGTGATTACAGGGGTGAGCCACCATATCCGGCCAAAAGTTTACATTTCACATATTGAAGAGGGAAAAAAATAAAAGCATTATAGTAAGTTCCCTCAAAGACAGTTACTATTAACATGTGGCTATATTTCAAACCAATATTTTTCAAGTGTATTTTATGCATTGTTATCATATTCATATCAAATTGTATTTTACTGGTTAATACTTAATATGGTATATTGTATTTCCTAAATTTCTACGTGCTTTTCATAATGTTTATTTTTGATATATATAATAATCCACTGAGGTTGATGTAATATGACATATTCAAACATGTACCCACAGTAGATATTTAAATTGACCCTTTCCCACTATCATTGACTTTGCTTTTCCTTCAGAGATGAAATGAACTATGCCTACAAATGACACCCCACAACCATTTTCCTTAACAGCTCTGCATAGTTTTAAAATCACCTTATGGCATTTTTTTCGTGGAAAAACCCCCGAGGATAAGCTGTTTTTTTCTTCCATTTTTTAGGTCACTTATGTTTCCTGCTTGAATGAATGTATATGATTCTTTCCTTTTCCATGAAATTCTTGGCAAGCACTCTTAGTCACCAAACTCAATTATTTTCTCAGCTTAAGGAAAGTTTTTTCTACGATGTCCTCAATATTTACTCCCTTCCTTCATTGGTCTTCATTTTCTTAGTCCCCAACTACTCTTTGTAGCTTATAGTGATGTTCTGCAGGGTACTGTAGCCTCAATAAATCTAATACATTCTCTTATCATTAAAAAAAAGCTCCATTTTCTTCACCTTGGTATCCACTCTCTCTAATCGCCATGCATATTGCTGCATTGATCTCTCTAGGTTTTACTTTTTCCTTATGAAGATTTCAAAACAGATCTTTTTTCTTGTGATAACATTTCTGAAATCCAAAAAGCTTTCTGAACTTGAGACTGTTATTTACTCACCTCAGCCCATTCCTTCCATTCCTATTTTTTTTCCACAGAAGCCATAGAATTCTATATTTAATAATACAGAGCAGTCATTTTCAAAGGGTTTCTCTTTGTGTCACTCAAATGAATTCATGAGGAATGCTTCCCTGTGTGTCTGTAGGAATTGCAACCGTTGTCTAATGTTTTGGATTTGTGTCTAAATCTTTGTTACTCTCCCACCCCAACCCACTTATTCTGCTACTTATCTCTCCAGCTTCACCTCTTGTGGCTCTTTGCTTCTGACTCTGCTTTTTAGCAGTGATGAACCACTTGCAGTCCCAAAAGTACACCAGGCTCCTTTCTTCCGCAGGATGTGGCATGGGATATTGACTTCCTGGGTCATGCTTCCCTTTCCCCACATCCCTCATGTCCATCCTCATCTATTCCTTTTCAGTGTATACGTTATCTCTCAGAAGACCATCCCTATTGTTCTAAGGGATGTTCCCAGACCACCGCGTTAGGGGTTCCCCTAAGTATTTCTGAGTACTCGTCACATAACGTAATTCCCCAGTCTATTTTAAGCTACACAAAAGTAGAAAAAATACATCTTGTTCACCAGCCTCTTTCAGTGCCCAGAACATCATCTCAGGGCATTTTAAACAGTAGTGATTCAACATATCTCTTGCATCCATTAATTATTGAATAACAACCTCTTTGAGTGAGGTAAGATGTGGAATGAGGTAAGAGCTGTAAAAGCCTGATGTTTGCAGAAAATGTACAAAGTTACAGCCTAGTCATTGGAAGGTTTTGTTTCAAAATCCAATTAGTATTATGAAATTATGTTATGCCACTTCTAAGAATAGTTTTGAAACAAATCAACATTTCTGAACCAAGTTTCAGCATGCCAAAGGAAGAAGCACGACTACTTTCAGAGCCATTGAAGTGTATCAGAAGTTTTTCACGTATGCTCTGTTGGAATCCTCGCAAGTACTTTGTAAACTGGCTATGAGTAGACCCATGTTGAAAATAAGGAAACAGAACAGAGAAGTCACCCATCTCTTGGGAAGTTGTTCCTGGATTGTAGTTTCTCTGAGTCTGCCTATAATGTGCTTACTAAGTTTGGAAACTCAGACTTTTCCCCTCCATGGAGAGATGGAGCTGCCCTCTTTTGAAGATCCCTAAGGACTTCCCTTGATTTTGAGAACTGAGCTTCTTTCTCTTCACCCTCCAAGCTCTATGTCCCTTCAAATTGCTTCTGGTCTGAGGGCTTGTACTCAGTTTTGACAACACACCATGCAAATGGAAGGTAAGACTCACTCAAGGTAGATGAAATTCCCCTCTCCCTTGCTTCCTTTATTACAGAGGATAATATTCCTTCCCACAGCTTGCTGCCACACTGCCCATGTTGCTTCCAACAACAGCACCATGTCTGAGAACTATGCTGTGCAAAGTGAGACGTATTCTAGTATTCTACTCTGCCATGAAACTTTTAGCTAAATTCCCGTGGAGTAGATGACAAACTTTCCAGTACATGACTACTATGCCACAAACAACCAGAACAGTAACCGATAACACCTCATTCACAGTCAACTAGAGGGAAGACAAAACTGCCAACAGCTGTGGAGGTGAATCTCAGGATTCCTAATGGCTCCTGGTAGAAATGCTGTCCATGTGATATCAGCCTAGGCTTGATCTCTGTGGTCTCTGTCTTTCTCTCCCCTGTTTTTCATCTGACTTAGCTGGGGCTGATACAGCAGAATACTGGGTGGCTTAAACAGCAGAAATTCATTTCTCACACTGCTTGGAGGCTGGGAAGTCCAAGGTCAAGGCACCAGCAAATCCACTGTGTGGTGAAGGCTCTCTTCCTGGCCTGCAGACAGCTGTCTTCTTGCTGTATCCTCACATGGTGGACAGAGATTTATCGTCTCTCTCTTCGTTCTTCTTATAGGGCCACTAATCCCATGATGAGAACTCTGCACTCATGACTTACCTACCTCCCAAAGGCTCCATCTCCAAATACCATTGCAGTGGGAATTAAGGCTTCACCATATAAGTTTGGGGGTTGGGGATAGAGACACAGACTTTCAGTTCATGACTTCATCTTTCTTCATTTTATTCTTGATCTTTTGACCAGGTCTTCTTATAACCACCCAGTGGGTTCACCTTGCTTATGGCCTAGACAGAGCCGATTTATCAAGACAGGGCAATTGCAATAGAGAAAGAGTAATTCACACAGAGCTGGCTGTATGGTAGACTGGAGTTTTTTTATTACTGAAATCAGTCTCCCCGAGCACTGGGGAGCAGAGTTTTTAAGGACAACTTGGTGGGTGAGGGGAGGCGCGTGAGCCAGGAGGGCTGATTGATCAGGAATGAAATCATAGGGTGTTGAAGCTATCTTCCTATGCTGAGTCATTTCTTGGGTGGGGGCCACAAGATCAGATGAGCCAGTTTAACTATCTGGGTAGTGCCGGCTGATCCATCAAATGCAGAGTCTGCAAAATATCTCAAGCACTGATCTTAGGAGCAGTTTAGGGAGGGTCAGAATCTTGTAGCCTCCAGCTGCATGACTCCTAAACCATAATTTCTAATCTTGTGGCTAATGTTAGTCCTACAAAGGCAGTCTAGTCCCCAGGCAAGAAAGAGGTCTGCTTTGGGAAAGGGCTGTTACTGTCTTTGGCTTAAACTATAAACTATAAACTAAATTTCTCCCAAAGTTAGTTCAGCCTACACCCAGGAATGAACAAGGACAGCCTGGAGGTTAGAAGCAAGATGGAGTCAGTTAAGTTAGATCTCTTTCACTGTCTCAGTCATAATTTTGCAAAGACGGTTTCACTCTTACGTCTTAAACAGTGTTGACTTACTGACTGGCAATGTCTGTTATCTCAGAATCTCAAATTTACTTTAAAAAGCACTGAAAATTTTACTACTCTAAGGTCTTTTCTAATCTCTAGAATGATCAACAGATAAAATAAAATTGACTGGCTATATATGATCCCTTTGTTGTGGAAAAGGAAATATTTATCAAGAGATACCAAAGGACCTATGTAAAACAAAGAAAGTTGGAGCAATGCCCATTAATCTTTTCATCTTGTAGCGTATAGCTCCCAGCATGTTTTAGAGTATCCATGATTACTGTCATGATTTACGTTCTTTTTATTTTGTATGTTTACATATTTGACACCGTCTAGATGATGTTGGTTTCAAGGAAACATTCACTGGAAACTGAGTTGGCAGGGAAATGGACAAGGTCATTTGAGTTATCTTTCTTATCACTCAAATCTGTGCTTTTTTTCCAGTAAAGGAGTGGGTGTGAGCTACCAGCATTGTGGCTTGTGCTGGGAATCTATGCTTCTGATGGTGCTATTTTTAGTGAGTGCCTGGGTATATTCGAAATGAATTTGTTTGTATATTATTTTTTAATTTAATTTAATTTAATTTTAAGTTCCCAGATACATGTGCAGAATGTGCAGGTTTGTTGCATAGGTAAACGTGTGACATGGTGGTTTCCTGCACCTATCATCCCATCACCTAGGTATGTAGCCCCGCATGCATAAGCTATTTATCTTGATGCTCTTCCTCCCCAGGCCCAACCGACAGGCCCCAGTGTGTGTTGTCCCCTCCCTGTGTCCATGTATTCTCAGTGTTCAGCTCCCACTTATAAGTGAGAACATGTGGTATTTGGTTTTCTGTTCCTGTGTTAGTTTGCTGAGGATAATGACTTCCAGCTCCATCCATGTCCCTGAAAAGACATAATCTCATTCCTTTTTATGGCTGCATAGCATTCCATAGTGTATATGTACCACTCGTTTGTACATTTATCCAACTAGCACTTATTTGACATTTCTGGCCAATGAAGTTTGAGTAAAGACATGCTTATTCTGCATTCCTTTCTTTAATTCAACCTTAAACAAGTGAAATATTGAAACCTGTTGCCAGGGGGTGAAAAACACTTCCCTCTTCAATCATTGTCTTAGTTTGTTATGTGGTGCTGTAACAGTATACCACAGATGAGGTAATTTATCAAGAATGGAGATTTCTTTCTTACAGTCTTGGAGGCTGGGAAGTCGAAGATTGAGGGGCCCACAGCTATTGAGGGCCTTCATGCTGCATCATCTTGTGGTGGAAGACAAGAGTGCCAGAGAGCAAGAGATTCAACTCCTGGCCCCAAGCCCTTTTATAAGCAGCATTGAAGGCCAGGCGTGGTGGCTCATGCCTGCAATCCCAGCACTTTGGGAGGCCGAGGCAGGTGGATCAGGAGGTCAGGAGTTCAACACCAACCTGGCCAAGATGGCGAAACCCAGTCTCTACTAAGAATACAAAAAATTAGCTGGGCGTGGTGGTGGGCGCCTGTAATCTCAGCTACTTGGAAGGCTGAGGCAGAGAATTGCTTGAACCTGGGAGGCGAAGGTTGCAGTGAGCCGAGATGGCGCCAATGCACTCCAGCCTGGGCGACAGAGTGAGACTCTGTCTCAAAAAATAGATAAATAAATAAATAAATAAATAAATAAATAAATAAATAAATAAAATAAGCAGCCATTGATCCATTCATGAGGTTGGAGGCCTCAGGACCCTCAGGCATCTCTCCCTAAGCCCCACCTCTGAGCACTATTGCATTGGAGAATAGGTTTCCAATACATGGACTTTTGGGAACACATCCAAGCCATGGCAATCATAGAAAATTGGAGCCAGGTGCAATGGCTCACACCTGTAACCCCAGTACTTTGGGGGGCTGAGGCAGGAGGATCACTTGAAGCCAGGAGTTGGAGACCAGACTTGGCAACATAGTGAGACCCCATCTCTAAAAAAAAAAATCAGCAGGGCATGGAGGCAGGAGCCTGTGGTCCCAGCTACTCAGGAGACTGAGGCAGGAGGATTGCTTGAGCCCATGAGTTTGATGCTACAATGAGCTGCGATCACACCATTGTATTCCAGCCTGGGTGATAGAGTGAGAACCTGGCTCAAAAAGAAAAAAAAAAAAAAAAGGCCAGGTGCAGTGGCTCATGCCTGTTATCCCAGCACTTTGGGAGGCCGAGTTGGGAGGATCACTTGAGGTCAGGAGTTTGAGACCAGCTTGGCCAACATGGTAACACCCCATCTCTACTAAAAATACAAAAATTATCTGGGCATGGTGGTGTGCGCCTGTAATCCCAGCTACTCAGAAGGCTGAGGCAGGAGAAATTGCTTGAACCCAGGAGGCTGAGGTTGCAGTGAGCCCAGAGTGTGCCATTACACTCCAGGCTGGGTGACAGAGAAAAGACTCTGTCTAAAAAAAAAAAAAAAAAAAAAAAAAAGGAAAGAAATAAAAAAATGCCACATTCAGTAAATCTTGCCTGCTGCTTGAACATGAAACCTGGGTGAAAATAATAAAAATACAAAGAATTATGGAGCCAACCAATGTCTTTTCATTCTTGAGAAAGGGAATGCAGAAAAGGCAAGCAACTTTCCAAAATCCTGCAGCTGGTAAGAGAGTTCCTCTGATAATCTGATGGCAGGAGGAGAATGCAGAGAAGGAAAATAAAAGCACCAAAATGATGAAAGCCAAGGGGTCATAGAAGCAAAATAGTCTAAGTAGAACAGAAATGACTGAGAACAGTCAACACTGTGGTAAACAAGCTTGAAGAATTGAACACACACACAAGTTACACTACTGTAAGAGCAAGCTTGTTCCCTAATAGCCTCATATATTATTCAGGATTTATGTTCATATAGTATTTTAAAATTTGAATTACAGTATATGCTACCTGGCAAAAACTGGTTAACTGTTCAGGAAGCCGCTTTCTTCTTTCCTAGGTGCATTGGGGTGCATGTATCCAGCTTGCCTTGCAGTGAGGTCCTAGGTTACAAGATGGTAGCAGAATTCATGTGTGCCACTTTCAGGTCTCCCATATAACTTCCTGACAATATGCATCATTCTTTCCCCTCTTTCAGATTCACTGTATATGAGAAAGAAAATTATGGTACCAAAACATGGAAGGGAATTGGCACCTGAATTATTCCTCAAAGGAGAATCATTTTGCTAGTCAAGATTACTCATTTGGATTTCATATCACAAGAATGAGAAAATCATCTCTTGTGTTTGAGCTATTTTACATTTTTGTGTGTATTTCATGAACTAGTGTTACTATACCTAATCCAGTGCATGAATTTTCGTTTGCTATGAAAAATAGAGTGAAATATTTTCTTCACAACTCAACCAAGCCCTTGAAGAGAGTTGAAATATTCCTAGCATTCTTCTACATCTTCTTCTTTCTCCTACTTTCTTGACTAATTTGCTACTAGGAAGTGGTCTGGATTCAGACCCCAAGAGAGGGTTCTCAGATCTCCCACATGAAAGAATTGGGGGCAAGTCCAGAGAGTAAAGTGAAAGCAAGTTTATTAAGAAAATAAAGGAATAAAGAATGGCTACTCCATAGGCACAGCAGCTCCGAGGGCTGCTGGTTGCCTATTTTTATGGTTATTTCTTGATTGTATGCTAAACAAGGGGTAGATTATTCATGAGTTTTCTGGGAAGGGGACAAGGAATTCCCAGAACTGAGGGTTCCTCTTCCTTTTAGACCTTATAGAGTAACTTCCAGACATTGCCGTGGCGTTTGTAAACTGGTGTGGCACTGTTGGGAGTGTCTTTTAGCAAGCTAATGCATTATAATTAGTGTATAATGATCAGTGAGGAAGACTAGAGGTCGCTTTCATCATCATCTTGGTTTTGGAGGATTTTGGTCAGCTTCTTTACTGCAACCTGGTTTATCAGTGGGATTTCTCTGACTTCTATCTTGTGCCTACCTCTTATCTCCTATGACTAAGAATGCCTAACCTCCTGAGAAGACAGCCCAGCAGGTCTCAACCTCATTTGACCCAGCCCCTATTCAAGATGGGGTCAAGCTTGTTCAAACACCTCTGACAAATTCAGTCCTGAATCTACAGGATGCGGTTGAGAAAGACAGGTGCCAAAACCGGGGAAGGGAAAGTGCCCCAGTGGTCCAGAGAAAGAGGTGAGAGTCAGTGTGAGGATGGTGACCATACAGGAAGACTACTTGGTGTGAGGTGTTGAAGTTTAAATGAGGGGAAGGGTGCCAGGCATGGTGGCTCACACCTGTAATTCAAACACTTTGGGAGGCCGAGGTGGAAGGGTCACTTGAGACCAGGAGTTCGAGACCAGCCTGGCCAACATGGCGAAACCTCGTCTCTACTAAAAATACAAAAAAAATTAGCCAGGGGTGGTGGTGCATGCCTGTAGTTCCAGGTACTCGGGGGACTGAGGCAGGAGAATTTCTTGAATGTGGGAGGTGGAGGTTGCAGTGAGCCGAAATCATGCCACTGCACTCCAGCCTGGGTGACAAAACAAGACTCAAATAAATAAATAAATAAGGGGAGTGGGCATCTGTCTTGGGGGAAGATCTGATAGCTGCTATGGAGGATTGGATACATATAGAGGGGAAGGGCAAATAAAAATAAGCACAAATATTAGGAACAATGGGAGCCAAAATTCCATCAGATAAGGGAATTACAATTAAGGATAGGAAAGCTAGAATGAGCATGACGGTATGGATATAGAATTGGAGGTATCAGAATCAAGTAATGGGCTTGTGATAGTCTTTTTGAGAGATAAAGAAAATAAATATAGGTACTTGTTGCTGGGGCTCAGAAACCAATACCCCAAAATATGGCATTTTGACATGCTGAACTGAAGAAGCCTCAAGGTCTCTCTGATGACCTCCTTCCTCAACCTTCTCTCCCGAGGAACCTGAAGTTCCCTTATCTGCCTAAAATTCAGAACCCCAAAGGAAAACAATTGTTTTTTCTTCCTCCCCGTTATCTCTTTATCTGTTGCAGAAAAGACCAGGATGTAACCCCACACCTGAGCAGACCTTTTTACCACGATAATGAGTGTCTTCCAAGGATCATTTAAATTCCAAAGAGAACTCTTTACAAATTAATCTCTGTTCTCCTCCTGTCATTCTCCCTACAAAGTATTTGTTGCCCCTCAATAGAATTCTTCTCCTCCCCCCACACCGCCCCACCACCTGTTTTAACAGGATCCAAGTCCTAATTCTTTCTGTAATCTCAGGGTGGCATATAAGCTTCTGAACCGGATTAGGAAGTTGAGCTTCACTCTTGTGTCTCCCATATATACACATTAAATAAATTTCTATTCCTCTTCTCCTCTTAATCAATCTGCCTCATGTCAGTGATTTTTCAGCAAACATTTAGGGGGCCGGTAGCCATGGACCCCATCGTATATATGTGTACATATTTTAGTTCTGTTCACTAAGAGACTCTGGGCATGAGGACACTCCAATGTTAATGAGAACATTGAGGATCCAGATTTTGTCTTCTACACATTATTATTCGTTTGTAGATTCCAGGGCTCCTTGGAAAAATTGCAGAATCCTGGGCTGAGTCAGGAGCAGTGTAAGATGGTAATTAGGAATATAACATATCAGAAAATATTCAAAGAGTCATGAGATTATGGTAAAAGATGCAAGCCAATTTGGAGAGCTACCACTGGCCAATCTGGGTACAGTTTGAGTATCAAAACAACTAATCATACTTGTCAGGCCTCTGAGCCCAAGCTAAGCCATCATATCCCCTGTGACCTGCATGTACACATCCAGATGGCCGGTTCCTGCCTTAACTGATGACATTGTCTTGTGAAATTCCTTTTCCTGGCTCATCTGGTCTCAAAAAGCTCCCCTACTGAGCACTTTGTGACCCCCACTCTGCCCGCCAGAGAACAACTCCCCTTTGACTGTAATTTTCCTTTATCTACCCAAATCCTATAAAACGGCCCCACCCCTATCTCCCTTTGCTGACTCTCTTTTCCGACTCAGCCCGCCTGCACCCAGGTGAAATAAACAGCCATGTTGCTCACACAAAGCCTGTTTGGTGGTCTCTTCACACGGACGCGCATGAAAATACTAATGGATTATAAGTTATTGAGTGAAATGAGAAACAGCAAGTTCATATTGATATGGATAAAGTGAGTAGAAAATTTGATGAGGAAGAGGATATTTTCACAGTTTGAAGGAACTGCCCAGTGGATACTGTGATGGCTAATATTGAGTGTCAACTTGACTGGATTGAAGGATGCAAAGTATTGTCCCTGGGTGTGTCTGTGAGGGTGTTGCCAAAGGAGATTAACATTTGAGTCAGTGGACTGGGAAAGGCAGACCCACCCTCAATCTGTGTGGACACGATCTAATCAGCTGCTAGCGTTGCTAGAATCAAAGCAGGCAGAAGAACCTTGTGATGATTAATACTGAGTGTCAACTTGATTGGATTGAAGGATACAAATTGTTGATCCTGGGTGTGTCTGTGATGGTGTTGCCAAAGGAAGTTAACATTTGAGTCAGTGGGCTGGGAAAGGCAGACCCACCATTAATCAGGGTGGGCACCATCTCATCAGCTGCCAGTGCAGCTAGAATATAAGCAGGCAGAAAAATGTGAAAAAGAGAGACTGGCCTAGCCTCCCAGCCTACATATTCCTTCCATGCTGGATGCTTCCTGCCCTCTAACATCGAACACCAAGTTCTTCAGTTTTGGAACTCAGACTGGCTTTCTTGCTCCTCAGCCTGCAGACTGCCTATTGTGGGATTGATATGGTTTGGCCGTGTCTCGACCCAAATCTCAACTTGAATTATATCTCCCTGAATTCCCGCGTGCTGTGGGAGGGATCCTGGGGCAGGTAATTGAATCATGGGGTCTGGTCTTTCCTGTGCTATTCTTGTGACAGTGAATAAGTCTCACGAGATCTAATGGGTTTATCAGGGGTTTCCGCTTTTGCTTCTTCCTCATTTTCTCTTGCTTACACCATGAAAGAAGTGCCTTTCACCTTCTGCCATGATTCTGAGGCCTCCCCAGCCATGTGGAACTGTAAGGCCAGTTAAACCTCTTTTCTTCCCTGTCTTGGGTATGTCTTTATCAGCAGTGTGAAAACAGACTAATACAGGGACCTTGTGATTGGGATTGTGATTGTGTGAGTTAATACTTAATAAACTCCCCTTTATTATTATTTTTATTTATTTATTTTGAGACGGAGTTTTGCTCTTGTTGCCTGGGCTGGAGTGCAGTGGCACAATCTCGGCTCACCGCAACCTCCGCCTCCCTGGTTCAAGTGATTCTCCTGCCTCAGCCTTCCAAGTAGCTGCAATTACAGGCATGCGCCACCATGCCTGGCTAATTTTGTATTTTCAGTAGAGATGGGGTTTCTCCATGTTGGTCAGGCTGGTCTCGAACTCCCGACCTCAGGTGATCCACCCGCCTCGGCCTCCCAAAGTGCTGGGATTACAGGTGTGAGCCACTGCACCCAGCCTAAATTCCCCTTTATATAGATGTATATATATAATATATATCCCATTAACTCTGTCTTTCTAGAGAACCCTGACTAATACAAATGTGGAAGGACTAGACTGGCTTAGTCTTCAGGCCTACATCTTTCTCCCGTGCTGGATAATTCCCACCCTTGAACATCATACTCCAAGTTCTTCAGCTCTGGGACTCAGACCTGCAACCACCGACTGTAGGCTGCACTGTCAGCTTCCCTACTTTTGAGGTTTTGGGACTCAGACTGGCTTCCTTGCTCCTCAGCTTGCAGCTGGCCTTTTGTGGGACTTCACCTTGTGTCGTGTGAGTCAATACTCCTTAATAAATTCCCCATATATACACATCTATCGTATTAGTTATGTTCCTCTAGATAACTCTGACTAAAGGCAAATGTGTAATTTTACTTTGGAGAAGCATGACAAACACCACCTTTGCTGAGTAATCAAGGTGAGCATCATTGATGCACACTTTTGTTCCGGGGTCAGGAAACATCACCACAAAGGCCATCTAGGTGCTGGGTGAACCTAGAAAATGCTGCCCTACTACTGCTCACCAGCTGTAGGTGGAGTTCCTTGAGAGACAATCAGGGACATGAAAAGCTTGAGTTTGCTCATCTGACACTGGTGGTCCTCTTGTAAGATCCTCAAAGAGCAGTTCAGGATCAAAATTCTTTCCTGGACAGAACCACCAGTCTCCATTCTTTCATTTCTTTCTATAGTTTTTACCAGTTTACTTGTTGTTTTGTAGCTGCCCAATGGGTTCTTGCCTGCTGCCTAGACAGAGGGGATTTATCAACGGAGGAGAATTGCAATAGGGAAAGAGTAATTCACGCACAGCCGGCTATGTGGGAAACAAGAGTTTTATTGTTAAATGTTACTTAAATCAGTCTCCCTGAGAATTCGGGGATCAGAGTTTTTCAGGGAAGTTTGGTGGGTAGGGAGCCAGTGAGTCAGGAGTTCTGATTGGCCGGGTTGGAGATGGAAATCACAGTGAAGTGGCCTCGTTGTCTGGGGTGACATCCAGAGTTTTTGGTCTCATGGCCAAGGAAATCAAGGATGCAGACACTCCAAGGGTGAGGTTTAGAGCAGAAATTTAATAGGAGAAAGAAAGAGAACAGCTCTCTGCTACAGAGAGGGATCCTGGAAAAAGGGCTGCTGTTTTGCAAAGCTTTTATAAGAAACTGATGAGGGCTGGTCATCTCGTTTGCATAATGCACAAACTTCTGGTAGATCCAACCCATCCTCCTAATGCACACGTGGGCCCTTAACTTGAGTTACTCCATATTGCTTTGTTCCCCTTACTGCACATGTGTGAGGGAATGGAATTTTCCATTGCAGGTATGTCTTGGCAAGTCACTTGTGCATGCTTTCTTATCTGTGTGTCTATGGGCATGTCTTAGGCAAGCTCTCCCCACTCCCTTGCAAGCTCCCTTATCTGTGTCTGCAGGCTGTTCTTTTGTTTAAAATAATTCAGCTGAGGACCCACTCTAACTGCCTGCCTGACCAGGTTTTTTCCTTTCTCCTCTCTCAATAGGAACTCAAAGCTCTTCTCTTGTGCTGAGTCAGCTCCTGGGTGGGGACCACAAGATTAAATGAGCCAGTTTATGGATCGGGGTGGTACCAGCTGATCCATTGGGTGCAGGGTCTGCAAAATATCTCAAGCTCTGATCTTAGGCTTTACAATAGTGATGTTAACCCCAGGAGGAGTTTGGGGAGGTTGAGAATCTTGCAGCCTCTGCCTGTGACTCCTAAACCATAATTTCTAATATTTTAACTAACTTGTTAGTCCTACAAAGGCAGTCTAGTGCCTAAGCAAGAAGGAGGTTTGTTTTGGGAAAGGGCTGTGATTGTCTTTGCTTCAAACTATAAAGAATAAACTAAGTTCCTACCAAAGTTAGTTCAGCCTATGCCCAGGAGTGGAAAAGGACAGCTTGGAGGTTAGAAGCAAGATGGAGCTTGTTAGGTCAGATCTCTTTCACTTTCTCAGTTATGATTTAGCAATGGCAGTTTCAGTTTCATCTCTGTTTTCTTTTCTTCCTTGAGACTTTTTTTAAAAATTTATTTTGAGACTGAGTTTTGCTCTTGTTGTTGCCCAGGCTGGAGTGCAATGGCATGATCTTGGCTCACTGCAACCTCTGCCACCCAGGTTCAAGCGATTCTCCTGCCTCAGCCTCTCGAGTAGCTGGGATTACAGGTGTCCACCACCATGCCTGGCTGATTTTTTTGTATTTTTAGTAGAGACGGGGCTTCACCATGTTGGCCATGTCTCGAACTCCTGACCTCAGGTGATCGATCTGCCCACCTCAACCTCCCAAAGTGCTGGGATTACAGGAGTGAGCCATTGTGCCTGGGCCCCTAGAGACTTTAAGAGACCACATAGTCTTTAGTTGCTTTCATGAGAACCCAGAACATTAATGACTAGTGTTATTTTAGAATTACTATTCAATGCAGTATGCAGAAGGCAATGAAATATATTGTGCCAATTATAAAGGAGGAAGTAGAGTAATTATATCGGGGTGAAGGGACAATTTTGTAACTAAAACTTAAGAGAACCAAGCAGAAAGTAAGAATGGAGATGTTAAGTCAGTAAAGTAACATAGTTGGTTATGAAATTAACACACATATTCAATATATTCCCCACATCAAAGTAATAATCTGTTAGGAAATAAACTGACAGGAAAACAACTCATTTGTGTTACCAAATAGGCAAAATACAAATAAAATACTTCAAAACTAACTTAACAAGCCAGGTACAATATAAATTTAGAGAAAATGTTGAAACATTACTGGCGTATATTAAGTAAGTATTAAGTTAGTGGGAAAACATATTATTTTTTTCTTGGTGAGGAAGACTCTGTGTTGTAAAGATGTCAGTCTCCCTAAATTAATTTGTAAATTGAAGGCAATATCAATGTAAATGCCAACAGAATTTCTTTGAGTTCTAGAAAAGCTGATTTTAAAAGAAATGGGGGAGGAACAGCCCACCTATATATCCAGATTTATAACACTACATTTATTAAAGCTACTTGGGGTTGGCACAGAAATATACATAGAGAGTAATTGATGGGACAAACGGCCCATAAATAGATTGGTACACAGAAAGGAATTTGGTACATGACAAAGGGAGCACTGCAAATCAGTGAGGAAGAGAGAATGCATTTAACAAAAAGTTGTGTGTTCTGACCATTAGAGGGAAAAATACATGCATGTACACATATATGTGCATGTATACATATATATATTCATGCATACATGTATATGTAACTAAATTTGCTACTATATTTAGTAACTATGTACATATTTATACACATACAATATGCTAAATTCAACTATATAAGAATGCATATAGATGTAGATTTCTACTTATCTACTTGTGGTTTATATTCTTTCTTATATACAATTAAATTTAAGTGTAGAAATTCTAAAAGGGAGCAGAGTTTATTTTACAAACATGGTGTTGAAGTGGAGATAACTTTCAAAGAAAGACAGAAACCCTGTGCACCACAAAGATTGATGAATTTGGGCACAGATAAGTTTACAATTTCTATATTCAAAAATAAACTATAAATGAAATTAAAAGAGAAAAATTTAAAACCCTCATATCTGCTGGACTAGGTCGTACTGGATTTAAGGATAGGGATGCTTCCTTTCATTTACACAGTTGCTCAGTATCAACAGAACTCCTGGACCTTGTATGCTGTGTTCTAGGCAATTACTCTAGAAATGTCAGAGGCATTCATACCTGAGCAACTCCATCTTGAGATAGGGCTAGGAAAAATGAGGCTGGAACTTCCTGGGCTGCATTCCAAGGAGGTTAGGTACTCCTAGCCTCTAGATGTTTACGGTTAAGGGGAGAATAGATTAATAATGTTTACCAAACAGACCCAAATTCAGGAATGTACTGGATATCCCGATATCTTGACAACAAAAGCATTCCTAATTTTGCTTTAAAGACAATAATATCGATTCTTGCAAAATATAGTAAGGAAAATTAATCCCTTATCACAAATGCTTGTAATACAGCACATCTCCCCATGATTTTTTGTTATCCTCTATATAAACAAGCATTGTACCTAGGGTGGGCGCATTTCTCCTTTTACTTTCAGGAACAGCCTACTCTGTCTATGGAGGAGCTATTCTTTCACCACTTTACTTTCTTAACAAACTTGCTTTCGCTTTGCACTGTAGACTCGCCCCAAATTCTTTCTTGCAGGAGATCCAAGAGCTCTCTCTTGGGGTTTGGATTGGGACCCCTTTCTGATAGCAGAAACATTAGATTATCGATTGATTGTGTTAATCAGAATTCCATATTTTCAAACCTGAATTTTTTCCCCACATGCAGGCCAGGGGAATTGACTCATGTATCCTAAGGAAGTAAGACTCACTGAAAGTCCCAGAATTCATCCTTTCCCTTAACAGAAAATTAACTGTGGGATATGAGGGGGTAAAAAATCAACACCGTGAAAAGAGCTGGCTGAAGTATAAAAAAGTGGTCCAAGCTACAGAGCTCTCTGACTTATAGAAATTTTTTTTTGGTTTTATTTTTTTTTTTGGTAACTGTTTTATTCAGATATAATTCACCCATTTAAGGTGTAAAATTCAATGGGTTTTAGCACAGTAAAATGATTGTGCAACCATAATCACAACCTACTTTAGAATATTTTCATCATCCCCAAAAGAAATACTGTATTCGTCGGCTATTACCCTGCATTCCACCCCCATACCCCACCACAACCCCAGCCTCAGGCAAGCACTAATATATTGATGATCTCTATAGATTTGCCTGTTCTAGACATTTATATAAATATAATCAAAAGTGGTATTGTTTCTGGCTTATTTCACTTAGCATAATGTTTTCAAGGCACATGGATGTTGCAGCATGTACCAGTACTTCATTCCTTTCTATGGTTAGCTATTCCGTTGCCTGGCTATATCACATTTTGTTTATCCACCCGTCAATTAATGAACGTGTCAGTTATTCAACTTTGGTCTTCTTTTTTGAGAATGATTTGGCTATTCAGAGTGCCTTGCAATTCCATGTGAATTTCAGGATCAACTTTTTCACTTCTGACATAGTCCACTGGGATTTTGCTGGGGATTGTGGTGATTCAGGAGACCACCCTGTCAAATACAATCTTCTTAGCAATATCGGGTCTTCCAAACCTAGAACACAAGATGCCTTTCCACTTATGTAGGTCTTCATTAATTACCTTGAGCAAATGTTCGTACTTTTCAGAGTCTAAGTGTTGTACCGCTTTCTGTAATTTACTCCTAAGTAATGTATTTTATTTTTTGTTGCTATTGCAACTTGAATTATTTTTCGTAATTTTGTTTTTGGATCATCCATTGGAAGCATATAGAAATTCAATTGACTTTTTAAATATTGATCTTGCATCTTTAGAATTTTCTTGTTACAAGATCATGACATCTGCAAATAGATATTGTTTTACTTCTTCCTTGCCAGTATGCATGCCTTTCATTTTATTCCTTTTTTTTAATGACATAATTGCCTTGGCTAGAACCTCCAGTATAATGTTTAATAGAAGTGGTGAGAGCAGAAATCTTTGTCTTGTTCCTGATATTAGGGGAAAAGCATCCAGCCTTTCACCATTACGTATGATGCTAGCTCTTGTTGTTTTTGTATTTGTACTGCAGAGAATTTTGTTGGATTCCCATACATGGGGAAAGAGAAATAAAATCCGGTTCATGGTGTGTGTTCAAAATATGACATATATATTTCCATCCAGCTGTGGTGTGTGACTATTCAATAAATAATCTTAAACTTATGTTGATAATTATGAATTTTTAAATAACATTAGTAGAATTTAACATTTACCAAAATTAAAATTCAACGTTAATGCTTTCCCCAAAACAAACAACGACCAAAAAATTAAAAACAGACATTAGGTTTACTCCATGATATTAAAATACAAGTTTTATTTACAGTGCTATGAACCAAATGAGTGGTAATCTTAGAATTTATTTAAAATATATTAACAACATGGTATTTTAAAATTATCTTGAATAGCTTAATTAACTTGTCAGTTTCCTTAAAAAAAAAAAAAGTAATGCTACCTTACAACTATAAAGCACTTTTCCATTTATAAGAGAGTCTCATAATCATTACCTCATGTTAATCTCTCAATTTTGAGACAGGTAAAATGCATATGCATTTGAGGAATAAGGAGACTGGGTTTCAGAGACATTGCATATGGGTAGGAACATAGCTGTTTGCTGGCGAAGCTTGTGCTAAAAATGGACCCCCCTCATTCAGTTTTCTGAGGTCTCCTGTCCACTCAAAACTTGCTCTTCTTGATGTAATGTTTTCAGAATGGTCTGTCAATCTCATGCCACCTGTACTTTCCAGCACAGAGAGCACAAATGCACAAGGTTGAATTATTAAAAAAGTTAAATCACAGGAAATCAAAAGAACATTCAAGTATCACAAGAAATTAGGATGCAAAATAAAAGCTATATTTAAATACATGATTATGGGCTGTTGGCACTAACTCGTGTCATTTTTGTCATCAGGTGCTTTACTAGGGTGAGTTAATGATGTATATACATGAGTTCAAAACTTTTCTAAATACATATTTTAGGCAAAGCTATGTCAGTCTCCAGGATGGGATTCTATCTTGTCAAAAGTCTATGCAATCTATAACATTCCATAATTCAATTAATTTCAGAATATTTAAAGGGCTATTCATCATTTCTAGATTGGTGAAAATTCAACATATTGTCTTGTGCATTGAGTCTTAAGATATCTACATTATATTAAAGAATTCTGAGGCAGAAAAAAAAAACAGAGAGACTTTTCCTTGTAAAGGTGAGATTTCATGAGTTACCGGGCCTACAAAGTAAAAATGGTCTAGTCAATGGAAAAGGGGTTAAAAGACGATATTCATCCATGTTTAGGGATTTTTCTCTCTTTCTTTTTCTTTTCTTTTCTTTTCTTTTCTTTTTTTTTTTTTTTTTTTTTTTTTTGACAGGGTCTTTTTCTGTTGCCCCGGCAGAAATGTAGTCAGGGCCCACTGCAGCCTTGACCTCCCAGGCTCAAGGCATTCTCCTGCCTCAGCCTGTAGCTAGAACAACAGGCATGCGGACCATGCCCAGCTAATTTTTTATTTTTTGTACAGATGAGGGTCTCACTATGTTGCCCAGCTGGTCTCGAACTCCTAGACTCAAATGATTTTCCTGCCTTGGTCTCATAGAATTCTGAAATTACAGGTGTGAGCCACTGCACCCGGCTGGGATTTTTCACATTTAGGTCTAGGAAACATTTTTTTTTTTTTTTTGGTGGCTCCAATGCATGTATCAAGAATATAATGACACAGGTTTGTTTTATGGGATGACAGATAATTGCTCTGCAAGCATGCTGACAATCCTATAAGTATGATTTGCAGTAAGCCCCCAAACACATTTTCCCATGTGTCTTCTGTGATAACAATAGAAGGCCTTCCTGCTACTCATCCATGCACACAGGGCAAATTCTCTCATCCACAGTTGAAATAACCAGAGAATTTAGGCAGCACTTGGGGAGCCTGCAGTATAATTTTGAGAAGCACCCATAACTGCTAATGAGCTGATTGTTTCCAGTGAAATCGTAGGCACATTGTGAACTCTGAAAATTTGTTCTTTCTTTCTTTCTTCCTCTTTCTTTTCTTTCTTTCTTTCTTTTCTTTTCTTTCTTTCTTTTCTTTCTTTCTCTTTCTCTCTTTCTTCCTTTCTTTCTCCCTTCCTTCCTTCCTTTTCTTTTCTTTCTTTCTTTTTCTTTTTCTTTCTTTTCTTTTCTTTCTCTCTTTTCATTCTCTCTTTTCTTTCTCTCTCTTTCTTTCTCTTCTTTCTTTCCCTCCTTCCTTCCTTCCTTCCTTCCTTCTGTTTATGAGACAGAGTCTCACTCTGTCACTCAGGCTGGAGTGCAGTGGCACAATTTCGGATCAGCCTCGACTTCCTAGACTCAGGTGATCCTCCCATCTCAACCTCCTGAGTGGCTAGCACTACAAGCATGCACCACCAAGTCCTGCTCAGTTTTTGTATTTTTTGTAGAGACGGGGTTTCACCGTGTTGCCCAGGCTGGTCTCAAACTCCTGGCCTCAGGTAATCCTCCCATCTCAGATTACAGGTGTGAGCTACTGCACCTGGCCCCAAGAAATGATTTTCTTTTGAAAATGTCATCAGAATACATGATGAGTCACCCCAGAATTGCCCTCTGGCTCTTTGGTCTGCAGGTTCATCATGTCAGTATTCACAATAGCAAAGACATGGAATCAACCTAAATGGCCTATCAGTGGTGGACTGGATGGAGAAAATGTGGTACATATACACCATGGAATACTACACAGCCATAAAAAGAATGAAATCATGTTACTTGCAGCAGCATGGATTCAGCCGGGGGACATTATCCTGAGTGAATTAATGCAGGAACAGAGAACGAAATACCCAAACACTGCATGTTCTCACTCACAAGTGGGAGCTAAACATGGGTACTCATGGACCTAAAGATGGAAACAGCAGACACTGGATTAGTAGAATGAGGAGGAAGAGAGGGTGGCAAGGTTTAGAAAAGTAACTGTTGGGTCCAATGTCACTACTTGGGTGATGGGATCATCTGTGCCACAAACCTCAGTGTCACACAATATACCCAGGTAACAAACCTGCACATGTACTCCCTGAATCTAAAATAAAAATTGAAATTAAAAAACACAGCGTATTTACATGTTTAAAGCCTTTCCTGTACGTTGCTGTATTTTTTTTCCAGAAACTTACAGCAATTTATCTCCCACCAGAAACCGTGGGGTGTCGTTTACTTCCCTCAGATGCCACTAATATTTTTTTCCAATGGAGTGGTAAAACATTTTCACTTTTAGTAAGACCACAACACCAAGGCCAACAGGGCTACTGATGTCCAGTTCCTAAGTTTACTCTCTGCCCTGCATCTCTCCTGTACCTTTCTTTCACAGCTTCTCTATCAATACTATGAACTCCAGTCCCTGCAGAATGCAGCAGTTTCTTGAATGAATGCTTTATGACCTTTTGTTCTTCCCAGCATTTGCAGGTGCTATCCCCTTGGTCTGGCATGTTCTTATCCACCCTTTGCTACTTATCCTTTTCTTGCTCCAGCTTCTTGATGCAATTGGGATTTTGCTTTCTTGTCTTGGCTGTTTCATTTTATGCGTCGACTTGCCCGGGGTTAAGGTGCGCTCCTGTTTTGTCAGAGACCAGTTGCGATGATGCTGTGAAGGTATTATGTAGGTATGATTAACATTTACAATAATATGCTTTGACAAAAGCAGAATGCCCTCTGTGATGTGTGTGGGTGTCTTAGTCCACTTGAACTGCTATTACAAAAACACCATAGACTAGGAGGTTTACACAACAGACATTTGTTTCTCATAGTTCTAGAGGCTGGCAGTCCAAGATCAAGGTGTGCCAGATTCTGTGTCTGGTGAGGGCTCTCTTCCTGGTTCATAGATGGCAGTTTCTTGCTGTGTCTACACATGGTGGAAGGAGTGAGGGAGCTTTCTACAGTCTCTTTCATAAAGGCACTAATCCCATTCCTGTGGGCTCTGCCCTCATCACTTCCCAAAGCCCTCACCTCCTAACATCATCACCTGGGGAATTAAGATTTCAATGTATGAATTTTGTAGGGGACACGCACATTCATTCTGTAACAGAGGGCTTCATTCAATCATTGAGGGCTTTAAAAGCAAAAACTGAGGATTCCTCAAGAAGAAGGACTTCTGCCTCCAGCCTGCAACATAGAAGTCCTGCCTACACTTCAAACTTTCAGATTGGTTCTATTTAAGTTACTGGAGAAATCTCCAAACTGCTTTCCACAGTGACTGAACTAATTTACATTCCCAACAACAGTGTATAAGCATTCCTTTTTCTCCATAGTGTTACCAACATGTTATTTTTTCACCTTGTAATAATACTCAATGAATACCCTTTGACTTAGCAATCCCATTCCTAGAAACATAGGTTATGCAAATAGTCACTGATGGGTGCAAAGATTTAATTGTATGTTCTTCCAAGTTTTGTTTATTCACAGTGAAGAGGTGGACAGACACTGAATATCCCAAATGGAGAATTGGGGTAAAACTAAAAGTAGTTGAAAGCCAATGCAACTATTTCATGATAGTGTTCCAGGAAAACTAATGAGAGAGGGGGTCACCAGTGTAATACATGAATTAACAAAAGAAGTCAAAATGATTTTGTGTATGTAAACATAGCTGCAGATACACAGCTACAGATACAGATACAGTCATAGATATAACTATAAAGATGTATGCCCAATAGATAACAGTGGTGCAATTACAAGTAATTTAATTCTTTCTTTGCACATGTCTGTCTGTATTAAATATATTTTTAAATGACAACCAGTAGTAACTGTAGTGGAGAAACCTGACAAATACTCCTTCAGCTGGGTGATCAACGTCAAGGTCAACAGAAATAAGTGATGTTGGTGGGACGCTTCTTTGCTAGGATGTGATTAATACCGTACTTTACCTCTGCCTTTCTTTAAAAAACCTATAACCCTAGCCTAAACATGAGAAAACCATCAGAAAAATTGCAACTAAGGGTCATTCTACAAAGAAACCTGAGCTGTACTCTCCAAAACTGTCAAGATCATTGAAAACAAGGAAAGTCTGAGAAACTGCCACAGTTAAAAGGAACCTAAGAGGAAAAGATGATTAAAGATGTAGGGTACCCTGAAAGAGACCCTGGAACAGAAAGAGACTGTTAGGCAAAAAGGAAGGAACTCTAAATAATATACGGATGTTAGTTAATGATAGTGTAACAGTTTGGGTTAATTAATTGTGACAAATATACGAAACACTGTGCAGAGATGAACTTTGTGAGGGGAAGGAACTTCACCATAATGAGTCTGTTTTCTAGAGTTAAAGAGCTTTCCAGTTTCAGCCCCTTCATTCCATCTTCCTACTCTTCCCCCACTGCCCACAAAGGTGCATAAGGGGGTGGTCTCATTTGAAATTAAAATCGACCCCGGAGTCTACAACAGGCATCTTTTATAAACTTTCAGTCTGAACTGTGTGAAGTTTTGTTTCCCATCCCCATCCATAAATAGCTGTCTGTAGTAATTTCTCTCCATTCCTGTGCCCCCTTTTGAACTCCAATATCAACTAGCAGTTGTAGGAATAGGGCGGGAGACACTTCTTGTATCTTAATTATAATTTCCTATAACATATCACAGATCAGGTGAGCTGGCATCTGTCCTTCCTTAACCTTCTTCTGGGCTGGGGACAAACCAAGGCTTGGCTGCATCTCTGACCTCCCAGCTGGTGCAAGTCCCAGCCCACGATGATGTCACAGTGCTGTGGTTATGCATATCTGTGATATCAGGGGTGTTTAGGCGATGAACTGTGTATTAGTCTGTTCTCAAGCTGCTAATAAAGACATAGCCAAGACTGGGTAATTTATAAAGGAAAAAGGTTTAATTGACTCACAGTTCCACATGACTGGGGAGGCCTCAAAATCATGGCAGAGGAGCAAGGGATGTCTTACAGGGTGGCAGGCAAGAAGAGAGAATGAGAGCCAAGTGGAAGGGGTTTATCCCTTATAAAATAATCAGATCTTGTGAGACTTATCCACTACCACAGAACAGTATGGGAGAAACTTCCCCCATGATTCAGTTATTTCCCACTGAGTTCCTCCCACAACACATGGGAATTATGGGAGCTACAATGCAAGATGAGATTTTGGTGGGGACACAGCCAAACCATATCAAACTGTGATGCTTGAAATTAGGAAAATGTACCCTCTGATGCATCTCGAATTTTGGCTATGAATATTTTCACAGTTGCTGAAGCACATGGCTGAAACGCTTTCCCAAAGAGTTGTGCCAGTTTCTACTCCAAACAGCATTAGAGGTAGGAGCATTTTTTCTTAAATTGCATTTAGGAACAGATAGGAGGGGTAGAAGTTCGAGGAGAGGGCAAATAGCTGTCAAGTAATGGAAAGAATATTGGAGCATGTTTCAGGTGAATGAACTTTAGTCCCTGGGCTCTCTGCACCATGATGGTATCTTCATTCAGGCCAGTGACTGTGAGGTTCTGTGTTTTCTTTTACAAAGAGGAATCTGGACCTGCTGCCTCCAAAGTTGCCTCTGGTTCTGAAATTTTATGGCTACGATTCTATCACAAAATTCACAACGATGCTGGAGTGGTTCTGCTGTGACCAAAGGGGGAGTTAAATCATCGTAAACCCAAAAGGATGCATAATGGAATTATCATAGGATTTGAATTATGTACTTATTATTTGCCATGTAAGGGCATGCTTTTGGGAGACATGACTGGATCCAAAAATGTGAAACGTGTTGGGTTTCGTTGGGTAGTCCTGACTGATTTATTCATTCAATTAAAAATGGGTTTAGCATCCTGTCTGTATTTGGAGTCGATATTACCTTGAAGGAACAGAAGAGAGAAGAAAAAAGAAGAAAAAGACGACAAATGAAGGGGAAGGAAAGGAGGAGAGATTGAAGCATCGTGTGGAAATGGGGATAAGAGGCTGTGCGTCAAGGAATGAGGGTAGCCTCTAGAAATTGGAATAGACCAAAGAATAATCTCCCCTAGAGCCTCCAAAAGGAATGATATCCCGCCAATACCTTGATTTTAGCCCAGTGATAGCATGTCAGAATCTTGACCTCAAGACTGTAAGATAATAAATTTGTGTTGTTTTAAGCTGGCAAATGCATGGTGCTTTTCTACAGAAGCAGTAAAATACTAATAGAGTTTAGCTCTCTGATGAATGGTTTCTGTCCCCTTATGAGAAAACTCCCATTTCTGTAAAGGAACAAAACTCTAGAAATCAGTCTTGATGAGGACTGGCCGTTTCTACTTATCCAGATGAATGGATTCGTGCAGTTCTGGTCAGGACGGATCACCAGGGAAATTTCCTGGCTCCACGCCCTGTTCAGAATTCCTTGGAGTTAGCAGGTACAAGAATTTACTGTCCTTGATGGTACCTTGTGTTGCATCGGATTTCTTAATTAAAGACGAGATATTTTAATACAAAAATGATACGTTAAAGTGACGACATCGTTTAGCCTTAATACGTGATCAAATGTGGAGCATGTTTTTTCTTAAATGGTTAAAAATTCTGTTAAAATTTTCCTAGATGTTCTTTTATACACAGCCTCAGCTACAAATTTATGTATTTCTAAAGCAAAGGAAGGTTTCTCTTTAGATTAAGGTCATTTCTCTTCTCTTTTCCTTTTCTTCTCCTACAATGCACATACGCATATATTGGTAATTTGTATCATACAAGAGTATGAATTGAGAATGTTTAAATGGTAATTTTCATACAATAAAAAAAGAAGAAATAAGACTGTGAATAATCAACTGGACACAATAATAGAAAACAGTAGTTGCTAAGCTGTAGTCGCCAGACCAGAAGGTTGATGATCTGGGAATTTGTTTAAAAGGCACATTTTTAGCTGAGGCAGGCGGGTTGCTGGAGGCCAGGCATTTGAGAGCAGCCTGGGCAACAGAGGGTGACTGCATCTCTACAAAAAATTTTTAAAAGTTAGCTGGGCATGGTGGTGAAACCTATAATTCCAGCTACCTGGGAGGTTGAGGTTGGAGGATCTCCTGAGCCCAGGACTTGGAGGCTGCAATAAGCTATGATTGCGCCACTACGCTTTAGCCTGGGCGACAGAGTGAGACCCTGTCTCTAAATAATAAAACAAAGGCACGTTTTCAAATCTCTGCCCAGACTTCCGCAGAGAAGCTATAGAATTCAGACATAGAATGAATCTTGGCTATAAGGCAGAACCATGTGATTGCTTCAAAGATGAGGTCAAATACTGCATCCATGCAACGGCAGAGATCTAAGGGTTTTTAAGGTTTCCACCCACTCCCACCTCCAAAATTCCTATTGTACTAGAGTTATCCTTTTTATTTGGCCTTTAAGAATAAAAAATTATATATATATATATATGTGTGTGTGTGTATGTGTATATATATTACACACATTTATGTATATATTTTATACACACACACATATGTATATCTTACTATTGGAAGTGTAATTCTTGAAAGAGAGCTTGTAGAAAATGCCAAATTTCAGGATGCAAACTGGACCTATTATGGAATCTGCATTTGAGTTTTCCAGGTGACTCATATACCCATTAAAAATGGAGAAACATGGCATGTAATCCCAACACTTTGAGAGGCTAAGGTGGGCAGACCACCTGAGGTGAGGAGTTTGAGATCAGCCTGGCCAATATGGCAAAACCCTGTCTCTACTAAAAATACAAAAATTAGCTGGGCATGGTGGCGAGTGCCTGTAGTCCCAGCTACTCGGGAGGCTGAGGCAGGAGAATCGCTTGAATGCCGGAGGTGGAGATTGCAGTAAGCTGGGATCGTGCCACTGCACTCCAGCCTGGGTGACAGAGTGAGACTCCATCTGAAAAGAAAAAAGAAAAATGAGAAACAATGCTTTAAAAGACTCTACTCCTTGAAATGTTGAAGCTACTTCCTCATCCTAAGATATGTGTCTTCTTATTTATTTTTATTTTATTTTGAAGAACTGCAAAGAGAGGAAAATCTTTAAAGTGATCATTATCACTACCTAATTTCTTGTGTTTTAAAAATCAATAATTTACTATTGTATTAGTTTACTTTTTTTTTAAAGCAGTAGGGAGAAAGCCCCATTTTCCCTGTTTTATATCTACAAATATGATACAGAATGAAAAAAAATCATTTTTTGACATTTGAAAACATTTTTCCTGATGTTAATTATTAAATTAAAGGATTCCAGCTGGTAGTTTCACTGGTGATCATTTTTCCTTTTTTCCAAATTGTCGAAGAATAAACCTACCCAAGTGGATACCTTGATTTGATACCTGGGGTTAGCAAAGTTTCAAGTCCCATCACAATGACAGGAGAGTATTTATTCTCACTGTTGGTGGCATTATACTCATTCATACATTTACCATGCCTTCCAGATTTTTCCTCTTCCTGTAAATCAATCAGGGTAATGTCATCAGAGCAGAACTCCTAGAAAACGTATGTGTGTGTATATATGTACATATGTGTGTGTGTATATATGTATATATGTGTGTATATATGTGTGTTTATATATATATATATATATGTATGTATAATATATTTGTTACAGAGATTTCACTTTAACAACTTAAGGAACTGTTTGAGCTGCCTACCTAAGCCTGTTGTCTTTGCAAATTTAATGCTGGAGCCAAACGTCTATAGGGCAGGTGGTTAGGAAGGGAAGATGCCCGTGAAGTGGGAGAGATTGGGAACAGTCTGGAGTCCACAAGTGGGACTTGCAGCCATACAAAGATGGTGCTGCTACGGTCTGAATATTTCCATTTCCTCAAAATTTACATGTTGAAATCCTCATCCCCATAGTGATGGTATTAGAAGGTGGGGCATTTGCCAAGTGATGAGGTCATGCAGGTGGAGCCTCATCAATTGGATGAGTGTCCTTGTAAAAGAGACCCCAGAGTGCTCCCTTACTCCTTTGACCAGATGAGGACACAAGAAGAAGGAGCCATCTATGGACCAGTGGGTCCTCATCAGACACAGAATCTATCAGTGCTTTGATCCTCAACACCCAGCCTCCAGACCTGTGAAAATTAAGTTTCTGTTGTTTCCAAGCTCCAAGTCCATAGTATTTTATTTAACATCCCAAATGGACTAAGACAAATGGACTAAAACATATGTCTTATCGTTGCCTCTGACCTTGGTAATGAAGAACTGCAGAACTGCAGAATCCAGAAGCCTGCCTTACAGAGCTAAACACACACACCTGGCTTAGGAATCAGAGATGCCAAAGGAGGATCCAGGAACAGGTGGGGCAGTTGCAGACCTGGCTGCTGCTTCCTGCTAACAAGGTGATTCAGCACATCTGTGACTAAGTGTGTGACCTGCAAAGTGGCTGCTGCTTTCTTTCTACATTCCTCGTCCTCCAAGAATCTCCCTTGCGGAAATTCATGCAGAAAGGGGAAATATGTAAGAAAGAGAGTTCTTGGAAATTTAATTCAGCAAAGCCAAATTAACACATTACAAAGCCACTGACGTCTATCCACTCCTCGCTGACTTCTCCGAGTTTATACAGCATTTAATGACCTGGATCTCACCATTTCATATGGGTAAATTGAAACTTAACCAAACCCAAACTTTCTTGCTCTGACTCAAGTGACCTTTCAGAATCCAAACCATGTAAAAATGCCCAAATAAATGTCCTATGATAGGACCATGTTTTCCCAACTTATGTGTCCAGTTCTGATCCTTAAAGAGACTTCACTAAAACTCATGTCTCCTTTAAATCCTAAGATAGCTACAGCTGGATGATTTTAGGTTATAACTTTTGGATTGAAATTATAGAATGATGGAAGGGGCAATATGAACATTTATATGCAAAAGGGTTCAAGGCAGAAAATGACTGGGTAATCAGAATTCAACTCCTAGTTCTTCATTTGGTCCATTTGAAAAATCGGGCCTCTTTGTCCTACTCTCCAGGGAAATACCTGATACACATCCAGTTTCAAAGAGGAGATGTTAAGAAATGCCTTCCTCTAAATTCACTAGATGTATTCATTTCTGGACACTGACCTTATTCCTCTATCAGACCATTTAACATTTTCCCTTTAAGTACATGTTTATCTTTTTCCTCTGAAAAGAAAAAAAAAAAGCTCTTTTCTTTGGTTAGTAAGTAGCTGGAGGGTGGATAATTACTCTGTATGTATTTAGTCGCAAGTATCATTAGAATTCTGAATTAAAAATAAGATTAATGATTTAATTTCAATCTTGTCAGGATGACCCATTTAAAAAATACTGATGTGATATAATGCTATAAAAGATTTAAGCATAATTTATTGATAAAACCATTACAACTGGAATGAGAGAGCTATTTGTCTACATAATGGTTCCTGAAATCACAGATAGTACTTTCCCATTATTCCACTGCAACATTTATAATTCCTTTTTAGATTTACCATTTTTTCAAACAACCACATATGGTACTTATTATATGCCAGGAAGTGTTCAAAGGGTCTTACAAATACTAACTCATTTAGTCCTCACAATGACTTAACAAAGCAGCACTATTGCCTTCCCTACATTGTGCATAAGAAAATGGCAGCATGGGCCGGGTACTGTGGCTCACCCCTGTAACCCCAGAACTTTGGGACGCTGAGGTGGGTGGATCATGAGGTCAAGAGATAGAGACCATCCTGGCCAACATGGTGAAATCCCGTCTCTACTAAAAATACAAAAATTAGCTGGGTGTGGTGGCACGCACTTGTAGTCCCAGCTATTCGGGAGGCTGAGGCAGGAGAATCGCTTGAACCCGGGAGGCGGAGGTTGCAGTGAGCCGAGATCACACCACTGCACTCCATCCAGCCTGGCAACAGAGCGAGACTTCTTCTAAAAAATAAAAATAAAATAAAATAAAAATGGCAGCATGACAAGCATGGGTAACCTGCCCAATTGAACACAGCAGATGAGTTTTGGAGCCATGATACAAACCAGAGTCTGGCTGCCTAACCATGGCTCCATATTGTTTCTGCATTGTAGATAAACCAGTGAGAACTTGGACTGATGGCAGTAGTTAATGCACCTTTGCATTTGAGAAAGTAGCTGGGTGGCAAGATTATTGGTGTGAAAAATTCTCAAATATATAAAATTCATATTTCTCATAAATCAAACATTGCATAAATTTTCTCTTCCTTGGGATTTATATAAATTTAGGTGTAGAAAGTTAATGTAGAAGTTGCACTTTTGGCTAAGAGGGGGTAAACAGGCAATTACCTTCCCATCAGAAAGAAACAAAGACGATATGTGAAACTATGGTTTTTAAGACACTGGATATCAATCAAAAGATAAGTGATTCCAGAAAGAGAGCTAATAAATGAGGTGAATACTTTTTATTGCATAGCTCCCACATTGAGAGAGATTCCAGGCAATGGTATGAGGAGGGGAACTTACACAGAACCAGTGGACTGTCTGATTTGAAGTGATGAACCTGGTAGTTTAGAGAGAACAAGGCAGCTAGAATTTGAAGCACAGGGTTACAGGAGAGAAGAGAGATGTACAGAGAACTGCCCCCTCAAAAAAAAAAAAAAAAAAAAAAAAAAAAAAAAAAAAAAGCCTGCATGCAGAGTGTCCCTGTTGAGTATTTAACCAATTGCTGATGCAGCATGCATATGAGAAAATTACACAAGGATGGAGATATAAACATCCAAAAGAATCAGCACACTGTTCAAGGTTCACAAAGGGCTGTAAATGATGCCTGTTTTCACCAGCCAGAAGGAAAAAAAATTCCCTAAATACATGAGACACTGTATAAAGTTTTGAGGTTGGTCTTGCTTTAGTAAGGAAGAAAAGATTAGCAACAACCTGAGTTCTAATCAGGTCCTGCCTAACAAACCTGAAAAGCAAGACTCTAAGAGATCAATCTCATTCAAAATTCCTTAACTCAAGCGCAGAATAAAACCTAAGAAATTTTAGAGGAATAAAAAAAAAACAAAAACCCAACCCCCAAAGTGGTAAAATTCACTGTCTCTGGCATTCAAAGCTTACAGCATTTGGGCCTGTCGCAGTGTTGGAGACCAGCCTGGCCAACATGGTGAAACCCCGTCTCTACTAAAAATACAAAATTTAGCTGGGTGTGGTGGCTGGCGCCTGTAGTCCCAACTACTCAGGAGGTTGAGGGAAGAGAATCGCTTGAAGCCGGGGGAGGCAGAGGTTGCAGTCAGCCAAGATCGCACTACTGCACTTCAGCCTGGGTGAAAAGCAAGACTCTGTCTCAAAAAAAAGAAGAAGGAAAAAAAGCTTACTGCATTTGAATGAATAGCAATGGAAACTGTCTAAAATGAAACACACAGAAGAAAAAAAAAGTAAAAACGAAAAGAACATCAGTGAGCTGTGGGACAACTTCAAGTATCCTAATGGGTGAGTAATTGGAATACTCAAAGGAAAAGAAAGGGGAGCAGACACACACACACACACCCACACACACACACACACACACACACACACACACACACTTCAAGAAATAATGGCCAGAAATTTTCAAAAAATTTGAAAAAGCTATCAGCCTATTGACACAGTAATCTCAACCAACTCTAAGCACAAGGAAGCTGAGAAAAACTTTGCCAAGGCACATCATAATCAAACTGCTCAAAACTAGTGATAAAGACAAAATATAACTATTAGCCAGAGGAAAAAAACACATTATGTATAGAGGAGCAAAGATAAGAATAACTTTGGATTTCTTGTCACTAATAATGTAAGCAAAAAGAGAAGAAACATACTTACGGTACTTCTAATAAGTATCTATATTTTTGCTGGTTATAGAAGTCTATACTTATTACAGGTGATAAGTCTATACTTAGGCTGCGTGCAGTGGCTCATGCCTGTAATCCCAGCACTTTGGGAGGCCGAGGTGGGTGAATCACTAGGTCAGGAGATGGAGACCATCCCGGCTAACACAGTGAAACCCCGTCTCTACTAAAACAGAAAATACAAAAAATTAGTCGGGTGTGGTGGTGGGTGCCTGTAGTCCCAGCTACTCGGGAGGCTGAGGCAGAATGGTGTGAACCTGGGAGGCAGAGCTTGCAGTGAGCGGAGATTGTGTCACTGCACTCCAGTTTGGGAGTCAGAGAGAAACTCTGTCTCAAAAATCAATCAATCAATCAATCAATCTATACTTATTACAGATAATAAGTACAGTCTTCTATACCCAGCAAAAATATCTTCAAATCAAACAACAGTGAAGAAAAGACACTTCTAAACATTTAAAACCAGAAATAATTCATGATCAGCAGACATGCAGTACAATGCATGTCCAAAGAATTCCTTTAGGCAGAGGGATTGATATTAGATGGAAATTTCAATTGTACACAAAAGCAGGAGAAGCAGCAGAAATGGTAGATAATTGATAAAACTATAAGACTTTTATCTTTTTATGTGTTTTAAACAGATAATTGATTAAAGAAATATAGGAATGTATTGTGAGGTTTATAAGATATTTAGAAGTAAAATGCATTACAACGATAGCATATTCTGGGAAGGAAAAGTGGATGTATACTATCATATAACATTGCACAAAAGGCAGCACAAGGAAAGAAAACAACAGACTGATATTCCTCATAACCATAGAGACAACATTTCTAAATGCATTTTTAGCAAATTGTAGCAAAACTACATAAAAAGATTATTAAATCATGACCAGGAGGGATAATTCTAAAAATATAAGGTTGTTTTAACATTCAAACCAACCAATGCCATATTAACATTAAACAAAATTGCCTTAATATTTGAATAAAAATAATTATTGAAATTCAGCATCCACTCCTGATTTTTAAAAATTGTTATCAAAATTAGAAAAGGAATCAATTTTCTCAACTTGATAAAGAGCATCTACATAAAACCTGCAACTAATAACATAATGGTGAATTATTCTTTCCCTCCACCCACAAGTTGGAAACAAGACAAGTATGTCTGCTCTCACAACTTCTACTCACCATTGTACTGGAGATTGTAGCCAGTAAAATAAGGAAAACGAAAATTCTCCAGATTGGAAAGGAAGAGTCAAAACTGTCTTCCTTTGCAGATGACATGGTCATCCATGTAGAAGATCTGACTGAATATACCAAACAGTTACTATAATTATTAAGTGCATTTAGAAACATTTCAAGATAAAGATCAATAGACAAAAAATAAATTGTATTTCTATATCCTAGCAATGAGCATTTGAAAACTGAAATTAAGAAAACAAAACAACAACCACATCAACAATATGAAATTCTTAGGGATAATTCCTACAGAAGATGTTCAAGAAAGTCTTGTGCACTGAAAACTACAAAACTTTACTGAGAAGTTAAAGAAAACCTTAATCAATGGGGAGATATACTTTGCTCATGGTTGGGAAGACTCAGTGTGGTCAAGATATTGGTTCTGCCCACATTGATTGATAGATTCAACACAATCCCAGTCAAAATCCCAGCTAATTTTTTTCTCAAAATTGACAAGCTTATTCTACAATTTATTTGTAAATTTTAAAAACCTGGAATAGCTACAAAAAATAAAAAAAGAACAAATTTGAAGGTCTAACACTACTTAATTTCAAGATATACATAAGCTATAGTAATCAAGACATCACAATATTGCCATGAAGATGGACAAACAGATCAAGGAAACAGAGTAGATACTTGAGAAACAGACCCACAAATACACAAAAACTTCACTTCTACACATAAATACACACACACACACACACGCACACAAAGAGTTAACTGGACATTTGCAGGACACAAGGAGCAGGTATTTGGAATATATGCCACGAGCCTATTTTTTAGGCTTCTGTGCAGATGAAATAATCAATACTGTTTCCAACTAAGCCTATATTTCTTCTCAACAAAGAATATAATGTAGCCATTTCTAGCTGATCATAGATTGACATTGGACAAATCAAAGTTGGCATCTCTGATGTTGACCAACTCATGTCTCATCTTAGAGGTGATAAAGTCAAGGCACAGGTAGTTGATAGTAATTAGAAGAATATTCAGGACAAGAAGTCGATAGCTTAATTCCAATCCAGAGTCCTCTACATGACAGGCCAGAAGATAGACTGAATGGGTATATAAGACTATGGGGGATGGGTGCAGAGTATGATGCAGGCAAAAATAAAAAGCTAAATTGTCTAAAATTAGACTTGTACCACAGAATACTTTGATTCGATCCATTTTCAAATTTGATGACCTATGATATTTATGATCTAATATATTGAACATGTTAAATAAGAAATTCTAATTATATTTTAGCAGAAAGTATATATCAAGCAAATTGTATTCCCTTTTCTGTTTTATTGATTTATCATATCATCTAAATGATTTTCCAATTCTCTAAAAACATAAATTTAAGATTAAGTTGTGTCTGTATACATATTTTTCCTTAATAGACTCCCTGTCAATAATCTATTTTCAAATGATGAATCTTGGTAAATATACTTAAACTCTTTTTGTAAAAAAATTTTTGAGACACTCTTGCTTCGTTGCCCAGGCTGAAGTACAGTGGCATGATCTCAGCTAGCTGAAACCTCCACCTCCCAGATTCAAGCGATTCTCATTCCTCAACCTCCTGAGTAGCTGGGACTACAGGCACGTGCCATCATGCCCTCCTAATTTCTGTATTTTTAGTAGAGATGGGGTTTCACCATGTTGGCCAGGCTGGTCTCGAACTCCTGACCTCAAGTGATCCTCCTGCCTCGGCCTCCCAAAGTGCTGGGATTACAGGCATGAGCCACCGCACCTGACCTTGAACTCATTTTTAAGAGAAATTAAGATATACAGTGAATATATGTCATGACAGTCCTATATGCACTCATAATTCATTAACAATTTATATCCATTTATAATATTTTCATAATAAAATTCAATTTTAATTATTTTTTGTAATAGAAAATTGGGAAGATAGGAATTAGGGCAGAGTATACATCCTAACTTTTTTAGGGTCTGATTGCTTAAAACCCTAAATATTTGCCTCTTTCTTATGAATCTTGCTAAATAAAAAATTGGGAGTTTTGATCAGTGAAGATTTTTACCATACTTACACATTGCTAACCATTGGCAACAGAAAATTTATCAGAAAGCTTTTTATGTTGCATTGATAGGAACAGTTAAAAATATGAATTAAAATACTTTCATTGCAAGGAGATTTAAAAAATGATTTACTAACAATCTGTTATCAATTATACCCATGATAAACTCATAGGTGCTTTTAAGAGTATATTTTACAGCAGGAAACATACTTCAGACAGCTCTTACTCATTTAAAAATTCTTATGAACTATCCAGGCTAGACATAGGGGCTACGTGGAGACAGAATATTTGGTTAAATATGTGCTTTTTTAATGACAGTTCGGGTCAGGTCATTACTTGGAACAACAATACATGTAAATTGGCAACAGGGACTTAGGTGAGACAGCCGTTCCCTCCTCCTGAGATTAATTGAACATAAAATTACCTTACCTGAGAGTGAAATATATTATCAGCAAGCCAAATAATTCTCCATCAGGTTTTCATTTGTTTATAAAAACAGTAATAAAGCATTTCACTCTAAAAGCCTAATACTCACTATGCTCAATTATAGAGGAGATAATTTAACAACCCATGTCATCAGTAATGAAAAAATCAAGGTAGCTTTGTGCATTTTTGCAACGCAAATACTGAGCGTGTTGGTCTGTGTATTTCCAACAGTGTACAAAAGTTACATTCAAGAGAGTATCAGTGGTTTGAAAACTGCTTGGATTAGCTGAAATCTCCAAAAGACAAAGGAATACCCACAAGTCAACTGCAGTATTGGCCCTAAATGGTCCCACCATTTCTGATTCTTTTGATCAAAAAAGCAACCTTTTATAATGAAAATGCATGAGGAGCCTCCCCTCTAAAAATATTGTTTTCATTTGCATTCCTTTCACTGTGAGTAAAGTTCAACCTCTTTTCATATGCTTAAGGTCATTTGTTTTTTCTAATTTGATTTTTTTTAACTTTTATTTTATGTTCAGGGGTACAAGTTCAGATTTATTGTATGGGTAAACTTATGTCATGGGAGTTCGTGGTACAGATTATTTCATACCCCAGGCATTAAGCCAAATACCCATTAGCTATTTTTCCCGATCCTTTCCCTCCTCCTTCCCTCCACCTTCTGAAAGGCCCCAGTGTGTGTTGTTCCTCTCTATGTGTCCATGTGTTCTCATCATTCAGCTCCCACTTATAAGTGAGAACATGCGGTATTTGATTTTCTATCCCTGTGTTAGTTTGTTAAAAGGTCTTTTTGTTAGTTATTTATTTGTGCTTTTTGCCTGTTCTTAAAAACATGTCTCTTTCCTCCTTGTTTTTTCAAATAAGTTTCTATATATCGAGAATATTAGCCACTTATCCATTATAAACCCTGCAAATATCTCCACATTATTTGTCACTAGCTTTTTACTTAACTTATGACATTTTATGCAATGTAGAGTTTTTAAAAATGTACTCACATTTATCAGTCTTCTTTTATTGATATGGGTTCTGTGTCATAAAAAGCCATTTTCCTCCATCCAGGTCATAGAAAAAAATTTCCAGCTTTCCTGCTAGTTCTTTTGTAGTTCATTTTTTAAAAAAACTTTAAAACTTTAGATATATGTTCCATTGGGGATTCTTTTTTGATATGGTGTGATGGGTGGATCTAAATTTACCTTTTCTTAAATGGCTGCACACATTTGTCTTAATACCATTTTTTAAAAAGTCCACTATTGTCCAAATGATGTGAGGTCTAACTTCATCCTATACTACATTTCTATATATCCTTGGCTCTATTTCTTTACTTTCTATTCTATTCCATTACTTTCTTTATTCTTATGCCAGTTTGATAATCTTTTCTTTTTTTTCTTTCTTTTTTTTTTTTTTTTTTGAGACAGAGTCTCCCTCTGTCACCCAGGCTGGAGTGTAGTGGCACGATCTGCAACCTCCACCTCCTGGGTTCAAGCAATTCTCACGCCTCAGCCTTGAGAGTAGCTTGTGCCACCACGCCCTGCTAATTTTCGTATTTTTAGTAGAGATGGGATTTCACCATTTTGCCCAGGCTGGTCTCAAACTCCTGACCTAAAGCAATCCACCTGCCTCATCCTCCCAAAGTGCTCGGATTACAGGAGTGAGCCACCACACCGGCCAATAGTCTTGATAGTGAATTTGTTGCATATTTTAATATCCAGTGTGATGAGGCTGCCCTCATGAGTCTTCATCTTTTTAACCATCCTCACGTAATAAAATACGATGTAGTTAGTCCTTGGTGAAGCATTACCCAGACACTCAGCAACTTCAAAACTTGGTAGACCTGGAGGTGCGTGGTGGTTTGGAGTGTCAGTGGGCAACTCCAAGCCACCAAGCCTTTCTAAATGTGGAATGGGATGAGGGAGAGACAGCGAGAGAGAAAGAGAATGAGAGACCAAGAAAGAGGGAGAGACAGAGAAAGAGAGAGAGAGCGAGAGAGAAAGAGAATGAGAGACCAAGAAAGAGGGAGAGACAGAGAGAGAGAGAGAGAGAGAGAGAGAAAGGAGATGATTACTCCCGTGGAAAAATTTTGTAAGTGCCAATCAAATATCACCCAAAGTCCGTTTGGAGATACACAGTAAATGAAATGTTTTAAGTGTCTCAGTTTTCAAACTCTCACTTGGGAAATGTTACTTTGGAAATACCTAGCATTTCTTTCTATGACTTCTGCAGCTGTGATATTCCTTCTGCAATAAGTATTCAAGGAAGAAGTAAGGTTGCCTGTTGCCTACAGTTTTACTCCGTAGTGAAAACTGTGGGAGAGATTTTGAGTGTCACATAATTTAGATTTCCTTTTCAAATATTAGACATGCTTTGTGTTTGGAGAAGCCATCATTCAAAGAATAGACATGCAAAGGTAAACCACTGAAGCTGTGAGCACCTGAAATTCTGGCCCCAAGCAGATGCTTCCCTGATCTTAGATGTTGTTCTGAAGAAACTGGGGAACTGGGACTCTACAGTGTTGTTTACCAGAGATTGTTGTAGGTCAGTGACTGCATTTGGACTTTGTAGAAATACCGTTGTCTCAGTGTTGCAGAATATTAGGACAAAATGGAGAGTTTCACTCTTCTTTTTTTTTTTTTTTTTTCCGGCTGTGAGTGAGAATTCCTACCAGCTAGAATAGCATGGATTGCCTTTCCTGTTTTCTTTTTACAGTAGCTTTGTTTGCAATTGCTTTAACTTTTCCCCAATTTCTTGGCATTTTGTAAACAGGATTTCTAGTTCAAGACCACTTTCTTCAGTTATGATGGTAAAGTGTGGTCTTTTTAATGCTCGGTCATGGTGATGGTGATGGTGGTGGAGAAGATAGGATTGAAGTATCTTGTTACTCTTTCCTTCCAGCAGAATCTTAATTTTCCCTTTTTTCCTTCTTTCTCTCGATATAACTATTTCTCTAATGAGACTATTCTGATTGTTATTCCCCAGGCAATGTCACTTCTAGGCTGCTAACCTGAGACCTACTCACATTGAAGGCTCTTTCTTCCACCTGGTTTTCTTAGACACCAAGGCTCATGCTCCGTCTTTAACACTCAATGTGAGACTTTATGGGATGTTTTGTTCTGTTTTTCTTCTGGGTCCTACACTTTCTTTCCTTTTTCTCAAGGCTGACCATAACGGAGAGATGCAAGTTGGAATGGTTGTTGTCTTTCACTAGGCATGGGTCATACATGATTTTATTTTCACTCATTTTTATTTTTATTTTGTCTTTTTTGAAAAGATGCACGGAGAGATTTTCATTCAGGCATCTACTCTTATCATCCAGAAATGGAAGGTATCTGCAATCTCTGTTTATTTCTATCACCATGCAGATTATAAAGCATATTGTATAGTTTCATGTTTATAATTTTTATAATGTAAATGTTTATATAAAATGTGTATAATTCATACACTTTATATCAAATATGATGTTTATAATTTTCATTGTAATGCTTATAAGTTTACTGTGGATTTTCTGTCTATATTATATGATGAAGAACTTTAGACAGGGTAGAACTAACACACTTTCAAATACCAAATTCTTTGATATCAAAGTTGCAAAACTTTGATATCAAAAATTGATAACAAATAATAAATAAAATTGTCCTTTAAGAGTCAACAATAAAAATCTTTCATTTTAGTACAAACTGAACCTGGTACATGACAACGTTTGGATTAATAAAATTCCATTTTTGATTCAAACCTGAAGTAAAAGAATGAATGAATTGGATTAGCATGAACTTCTTAGCACACAGTAGCATGATTTAGCTGGAAAAGCTGAGCAATATATTAAGAAATAAAATCAGAATGATTTATAATCACCCACTCTTTAGAAAAAGTGTGAAAGAAAGAAACATTTAAAAATAAGTAAAATTGAAGTGGCTTCAAAGAAAGAATTAATTCCATAGCGATGACAGTGAAGTAGATCATAAAATGCATAATATGAGAAGTGCAGAATAACTATTTTTCAAGTGTAATACTCTAATAGTATTTGTGTTCCAATATTTTGACAACTGCTAAAAATGGCAGCTGCCTGTAAAACTAGAATAAGTGTTGTCATAATACATTGCTGAAATTTTATATTTATTTTTTCACAAATTAGAAGTAAGTTTTGGTGTTTTCTGAACAGACTGCCAAATGTTCACCAGCCTTACAATTCACCATACGTTACATGAATTAAGAAAAGCACAGCTATGCTGCAGAGTGTATTTGTCTTCAAAACAGCCACTTTAACCAATGTAGTTCTCTGTCTTTATGCGCCTGGCTCAGCACATGAATAAATACACAAATGAGTGGTCCTGCCACTTCTTAAGCTTCATGATGCTTTCTACTCTCATCTTCTTTCTTCTCTTAAACAGGATTCAGGTATATCTGAATTCTGAGGCATATTCATAGTCTGAACCCTAGGCATTTTTTTTTTTTTTTTGAGACAAAATCTTGCTCTGTCACCCAGGCCGTAGTGCAGTTGTGTGATCTCAGCTCACTGCAACCTTTGCTTCCTAGGTTCAAGTGATTCTCCTGCCTCTGCCACCCAAGTAGCTTGGACTACAGGTGCAGGACACCACGCCCAGCTAATTTTTGTATTTTTAGTAGAGATGGGGTTTTACCATGTTGGCCAGACTGGTCTCAAACTCCTTGGCTTCCCAAAGTGCTGGGATTATAGGTGTGAGCCCCCATGCCTGGCCTCTACCCTAGGCATTCTATAATAAAATCAATAATACTTAAATACATGCACATTCATAATAAATATATTCAGCACAGCCATTCTGTGTTACCTTGACAAATAACAAGTACTTAGTATTCAAGAAAAAAAGAGAAGTGTCTATTAATACATCTCTTTCATAATTTTACATAGAACTCATCAGCTATAAAACACAGTTGAATGGACAAACCCCTAACCAATCTCTTAGATGCAATTTTGTGTGAGAATTCCTGCTTTGTAGAAGACAGTCAAATTCACAGTTGCATGCCCATGGCAACTTCCTCAAAAAAGTACTCAGGATTTTTAGGGAAATAAATATGACAGATGCAGACGGTGGAGAAATGGAGAAACCACCACCATTTACTCGTAGCTGCAACTATCCTCGTTTTGCATTAGGTAGTTTATATGAAACATCTTTGTAACTTTTCAGTGTTTTTAGAAATTATTCCTTTCTAAGATATCTCTCCCAGAGAGAGGCTGGAGAATTTATTCTTCCATACCAACCTCCTTCAAGTGCATCTACCTCACCAAAGTGATTCCTATATGGCACATCAAATATTTCTTAGTTTAAGCAAACTAAAGTTCACTATACTTAAGGTCATTTTATACTTTGAAAGGCTCCTGGATTTATTGGCCGTGCTCAGCTATGATATAGAACCATAGTTGTTGGGTTTTTTTTTTGGAGGGGGCAGGTATCAATAAATATTTTTGGGAGGAAAATGGAACTGCCATGTGAATCGATGATTTGAAATAATATCAAGTCTACTGTTCAAAAGATAGGGAAGAAGCTATTTTTTCTCCAAATAGTAATATTTCCCAGGGAGTCAGGATTCAAAGGTAAACTAGATCATTTAATTCAGTGATTCTCTTTGCTCAGAGTGGGAGAGTGGGGTCACAAGAACTCCCTTGCAGAGGAAACTGGTGCCATGAGGGTGAGGGGGTGTTGCCAGTAAATGGAGTCCTTCTATTCAATTTTTAATTGAAAAATAAAAATTATATATAATATATATTTATGGTATACAATGTGATTTTTGATGTATGTGTACATTGCAAAGCAGTTAAATCAAAATAACATATCGATGAACTCACCTACTTATTATTTATTTGGTGGGTTGATAAAAGAAAAACTTCAGCCGAATTACATTTAAAGGAGTTTAATTGAGCAATGAACAATTCGCGAATCGGGCAGTCCCCAGAATCACAGCAGATTCAGAGAGACTCCGGGTTGCCTCATGATCTGAATGAATTTATAGACAAAAAGGTAAAGTGACGTACAGGAATTGGAAGTGAGGTACAGAAACAGTGAGATTGGTTACAGCTCAGTGTTTGCCTGATTTGAACGCAGTTTGAACATTGAGCAGTCTATGAGTGGTTGAAGTATGGCAGCTGGGATTGGCCAACACTCAGCTATTGTTACAGGCGCATATTATTAAGTTAGGTTTTCAATTTTGTCTGACTATTAAGCTAAGTTACAGTTCATCCACAAGGACTCAAATATAGAAGTACGGAGTCCTTCTCAGGCCATATTTAGTTTGCTTTAACAGGGTGAACACTTAAAAGTCTACTCTCTTAGCAGTTTTCAAGCATACATTATTATTAACTGTGTGTTTCTTGAATTTATTACTTCTTCCTAACTGAAATTTTGTATTCTTTGACCAACATCTCCTCAGTGCCTGATCACTTACCTGTGGAATCTAAAAAAGTCAAACTCTTAAAAGCAGAGAGTAGAATGATGGTCCTTCTATATTTGCTTCTGTATTTCCTGTGGAACAAACGATATTCTGGTTTTCAGGATAAACCAATTCCTTTCCTATATCCACATCCTTCTCCCCTTCTTTGTTGTTTCTTTCCCTACTTTCCCACCTCTTTCCAATGCCCTCTCCATTCCTTGCCCCAGTCAGTGTCATCTTTTTGTTGAAACTTTCTTAACCTGCTCCAGGAATGGCTAGAGGCATCCTCCTTTTTGTCCACATGCTCTGTCCTTGTTCTGTGAATGGTGTTCACTGCATTCCATTTCGTGCTACTCTTAGATCTGTATCATTCTGGGCTGAGGGCTCCTTGACGAGGGAGACTCTACATCGCTTACCTTTGTAGCAATATGGCGGCCGAGCAGGGGTCAGTGCGTGTCTTCTGTATAGGCAGATGGTAAACATTTTTGGCTTTGTAGACCATAAGGTTTCTGTTACAACTACTCAGCTGTGCTGTTGTCGCAAGCCCAGCCATGATCAATATGTAAAAGAATGGGTTTACAGTAGCTATCTTTACAAACACAAGTGGAGGGCTGGATTTAGTTTCCTGACCTGGTTTCATAGAGTCCAGTGGGATCTAATAAATGGTCATGAGAGGGATGACTTAAAAATGCACACATTCTTCAAAAGTTAAAGCATTCAACATGTTTTAATCAAGTATAAAAAACTAAATAGAAATTAAGCACTAAACATAAATATACATATGTGTATATGTTAGAAATACATAGTTCTGTAGTAAGACTTAATACAAAGAAGGCAAGAAAGTGATGAATACAAGATTTAGGATAACAGTTTCTCTGGGCAGAGGAATGCAGGGAGATGGAATAGAGGAACCAAACAGCACAAATCTGTTATTTTTAAAATTGTATTTTTGTGTGGGTGCCTATTATATTATTATAAACACAGTAACAAATAAATAGGTCATTCAAGGACTAATGATGAGAGTATTCATGAGTCAAGAATTATGTTTAATATATTTTTTAGGTCAAAGCCATAAAAGAAGTTCTTATAGTTATCCCCATCCTTATATATATTCTTAACCTTCCCATTGATCAAGATTCTTCAAAGATGGCAATATTACTTTGATGTCTTCAACACATTCTCAGTGTCTCAGCTGGTAATTGTTGAGGCCAGAGTTTTAAGCAGATTCAAAATGCTTTAGGTGTTCTTTTACCAGGATTGTACTCCTAGTGGATGATTAGAATTATTAGAATCGCGTCCTGCTGTGATTCTCAGAGCACCGGCTTCAGAAGTGGGCAGGTGCTCTACGAGGAAGCTGGGCTTGGAAACCCAGTGTAGCCTAGTGGGTAAGCCTATAGCCTTCAAAGCCAGACTCTGTGGCTTCAGATTTCCACTCTGCTTCTTACTCCCTGTGTTAATGTGGGCAACCGCTGCTTTTCCTCCTCTGTAAGATGGAACAATTGTAGCATATACTTCATAGGGGTGTGGTGGGCATGAAATTTGCTAGTAGAGGAGATGTTTCCAGAAAAGAGTTGACACATAGTGGCTGCTGATTAAATGTTATCTCTTGTTAGTATGATTATCAAACAATTTCGGTTCCTGTTGTCATTTAATAAGAATTCTGGAAGGAGACATGAGCCTATTTTTTGCTTAGGGATTCAGAAATATTAGGGACACATTTGGTGCCACTCTCTTTGGTCTCTGTCTCCATGATGGTCACGATATGACAGCTGTAGCTCCAGTGATTTCGTCTCCATTCCACAATGGGAGAAGGAAAAATGGGAGAATACAAGGGATAAGCCAGATAAGTTCATATCATAGCAAGGCACACTTGTCCAAGCCAAGGCAATGGTTTCCTTTTAAAGACCATTGGGTAGATCCATGTCACACAGAGCATCACCCAGCTTTATGGCAGGATGGACGATGAAGTCCTATTCTAGTTGGTTATATTCTAACTCAGAACAAAGCAAGAGGACTACTCAGCCTGAAGGAGACGACAATGAACATTGGGCAGGCAACTTGTAAAATGCCGAAAACTGCCACTCCTTCCTAACCATGCTCATTCTATTCTGTCCAGCCTAGCACCAAGGTAAAGCAGAAGAGAAATCGAGCTTTGTCTCTTTGTCAACAGTGAAAAGTGTAACTTCTACAGCAAGCAACAGGTGGTGTTCTTCTGCAGCAACTGTAACATTATAAACACTTTTCTGTTGTCATTTTAGCATTTTTGTGTGGTGGTCAACTTGTTCTGGATCTGAACTTTCTTGACACTACAATTATATTCTGGGCCTCTCTTTTGTAGTTTCCCTTGAGGGCTTGTTAGATAATCTGGATATATTATTTGAAAATTATTGAGTAAGAGATCACCCCGATCCTTAGACTCGTTGTGATTTTTCGTACAAAATTTCATTTTTTGAAAATACTTGTTCTGCCTGAGTATTTTTTTCATGGAGAATCTCGAGTAATGCAATGTATCTATATCTACCTATATCTATATATCTCAAGTGGGCACATTCAAAATTCCACCTTCTGTGCCTATAAGGAACTCCTCATAGATAGTCAGATAGTTTGACTCATGCCCACCCCCAAAATATTAGCCCCAATTAATACTTTCATCTTGATCAGAATTATGTCTTGAATATTAGATATCTACTAAAAATCAGGAGTGAATCATTTAATCCGTATCTTTTTAAAATCAGCTTACATGCGACTTACTTTTGAACTTTTAAGTTTTACTTAATGTTAAAATTAGTAAGCTGTTCAAGTAGTTCAAAACTCAAAATAAACATTTTGTGTTGTGACATTTCATACTAACATTTCATCAGTTGTTTTCAGGTAATCATATATTAGATTATTAGATTTCTGTATATTCTTCTGGTGTTTCCTTCATGCAAATATGAAAATGAATATGTAATTCTATTTAACCATCTTTCCAACACAGAAGTCAGCGTTCTATATGGATTATTTTGTACCATTTTTCACCTAATATATTATAGAAAGTCTTTATATATTTAGAACAATTCAATTTGATAGTTTGCAAACTATTTTACTATTCAAGTTCTATTTTGCAAAAGATCATCTACCTTGCTCTCCAACTTCCCTGGTATTCTCTCTCTCTCAGAAATTTACTTTGCTCTTCTCTTACCTCAAATAGGTGCTATTACTCTTAAAAACATACAAAACAAAACTAGGGTATACATTGCCTCTCACTACTTTCAGCGTGTTTTCTTAGAGATAAACCTTCAAAATCTCCATAATCACAAAGGCCAATCTTTAACATCACCTGATAGTATGTTCAGATCCAAAGTATGCCTAAAAAACAAAAACAATATAATTTAAAGCTCTTTGCATATCAAAGAATGATAAACCAAAATTTGTGTCTGTAGCCCCCAAGATCTGAAATCAACCACTTCAGGAATGTGCAAGTGATTTTCCGTGTATTTTTCCTTTTTAATGACCTGGGAAGGTGGATTTTCTTCTACAGACTCGGTACAGAATTGGAAGAAGCAAAGTTTATTAGTGAGCCATAAGGTAGGTATTGATTGTTCCGGAAAGTTTAAGGGAGCTGGAATTCGTGACTGACGTTTATAAAATCATGGCATATGGAAACACTTATATATTTTTATTGAGCTAATTTCAGAATACCACAACCAGGACACATTCCTGGAAGTCAGAAAGTCATAGTTTTAGGACAAATGCCACAACCATTCTTTACACACCAGATAGGAAGGATGTAGACCTCGTTTCTGGAAAGGGCTATAATAGATAGAGAGTATAAGTAGGTATAAAAGTATTTCAATATATTTAGGTGATGAGTCTACAAAGAAAACAGAAAAGACTAGAGATGACTGATTTACATTTCTACAATTGGACAAGACATTGTGTTGGGCATTTAAAGGAAGAGTCTTTATGCAGAGATCAAACATGGAGCACCACATGGCCTGTGTAGTTGGTCTGACTCAGTACTGCCTAGGCTAGGCTCTTATCTGAGGTGCAGATCTCCCCGTGAGATCTCTCCGTCTCAATCACTGAACTGGGATCTTCAGCTTTGCCCAGTGTCTTCATAGTAGCTTGAAGCTGAGCTCATCTTAGGATATGGTTAAGCTTGTGGCTCCAAGTAAGAATGGCTGAACGAAGGTTAGGGGGTGATGAATGCAATGTGGTTGGAGAAGGAAATGTTTATGAGAATGTACAGCTACCCTAGTCATGGATTCATCCCCAAGAATAGTTTTGGGGGATAAGATGATGGAAGGTGAAGTAAATAATTCATTGGGGATGAGATGATGGAAATCAGTGTAAATGGTTTATTGAAATAAGATAATAGAAGAAGTTGATAGAAATAGTTTACTGGGGACAGGATGATGAAGGTTAGTATAAATATTTATTGGATATAGGATGAAGGAGTTGGTGTAAACATTTTACTGTGAATAGGATGGAAAAAGTTGATATAGTTTATTGGGGGATAGGGTGATGGATATGGTGTAAATATTTATTGTGAACAGTGAAGGAAGTTGGTGTAAATATTTTATAAGAGATAGGATGATGGATATTGATATGGTTTATTGGGAATAGGATGATGGAAATGGTGTAAATATTTCTTGAGAAAGGATGATGGAAGCTGATGTGAATAGTTTATTGGGGGGTCAGATGTCAGAGGTTGGTGTAGTTTATTAAGGGTAGGATGATGAACGCTGGTGTGAATAGTCTATTGGAAGTAGCATGATGGAAGTTGACCTCAACTCTAATTGAATTGTGTATTAACCTTCATGATCTCATCTCAGAAGTCATATTCCTCTGGAATGAAGACCACGTTAAATGGGCGTGAATGCTCGGTGTGTGCTGGCTTCTGTCCCAGATAAATGTGACCTTTAATTTTTATCTTTTATCTGATCCATTTTTATGCATATTTTCTGGTAGTCTGTTTAGTTGTGTTACTACATATTTAATATGCTGGACTGTTTATTGTCATTAAAAGGAATGATACACATGATGTTGTAAGCTTTACATTCACATGTGTCTCTGAAACCAAACACAGGCTGTGAGCCAAAAGGCACTTAATGGATAAATGGATGGGTTGATGTTTTAGAAATGCAGCTTTCACTGAAGTGAGAGAAGGTAAGAACATATGCTGATATGCCAACAATCAGCTGATTTAAAGATTCACAGACTTATCGGCATTCTCACAAGTCTTGCAGTCAAGAAATCTACTTCGTTTTGTTTAACCCCGGGATTTCCAAACTCATTTGACTCCAGATTTTTTTTCCAGTAATATTGTTGGAAAACCTTTCTGAACAACCCATATGCATTTGTACATACCCTGATTTTTATTGGGTAGTTTACACATGAGGTCCTACTTATATGAGCGACAAAAACTTATTTTTAAAAAGTACTCAGAAAAAGTATAAATACTAGATATTTGTGCATGAAGTGAATTGGCATTCAGAAACCTTTTCTAGATTTACCTCAACTTCACTTTTTCTAACAATTGAAATAGAATATGCTTTAGGAATCTTTTCAGTTGACTTTAATAAATACTATCTCAAGGTATTTATAGATCAAAATTTTAGAATAGTCTTGGATTTATTTTGGTAATGAAAGAAAAAGCAAAACAACATACCTCTTAAAAGGTTTAGGCTAAGCATAGTTTATGGCAAAATATGAGTTCTTGACCTTTTATTTTAACCAGAAGAAATTGTTGGGTTCCTTGTGGACAAGTTCTTTTGGGTTCAGCCCTGTCTGTGCTCAGGAAAGGGTAAGACCATGCATATTGTCAAAGAAGTGGCTGTCTTATGGAAAAGTTGGGGACAGCAGGGTGTAGCAAGTAATAAGAAAAATAAGATATGCACAGGAATAATTGTAAAAATATCTGTTATACAAACATGACCTTGGATGTGTCCAATATAAATGCAACTGCTAGACCTCTATTAGTGTATTCCTACTCCCCAAAGAAGTTATGGGAATTACGTTAAATTTAAAAGCAGGAAAAGTTTGAAAGTTGATTGACATCATCCTCTTAATCTAAGACCTGCCATTTTTGTTAAATTCTTGTTAAGTCCCAGAGGCTTGTTTTAGAAAATAATCTACTCTACCAGCCTCTCTGAATGATAGTCCTGCAAAGACTTACTCCATCTACTATTTTTTCTTCACTTCGTGAAGCTAACTCATGGATTCCTGTGCGATATGAATTGTGCTTTAGTGCAGGAGCACTGGATTACAGATGAAATGACGTGGATTACGGTGCCTGGATTGGCACTCACTCATTCATACTTAACCTGTCTGGACCTCAATAACAACATCCGCAAATAACTAAAGCCATAATCACCCATGGTCATTGTTCATTATACGAAATGCCAAAATGCAATAAATTATGTGAAAACATTGAAGTTATGATGTCATGCACACATTGTAAATTAAATACCCTTTCTATTGACCATATCTGCCTTCATCAACCACTTGAAACTGATCATTAGTCAAAATTGATTTCCTTTGCCATTTGCCCACAGGCTTTGGTTGGGAATACCTGTCCTTAGATACCTTTTGGAGGCACAGGTGGCCTAGCAGCTTCCTGTGAAAGGAAAATTTACGTGCCTTCAGATTGAGAATTCGATCTGCCTCTATGATAGTTCCTTTTCATTTTTATTTAATTTGTAAAATTAAGATACATTTAACAATTACCAGATACTTGAGGTGGGAATATATCTGATGTACTCCCAGAACCTCATAACTTTTGGTAGCTAGTTGACTTATTGCTAATGCGACTGCTATGCACGACAGCAGGGAAAACTACCTTAAATAGGAATTTTGTTAAGGTCATGTCTTTTTAATGGCATTCTGTTGTTGTTGTTAAACCTGCAATCTTTCTTTATTGGACGATTTTTGTCCATGCTGTTGATTCCATGAATATCCTACTATTTGGCAAAATGTTAAAAGAAAGAATCAATATTTTATATTGATTTAGCTGAAAGTAGAGAAAACATAAGCGTTCAGTAATAATAGAAGCTGAGAAAAGCCGGAGTTGATTTAGACTCTCATAAATTAGGGGAGTTTTGTATCTAGGACTTGCTTTGTTCAAATGGCAATGGGAATTCCAAGGGGAATGCTGACTTCCCAATTGGAAGACAGTATTCAAGACATCATGTTAGACCAAAAATCTAGCATGTTAACTCCCTAAATGATTACTTTAAAATGAGCACTGTTAGATTTTTCTGGATTTCTAATAGTCCAATTTGAGGTGATGACATCCACTGTTCTTTTTTAATGACATACATTCTCTCTTCCTGATATCATCAATGATTTATCCCTCTTTTGATTCTTTCACCTTCTTCCTTCGTACAACAATCTTATTATTTTTTTTTTCAAAGTTCACTGGGGAACATTTCTGCTCCCTGGTGTGTATTTGCCATATATAAGCTAGGATTGTTTTTCAGTAATTCCTGGTGAGTTTAATTTTTTTTGTGATGTTCTGATCTGCTATGTCTTTACTAAAGATTTTTACCTTGAGATCTTATAATATTAATATAGGCAGAATAAGAGGGTTGTAGTTACTATTTTCCTGGGATGTCTTTTTCTCTTCTGTTACTTTCGAAATTTTATGTGTCCTGAATGTTTTAGGGATGGCCGTTTTCAGCTGGACATAATGAGATATTTTACAATCAAAGGTCAAATTCTCTCTCTAACAGTTGAATTTAGTCCATTTACATTTACTCCATTTTGGTTTAATTTCTCCCATTGTAATTGATACTTTTTATTTGTCCTGTATTTTCTGTGTTTTCTTTTCAACATTCTAGATTTATTTTTGTTGTCAAAGAAATTTTGCTCTATGTAACTTCATCTGCCTCTCCCTTGGTTTGAAAGATTACACTCTATTTCTATCCTGTTATCGGTTACCCTTAAAATTTTGAATACTCAGAGAGTTTAAATGGAATCTGTATTTCTACACTTCTATGAAATATCACAAGAAGTTGAGAATACTTAAATTCCAAACACCTCCTTTGCATCTTTTAAGTTCTTCCTTCCTCTTCTCTCCTATTCTGGTTGGTTACTCCCAAAATTAGACATTATTATTTTTGCTTAATATATTTAGTATTTGTGTAAATGTAATGGCACTAACCAATTTCCTCACTCACCAGTCTCAGTATTTGAGTTGTTTTCCTTGTTTCCAAGGTAATTGCTTTTCGTTGTGTACAATTGGCTATGTCTTGGATGTTTTTCTTGATGACTAGGTGTACCATTTTTGCCATAGATAAAGGTACTCTAGGTTGATGGTAATTTTCTTGCAGCGTTTTGAAGACACTTTATTCACTGCTTCCTGGCTTCCTATCTTTGCTGTTGAGAAGCTTCCATCAGCCTAATGGTTGATTTTTGTAAGTAATGGCTCCTTTCCCACCCCTGGCTGTTTTGAACGTCATCTCTATGACTTCCGTAGTTTGCCAGCTCCCTACATTCCAGCTAAGTGTAAATTTCTTCTTAATTTATGTAGTTTGTGAATTACTGAGCTTTCTGAATCTGAAGAGTCACAGCTTTCATAAATATGAGCTCTTTCCAGCTGTGCTTCCTGCTTTACTCTTGCTTTTCTAGTATTTAGGATTTGGATCTGATGTATATCAGACACATTTTAACTATTTTTTTTTTTTTTTTTTGAGATGGAGTCCTGCTTTGTCGCCCAGGCTGGAGTACAGTGGCTTGATCTCGGCTCACCAGTAGCTGGGACCACAGGTACATGCCACGACTCCTAGCTAATTGTTGTATTTTTTGTAGTAACGGGGTCTCACTATGTTGGCCAGGCTGGTCTTGAACTCCTGGACTCAAGCAATCTGCCTTCCTCAGCCTCCCAAAGTGCTAGGATTTCAGATGTGAGCCACCACGCGTGGCCTAGAACTCATTTTTTTGTTCTCACTGTCTTTCTCACTCTTATGCTCCACTGTTTGTCTCTTTGTCCTACATTTGTGTATTATATTTAATATCTAATTTCTGATACACTGATAATTTTCTTCAGTGCCATCTAATCTTCCGTTTAATCTGCACTGTTTTAATTTTAACGTACTGTCACAAATGCTCTATTTGTTGTATCTTTTGTTTGTTTGCTTTTGCCAAATCTGCTTGTCCTTTTTTTTAAACCCTTTTTTTAACTTGATGCCCTGTTCATGCAGTCTGTTTCCTGCTTTGTTTTTGTAAACATCATAAATGTATTTGAGTTACATCCAAAAGTCTGTATGTCTGAGGTGTTACATTCTATGTTTGAGCATCCCAAAGTCTGAGTTCCTTGAAGGTCTAACATGTTGTTTGCTTCTACAGCTAACTCTTGTTCTTGGTGGCTTGTTGCCTTCTGTGGTTTTTAATTTGTGTTTGCACGTTTGTTAACCTGTGCATCTGTAAGAATCCTTTTGCCCATTGTTACGGGGGACGAACCACCTTCCCAGTTCTAGGCATCCTGTGTGTTACCAACATGATGCCATCTGATGTCCAGTTATTTTCTTGAATCTTCTTAAATTCTGCATCTAAGGTAATGTCTAACACCCAAACCTTTGCAAGGACAATTCTGAAACTACAAATTCATTACAGGAGACATTTTTTCCAGCCTGGACTTTAGGTCTAAAGGGTACACTTTTCTTTTTTCTTCTATTAGCAGGTGGATATCTTTTTTTTTTTCTTATATTAGCAGGTGGATATCTTTTCTAGTCCAGTACCAGACTGGCAGAATACTCTTTCGAGTTTGTAGCTGCAGGAAGGGCTTTCAATTCCAACCCCATCCTCGGTACAAGATCAATATCTTGTTTATTCTCTATCCTGATAATGACTAAGCCCCTCAGAGAGTTTCAAGTCTTCTGAACACCCAGGTTTCCTGACTTGCTGTGTCTCTACCCGCTAGCAATTAATGACTTCTGCTTTCCTAGAATTGGTTATGTGTTTTAAGGAACATTCCACTTTTTCTAGAACTTCCATGGGTTTTTAGTGGGAATGTTGTTTGGGCATAACCAGTCTGTCATATTGGTGGAAGCACAAATTGTACAGGTCTTCCTTTCCATTCATTCCACCTTTGCCTCTTACACTCACCTTCTTCAGTGAATGAGGCCAGTAGCTTCTCAATGAACCTAATTGACTGGACACTCTCTTATTTCTCTCTAGTGGCAATTTCTTCTATGAGTTTAATCTTATTGAAATGCTTTAAGTGTATCCCAATTCCCTGCTCCAAATCCTACTATACTTTTCCATTGTTCAATCATAAATTTAAATTTCTTCTGGAATTTTGGATCCCTTATAATTTTCACTTCTCTACTTAGACAAATGAGTGTTGACTCCCCCCATTGTACAAACTCGACTTTTTGTCAGTGTGTTTTAAGCAAGGTATCTAAAAATATTCCCTTCTCATTCTTATTGCCTTGATTCATTTTATTGTGCTCTTCTGTAGAATGACTTCTCTTCTTCCTTATTTTGAGGTAAATCCTAATCATTCTGCAAATCCCACTTTGTTTATGAAGATTTTACTAATCAAGGTGGCACCGACCCTCATAAAACTGTGAAGCATTTATTGTAATTGCTTGGAAGTAGCAGGTAAATACATTCAGACTTTTACTGCCTATTGTTTTATGGGCATTCACTTTGTCTTCTCAATTACTTTTAATTGTAGCAAAGATTTTTAAAAAATGATCCATTAATCCCAAAGTGCCTGGCATAATGCTCATTCTACTTAATAGAATAGCTGCACAAGACATGCTTTTAGAATGGTCTCTTGCAAGTAAAGGTAAACTAATGTTCCTTTAAGTTTTTTTTTCTTAGAATGAAGAACATAGCATCATTCCTTTAATTAATTATGATATTGCCTGCTAGGACTGGGAACCATTAAGTTCACACTAGATCCATCGTTTACCATGCAGCATGAGGTGGTGGGGGCAAAACATTCTCTGTGTACCTGGATCTCTCCGTACTTTCTCTAAGACAATGAGTTCATCCAGCAGATGCACCACGTCTCATTTCTCTCAGTTTCCCTGGTACTTAGCACGGTCTGTGGTTTTAGTCAGAACCTGATAAATATTCATCAAGCATATGGCTGGATCATTGCTTCTGGGACTCCTGAGATACAATCAGAGCACATCCTCACGTTGCCTCTTACTGTTCCCGGCAACGCCCTCCATGAGGGGAATCTCGCTCTTTCCACTGGCTTTGGTCACACAATCCACCATTCAGTTACACGAGACGTCCAGTTATAGACAAAAAAGTTAAAGAAAAAACATCCTATTTTAGTTTATATTTTTTGAGACTAGGTCTCACTCTGTTGCCTAGGCTGGAGTGCAGTGGCACAGTCATACCTCACTGCAGCCTCGACCTACTGGGCTCAAGTGATCCTCCTGCCTTAGCCTCCTGAATAGCTGGGAGTACAGATGCACACCAAGACATAATTTCTATACCTTTTTTATTTTCAGAGATAGCGTCTTGCTCTGTTGCCCAGGCTGGAGTGCAGTGGCATGATCATAGCTCACTGCAGCCTTGACCTCCTGGGCTCAAGTCAGCTTCCCAGGTAGCTGGGACTTCAGGTGCACCACCATGCCTAGCTAATTTTTGTTTTCTTTTGTAGAGATGGGGTCTCTCTTTGTTTCTCAGGTTGGTCTCGAACTCCTGGGCTCAAGCAATTCTCCCTGGCACAGCCTCCCAAACCAATGGGATTACAGGAGTGAATCACTGTACCCAGCCAAGAAAAATCATCTTGATTTAAATTCACAACTTAAATTGTTGTAAGGGAGGCCAAGATGGGAGGATTGCTTGAGCCCAGGAGTTGGAGAACAGCCTGGAAAACATAGCAAGAACCAGCCTGGAAAACATAGCAAGAAATTAAAATATTTAGCCAGGCGTGGTGGAATGTGCCTGTAGTCCCAGCTACTAGGGAGGCTGCTGACATGGGAGGGTCGCTTGAGCCCAAGATGTTGGGCTGTGATCATGCCACTGCACTCCAGCCTGAGTGACAGAGTGAGATCCTTTCTCAAAAACCACCACCACAACAAAAAACCCCCAAAACAACAACAATAAAACACCGAATAAATTTACAACTTCTCCTTTTCCCCAGCTGCAGCTTGATGAAGACCAGTCAGTTAAAGTATATGGGAAGGGGGTGATGTCTCTTTTCTTACCTCTCCTTCTTCCCTATATGGTGGCTGTTTTTCTTTTTTTTTTTCCCAGGGTCTACAAGAGGGAGGAGAGGTAAGAGCCTCAGTAGGTTCTTACTCAGCAGGTATCATGACACTCTCATTGATGACACTCTTTCCTTGCTTTCTGGAATTAGCTAATGGTCAAGACTGAAATGCTCTCTTTTGGACCCATTTGTGGGCTCTTTGCTATCTCCTGTTTCTTATGGCCAAAGGCAATGTGTGTTGCTCTTCAGGATGGCAACTCTGAAACCTCCTCCTCTGCTTCTGCTCCTGGAGGGCAAGAGCAGAGAGGGGAAGCTGCGTTTGCAGGCTGCACACGTGGAAACTCATCGCTGTAAGATGATCTCAAGCCAATGCAGATGTGCAGGGTTCACCCTGGTCCTTTTATGACGATCCACATGCCATCACCCTGATGATAGGAGGAAGTGAATTTTCAGACACAGCCCTGTGCTCTGCACCACAAGGCAGTTTCATATTCTCAGGAGAGAGTCAGGTATTCCCAAGTTCAGGGGATGCACATCAAGTTTGAGAAAAAAAAAGCGACAGAGAAGATTGAAGGGAAGGCGTGCTGGGGACATAATGTTAGGGAACGGGGAAATGTCATATACTTGTTATAGTACATATGATAACATATAAAAACACATATTTGAATGAAAAACAGAACTATAGAAGAGAATTGTAACATAACAGAGTCCACAAAGTTCATAAAAATTGGCTCCATGTTTGACCTTCCACAAGAAAAATAAAGCCCATTGATTCATTAGGAGAAACGGAGGTTGTTCTAAAACATAAGCCTGGATATTTTTAGATGGGTTTTAATATAAGAGATGGAGTAGTGAACATTTGCCATCATATCCTTACAACCTATGAAAGGGCTGGCTTAAAGGACATATGTGCGTTGAATCCTTCAACACGTGCTGATGATGTATTAGGCTGGTGCAAAAGTAATTGCGCTTTTGCCATTAGTTTTAATTTTTACTTTTAGTATCCATGCTAAATTTGACTGTCATGTGGTGGCAAAAATCAAACAAACAAACAAATAGGACTCATTATCCAAATACACAGAGTACAAAATGTCCTGATATTTTAGAAATCTAGAAGGTAAGTAAGCTACTTCTCCTTCAATTACTCTTCATTAAGACAATTCTTCTGACTGGGCTTGATGAGAACTTAGGTAGGATGTAGTGTGGAATTGTTTTTTCTGATAAGCAATTATAGCTGGCTCATTACTGATATTGACAGAAAGTGGATCTATGCACTTTAAGGATCACAAAACAGAGCGTATTATGCACATCTTACATTGCAAGTTATGAAATTTGAAGGAGATTTATTTGAGAAATGAAAGAAGGAGCAATAGGCATTTCTCAAAGAATAAGAAAAAATATATGTAAGCAATTTACATATCTTCAGGAAAGTCACTTTCCTGAATATAATTTAAATACCTTCAGGAGAGTCACTTTCGTAAAGATATGTAAATATCTTGAAGATACATGTGTCTGTATTTATAAATATAGATAGATAGCTACACACACACACACACACACACACACACACACACACACACATATATATATATATATATATATATATATATATATATATATATATATATATATAAAGATTCCCTGGTTTTCCTCCCTCACTCCCTGAAACACAGCCAAGAAAATAATGCATGATTTGACTTTTATTACAAGAAGTTATAAAGTCCATGCCATTTCTCAGAATCTCTTAGGTCTCATGGTTGCCAATTTTATTTTACCAGCAGAAATCAAACATCTTATTCGCTTCTCAGCAAGGCAGTCTCAGCAAAACTAAAATGCTGAAATGTCACCCTTTTGGTGGGGTTGATTGCATTGGAGTCCCTAGGAGATCACAGAGAGAAAAATGATTGATCATAAATACAGACGGTGATAGGTGTGTCTGTAATCACAGAGGGATGTGAGACAGGCAGACATGGTAAACAAAGACTTCATGAGCAACCACATGAGGGACATGGCCATGGTCTGTTTGCGGTGAGGCTCCGTGAATTTGCTTTTGTTTGAGCAAACATGTCATTTAATGTTGGAGGCAAAAGACTTCTCTGTAAATGGTTGTCCATTCCGTCACCACTCAGTAAATATGGAAGAGGTGGACTCTATGTACTAAAAGGAACAACGGAAAAAGGTTAAAATTATCTAAAATTACAAGTACAATTAGTATTTCTTTTCTAGGTCGAAGAAGCATTTCAGTAATGTCAAAAACAGGATACATTTAAGGGAACAGGAGTAAAACATGCCTACCTTTTAAAGGTAGATCTTAACATCCTGTCTTTACTTAAAGACAATTTTCCTTAAACCTCTCAACCTGGACTATTCCTAGAGCAATTCTTCTAAACTTTCAGAGACACAAATCTCCCACTTATATGACAAATACTTAAAATATGCCACTTGTTCTCACACATATATATTAATATTAATAATGATGATAATGACAGCTAATTTCATAGAGTGCAGTGTTTACTAAGTATCATGCAAAATAAATAATGATTCTCAAAAGCTCTGTGAAGTTTCCTACCTGCAATTCAAAGAAGAAATAGAAAGTAATGTGCAATAATATAATTTATGTATTTTCACTGCATGACACAAGCAAGTGCTCCAATATTTATGCGTGCACATCAAATCAGCTGTTTGTGATAGTTGCAAATGCCCTTGACACACGTTAGGAGTATGGGGTGGGGATGGTGAATTCTTTGTGCCAGGGACTCAAATACCATAAACAGTGTTGGAATTTTTTCTGAAATTATTAACAACTCTTGGTAAGTTTCCAAATAAATAAGCTATAATTTCCCCTTTAATTACTTGGCAACTGTTTCCTGGAAAGTTCAATGCTTATTAAAAATGTGCAAAAAAAAGTGCTTGAGTTTAGATATAAAATGGAGTTAGGTTCTAGATTTAGATTCAGGTCATCATTGAGAGGTTTTATATATACATAAATACCTAGCAGGATATTTCAAAATTGTTTTATATATACATACATACCTGCAGGATATTTCAAAATAGTATGGGAAATGATACAATTCTTCTTTTGTTTCATGTTATGTACATTGCTAAACTTTTTCTCATTCCTGGCATTTGTCCACTAAATGTCAACAGTGATAATAAGTATGATAACAATAATAAAACACAAATAACTCACAAAATTCCACAATGACCCCCCAAGATGAGATAGAGCCATCATTGAATAATTACCGTTCTGGGAGATCCCTGGATAGACTTCAGGAACTCCTTGAACTCTGAAATTTGATGGAGAGTATTTATAGAGAGCTACGTTCTTCCAGGGAGGCTGTCCATAACCCCCAGAAAATTATCAAATGGTGGCAAATTCTCAAGCTCTCAAATTCTCGTGCGTGCTCATGCCTGTTATCCCAGAATTTTAGTAGAGATGGAGTTTCACCACGTTGGCCAAGTTGGTCTCAAACTCCTGACCTCAAGTGATCTGCCCGCCTCAGCCTCCCAAAGTGCTGGGATTACAGGCATGAGCCACCATGGCCGGCCTATTTTTCCTCCTTTTCAGTTCCGAATGTTCTCGTTCACATGCGGAAAGTGAAGTGATGGCTATTAGCATGATGGCTCTGTTAGCAAAAGAGCTTCACCTTCACAAGCACATGAATGGCATCAGTTTTCTATCTATAACATCAGAGGACAGAAATAGAATATCAATGAAGCTAATTCTGATAATGGCGCAGTTTTTTTTTTTTTTTCTAGCCAGTTCATGGAATAAAAGTAGAGCTTTGCAAATTTTTTTAAAATTATTATTATACTTGCAACTCTATGCTTGTTGTGAATGCTGGTCTAATGTGGACGATTACTGTGGGATCTGGCCAGCAGCCCGCAGTGCAACAGGGCTCTCTCTTTGTTCCCAGGTGGATCGGCAGGTTGAGAAATAATAGACACACACAAGATAGTGAAAGCTGGGTCCAGGGGGTCACCATCTTCTGCTCCCACGGTGCCAACAATGCACTGGATATACCAGCATTTATTATTAAGTTTAGTGAGGGCGGGGGTAGGTTAGTGAGGGATTTAGGGTCATTTGATTATGAGGTGAGATGGTCACATGGGGATGAAATAATTCCTTAACATAACATTTGTATGTAGAAGTACAGTACATTTGTATGCAGAAGTACAGTATACAGAGATAAGAATTTACAATATAGTGTGTGCGTCAGTAATTTCTAACAGAGCCTTAAAACAGAAACACAATCTTTCCATAACCTATGATTAGTAAGATATTAATTAGGAGTAACAATTGCAACAAAAGCTGGTTACAAACAATCCATGGAAACAGGACGTGAAGCTAGGCAACCGTTTAGACCAGAAATTCTCAGAAGGGAGTATGCCTTAACCCTAAAGAGGCCTAGAAGAGCCATGGCAAGATGAGGGCGTTTATAGCCCTATCTTATCCATATGGACAGGCACTCCCCCATGCGTCCGTTTATAGGCTCTCCATGATGGTCACATTCCATTCCCAGTGCTATGAACATCTGCTTTTCTGGGATAGGAATCTTGGTGATGTGAAACCTCCCTGACTGCACGTCCATTCATAGGCTCTCTGCAGGGGGAAGCACATCACACGCTGTTGGCTCGTTCTGGCAGTCCAACCTGGCATTGTCTTTACACAATCCTGCATGCAATTTTGTATTTACAATAATCAGGAGCATTTCATCTTTTATTCCATAGCAATAGTTTCAGGGGGTCTCCCTACAGAAGATGGAATTATTTGTTTTACTGTCATAATGTGATACCAATTTTATAAAACACACACCTTGGTAGGCACAAAGCTCTTACCATAGTAAGAAACCAATGGGTGAAACATATACTTGGGAGTAGTTGTGGTTCGCAAATCATTCATAATTGCAACAAGATGAACTGCACTATCAGAACATATCAAAATCAAAGCTGTAATTGTCCACAATTATAAATGTTTATAGTAGGCAAAAGTAGCAATTATCAAAGTGTGGTTTTCAGACCCTTGGAGTCCCCAAGATCCTATGATGGGGTTTAAAACCAGGTGGTCAAAACAACTTTCATAACATAATCATGTCATGTACCTTTTCCTGAATGCTGATATATGCACTTCAGTGGTAAAACGATGGTGAATAAAGCTACTGGTGCCTTAAAGCTAATCAAAACAGTGACACTGAAAGGTACAGGTAGCCATTGTGTTTTTTTTTTTTAGCACCATGCAGTCTCAGAAACAAAGAAGGGGAAGGGCCGTTTCACTTAAGAGTGACTTGGAGGAGACAATAAAATTGTATACAGCTCTTCTATGTCTGTCTTGTTAATAATCTCTACGGTGACATGGAAACTGCTTGAGAGCACTTCTGCTGCATACTGAAGTGTGATGGCTGTTTTTGGGAAAAACAAGTGTGACGTTGCTTCAGTTGCATGCTGAAGTGGCTGCTGTTTTCATGGAAGAGTGAAAGCATTTGAAGGAATGTCTGATGGACTCACCATGGTAATTCAGAATTGAATAAAGTGAGCCCTTCACTTCAAGGAAAAATCAGATTTTTGGAAAACTTTCATTGACTACTGAGAAATCCCTTTAGCAAAGCTATTTTCAAATCAGATTGCTGATGTCATTAACAAATGTGACTTTTGGGCCCTGTATAGTGAAATATGTCCACATATTGAAAATCTGCATAATTCAATCAACTGTTGTTTTCCAATTGCATGGTGCTAAAAAATTTAAGTGAGTAAAAACAAGACAAAACGTTGTGAGTGCGACACAGAGCAATACATTTTCCTTAAGAACATACAAAAAGTTCATGGTTGTGATTTTAGATTCCACATTGCACACAAACTTTAATAAACGGCCACATTATCTGAAAAGGCTGTTGAAATAGTCCTCCTCTTTTGTACAGAGAGGAATGAACCTTGCATGTAGTCAGGGTTCTCTCTAATCAGGCACCTGTGGGCTTTCTCACTACCTTCGTTGTTACAGGGTCACTCAAGGGCTGGCACAAAGGAAAGCAAAGATGAAAACAGGGGGAAATAATGAAAGTAAAAGAGAAGAATTGGGGTTTCTGCACCCTCTCTGAATGGTACAGCATCTCTTTCTTGATCCTTAAACCAGAACAAGTGCTTCTGTTATCCTCTCTACCTGTGCTAACGAGCTCAGTTCCTGGTTTGTTGGTGCATTGCATTCAGGATAAAGGACCCTGTATCAGCCCTTTCTCACACTGCTATAAAGAAATACCTGAGACTGGGTAATTTATAAAGAAAAGGGGTTTAATTGGCTCATGGTTCTGCAGGCCGTACAGGAAGCATGGCAGCATCTGCTTCATGGAAGGCCTCAGGGAGCTTTTACTCATGGCAGAAGGCAAAGTGGAAGCAGGTGTCTTACATGGCAGGAGCAGGACCAAGCGTGGGCGAGGAGGTGCTGCACACTTTTAAGCAACCAGATCTCATGAAAACTCAGTTACTGCCGTGAGAATGGCACAGAGGGGATGACGCTAAACCATTCATGAGAAACCGCCTCCATGAAAGCCAATCACCTCCCACCGGGCCCCACCTCCAACACTGGGGATTACAATTCTGCATGAGATTTGGTGGGGACATAGAACCAAACCATATCAGACCCCAAAGGGAAAGCAATAACCAGCTCATCACTGTCTTGGTGGAACTTGGAACTCTGTTCATCTTCTCCAACCTGTCTCCTCTATCATAGCAACTGTGACCTTGAGTAAGTACAACTTCAATTAGCACAATAAGCCATTACCTAATCTGATTTTAACATATTACAATTTCTGAATGGGATGTATTTAGTTTTTGTTGCTGTTGTTTTTTAATTAATAGGCTTTTTTTACATTTACTTATTTATTTTTTGAGATGGAGTCTCCTCTGTCACCCAGCCTGGAGTGCAGTGACATGATCTTGGCTCTCTGCAGCCTCCGCCTCCTGGATCCCAGCGATTCTCCTACCTCAGCCTCCCGAGTAGCTAGGACTACAGGTGTGCACCACCATGCTGGCTAATTTTTGTGTTTTTAGTAGAGATGGGGTTTCACCATGTTGGCCAGGATGGTCTCAAACTCCTGGCCTCAAGTGATCCACCTGCCTCTGCCTCCCAAAGTGCTGGGATTACAAGTGTGAGCCACCACACCCAGCCAATAGCCTTTATTTTTTATAGTCATTTTAGCTTCTCTGCAAAGTTAAGTGGGGCATCTTCCCGCTGCCCCACATATGAATAGCTTCCCCTACAATTAACATCATGCAACAGATGGTACATTACAATTATCAACCTACACTGACACATCACTATCATCCAAAGTTCACAGTTTACATTAGGATTCACATTAGTTTACATTAGAGTTCATTAGTGTTGTGCATCTTGTGGGTTTTGACAAATGTATAATGACATGGATCCACCATTACAGTCTCATGCATTTTCACTGCCTTAAAAGTCCTCTGTGTTCTGCCTATTCTTCCCTCCGTCCCTCAGACCCCTGTCAAGCACTGATCTGTTTACTGTCCCCATAGTTCTGCCTTTTCCAGACTGTCCTACAGTTAGACTGTCAGTCTGTAGCCTTTCCACATTGTCTTGTTTCTCTTAGTCATATTCAAGGTTCCTCCGTGTCTCTACTGGTTTGATAGCTCATTTCTTTTTCGGGAGGGGTGACATTCCATTGTCTGCATTTAACACAGTTTACTTCTCTGTTCATCTACTGAAGGGCACCTTAGTTGTTTCCAAGATTTGGCAATTATGTATAAAGCTGCTATAAACATTAATGTGCAGTTTTGTTTGAACGTAAGTCTTTAATTCATTTTGGTAAATACCTAGGAGCACAATTCCTAGATATTATTATAAGACTATTGTTGGTTTCGTAAGACATTTCCAAATTGTCTTCCAAAGTGGCTGTATTGTTCTGCATTCCCACCAGGAATGAATGAGAGTTCTTGTTGCTCTGTGTCCTCACCAGCATTTGGTTTGATCAGTGTTGTAAATTTGGGCCATTCTCACAAGTAGGTAGTGGCCATTTCATTTTTAGAGTCCTCAAATAGCTGCCCCATGCATCCTGTCCTGATTTCATAGCTTCATTCAGTGGGTGGATCAGGAAAACTTGTACATGCCCCATCTGTGAGCTGAATTGTTTTCTTGAACAATTTATATATTGAACCCCTAACCCCTAGGACTTTAGAATGTGACTGTGTTTGGCAATAGAGTTTTTAAGTACATGATTAAGGTAACCAAGGTCACTAGAGTGGGCCCTAATTCAACAGGACTGGTGCCCTTATAAGAAAAGAACATGAGGACACAGACCTACACAGAGGAAGGACCCTTTGAGGACACAGGGAGAAGATGGCGTCTACAAGCCAAGGAGGGAGGCCTCAGGAGGAAACAGCCCTGCCCACACCTTGATGTTGAACTTCCAGCTTCCAGAACTGTGAGAAAATAAAAGGTTGTTTAAGCTGCACAGTCTCTGTGATATTTTGTTATGGCAGCTCAAGCCAATGAATACACCACTTTATCACAAACCAGAATGCAAGAAGTATTTTTTTTTTTTTTGAAACGGAGTCTTGCTCTGTCACCCAGGCCAGAGTACAGTGGTGCGACCTCGGCTCACTGAAAGCTCCGCCTCCCGGGTTCACGCCATTCTCCTGCCTCAGCCTCCCGAGTAGCTGGGACTACAGGCGCCTGCCACCATGCCTGGCTAATTTTTTGTATTTTTAGTAGAGACGGGGTTTCACCGTGTTAGCCAGGATGGTCTCGATCTCCTGACCTTGTGATCCGCCCGCCTTGGCCTCCCAAAGTGCTGGGATTACAGGCGTGAGCCACCGCGTCCGGCCAGAAGTATTTTTTAACACTGCGCCCGGCCAGAAGTATTTTTTAAAGTGATGTGTGTCTGTGTCTAGAAATACTTTTTAATAGAACTAATTTATAGCTCCACCAATTTAATAACATTTATGTTCAGTGTTTGTTTTTAAAAATTATAAACTTTAGAAAATTATAAATTTGTTTCTGAGTCCCTATTTCTCTCAAGAGTCCTGCTTGAATGACAAAATTATGTAGTGGCCTCATTCAGCATCCCCCTCACTTTGTCATTCCAAACTTCCAATTTTCTTGTCCTTGTTTCTTCTTTTTAAATGACTAGTTTGTTATTTATAGGATCCATTGGAAACCTTTTCTTTGATGATCCTCTTTTCCATATTGGTATTAATCGTTGATCAAAATTATAAAATGTTACTTCAGTATTCAATAATATTAACAAAGTGTTTAATCCATCCTTGAAAATGAAGTCAATATTTTTTTGTTTTGTTTTGTTTTTTGAGAAGTAGTCTTGCTCTGTCGCCCAGGCTGGAGTGCAGTGGTGTGATCTCGGCTCATAGCAAGCTCCGCCTCCCGGGTTCACGCCATTCTCCTGCCTCAGCCTGGGCGCCACCGCGCCCAGCTAATTTTTTGTATTTTTAGTAGAGACGGGGTTTCACCATGTTAGCCAGGATGGTCTCCATCTCCTGACCTCGTGATCTGCCCGCCTCGGCCTCCCAAAGTGCTGGGATTACAGGCTTGAGCCTCCGCGTCTGGCTATTTCATTTTTTTAAATGACTGTATACAGCCATTGAACTAGCTCCACCATTGTGAGGCAAACGGGAGGGTCTCTGTGCTTAACTATTAGTCTATGTCTTCTGGAATAAATGAGACCTGGCCAGGGTTCTCTGGTAATTGGCAATTTACATAAAGATGAAAGAAAAGTGACATTAAAACCTGTACAAGTGGTTTGTGTCAACTTGGTGGGGGGGGGGGGGTTATTTAAACGTTGTCCTCTCCCATGATTATGGAGGAAGGTATAAACAAATGGAATTTCAGTTTGACCCTTTAGTATGATTCTTTGTGTATACACAGACTTTGAAGAGAGAAATCAAAGTGGCCATAGAGAACATTTGCCTCATGCAATTAACATTCACATCCATGCTAACGCATGTTGGGGTGGATGTCGGAGGAGAGCTGGATGCCAAAACCTGGAGAAAAGAGACCACTGACAGGCTATCTCAGTGATGTTGGGTAACACATTGAATGTCCGAGGCTTGGTCTCATCAATTCTTTAAAATTATATGCAACCTACTTCTTACCATCAGAATAAAATAAAGAAGCATGCATAAAGTGCTAAGTCAATTATAAAACATCATACAATTATAACTGATGACTTATTACCATATAATTATTATTAAATGATGCCTTTTTGAGAATGGAAGCTGAGTTCGTTGAAGTTCTGCCTTATCCTTTAATTATGGGATTCAATATTATTATTGTACATTTTTCATTCATTCTCATGATGATAGCATGAGTTATCCTTTGTAACTGTTAATATGCAGGCAAGTTTCCAAACTTCTCCAAATGCATGCATTTAGGATAACCATAAATCGACAGATATTTACTGAAATAATGAGTTCTAATTATGAATACAAAATGGATTAAAAGACATGAAGTATTTACCCAGCAATTGACCAGATTAGCTTAAAAGAAGGACTTAGTGGATACTTATTCTCATGATTTATTGCAAGGACACATAAATCTGTGCTTTCTGAAGTTTAAACTATATATTTGGCACTTGATTTATAAAACCTGCTAATAAATCCAGCTCAACTTCTCATTGAGAAATCATTATCCTAAGCATCAGCTCTTGCTAAGCATGAGGATTTATAAGCAAGGAAACACGTGTGCGAAACCTACCACAGATTGGGAAATCATACCAATAAATCTTGGGGAAAAAAAAAACACCATTTTATTTACAAACCCTTACCTGATAGTTAGGATATAAGTGAAAGATTTAGCAACTATGACCTTAAGTACAATTACAATTAGCATAATAAGCCATTACCTGATCTGATTTTAACACATTAAAATTTCTGAGTGGGATGTATTAGGCATCACAGCATGAAGAGGGATATTATTTTAAATAGACGCTTGAAGAGATTTCTACTTGCAGGAGTTAGAAGGCGTGGAGATGCTGTTTTTGTGCCCTGATAATACTTTTTAAAGGGCCAATGCACATTTGGCTGTTGGAAGTGGGGACTACTAACAGTTCACAGCCGCTCTGCTGCTCTGGAGAATGACCCTTGGTTGACAGTGAGTTGCTCCTCCTAGAAATTTATCTCTTATCTCTTTACCCAAAGGGTCCCAGAGCCAAAGACCCTCTGACATGGGAGCAGCTGGTTTTTTCATCAGTGAATCCCTCGCACCCAAATCCTTGTGTCAAGGTCTACTTCTAAGAAACCCAACCGAAGGCTTTCACTGTCTCTAACAATGCTTCACACACACATTGCCATTCAGACTCATTTGCATTACCAACTCCACATTTAGACAAGCTGGACCTCACTTCAAGTTGCAACTAATTTTTTTAATATTAAATCTCCTTACATAAGTCAAGGTCTGAGTGCTTTGAAAATAGCTTCTCGTTTTTCCATCTTGTGTTTGCTCATACAAAAATCAGAGGTGGCTTATGTGCAATCATTATCTTGCTCATACAAAAATCAGAGGTGACTTTTTATGTGCAATAATTATCTTTAAAAGTATATCAATATTTCGTTGGGTTTGAATAACCTGGAGCAGAAAGGCTAGGTAATTTGAGCTCTATGTATTTGAGTTGCATTTCAAGCTAGGCAAGAGGTCTCCACTGAAGATGAGCGTGCAATGAGATCCTGGCTTTCTGACTTCCAAAACCCCTGTGCCTCATCACAGACTAGAGTCATCATTAAGAAATGCATTAAGAGCACAGGACGTTCTGAAATGAGCACACAGTACTTTGGGAGCGAGGAAAACCTTTTCCATTACTTGTGGATGATGATGAATGTAGCTGTAGATGATAATGGTAATGATAGGGCTTAAAAATATTCAATACATAAGGAACATTCCATGCAGGAGCTACTTAAATGGAGCCAGGGCTATTAGTGCCTCTCTTTGGTGATTAACTTAGATGCATTCAAAATTTTGCCTTTGCAACTGTTATCGCCAGCAAGAGAAACTACAGAGGATCCTTCATCTCCCTCTTATGGCTTGGAAGTGAAAATGCAACCGTCATATGGAAGAGATTTGGTTCAATACATAGAATGGCGAAGATGAACGTTGAATTTTTATATTGATGATTAGCCTTAGGTGCAGAATACTGAATTCAGTAAGAGGGATTTCTGTGAGTATTTCTATGGACATTCATATCCTCTTGAGATGCCACTTTGCACTTGGGGAAAACTGAAAAATGGCAACTTCTAATAGCGCACGGTGGGTTGGAAGAAGGAGCTGCAGATCACACAGCCTGGATTCACGTCACCCCTGCACCTCTTGCTAGCTGGGCCAAGTCATGTAACTTGCCTCTTTAGGCAACAGCTCTCTATGCAAAATTGTTATAATGATAGCTTCCACCTCATGACAGTTGTGAAGATTTAATTGTGAAGTTAACACATATAGTATCTCCACAAAGCTGCCTGACAAGAATTCTAAATAACTGTGTATATGTATGTATGTGTGTCACATCTATATCTAATCTCCCTATCTGATATATATATACATATTCTATCTCGTGTTATTTATGTATCTATTGCATCCATATCTATCTCTATCATCTATTCCATCTATCCTATTTATCTACCATCTATTCTATCTACATCTATCTCTTCCTAATCTATTTCTCTCTCTCTGTCTCTCTCTCTCTCTCTCTCTCACCCCCTCTCTGAGAGAGAGCTATATATATATATATATATACATATATATATACACACACACGTATATATACATATATATGTGTGCATATATAGGTGTGTGTGTGCATATATATATATATATACTTATCGGTATCTGGGTGTTTTGTGTGTATATATACACACACTACACACACACACACACACACACACACACACACACATATGTGGCATTTAGTTAAATATCTTGGCAATAAAATTCTAACTTTCTTTCCAAGCAATAATGACTGGGAAAAAGCTCATGCCAGCTAGCAACTTTTCTCTTCTCTGTTGATCTTCTGTTCTCTTCACACATTCACTACCCTAAGCATCAACTTTTAACTACATTATACTGTACAAATTATTAGAGATGTTAATCACCTCAACTCTCAAGATTACCCTACTCAGAGGAAAGAATGGAAAGTTCAGACTACCAAGTTAGACCATGGCAAAGAAAGAGACTGACTTAGGAATACTAGAGACTATGCACAGAGATAAAGGTGTGTTACATTCAGAAAAAATAAGTACTTAGACTCTTACAACTGATGCTAGGAATTTTAAATGTAACCTAATTGCTATGACTGAACCTCATTATCTAAGTGTGTGAGCATATGTGTTTTCGCATATGCCCAAGATTCGCAGGGGTCTTATTTCTAAAAAATAAAAAAAGAAACAAAGGAATTATAGTTTCAAATAGGAGAATCTCTACTATTTGTTATTTTTGTGTATTTGCTGTTATGTAAACATACCACATTTAGAAAAAAAAGTGAAATGAATGAAAGGAAACTAAATCAATTGTGAATTAGATATTTCTTGTTATTCTTGAAACTTAGGAGGAACCACTTCACATTAGGAAAATTATGTCTGTAATTTTCCTCATGTCCCAAAAATATTTTTTGAGGGAGACAGTGTCAGGACTTGGATGTTGTGGAATGTAGCCATGCAACTGAGACAAGGTGTTGGGAGTTTGCTGGATGTGAGGAGGAGATGGAGGAAGGAGTAATGTGAATAGCATTACCATATTTCCCTTATGTCTTCTTTATGCTGGTTTTCAGAATATAATGATACACTAGAGAAATATTTTAAAATCCCCTATGTACATGCTCTGGATTTTATTTTCCATCCCTTCCTTCCCAATGGACTCTAGTTAATTTGGTTTTATCATTGCTCTGGATTGCCTTATCATTGCAATGCATATGTGTGTATCTATATCTATAAGTAGATATAGATTGATGATAGATAAATAATAGATGATAGATAGATAAACAGATAGGTAGAGATACATGAACCGGTAGATGATAGATCATAAAATAGATGATAGATTAGATAGATGATAGATCAACAAATGATAGATGATAGAATAGATGATAGATTGCATAGATAGATAATAGATAGGTAGATAGATAGATAAATAGAATTGATAGACAGGTAGATGGATAGATAGATATAAAGATATAGGTTCATTTGTAAAACTTAAGTAAACGTATCATGCTGAAGGTCATTCTTCATTTATAGTTAAATTTGAGATGGAATGAATTGATACCTGTAACTATAGTTTATTCATCTTGTTGATTATTCCAATGTGGGCAGTTTCTAACTTTTCGTTATTCCAAGCAAGTTACTGTTAGCATTCTTGTCCTTGACACTGCACCCATAGCTTGAGCTTCTCTCAAGTGGAAAGCTGGCTGGTAGGCTGAGCACATCTTCAATTCTCCTGATGTTTCAAGATAGCGTCCCAAAGTGGTTCTATAAATGCACACTATCTCCAACAGAGCAAGGGATCCCTTTTGACTTCATGTCTTCCTTGGTGCTTGATACTGTCAGACTTTACTTTTTGCCATCTTAGTGGAGTCTCATTGCTGTTTTAATTTGAATTTCCCTAACCAGCAGTAAAAGAGGTCTTTTCACATGTAATTGGTCATTCAGGTTTTTTCCTTCATTTAAATGCTCTTCTTTTCCTTTAATATGTCCTACAGAGGTTTTTTTCTCTTTACTTATTGATTTGTTGAAGTATGTGTGTGTGTATTCATAAATAGAGCTATATATAATAGCTATATCTCTATATATTTCCATACATACATATATATTTACATTTTTATATTCTTGATATTAATTATAATCCCTTTGAATAAAATATGTTCCAAATAGTTTTCACACCGGTTTTTCTCTTTTTTCAGGGTATCTTTAATTTTCAGATATGTTGATCATTTGTATTCAAATTAATCGATGTTGTTTTAAAAGAATTTGTTCTTCTTGTGTCTTATATGCCAAATCTATTCTATTTCAAGGAAATTAATATTTCTACCTATGGTTGCTTTCAAATCCTTCAAGCTTTGGTTTTTGCATTTAGGCCTTTAATCTCTCTAGATTTTAATCTATTTAATTTTTCATAGGGCATGAGATAGGGATCTATCTTTTTACCCGTTATGGATAACCATTTCACAAGCACTTTTATTTATTAGTTTATCCTTTTCCCAGTAATTCGTAACAACACTGCTGTAAATATGCTTCCATATATGTGGGAAAAAATTTCCAGGCTCTCTATGTAGTTTCATTCTTCTATTTTTTCAATGATTATTCCACAATTATGCCCTTACTTTCTGTAGCTTTATAATAAATCTTGACAAGTCCTCTACATTATTCTTTTTTTTGTTCTTTCAAAATTAAGTTAATCTTAATAATTTAATTAATTAATTTTAAAGAAAAGTAACTTTATTAACTTAATAAAGTTAATTTTGTTAAGTATGGAATTTTAACTGTAACTTTCTCTGGGCACTACAAACAAATCTCTGCTTGTTGGCTTCTGTCATTCCTACTATGAGCTGTATTGCTCCTATAATTATTATTCTGTTGTATATGATGTTTTATTTATTCTGGTTGCTTTTGTGAGTTTTCACTTGTCTGTTCTTGAATTTCAGTTTGATGTGCCAGGGTGTGGACTTGTCTTTATTTCCCCTGCTTGGGATTCATTTTGTTTCATGACTCTGCGTGTTCCTGTTTCATATGATTCTGGAATATTTCCATGATTATCTTTTGGAATATTGCTTGTTCCTTATTCTCAGGATGCTGTTATTCTCCATCACCTTTTAGTCATTATATCCTGAATCTCTTCCATGTACCTTCCTTCTCTCTAAAACTGACTTTGATACAATCTATCTGTTGATATTTATGTGCTGCATCCTAAGTAATTTTTTCATGTCTCTCTGCCCATTCATTTTTTTCTCAGTTCAGTCATGTGTAATCTGATCTTTAATTTATCCATCGAGGTTTAGGTTCCAGGGCTTACTTTTTACTTCTACAAGTTCTCGTTTTTATTTCAAACCCATCTGTCTTTTAATTACAATATCTTCCTCTTATTTCTGGTCCTTCTTCAATTCTAAATGCTTTTTGTAATCCAAATCTGATTACGTATTATGTTGTTGTGATTATATTGCTATTTGTGCCTTTTGACCATCATGAGCACTGGATTGGGACTTCACATGTATTGTGATTTTTTATTGTGAACTCATCTTCAGGAGGGTTTTTCAGTGGGAATTGTGTTGTGCCTTTTGACCTTCATGAGCATTGGGTTGTGACTTCACTATATTGTGATTTTTTTATTGTGAACTCATCTTCAGGAGGGTTTTATCAATGGGAATTGTGTGCAGCTCTTGATGAGCGTGTTCCTCTGTAGAAGGTTTTTAAATGTGTTTCTGCTATGAGCTGTAGTGTTGACACTCCCCCAGGACCAGTTCATTTTTTACTTGCATGTTGCAGCTTCGAGAAGCATAGTGATTGTATAAACTACAAGTCTGGATCCATGCAATCAAAATTAACTGTCAAAAATGTACAATAATGCCATTTTTATAGATCAAGAAAAAACAAACTTTCTTTTTCACTCTCCTATACTGGCAGAAAATTATCTTTACTTTGAAAGGTCTCAACTTAGTTGGTGTCTCAGTTCCAGCTCCATCAATCCCTGTAGTTTACTAAAACCAGCACAAAATTCCCAGGGTGGCAATAATGTCATGCACTTATATTCATGTTGTTTTGTGTTTTTTATTTTTGGGGTATGCTGAGTTTTTTCCTTTTGGAGGGGGGAATTTGATTTTGCGTTTAAAGGACAGCTGTTGCACCGTACATAGCACTTCTAGTTGTTTTCTAACAGGAGCATTTTCAGGTTATCAAGTTCTTCTCATCAATAGAAGATAAAGTTGTAGGGTTAGGTTTTTCAAACATAAATGCAACCCCGTCACATCCCTGATAACACGCTCACACAGTTTCCATTTTTCACTTGAAATACAATTCCAGTCTCTCTGACCTCACATTCTTTCATTCTTCCCCTCATCCACTTTATTCCCCTCTTTTATCAGTCGTTTAAATTCTTGATATCTGATTGCAATGCTTTCCCCCAGTAGTGTGTGTGAGGGGTGTGTGTATAAGAGCTCATTCATTTACTCCAATATCAGTTCAAATGCTACTTTCTAAGTGAGGCTTTCTTTTATCATTTTCCAAGATGCTTCCCAGTCCATTCTCTGCTTTAATTTTTTCATAGGACTTTCTACCACCTTCAAGTATATTTATGTTTGTTTGCTTGTTATCTGTCTTTTGCCCCTGAGATGTAAGGCTCAGGAAACAAAACTTTGTGCTTATCTTATTGATAGGTGTATCATCTTGACTAAAAGAATGCCTTACCCATATAGGCTCTTAATAAATATTTGTTGAGTAAGTAGCTAAACATCTTTATCTCTGTTACTACCTCAAAATTAAATAACACAGAGGGATTTTCAATCCAGGTGTTTTAATTTCCAATATCCAGATTCTTTATGAGCCTACTAGTTCCCTACCTTTCAACTCCTAGGATTTTGCAGAGAGAATTTAAAATGTATTAATGAGCCAGGTACAGTGGCTTATGCCTGTAATCCAGCACTTTGGGAGGCCAAAGCAGGTGGATCACTTGAGGTCAGGAGTTCGAGACCAGCCTGGCCAACATGGTGAAACCCCATCTCTAGTAAAAATACAAAAAATTTGCTGGATGTGGTGGCTTATGCCTGTAATCTCAGCTGCTCGGGAGATTGAGGCAGGAGAATCGCTTGAACTTGGGAGGTGGAGGTTGCAGTGAGTCAAGATCGTACCATTGGACTGCAGCCTGGGCAACAGGGCAAGACTGCCTCTCAAAAAAAAAAAAAAAATATATATATATATATATATATATATGTAAATGGTTTTCTTGCAAGAAGATACATATATCTGTTTAGGTGTATGTGTATGTATATATTTACACATATGTTTCTGTATTTTTATGTATATATTTACACATATATGTTTTTGGTGTATATATGTATATACTTACACATATGTTTCTGTGTATGTGTGTATTTATTTACACATATATGTTTTTGGTATATGTATGTATATACTTACACACATGTTTCTGTATATGTATATATTTACACATATGTTTCTGTATATGTATATATTTGTACATATGTTCCTGTATATGCATGTATACATTTACACATGTTTCTGTATATGTGTGTATATATTTACACATGTACTTGTATATGTATGTATATGCTTACACATATGTTTCTATATATGTATATATTTACACATATGTGTTTCTGTATATGTGTGTACATATTTACACATATGTTTTTGTTTATATATTTACACATATTTTTCTGTATGTATATATATTATTTTAGAGAGCATGTTATAATATCCACTAATACTATTATCATTCTTTTTTAAAAATATATTTATAATCTAACTCTAAATATGAATATTTAAAAACATATTTTTATGTAATGAGATCCATTGCTCAAAATGGTTTTCTAGTCTCACCATCTTCCTTTATCTCTACTCAGACTTTTTCTGTTTTGTTTTTCTCGTGGCCCAGGCTGGAATGCAGACTGCAATCATAGCTCATGACAGCCTCAAACTCCTGGGCTTATCCTTCAGCCTACTGAGTAGCTAGGACTCGGGGTGTGTGCCACCATCATGCTAATTTTTGAAACAATTATTTTTGGTAGAGATGGGGTCTCAATCTTGCTGTGTTGCCCAGGCTGGCCTTGAACTCCTGGCTTCAAGTGATCCTCCTGCCTTGGCCTCCCAAAGTGCTGGGATTTCAGATGTGAGCCACTGCACTGGCCAGAGGTTTTGTTTGTTTATATTGAGTACTTTTGTGCATATTAGTCTCAGTAAGGAAAGTAAATCTTCTGAGATGCTGCATATATTAAAAAAAATTCTTTTCTTTTTTCTGTTTCCTTTTTCCTTCCAGTAAAATAGTTAGTGTATATAGGATGCTTGGATCCCAGCTGTTTTCCAGTCATAGTATGTAATATTAACTGTTTTCTAGATTCCTGTATGGTGATGAGTATGTTTGATTCAAGACTAATTTTCTTTTTATTACAGGTAATCCTTCATTTGTGGAGGCTTATAAGGTTTTTTCTGTGCCTTTGTGATTAATCAATTTAATAAGAATTGTCCTTTTTTTTTCTATTTTTGCCTCCTACTTCCTGAGATAATTTTTTCATTTGTGTTTCTAAAATATCAATGTAGTTTATTAGCAGTGACTCATCACTTTTTAACTTGCCTTATTTATTGATTTTTAAATTTTACCAATATCATTCTTAAATTCAGAAAGTCTCTTTAAAAAATATCCTCATTTTATCTCCTTGGTGGTCACAAGATCTTTCATCTGTACTCTCTCTTTTGTCTCTCCGATTATATCCTCCTCATTAGATGTTGATAGTGTCTCTTCCTCATTTTTAAATGAGATAATAATTTTTAAAATTAATTGAGTTTTTCCTCTGCACCAAACAAAGCAGCTTACCAGAGGAGGCTCTCATTCTTTTTTCTTTTCTTTTCTTCTCTTTTTTTTTTTTTTGAGACAGGGTCTCACTCTGTCACCCAGGCTGGAGTGCAGTGGTGTGATCACAGCTCACTGCAACAACAAGCCCCTGGCTTCAGAGGATCCTCCCACCTCAGCCTCCTGAGTAGCTGGGACTATACACACACACCAACATGCCCAGCTAATTTTTTTGTTTGTTTGTTTATTTTCTGCTGTAGAGTCAGGGTCTCAGCATGTTGCCCAGGCTGATCTCAAACCACTGGGCTCAAGTGATCCACCCACATCAGCCTCCCAAAGTGCTGGGATTTCAGGCATGAGACATTGTGTCCAACCATCTCTCATTCTGGTGGGCAGTAGAAGATGGAGCAGTTTAATAGGCCAGTAGGCAACAACCTGCTCAAGTGAGGTCCACCCTTCCCTAAGAGGTAAAGGGAGGCTTCTGCTTCCAAATCTCTATAGGGATCAGGAGGGGAAAATGGTCATCCTCTTGTATGCATTAGGCACACAGGGTTCTGGCTGGGGAACAGTTGTGTCAACGCACTCAGGAAGATGCCCAGAGAAGAACCCACTCCAAGCAGCGAGGTGAAAACCTCCACGAGGCAATGCACTAGAGAGGTCTACCAGTATGGGCCACTAGGGGCTGGTCCTAAAGCCCTCTCCTAGGTGTTGCCCAGAGAACTCCCCCATAGGTTCAGGACCCCAGATGCCCTACTCCCTCCTTTTATATCTCTAGCAAGGTTTCTGAATACCAAAGGGACTAAAGCCATTAAGTTGCTATCCCTGGCATCTTCCAAAATATGTTTTCTAATTTGCAACCAATGACCAGCAGATTTTTCTCCAGCTTGCTTGTTTATTACTACCAGGTCTTTGAACTGTATATCCAAGCTGGGTGGTATCTGAGAGCTGACATACGCCAGAGATTTTCAAACTCTGTTCTGAGCACCACTTGGCCTAAGGGTGAGGGGTGGAGATTGTTAATGATAGAGGTGGAGACTATGAATGATAGAAGTGCTTTCTGATTGTTTTATGGATTGCTCTTGAATCCATTGCTCAGAATCTTATGGATTTCTGTTGTTCTTGTTTTTAAAGGATTGCAGTTTCAGCCACAATTTTATTTGAAGACTCATGATCCATGCAGCTTCCTCATTTCACATGATGTAGAAAAGCCACACGGCCCATCTGAGGCAAGGAGGCACTAACTAAAATCCAAGTGTTGCAGTTTGCTGCAAAACCATCCCCTTTACACTTGTGTGCAGGATGACCCTGCTGTATGAAGATAAAACAAACACACTCTTCCTCCAGGTAGATGCATTATCCTCAGCAGAGAATGTTCTTCTCATAATCCAAATGTGACACTCATTGTTTCTCTTTAATATAAATAATTAGACAAGAAGCCTTGAAATAAGAAAAGGTAAAAACACATGGGAAAAATACATATTCTTTAATGATGTTGTTTTTTAGGTGTTTCATGTCTTACTTAAAGTGTGCCTAACAAAGCCTTTTCTATTAAATAAGGATAAAACCAGGATAACCCTTTAAGAAGGTAACCAATCTTAAAAGCATCTTACATCATTGTTCTGGATTGAGCACATTCGACTATTATTGGAAACAACTGCCCCATAACCACCAAAATCACCATTATCCTGTTGCACAGACATTTCAGGCTATGTTTCCAAAGTACTTTTAAATCATTTTTATTAGTTATTACCCTGTGCTCTAGTTTTTTAATTGGCAGACATTGTGTCTCAGTGCCATGTTCCTAATTAAATCCCCAGACTAAACTGTGAAAACTGCCCCCATATTTTTACACGATGTGGACGCCATTTGAAAAGGGAATACATGAATTTTAATTATGTTGTTCATCTTTATGCAACGGAGCCAATCACTAGATTTTAGAAAAATATATTCCACCCAAGTTTGTCTAAAATGTTCCTACATTGGGGTTAATTGTATTCTATAATTCTATGCCTTGTGAAACAAGCTTTTAAAAAATAAAACAAAAAACAAATTCCCTTTATTAACCTTGAGAACATGAAGCTATGTGAAATAAACTTATCACAAGAAAAGAAATATGTGATCCCACTCATAGGAGGCTTCTAAAGTCATCAGATTTGTGGAATGCAATTCATTCAGAAAATAGAATGGTGTTTCCTGAGGGTTGGGGCAGGGGAAATGGGGATTTGTTGTTTAATAGGTACAGAGTCCACATTTTGCAAGATGAAAAGAATTCTGCAAGATTATGTTCTTCGCAGTGATAAGGATGGAGCTGGAGGCTATTATCCTAAGCAAACCAATGCAGAAACAGAAAACTAAGTACCATATGTTTGCACTTATCAATGGGAGCTAAACAATGAGGACACATGGACACATAGAGGGGAACACCACACAATGGAACATTCTTGAGGGTGGGAGGTGGGAAGAGGGAAAGGATCAGAAAAAACACTGAGCTGGTGCTATGCTTATTATCTGGCTGACAAAACAATCTGTACGCCACACCCTGTGACCCGCAGTTTACTTATTGTATTAGTCCATCTCCACGATGCTGTAAAGAATACCCTGAGACTGGGTAATTTATAAAGAGATTTAATTGATTCACAGTTCTGCCCCGGTGGGAAGGCCTCAGGAAACTAACAATCATGATGGAAGGTGAAGGGGAAGCAAGCACCTTCTTTACAAGGTGGCAGGAAGGAGAGGGAGAGCAGGGGAAACTGTCACTTATAAACTATCAGATCTCGTGAGAACTCCCTCACTATCACGAGAACAGCAAGGGGGAAACCACCCACATGATCCAATCACCTCCCACCGGGTCTCTCCCTGGACACCTGGGGATTACAATTGGAGGTGAGATTTGGGTGGGGACAGAGACCCAAAAAATATCACCTAAATAACAGACCTACACATGTATGCCTGAACCTAAAATTAAAGTTAAAAGTAAAGAAGAGAGTTCTGGAGATTTGCTTACTCAACAACGTGAGTGTTCTTAATTACTACTGAACACTTTAAAATGGTTAAAATGGCACATTTTAGGCTGCGTGTATTTTACCATAATTAAAAAACTTTTCAAATTTCCTTTAAACTAATAAGTGTATCTTCACTGAACAAAAATAATGTGGGGAAGCAAAAGAGAAAGTGTTATTACCTGGAGTATTGATTTCCAGGAGTTTATGGTGCTGCATGTTTAAATGAACCCCAATAAAAAACATGACTATTGCCAAGGCAGATTCCGTGGAATAGTCGTCGTGGTAGTATTCAAGCAGCCACATGCTGGCTCGTATGAATCTAGTAGTTTCTGAGCTGAATTCTTTTTTTTTTTTTTTTTTCCGCTTTGAGACAGGGTCTCACTCTGTCATCCAGGGTGGAGTGTAGTGGCATGATCATGGCTCACTGTAGCCTCAACCTTGGGGGCTCAATTGATCCTCCTGCCTCAGCCACCCAAGTAGCTGGAACTACAGGTTCATGCCACCATCCCCAGCTAATTTTTACATTTTTTGTAGAGACAGGGTTTTGCCATGTTGCCCAGACTGGTCTGGAACTCCTGGGCTCAAGCAATCCTCTCAAAGTGCTGGGATTACAGGCGTGAGCCACCACACCCTGTGGCAGTTACATTCTTAAAGCAAGGATTGGGAAAAAGAAAATCGTTGAAGGGATTCTATCTTACTGAAATCTTAGAACTCTTCCTATTCGATTTCCTCCAGTTCGGTTTCAAACTCCTGCATGTGGAGTGAAGGGGGAAAGACAGGTTAATAACCACAGGATGATCCTTTACCAGTGAGGCCGTGAGGGAACTGGGCTTCCTGACCTGAGGGTTCAGACTTGCTCCACTTCATTGCAAAGAAACTGGTCATGCATCTTTTGCCACAGAGTTTAATGATTTATCATCTTCTGGTACTTTGTCGAGATGACAGCAGGCATCACGTCGTTTATTTTTCTCTGTGGAATCCGTATGAAGTTGAGTGGATGGAGCACTCTGCAATCTACTTATGCAACCTACGTCCAACCTTCTGCATTGAACGATATCTATTGCTTCAGACATAAGAACGATTTTTGCAAGATGAATTTGGGCTTGTTTGTATTTGAGCTGGCAAACAATAGAGAAGTGTCTCTGATGGAACTTGCATTTGTGCAGGGAGAGGTAACACACGCGACTGAGTGAGTGATCATAAGAGCAAATAGGTGAAATTCCACAGTCCCTACTGGAAACCTGGCTACACATCTTTTATCCTCTAAAATCCTTCTGAGGATTAAGTGGTATTATGCACTGCCTATTGTTTTTCTCTAAATCCTGTCTTGTAGAAGGCAATGTCAATAAAATAGCATGCAGAACTGCTGGGCCATCCTTCATTGCCAGCTGATCCCACAAAGCATTTTATGAACATCTCAGACAAAAGATGGTTCTATCCTCATGGAATTAAATCAAATTAGTCCCCTCCTTAAGGCTCCCAATGGAGACAGCACTTACAATGATGGTTGAAATGAAGGAACTCACCTAAATCAAATAAGGTAATGCATGTGAAATGATTCTGTAAGCTTCAACAGGTAAATTTCAGTTATTTGGATTATTTTTAATAGTATTATTACTACTAAAATTACTATTCATAAGGCAACTTAGACCATTCTTGATACTTTCAGACAGAGGGCAGTAAACTATGACCCATGGGTTAAATCTGACCTGCTGCCATGTTTCTGTGTTTGTTAACAGTTTTTTTAATGACTGGTGTGTTAAGAATGGTTCATATGTTAATTGCATCACTACTCACAATAGCAATGACGTGGAATCAACCTAAATGCCCATCAATGACAGACTGCGTGAAGAAAATGTGGTACATATACACCAAGAAATACTATACGGACATAAAAAAGAACGAGATCATGTTTTTTTGCGGGGACATGGATGGAGCTGGAGGCTATTAACCTTAGCAAACTAACACAAGAACAGAAAAGCAAGTGCCGCATGTTCTCACTTATAAGTGGGAGCTAAACGCTGAGAACACATGGATACCTAGAGGAGAACAACACACACTGGGGCCTATCAGAGGGTGGAGGGTGGGAGGAGGGAGAGGATTGGGAAAAATAACTGATGAGAATACCTGGGTGATGAAATAATCTGCACGGCAAACCCCCATGACACACATTTACCTATGAAACAAACCTGCACATGTATCCCTGAATGCAAAAGTTGAAAAAAAACTTAATTGGTTGTATATGTACTTACATAATCTTCTCAGCATTGCTTCTTGGGTATACAGACTGAAAAGTCTAAAACATTATCTGGCTCTTGGGGAACAACAACAAAAGGGTTGCAGAACTCTGCCTTACAACCATGGCTTTATAAATGTATGTTTAAATTCAAAAAGAGCTTCAAAGGATCTTCTGAAGAACCCTGAAGAGAGGGTGATATTGCAGCCTCTGTGTCAAAGATAATTTTAAAATGAGTCTGAGCTTTTGTTCAGTAAAGACAATGCCACTGGAAGCTGGGCTTCCGGACCTGAGGGTTCAGACTTGTTCCACTTCATTGCAAAGAAACGAGTCAGGCATCTTCTGCCATAGTGTTTAATGATTTATCATCTACTGGTACTTTGTCGAGATGACAGCAGGCATCATGTCATTTATTTTTCTCTATGGAATCCGTATGAGGCTGAGTGGATGGAGCACTCTGCAAAAGAGACTTCCAAGTTTGTGAGTGGTCTCTTTTCTAGAATACGTTAAAAGCATTTTGTAACCTAAAGAATTTCACCTCTGTTCTGCTCGTTGATAATTTCCCTCTTAAATAATTACTAGCAAAATGTTTCAGTGACACAGAAGTTAGTGTTCTCAAGGAAACAATTTAAATCGTTCTTTAATGCTATTTACAGAGTCCTTGTTAAGGTATCAGCCTAATGCCTTTCTAAAGAGGGTGATGGGTTGTGGGCCAGTCTCTCAGGAACATTTTAGTTCTCTTGTGCTTGAAAGCGTAGCTTTGCATTACTCAAGGGATTGTGGAGAAATCTGCCTTACAGTTCAGAGAATGCAATTTTCAAAGATTCGTGTCTGTCTTTAAACATCTTCTGTCACTCTGAACTTCCCAGGAGGAGCATGCATGCACAATGGCACAATGACTTAAACAATACATACATTTCTAGGAAAAGAACACATTTGGAAACTTGCATTTATAGCTGCCAGATTAATGCATTTGGCCAGTTTCACACGAGACCTATATGAAAATGGTATAGATGAACATCGATAATCCACTAAATTATATTTTTTCCTTTTTATATATCCACTTTTTTTTTTCACTAAATGTGAGTGGCATTTTGATGTGAACTGTTAATTGTTACTATCAAGGCTGTTTATTCCGGATCCTATGTATCAGACACTGTGTTACAAACATAGACGCATGAATTGAATGCTCATAGGAACCTCATAATACTAGGAGCACAGTGTAATAAAAAAGATAAGAAGTCAACATGAAAAGATCAAATTCTGGTTTTGTTCCTATCAGCATTCTCATCTATAAATGAGACAACAAGAAAGTGATGATAGTGGCAATAAAAATATCACCTAGTTTGACCTTAGAGAAGTATTATAAGAATAAAAGGCAACAATGTCTGTGAAAGCTTTGAAGTCTGAGTGATGCAATGGCTCTGAAACAGACAGAAGAGGATGTTGTAAGGTGTAGTCCTAGGTTAGCTAAGACAGTGCACAACAAAACCACTCTGGAAAGGTTTAATACATACAATTCTTCATTCAGAGATGATGAGAAATATATGCTTCATATACAAAAAAAAAAAAAACAGCTCTCTGTCTGTTTCCTTCTGTCTCTTCATCTCTGTCTCTTATCTCTCTCTTTCTCTATTTTGTCTCTCTCTGTCTGTATCTCTCAGTCTCTCCCCCCCACACAAAGTGGTTCAGCAGAGTTAACATTATGCATGTTGTCACTTATTTGTGGGAGCTAAAAATTAAAACAATTGAATTCATGGGAATAGAGTGTAGAATGATGATTACCAAATGCTGGGAAGGGTAGTGGGGGTGGTGGTGAGAGGGGAAGTAGAGATGGTTAATGGGTACAAAAAATAGTAGAAAAAATGAATAAGATTTAGTTTGATAGCACAACAGGGTGACTATAGTCAATAACAATTTAACTATTATTTAAAAATAACTAAAAGAGTATCGTTGGATTGTTTGTAACACAAAGGATAAGTGCTTGAGGAGATAGATACCAAAGTTTACATGATATGATATTGTATGCCTGTATCAAAATATCCTACATACTCCATAAATATATACACCTACTGTATACCCATAAAAATTAAAAAAGAAAATACCTTAGCCACCCATGTGAGTCAGGGTTCTCAGAAAAACAGAACCAATAGGATATGGGTGTGTATATATATGTAGTGTATATATACTGTGTGTGTGCATATATACATGCATGTATATATACACATATATATCATTTGCATGTATATATACACATACATACATGCATGTATGTATGCACACATACAGTATATATACATTACATATATACACATAATACACACACCCACATGTGTATATATACACATATATAGATGAATGTATATGTGTATATATATATACGTGTATATGTGTATATATACATATCCGTATGTGTATATACACATATACACACATATACATGTGCATATACATATATGTATATGTAGATATACATACACACACAGATACATGTATTAAATTGTTGCAAAAGTAATTACTTTTAATGGCAAAAACCACAATTACTTTTGCACCAACCTATATACGCAGAGGAAGAGGAAAGACAGAGGGAGAAAGGTTTATTCGATTGTGCCAGAGGCTGGTAACAACGTGCAAAGCAGGCTGGCTTGCTGGAGACCGGGAAAACAGTGGATGACGCAGTCCCGTGTCTAACTGCTGGAAACCCAGGCTGAATTTCTATGTTGGAGTCTGGAAGCTGAATTTCTCCTTCATTGGGAAACATTGGTCTTTGTGCTTGAGGCCTTGGACTGACTGAATGGGGCCCACCCGTATTACGGAGGACAATGTGCTTTACTAAAACTCAACTGATAGTAAATGTTCACCACATCTCAAAAGAAAAATCTCTTCCCTTGGCTGGACTTGGTGGCTCACGCCTGTAATCCCAGCACTTTGACAGGCTGAGTCAGGAGGATGACTTGAAGTCAGAGCAACATAGTGAGACCCACCTGAGCAACATAGCAAGACTCATATCTATAAAATTTTTAATACTTTAGCCAGGCATTGGGGCTTGTGCCTGTAGTCCTAGCTACTCAGGAGGCGGAGGCAGGAGGACTGCTTAAGCCCAGAAGGTTGAGGCTGGAGTGAGTTGTATTATTTGCACCACTGCACTCCAGCCTATGTGACAGAGCAAGACCCTGTCTCTAAAACAAACAAACAAAAAAGTTCCTTCCCAACAACATCTAGACTACGTGTTCGGACAAACAACTGGTCACCAGTTTCTAGCCAAGCAGACACATAAAACTAACCATCACACCAACTATAGTTGTAGTAACTTTTAAAACTATGTATTTTTTATTTCAATAGCTTTTGGGGTACAAGTAATTTTTGCCTACATGGATTAATTGTTTAGTGGTGAGGTCTGAGATTTTAGTGCACCTGTCACTTGAGTAGTGTACATTGTACCCAGTATGTAGTTATTTATCCCTCACTTCCCTCCCACCCTCCCAACTTCTGAGTCTCCAGTGTCTATTTTACCACTCCGTATGCCTTTGCGTATTCATAGTTTAGCTCCCACTTATAAGTGAGAACCTACAGTATTTGGTTTTCCATTCCTGAGTTACTTCACTTAAAATAATGGCTTCCAGCCCCATCACAAAGATATTATTTCATTCATTTTTATGGCTGAGTAGCATTCTATGCTGTATATATACCATATTTTCTTTATTTACTCATTGGTTAATGGGCACTTAGGTTGATTCCATATCTTGCATTTGTGAATTCTCCTGCAATAAACATATGCGTGCAGGTGTCCTTTTCATATAATGGCTTCTTTTCCTTTGGGTAGATGCCCAGTAGTGGGATTGCTGGATCAAATGGTAGGTCTACTTTTAGTTCTCTGAGAAATCTCCATACTGTTTTCCATAGACGTTGTACTAATTTAGATTCCCAACAGCAGTGTACAAGCATTCACTTTTTGCCATATCCACACCAACATTCATTGTTTTTTGACTGTTTATTAATGGCCCTTCTTGCAGGGTAAGTTGGTATCTCGTTGTGGCTTTAATTTGCATTTCTCTGATGATTAGTGATGTTGAGCATTTTTTGTTGGCATGTGGAGCATGTTTGTTGGCATGTTGAGCATGTTTGTTGGCATGTGGAGCATGTTTGTTGGCATGTGGAGCATGTTTGTTGGCATGTGGAGCATGTTTGTTGACCATTTGTAGATCTTCCTTTGAGAAATGTCTATTGATGGCATTTGCCCACTTTTTGGTGGGGTTATATGAATTTTCTTTGCTCATTTGTTTGGGTAACTTTAAGAATCCAAGTAACTGCATTGTAGTGTCTGTTTAATCTGCCAGCCACAGTCATATACTTATTGAAGCAGACGCCTCTTCCTCCCATGAACGGGGATGTGCCTGTACCCTTCCCAATCAATCAGCTAAGAAAAACCTCTCAGAGGGGTACAGTAGGCTGTCTTACAGCCCACATCGTAGAGACAGGCCAGCCCTGTGGAATCACGTTGGTTTTTGAAAGGCACAAATGAAAAGATACACTGAGAAGCTTTGGAACACAAGATACATTTTATACGCCCTTTGCAGGGTCGTATTCAGCCAGAGTCCGCCACATTACAGACATAGAAGATTTTCAGGGTCTTCATGGAATTCTTGCTGGAAGTAACTGGTGCGTTGTTTTTGAAGCTTCCTTTGATCTTGAATTGGGTCTATCAGGTAAACACACTGACCTGTCTTCTTAGCAGCCAATTGCTGGTGACCTTTCCACAGCTTGTGTCCATCCAGGAGTTCAGCAAAAGCCTGGCCTTTCCTCCTGCTCTGAGCCCAGCTCTCTACCAGCCGCTTTGAATCCTTGCCTGGATGGTACCTACTTCTCTGCAGAGGCAAATCAACACAGTAGTGTCATGAATCTGTACTAGTTTATTAGTTTTAGTTTTCTAGGACCGCTGTAACAAATCATTACAAACTGGGTGGTTTAACATAATAAAAATTATATCCTCTGCCAGTCCTGGAGAACAGGAGTCTGAGAACAAGGTATGGGCAGGGTGGCATGCCCTCCGGAGGCTCTAGGGGAGGACTCTTCCTGCCTCTCCCAGGTCGTGGGGGCTTCAGATATCCCTAGGCTTGTGGCCATATCACTTGTCTCTGCCTCTGTCTCTATGTGGCACGTGGCATTTTCCTCTGTGTCCATGTCTCCTCTTCTGTCTCTTAGAAGGACACTGGTCATTGAATTAAGGCCACCGTAAGTCAGAATAATCTCATCTCCAGATCTGACTTTAATTACAAATCTGCAAAGACTATTTTTCTAAATAACGTCATATTCCGGGTTCTGGGCTTTATGATGTGGATTTATCTTTCTGGAGGCAACTGTTCAATCCACTACAATTGTATCCAGTCCTTTCCAGAGATGCTAGAGGAGGAACCTTCCTGCCTCTCCCAGCTCCTGGGGGCTCTAGGCTTCCCTGGGCTTGTGACCACATCACTGCACTCTCTACTTCCATCTCCACGTGGCCTTCTCCTCTGTGTATGTGTCTTATCTTTTCTGCCTCTTAGAAGGAATTTAAGATTACAACTGCTGCTAGATTTCCCCTTATTGCTCTGGTTAAGGAGTCCGTGGAGTCTCCTGTAGTATGAAAGGTTTCGTTTTACATTGCAGTCCCTTACAAGGAGGGCTTAGGCCAATGTCTGTGCTGACTTCCCTTCTACATCTCTGGATTCTGTCTCACCGGCTCCCTGTCATTTCCCCAAAGATGTCCTCCACCCACCTCATCCTACTCTTCATCCCTGCAACATCTGTCCTTTTTTTTTTTTTTTGAGACAAGATCTTGCTCTGTCACCCAAGCTGGAGTGCAGTGGTGCGATCATAACTCACTGCAGCCTTGATCTGAGTCCAAGCGACCCTCCCAGCTCAGCCTCCCAAGCAGCTGGGACTATAGGCGCTTGGCGATTTTTTGTTATTTTTTTGTAGAGATGGGAGTCTCCCTATGTTGCATAGGCTGGTCTCGAACTCCTGGGCTCCAGTGATCCTCCCACCTCAGCCTCCCAAAGTGCTGGGATTACAGGCGTGAGCCACCGCACCCAGCCGACACATTTAAAGAAATGTTTTGGCAACTTATCAAATACCCACAGATTGGATCTAATCATTTAAAAAACACAAACTTGGTTGTAGACTTTCTGTCCTTCTGAGGCCCCATGACTATGTAGTCCCAAACTATTCTCGCCGATCACAAAGGAACATTCTGTTTAGGGCTACTTTTACCTTTGCTTAGACCATCCCTTTATTCAATTAATGTTTGAAACATCATACAGTGGGGGAAACAGCCATGCTATGGAGTGCGCAATGTTTGTTAAAAATTAAACAACCACTCACCCCTCCTTGCCCCAGTGACCTTTTCTTATCTAATCTTTTTCTTGGCACCGGTAAAGAGAACAGCCTTTCTTCACATAATCGCTCCATGGCTTCTCAGCAGAACATAACCAACCGCCTTGCTGAGGTGGCCTAGGGTGACCGGGTCTTCCTATCTTTTGTGCAGAGCTCTTGTCATGCGCAGGAGTTTGGGGAGATGCCCCCCACCCCCCCGCAAAAGGTTTCCTATGGCTTTAAAATAAGAGGTAGTTCAGGAACATTAACTGTTCACTTTACATTTAAGATATGATCTCCTGGAGATGTTGATGTGCCAGCTGGTCTTGTTGAGAGGCAGTTACTGATCTAGCAGGTGTTTATAGATTTTACACCTGTCTTGTTCTTTTTTTTAAAAAGAAACAACCTGCAACTAACTAACTTTATTTCGTATGTTAATGAGACAGATGTGAAAGAACACAAAATCAAAATGCTTCCCAGGATTCACAGCTCTAGTGTTCCTTGGCTTTATGGTTTGGAAGGAAAGCTGATTTATATAGGCAGAGGCTCTCTATATAGGTCCTTACCTCCCCTGTCCTGTTGTTTTGGAATGTGAGCAGAACACACTCAGGTCTACTGTATGAATAGGACACCCTGCGCCCTGAAATTCCATCAGCTTCACAGATCTCTCGTGGATTCTCTCAGAGTGATGACTCCCTCTCCCTTTCTCCAGTGTCTGAACACTACGTGGTAAGGGACTTTCCACGCACAATATTACTCTCAGCAGACAGAAGATGCTTTCCTGGAGAAGAAAGCGGCAGTATCTTCCAGAGGCAATTGGAGTTTTCAAATGTTGGTGGAGTTATGGGGTTGAAGGCTCCAGCTTTACTGGGTAGAGTCTCACGCCTCACAGTGCGCTTGCCCTGGGGCCCACTGGCTGTGTGTGGGTGCTTGTCCTCAAAACTGTAGCAGCCCAGTGCCCCTGGAGAGCCACTTTACCCAGCATCACTATTAGGTGCTCTGCCAGCTCTGTGGCATGGAGAGGAATTGTCTGGTAAGAACGGAATGTTTTCCATTCTCTCCATCAAGAACTCGAAAGGCTGATTGACAGGTGCAAACGCAAATCTGGTCATCTAGGCTGAATTACAAGATGTCTGGTGGAAGTTAAGAGACTTCAGGAGGTATTAAGAGGGATGGAATACCTGGAATTCCTTGGGGGCCAGGAGAGTTGAGCCATCCTCAGAGATGTGTGCATACTGCAAACCTCCTTTAAGCCAGGGCACTGGTATTGTGGGAAGCCCAGTTAGGGATTAGAGGGATTCCAGAATTAAGATCAACAAAGCAGTCTGACACCCTTTGGGGTGCCAGAGATTATCACTTAGATTGAGGACAGGGGAAAGGGGGTACACTCAACTCAATTGCTTCCTATAAAATCTTACAGACATCAATGATCCCAGAGGATGGGGAGCTACAGTGTCATCTCAGATCATTTTCCAAGGGAAGGATAGATGACCCCATAACTCATTATCTCTAAGAGAGAATGAGATTCCACATGCAAGATAGGAATCAAAACCCTTTTCACCACCTTCATTGACTCAGTTATGCAAATGGCCCTAGCTCATAGCCTCTAAGCCCAGAGCAGACAGTGCATCCTGGTTGCTGATTGCATACCTCCTGATGGGTTGTAACTGTGTGCTTTACGGAGGGCTAGTGTAAACATTCTCATTGCAAAGCGTCTTGCATGGATGAGCAGACATAGAGTGGCATTTGCCGGAGCTGAGCACCCCTGACTTCAGAGTTCACGTTTGGCAAAGTGATTTGTTGCACTACTTGGCAATTGAAGCATCCCGAATAGCTTTGTTTTATGGGGTGGGGGGCGGGGGCGAGGGGAAGAGAGTGGAGCTTTCTGTCTCCCTACTAATCAGGAGGGTCCTTGTTTGGGCTTTAGGCCCCTTCCCTTGTTTTCTGGGCAGAGGAATTGCCCCTAGGAATCCTCTGCAGGCCCTGCCAGTTTCAGAGCTCCCTCATTTTCATCTCTCCACTTCAATGAGCTCATTCACTAAGGCTTTCCCACAGCCCAGGATCTGACTTGGGTGGGCCTGCTTGGGTTTTGTGTGCCTCTGTGCCAGGAAGAGAACAGGCACAGGGCTCTGCTTGGCTATTGCCGGCATTCCTGGGCTAGTGCGTCACGGGGTCTCATGGTGACAGCATTCCACTGGAAACACGGAGTCCCGGAACCCAATTTTGAAAGGAATCCTCTCTAAAAATCTTTCAGGAGGGAGAAAACAGAGATTTCAGAGAGTTAACAGTGCTCCTCAAAACAGCGTTTGTCAAGGAAATTAGTAGCGACTTGTATGACACCCTCTTTCTCCTGTGATTTCACTTTCCTAAATGTTGATTGCTCCGGGGTGTGGGGCTTTTTTCTTCTATACCCAAAGCCACCTAGTAGAAGGGTTAAGTGCATAGACTTTTTCCAGGCGATCTCTGTGTTCATAAAGAGAAGTGGGGAAAGGGCTCTAGTGTTTCAAATGTAAAGTAACCATTGTTAGGAAAATGACTTATTCTTTCTTTCATTCATTTATACAAATGTAAGTTCTGGCTATGCTTAGCTACTCAAGGGAAATCAGAGGCAACTGGGTCCTCTAGGGATGTTTAGCAATATCTGGACACGTTTTTTATTTGTCCTCGCTGGGAGGTTGTTCCTGGCATCTAGCAGGCAGAGGCCCAGCGATACTACAGGGCACATGCCAGCTTCCCATCATAAGAAATATCTCCTTCCAAATGTCAATAGTGGTGTTACCAGAAAGGGGTCTCTATCCAGACCCCAAGAGAGGGTTCTTGGATCTCGCACAAAAAAGAATTTGAGGTGAGTCCATAGAGTAAAGTGAAAGCAAGTTGATTAAGAAAGTTAAAAAAAAAAAAAAAAAGAATGGTTACTCCACTGAGCTGCTCCACCGAGGATACTTATTATTACTCCTTCATTATATGCCAAACAAGGGGTGGACCATTCATGAGATTTCCAGGAAAGGGGTGGGCTGTTCCTGGAGCTGAGGGTTCCTCCCTTTCTCAGACCATGTAGTGTAACTTCTGGATGTTGCCATGGCATTTGTAAACTGTCATGGCGCTGGCGGGAGTGTCTTTTAGCATGCTAATACATTATAATTAGCATATAATGAGCAGTGAGGATGACCAGAGGTCACTTTTGTTGCCATCTTGGTTTTGGTGAGTTTTGGCCGGCTTGTTTACTGCAACCAGTTTTGTCAGCAAGGTCTTTATGACTTGTATCTTCTGCCGTCCTCCTATCTCATCCTGTGACTAAGAATGCCTAACCTTCTGGGAATGCAGCCCAGCAGATCTCAGCCTTACTTTCCCCAGCCCCTATTCAAGATAGTGGAGTTGCTCTGGTTCAAACGCCTCTGACAGTGGGATGGTTGAGAAACTTGGGGGTAGACCAAGGGCAAGGCAGCAATCTCAGCCTGTGGAAAACATTTTAGTAGATGCCATTGTAATGTCTGAAGTCATTCAATTATAATGTCAAACTCACTGCAAAACATGCATTATCTAAATATCTCTTATAGTTAGCTTTCTTTCTCTCTCTCTATTTTGCTCTCTCTAATTCTACATTTTAAAATCATATATGTACTGACCAATACGATGTTTGGCTGATCATTGGAAAGGCAATTGGAGAAACTTAGCAGCCCTGTTGAAATCCTCGACATATGCCATCTCCATGCAAATTCAGTACAAGGCACAATAGTAAAGTGTGGCTATGATATCATCAACTTTGAGGGGCCTCATTTCCCCCCCTAAATCCCTAGTCTCAAAGCCTGACTCCACTTTCTTCTGCCAGCCAAGAAGCTTGTCAAAGCCTGAGGGCATCATTGCTCTTTCCCCATTTCTAGCAGATGGCCGTGTTGTGAGACATTTAATCCACTGACTGAATCAGTTACAGTAATACCAGTGGCTTCTGAAGATCAGCCTCAAATAACAGTAGCTCAATGAACATAAATGGCATCAGAAAAACACAAGTAACTGAAGAAATTACAGGGGTTTATGTCCGCTCTTTCTTCGTTCAGAGAATGTTATTCTGTGGGCATTACTGAAAAGGGAGCTTTTGTTAATGGCTGATCTTAGAAACCAGACTTCTTCTACATTGTGATTCTACTAACTCCAACATGAGACATCTAAGAACAAGTTGGGGATTTTTTCCATTGCAGCCAGCAAGGAACAGAAAAGAGCGTGAAGGTTTGCATGTCATAAGTAGCACACAGCACACAACCGCCCCACCCAACCCCACTGGTGAGAACTGGGCTCCACAAAGACCTCTGGCACATGGGAAGCTTGGAAGTGCATGTAGCCTTGTGTGCCTGGGATGAAGAAGACATGGGTTTGCTGAGCCAGCATCTGATCTGCAAGGTGCTTCATCATTTCTTCACCATGTGACCTCTGCAAGTGACTTAACCTGTCCGGACCTCAGAATGCTCTTCCACATAATGAGACCTGCATGAGAGTAACTGTCAGGTCACATCTGGCTCCGGATCTCATAATTCTTTCTGTCTTCACTTTCATCCAGGCCCTTTACAACCAAGCACCTTCACTTTCAACCAAGCACCATGGAGAGCTCCTTTGGCTGATTTTTGTTTCTCATAATCTGACTGTCTTCAATAACTGTATGAGGATTCTTCAGAGAAATACAATCAACAGGATAAACTTATCCTATTGATAGATATGTCTATTTATCTATAAATTAAATAGAAATAATATAGATATAAATAGATGGATACATATATAGGTGGATACAGAAATAGTTATAGATACAGACAGGAGATTTATTATGGGAATTGGTTCATGCTATGGCAAGATATGGAGACCTAGCAAAGCTCATTTTTTAATTTAATCCAAGACTGAAGTCCAGAAAACCATAAGAGCTGACGGTGTAAATCCTGGAGCCCCAAAACCTGGGAAACAGGGCCTTGATTTTGCAAGGCAGGAAAAGGTGAATGTCTCAGCTCAAGAAGAAAGAGAATGTACCCTTCCTCTCTCTGCCTTTTTGTTCTCATTAGGCCATCAAGGGATTTGACAGTGCCAGCCCACATTGTTGACTGATCTTCTTTACTCAGTCCACTGATTCAAATGCTAATCTCTTCTGGAAACACTCTGGCAGACATACTCAGAAATAATGTTTTATCAGCTGTCTGGGCATCCCTTAGGCCAGTCAAGTTGACACATACAATTAATCATCAGAGTAGAGTTTCTAGTAATGCTTTTGGTTCTTCTAACTATTTTTGAGGGTACAAAGAGCGAGCAAGACCACTCTTTGGAAACTAGCCACAGCCAACCACGCCAGCCAATTCTAAAGCCATCATGCGGGGAGAGTGAGCCCTACAGTTCCCAGGTGTTGGGTCCCCATCCCACCACTGGAGGCCACCAATAAAGCAGGTGGTGGAAGGTGGATTCAGGGGCATCAACTGGAGTGACATTTGACTGGGACCAAGTCAGTTGAGGATGCATCACGTAGATTTGAAGTAATTAAAACATGGCTACATATGTAAGGTGAGGGAAGCATCTTCTTTCTACTCAAATTCTCTCTTGTCCTTCTGCAAAAAGCAGAGCTACTTGAACCACATGAGGCCCAGTTTGTCACCTCATTCTGACATAATTTTTTCTGGTTTATTATTACAAAATTTTAATGAGAAGAACGCCTCTAAGACAAATGCCCTAAGAGGAACATGGAACATTCATCTTTATTATTCTTTTGGCTCCATTTGACCAAACTCCCTTTGTCTACTTAGCATATTCTTATGGTTTCTTGAATGCAAGTATTCTCTTTTTTTCTCTCTCTCTTCTTTGATTTTTGTCTGTTTTTTTTCCAACCTATACAACTGCCACTGAATATAGTGATGCATTAAGCATAATAAATCTATAATTAACTGATACCATTTCCTCTTCCAAAATTAAACTTCCACCTTTTACATCTATTTCCAAATTTCTTGTTTCTGTCTGCATAACAAAATGCATCTCTACCTTTTCCAACATATTTCTGAATTAGCACTAGGCAGCATGCCTTCTTTAAGGCAAATAGACAAATTTAAAATTATATATTAGAAAACACTTCTTGTTCTCTTTCTTTCTGTAAACTACCTGAGTTGAACCTGCTTTACTTCTTCTCTGCTTTGTATCACTTCCTTGCTATTCCTCCATATCAATAATTAACCTGTTGACCTGTCACTCAAGACTGTAGGAAATCTTGCTAACACATTTGTGTCTGCTTTTATCACCTTTCACCTCTCAATGCACACACTCTGCTGAACTGAGATTGTGTTCTGGTCTCACAGACAATTTTCACATAACTCTGTGTTAATATTGCGGGGTAGACAATTTTCACATAACTCTGTGTTAATATTGCGGGGTTTTTGTTTTCGTTTTTTTGAGACAGAATCTTGCTCTGTCGCTCAGGCTGCAGTGCAATGGTGTGGTCTCGGCTCACTGAAACCTCTGCCTCCTGGTGCAAGCAATTATCTTGCCTCAGCCTCCCGAGTAGTTGGAATTGCAGGTGAGCACCACACACCTGGCTAACTTTTTGTATTTTAGTAGAGATAGGGTTTTGCCATGTTGGCCAGGTTGGTCTCAAACTCCTGGCCTCAAGTGATCTTCCTTCCTTGGCCCCCCAAAGTGCTGGGGTTACAGGTATGAGCCACCACGCCCAGTCCAACTCTATGTTAGTATTTTCACCGACACAATGACCTCCCCATTTCATTCTGTCCCCTCAGGTGCTACACAACTCTCAGGTCCAAGTAACAACTTTAACAACTGAGCTTCATCCATTACTTTTGGGTGGGCTGTTTACTTTTTCAGTAAGTGTAAAGTTGGTTGGATTGTCTATTCTTAGCATCATAACTATAGTTCAATACAAGAAATCTTACACCCCTAGTCGGAACTACCCTTCTAAAAAATCCATGTGTACACTGGCTTCAGGAAGCTCAATAACCATTGAAAGTCACATAGAAGTTCAATCGTCTGCAATTCTAGAGAACTCCAGTAGAGATACACAAGACTTGCACTAGTCAAGGCAATAGTGAATTAATTGTGGTCTTACATGTTCTGTGTCCTGAATCAAAGACATCAAAACCTGATGAGATAGTCAGCAAGTTCCTTGTTACCGAGGAGGTCACATAAGTAAAAAGGTTCAGGTCACAAGATCAACACACACTATTGCAAAAAAACACACAACTAGACTTGAAGAAAATGTACATATTACACCATCACTGTAGACTTCAAATGCCCAAAGTTGTTTTTAGTTTTTGAGATGGAGTCTTGCTCTGTTGCCCAGGCTGGAGTGCAGTGGTGCAATCTCAGCTCCCTGCAATCTCTGCCTCCCAGGTTCAAGCAATTCTCCTGCCTCAGCCTCCCAAGTAGCTGGAACTACAGGCACGCACCATCACGCCTGGCTAATTTTTGTATTTTTAGTAGAAACGGAGTTTCGCCATGTTAGCCAGGGTGGTCTTGAACTCCCTGACCTCAGGTGATCTGCTAGCCTTGGCCTCCCAAAGTGCTGGGATTACAGGCATGAGCCACCATGCCCAGCCCCAAAGTTGATTTTAAATTGTAATACAGAACATAGTAAATTTGGAATAAGTAAGTTCCTGCCACAGTACGTCTACCCTGAGATGATATAAACTAATCACCATGGTTAGCAAAAGCTACAGTTAGGAAAGTCCCTTTGAAAATTGATGGAATATAAGCATTTAGAGGAACAGAACTGCATAAATAACTACACATGATACTTTAAAGTTTATTTTTAGTTTTTACTTCTGTTTGTGACACAAAGGATAAATGTTTGAGGGGATGGAGGCTCAATTTTCCGTGATGTGCTTATGATGCATTGCATGCCTGTATATAGGATACCTTCTACTGAGATTACGTGCCCTTCAAAATTTTCATGCATATATTTATTAAATCAATGGAAGGTATTTTATATAATGAGCATAGCAAATGATTGATAAGCTTGTATTGACTAGAAAATTATCAGGCAGATATAATAAAGTAGATTATTTTAACAAATATGACCAATAATTTTTCTCAACAATTCCCAGTAATCAGACAAATGCCAGTAATTGGATTTACCTAAAAGTACTAACTTTGCTATTATTATTACTTGAATTACTTAGTATTAAGAATAGGATCCCGGGAAAATCATACATTTTTTTCTACAAATAATTATTAAAACATAGTAAATGAATTGTTACCAATCCCCTCAAACAAAGTAGGGTTAATTAAAAAGTTAACATCCAGTTTTCTAACACTAATAAAAGAATGAATGAATCAAAATTTAAAGGATGAGACTTGTTCAATAATAGAGAATATTGTATTCTAAAAGTAAAGTAGAAAAATAAAATAAGTGGAAATAATTATGTTTTGGGGGCTACATTTTTGTCATATCTTCACATTTTGAAGAGAAAATAAAATTACATTATCATTGTATAATATTAGTCAATTAACAATTCAGAATCCAAATAACAACAGTTTAGAAAGATTGATTAATACTACTACTGTCTATTTATAATTACTCTGTAACACTTTTAAAAAAAAATCTAAAGCAGCTAAGCTTCTTGTAACTCCCTTGGGCAATCTAAAGACAGATTAATTTTTCAATTACAGAAAATAAAAATATAAACCATCTGTGCCAGAAAAAAAAAAAAGCCACTGTAGTTTATGCATGCTTCTTTATTTAGGGGTTTTAGTATTTCGATAATGCTAACATGTTTTTACCGTGTCCAATTCAATTAAATCTTAAATGTTCTGAGATTATCTGTCTGCCGAGATAAGACATGATGTCTTTAAATTATAAGATCAAAGATTCCCCGTAGTTTGTCAAATTGAGTATGGAAAAGAACATGCTATGCACCATTAACAACACTAAGCTAAACCTCAAAAGAGGTTAAATATGGTGAGATGGAAATTGAAAGGCTTAGTCTGGCTTTAGCATCTAATGGAGAGACAGCACAGCAAACACTCTCCGATACCAGCACCAATATAAAAGGGTTATTAATAGTAGCAATGAACAATGAATGTACACAGAGGTACTGATTAAGGAGTTCACACCGCTATGGTAGCCATGCAATAACCACTCAACTAAAACTTGGGGAAACCTGTGTCTATTCTGTGCTTCTAACCCTATGTGCCATCTTGCAACTCTGAAATTTCGCAGACCTATTTCTTTACACAACAAAGAAGGGAGGTGCTGTGGAAGTGGGGACCCCACCATGAGCCTCTTGCTGGGAGTCATGGCAATCACTTGTTTCTTCCTAAAGGAGTTTGTGCCTCAGGAGCAGTGAGGGATTTGCAAGAAGGGAAGCTACATAGAGAAACAATAATAGGATCCTCATTGTCTTCTGTTCTCCTCCTTCCATACTCCTCTGTAACTGAGTTCAACAAGAATCCGCATATCCTCAGAAGAGTAGCCTTCACATTTGTGAAGTGGAACTCAAGTGCCTGGTGAAGCTAAAATCCAAATGAAAATTGACAGCTCTCTTACACATATGCATGGCTGCACCTCTTGGAAACATGTGCTGCAGTTTGTCTTGGATCCTGAAATGTGCTTTTTCTGCCCTTGGCTCTTGGGTCACCCTTTTCTCTGCATTTCGCCCTCCTTCTCTGGAAAGTCGCACTTAGTTTCTTTTTCTTTTTCTTTTTCTTTTTCTTTTTCTTTTCTTTTCTTTTCTTTTTTTTTTTTCTGATGGAGCCTTGCTCTGTCGCCCAGGCTGGAGTGCAGTGGTGTGATGTCGACTCACCGTAACCTCTGCCTTCCGGGTTCAAGCAATCCTCCCACCTCAGCCTCCCGAGTAGCTGGGATTACAAGCATGCACCACCACGCCTGGCTAATTTTTGTATTTTTAGTAGGGACGGGGTTTCACCGTGTTGCCCAGGCTGGTCTTAAACTCCTGACTTCAAGTGATCCACCCGCCTCGGCCTCCCAGAGTGCTGGGATTACAAGAGTGACTCACCCTGCCCAGCCGTCTTGCTTAGCTTCTTCATCTTCTGCTGTATCCTAAAATGTTGGTCCTCTTCCTTGTTCTGTAGCAGGCTCCTTTCACACTCTGCATACCTCCCCCACCCAAAGGAATTTCAAGTTCCACTGGTTCCAAAATGTCCCCATTTGTATTCCAAATCTTATTTCTGAATTCTATGTCCACATATTCAATCACCTGGAGATCTTCACTTTCCCTTTTGTAATCTGTTCCCTAATCCAATTTCTCATTCACAACCAGCCTGAGAATCCTAAATTGCGGCTTATAAAAATCCAGGTTCCTGGAGCCTGGTCCTGTCCTAAGGAGAGAGAATGGTTGGGGCAGAACTAGATCATTAGCTTTATTAAAAGATACTACAGTATCTTTGGTACCTAAAACTTACATTGTCTCAGGAACTAACTGGCTTCTTTTTTTAAACTTCTGCCTTCCGCATTCTTTACTTCACCACAATGAATCCCTCATCTATATAAATTCATAAAGATGGAAATGGTCTTCATTTTTTTTCCTGCAAACATCTCTCAAATCCTTTAATTTTCTATACCAGTGACACTTTGTAGTCGAAGCTGGCAACATGTCTTGCCGATATAACTACAAAACTTTCTACCAATTAATTGTGTACAGACTTGCTCCCTTCCAATTCTGTACACTGTTGCCAAGGATCTTACTAAATACATCTCATATTCCCCTACTGAAGTGTCTACTATGGTGTGCCATTAGTAGGACAATCTCTAAACTGCTTCCATATAGACTCATGGGTTTACACAAGGTTGATAATCACTCTCCCCCTTGCAGTCTCTGCTCCAACCCAATTTCTAATTAACAGCCAGCCTTAGAATCCTAAATCGCTGCTTGTAAATTCCAGCTGCCTGGAGCCCCATCCTGCCCTAAGGAGAGACAATGGTTGGGGCAGAACTAGAACACTGGCTTTATAACAAGCTCACTGGAAAATTCATGTGCATCTTGAAATTTGAGAGCTACTGCTCGGCATAGCAAATGCCTTCACTGCACCTCATTGCCCTGGGCTTTAATGGTATTTGGTGTTCCTAGTTCTGGCTTCCCACAACATATGTATTGACCAACTTCTATACAGCCATTACTTTTTTGGGGCGGTCTTCCCTGACCCTAATTTAATGGAGTCTCTAAAGTGGCCACCTATACACTCAGGTTGCATTCTTGTAGTGTTTATTAAATTTCAGTGTTTTGTTTATCTCTGTGTGGCTTGATGGTGGACTCCTTGTGGATAGTAGCTCATTTTCTTGGCCAGCGCTGTGCTGTATCCCACATACAGACAACAGGGCCTGGAAGACCCTTAGTTTTTGGTGAAAGGCTTAAATGACAAGTTCAGGCTCTTAAAAGATGAGGTAATTCGACAATATGGGGCTGAATGAGGAGAAATCTGCATATGAGCAAGACAGGAAGAATCTCTCTGCATTGCCAGAAAATTGCATGTCTACGAATGCCTCCCAACCAGATAGCACAGAGTTTCAGACACAGGTAAGGCATACAGTTCCATCAGGCTGGATGCTAATATAGAAAAATGCCAGAAATGGAATAAGAGAGTGTCCAGAATGTATAAATGTCATACACTCGGGTTGTGCTGATTCTAGTTGACAGACAGAATTAGGGACTGAAAAAGCAGGTATGAACCATTTCAAATACACTACACTCATGAAAGCTGTTAATAAGCCAGTTCTTTGTATGTCAGTGCTTCCTAACTGCACAGCAACCAAGAGGAATTTGAGCTTCCTACTCCTATATCCATCTCCATTAGAATAGTGTAAGCCATTCTTTAAACATTAAAACCAGGCACCCACATCCTTCTTGCTCATAAATGTTCTGTCTTAGCCCATGCCTAAAGCATGCCAATTTCATCAATATTCACTTTAGACTGAGCCAGGTGAGGTCTATTCTTGCAGTTTCCCTGATAGAATTTCTGTGGAGTCCTTCTCAACATCTGTGACATCAGAATGGTGCTTTGGAATTCTCCTTTTGTTACTCTGAGTTGAACAGTCCTCAACTCTTGACCATCTGTGGCATCAACAGAACATAGGCCAAACTGAGCCCTGATGAACTGAAGCCTGCTCTTCAACAGGCTTGGAGCTAACAGCCGTCTGACACGAACACAGATCTGGTCTTATACTGGAAGTGAATTTAAAAAATCTTCAACGATTTTCCTTCACTCTTTCTGATTTGTCGATTGCACAAGCTCAGCACTTTCTACTTGCTATACGATTCTGTCTTAGTCCCTAAGGGTTATTCCATCTTTCGATTTATTGTATAAGCCATGATACATTCATCATTTTCTCACTCCTTGGATTTCATTACCTACTTTTACTTCCGTTGTAACCAGAACCTTCTTCAACTCTCATTTTCAACACTCTTGACATTTTTTTCTGCTTCCCAGACATAAGCAAGTTAGTTTTGTTCTGTAACATCTCAAAGGAACTCTGAGACAGGGGTCTGAAACTCTAGTGTGGCCAGGGTCCCAGAAAGGAAAATTGATGTGAAAAGCAATATGGGTGAGAAAATCCCACAACAGAACAAGCACAGAGGTGAATACCCCACAATTGGGCATCAAGGAGAGAACAGGAATGTTGAGCTAGTGGAAGTTGCCTACTGGTTTCTAAGGCAATATGTCCTTTGGCATGCTGTAATATTATTTTTAACAAAAATGTAGACATGGAGCATGAAAATGAACTAACAGTGTAAACGGAAGCTAGGTGAAACCCTTATCAAAGACCCAGAAATGCATGTACCAAACTAACTGTGAAATACAACCAAACCAAACCAAACCAAACCAAAACAAAACAAAACTGTTTGAATTATAAAATTTGAGAGTCACGAAACAAGATGAAGAAATTGACTTTGCCGTGCCAAATATATATTTTGTTTTCTGTGGTGTTTAGGCAATTTTCACAAGACATCTTTATTAAATTTCACCGGTCTCTCTGATGAACTTTTGGACATTACTACTTTTTGAGATAAATTTTTGAATTTCTAAATTTCTTTATAAATATGTAGGGGCACCACGGTTTTGACGATTTCTATACTGGTGGTATAGATCTTTGTTTTAAGGATTATAATAGCAATTTTATCCGTTCACTTAGTTAGGATTAAATTCTGGGCAATTCGTTCTTAGCAACCAGTCTCGAAAGTGTGATTATACAAGAAGCAGCCAGGCGTGGTGGGGCTCACCTGTGGTCCCAGTCTTTGGGAGGCTAACATGGAAGGATCACTTGAGCCCAGGAGTTTGAGTCTAGCCTGGGCAACACAGTGAGACCTCAACTCTTAAAAAAAAAAAAGTATAAATTAAATATACAATGACATGAATAGGAGATTGACTATCAGAAGACACCATTTGGGAGACAGCTATAGCACTCCTTCATGGGTAACCTTGATAAAGACCACATGAAACACTGAGTGGTTATTATACAAGGCTGTCTGCTAAACAGCCTCCTTTTATCAGCTCATTTAATTATCTTATCCATTGGGGGGTGGCAAAACTGTGTTTCCTCTCTTCTCTCACTTAATGGATGAAGAAACGAAGACTCAGATGGGTTAGCTGATTCACACGACAGAGTACTTGGTGCTGCTGGAATTAACTGTGAAGTCATGCTCTCAAATGCACCCATAAGCCACCTAACATTTTTTAGCTTATTCTCTCATCTTCTCTGTTAAACAAAAATCCACCTGCTTTCACAACATTTTTGGGATCAATTAATACTTATTAAAGTGGGCTAAACCTCAAACCACTCTGAGAGTAGGAAGCATTATATTTGTTATTTTAAATTTACAGGCAAATTTTCCACCTGCATTGGAAAACACAGTCTCACCAAAGAGCCAGGACAAGACTTCTTTTCAGGGCCCTCTTCCTGGTTGATAATCCCACCCAGCAAAACCAAATGCAATGCTGACAAAACTTGACATCTGAACTGAGAGAATTTGGGGTACGTGCATACTCCCATTAATTAGAGCTGCTTGATGTAGAGTGATGTTTCCAAAAGCATTCTATTGGAACAATAGTTTCTCAAAATCATTTGAGTTCAAAGGATCTATGGCAAAAACAAAAAAAAATAAAGCTTAGAAAACATAGCACATAATAATTGTTTCAGCCAGGTTTGGTGGCTCACACCTGTAATCCCAGCACTTTGGGAGCCCGAGACAGACAGAATATTTGAGATCAGGAGTTCGAATCCAGCCTGGCCAACATGCTGCAACCCTGTCTCTACTAAAAATACAAAAATTAGCTGGGCATGGTGGTGTGCGCCTGTAATATCAGCTACTCAGGAGGCTGAGGCAAGAGAATTGCTTGTACCTGGGAGGCAGAGGTTGCAGTGAGCTGAGATCACACCACTGCACTCCAGCCTGGGTGACAGAGCAAGACTCTGTCTCAAAAAAAAAAAAAATCCTTGTAGATTCATAACACACATAATACACAAATAACACACAAGATTATGCAAAGTGCTAAGGTTGTTGAAAACATAGGTGTTTAACTATATATATTTTTTGGTTTACACAACAGACATTTGTTTCTCTCGTTTCTCACAGTTCTAGAGGCTGGAATTTCAAGACCAAGTTGTTAGTAGGGTTGGTTTCTCCTGAGACCTCTCTCCTTGGCTTGTAGATGCCATCTCCTCCCTGTGTCCTCATGTGGCTGACACTCTGTGTGTGTCTGTGTCCTAATCTCCTCTTACTATAAAAACACAAGTCACATTGGATTAGAGTCCACCCCATGACATCATTTTACCATAATTACCTCATTAAACGCCCTGTCTTCAAATGCATTCTGAGGTACTGCGGGTTTTGACTTCAGCATATGAATTTGTCAGGGGCCCAGTTGAGCCCATAACACATCCCCATTAACATTCTATAGGAATAATACTCCTAAGACAATGGCTTTGAGACGCTGATCTTGAGGACTATCAAGACATCCCACAGTTACTCTAAAAGTGATCTGCAGAGATTTGAATGACCCATAACTATCTGACCATGTAAAGCCATCAGTTTCTCTTAGAGGTAATTGCCAAAAAAATTAATAGGCTCTAATAACCCTCCCTCATCAAGTTTGTGGTATTCTTCTTTAAAAAAGTTATTTCTGAAAAAATAAGCCCTTCAAGATGATCCTAAATGTTATTTAAGAATAGAATCTACCACCCAAATATTCACAACAATGCCAGTATCTTGTTTGGTATTCTATGATTGTAAAAGTCTTCAGCATATACTTGGTTCATTCAGTCAGACCTTGTGATTATAACTCAAAGGATCTCTGAGTCCTGGGTTCCCTGGAACTATCAGAGACAGAGACAGAGAGCGAGAGAGACAGAGAGAGACAGAGAGAGAGAGGGAGGGAAGATGTCCTGAGTTATGCTCTATGATTAAAGCAATTATTGGATTAACTATAAATCCAGCTGGATAAATTCTGAAAGAGGAAAATCCTTTTAACTTCCCTTTGCCTCTAATGAATCTGCATATCTTTTATTATTTTTTCCTTGAACTCATATTTATCTGCCAAGAATAATGCTGAGAACTGGCCACGCTTGCAATCGTTGAATGGAAACACCCCCTTCTGAAAATCCACGAGACTGATTCTCCACAAAAGCCTTCTGTGTGAAATAACAGCCAGTCAATCAGAAATTATTGGTGAAAGTAAAAGTTGGTCATATGACTTGACTAGGCTACTTACTGGTAGGCTAGTGTCCTGTGTGAATTGGTAGGTAGTGGCATAGTTGGGAAACACAGCAGTTTCCCTTACCGGAAATTGTAAGAAGTTTTTTGAGAAGAAGAACCTTTTCTATTCACAAGTGGGATGAAAGCAAGTTGAAAAGTGTCAACTTGTTTCTGCATTCATGAGATCCATAAGAACCAACATAGAAGAGTCGGGGGATGGACAATAAGAGCTTGTATTCATTCACCTTAAGCAACCATGGGCATAGCTAAGTGTTGTCTGCCTCACTCGAGTGGGTTATTAAGAACCCAGCAAAATAGCAAAGTGATCCAAAGAGGTCAAAGGACCCAGCATTATACCTTAATCACCTACCTTCTTAATTGTTCTAAAAGAGTACTCTTGGCCAGGCACGGTGGCTCACATCTGTAATCCCAGCACTTTGGGAGGCCGAGGTGGGCAGATCACGAGGTCAAGAGTTCAAGACCATCCTGGCCCACATGGTGAAACCCTGTCTCTACTAAAAATACAAAAATTAGCTGGCTGTGGTGGCACACGCCTGTAGTCCCAGCTACTATGGAGACTGAGGCAGGAGAATCGCTTGAACCCTGGAGGCAGAGGTTGCAGTGAGCTGAGATCATGCCACTGCATTCCAGCCTGGCGACAGAGCAAGACTCCTTCTCAAAAAAAAAAAAAAAAAAAAAGTACTCTTTCCACAAGAATCTAAATTTTTACAACAGTTTCCTCTTGGTTTCCCAAAGAACAAGCTCATTACCTTAGTGGTTTAGTGAAAAATCCAGACTACTTTTATTTTTAAATGTTACTTACTAGCACTATTCACAATAGCAAAGACATAGAACTCAAATGCCCATCAGTGATAGACTGGATAAAGAAAATGTGGTACATGTACAGCATGGAATACTATGCAGCCATAAAAAGGAATTAGATCATGTCCTTTGCAGAGAAATGAATGAAGCTGGAAGCCATCATCCTCAGCAAACTAACACAGGAACAGAAAACTAAACACTGCATGTTCTCACTCATAAGTGGGAGCTGAACAATGAGAACACATGGACACAAGGAGGGAAACAACACACACTGGGGCCTGCAGGGAGGGTCGGGGAGAGAGAGCATTAGGGTAAATAGCTAATGCATGCCGGGCTTAATACCTAGGTGATGGGTTGATAGGTGCCGCAAACCACCATGGCACATGTTTACCTATGAAGCAAACCTGCACTTTCTGCACTTGTATCCTGGAATTTAAAATAATTTTTTAAAAAATGTTGCTTACTGACACATTGATACAAGGAGCTGTATTTATGAATCTGTATTCCTGATTTCTCTATAAGTTGAAACCAGAAAACAAGCCTCAAAGCCTTCCAAAATCAGGAAAGCCAATTTATTTGTATGCAATATAATCACCTACCATGTGAAATGCCTGGAATTCAGCATTATACTTTTCTGGAGGACATAATGATGATTGTATAATGCTACTGAAATTGTTGAATGTAGAACTCTCAAATCACTCAATAAGTCTCTACTATTTAAGCATTCATTTGAATCCATTGAATATGTATATCTTTTCTTTAGCACATTTGAGTTTATATGTAGGATTCATCGTGTGGAAAAATAGTTAAGCAAATAGTTTCTTGTTAATACCTGAAATAATAACTTCTTGCATGTCAATGGTTTGAAGCGGTGCAGAATATAGGAAAAAATGTACACTATCGTCAATGTTATAAACTGGAGACAGACAAACTGCATCAGGTATGCATTGTTCGAATCAAAGAAGGCAAATGTTGTAATAAGTAGAGTGCAATGTTGTGTGTTGGAGATAGGGAAGACATTATCAGAATCTGTAGCCTCAGAAACGTCTTCTCAATCTTCTGTTGTCCAGTTTATTCCTCTTGTCTATGCCATGAACTGAAGAGTCATGATAATTTATCCTCCTTCTTCTATGATTAGTAACTCTTCCTTTCAGCTTCAAAGTGCTCTCTCTTTCTCTTTGTTTCATACACATCCTTTATTATTTTATATTCTCATGCATTCATTCAGATACTCATCCACTCATCCATCTGTCCTGATTCCAATTATCCATCTGTTTACCTAAAATTTATTAAGCACCTTCTTTGAGCTGGGCATTTTATTAAGGACTGCATAGATAAAGAGAAAGTCATCTATTCAACAGCAGTGCCAATGTTGTAAGCAGTGGGAATTGTGCAGCAAAGCACAACCAAAAAAAACAAAATGAAAAACCAAATTCCTACACTTATGAGATTTACATTTGAGTGGGATGACTAGGGTGATGTTTTCGACCTCTCTGAGTTCAAAATCAACTTGGAACTGAGTTTTAAAAGTCTAGGCCGGGCGCAGTGGCTCACGCCTGTAATCCCAGCACTTTGGGAGGCCGAGGCGGGTGGATCATGAGGTCAGGAGATCGAGATCATTGTGGCTAACAGGGTGAAACCCTGTCTCTACTAAAAATACAAAACGTTAGCCGGGTGTGGTGGTGGGCACCTGTAGTCCCAGCTACTCGGGAGGCTGAGGCAGGAGAATGGTGTGAACCCTGGTGGCAGAGCTTGCAGTGAGCCGAGATCGCACCACTGCACTCCAGCCTGGGTGACAGAGTGAGATTCTGTCTCGAAAAAAACAAACAAACAAACAAACAAACAAAACTATTTGTTTTACATCTCTATTGAGTACCATCTTAACTCTGAAGCTTAGAATGCAAGGCTATTTCAGAATTCAGCAGTCTCTATCTGGGCTCCACCTCCCCCTGCCCCCTCCCCTTCCTCCTCCTCCTCCTCCTTCTTCCTCTTCCTCTTCCTCTTCTTCTTCTTTTTCTTCTTCTTCCTCTTCTTCTTCCTTCTTCTTCTTCTTCTTCTTCTTCCTCCTCCTCCTCTTCCTCTTCCTCTTCTTCCTCTTCTTCTTCTTCTAGGACAGTGGTCTCTTTATATTGCCCAGGCTGGTCACCAACTCCTGGCCTCAAGTAATCCTCCTGCCTCAGTCTCCCAAAGTGCTGGAATTGCAGGCATGACCCATCATTCCCAGCTCTGTTTGGCCCTTATTTTATCTTTACTCTCCTCTCCTTGCCTTTCCTCTCCTCTTTTCTTCTTTGTTCTCATCCTCCTCCTCCTCTTCCTTCCCCTCACCTCTTTTTTTTATTTCTCCTCCTCTTTCACATCTTCCTTCTTCTCCTCCTCTTTCTCCTCCTCCTTATTCATCTTTTTCTTCTCTCTCCTTCTCTTTCTTTCTCTTTCCCTGTCTCCTCTCTTACCCACTTTTTCTCAATTTCTGCATGATATGAAGTGTTCAACCATGTTCCACGCTATGCCGTAATACTCCTTTGCTTTGCAAAGTCCATCTCTTCTCACCTGGAATGTCTTCCTATTTCTAGCAAACGTAAGCTCCCTTTTTCTGGAACCCTTGCTTAACTATCTCAGGCAAACTTAGGTCTACCACAGTGAACAAAAACAAATCCCCTGCCCTGGGAAACGACATTTGTATGGGATTTCCCTGGTACTGTAGCTCATTTAAGTGCCTCAGTAATACAACTCAACTAAGCTGCATTGGATTTTTTTAAATGACTGCTGTCCTCATTATGCTGGAAGACTCTTGAGGACACAAACAAAACTTTCGTGTTGATTCACCTGCATATTCTGAACACAGCAGTTGTTGAATACATATCTGTTAGATAAATGAACAGATGGGTTGCTGAGATGATCTTCCAAAGCAGGTTTTCAGTGGGAACAGGGATCAGAATATCTGACCATTGGTTGAATTTAGACTGTTGTCTTGGCATCATTTGGCTGGAGAATAAAAGATGGCTTTTAGGTGCTTTTAGAAGACCAGTGAGTCAGGTTGATGGTCCAATAGGGGCAGTATCCAAATCATAGAAAGACCTTCCAACAAAGCTTCTGCAACCAAAAGATAAGACACTTTCTGAGTGACAAAGACCACCTGATTCTGCAAGTACTCTGCACTGGGTAAAACGTGCACCAGGAAGTAGAAAAAATAGGGGCAAGGGCAAGTGCAACCCAGCTAGAAGGCAATAGCTCTTCTGGAGGGGAAAACAGTCATGAATGAGTCATTAGACTAAGTGAGACCCCTAGCTCAAGCATCTACTAACTCAGTAAACTTAGATCGGGCATGTCACCTCTCTGATTCTTAGTTTTCTCATCTGTAGAATGAGAAGAACTCTGCCTAGGATTGTTTAGAAGACAAAACTTAAAAGCATGTAAAGTGCTTTGTAAGCTCTGATGACTCTACACCTAAAATCTTAGTTTGGGGACATTCAGCCAAAGCTGTAGGTTTGACTTATGTATGAGCCCCTTCTAACACTGCTATGAAGAAATACCTGAGACTGGGTAATTTATAAGGGAAAGAGGTTTAACTGACTCAGTTCCACATGGTTGGGAAGGCCTCGGGAAACTTACAATCATGGTGGAAGGGGAAGCAAACATGTCCTTTTTCACATGGTGGCAGAAGAGATAAATGAGTGCCCAGTGAAGCTGGAAGCCCCTTATAAAACCATCAGATATTCTGAGAACTAACTCACTATCATGAGACCAGCATGGGGGAGCCACCCCATAATCTATTCACCTCCCACAAGTTCCCTCCCACAAGTTCCCTCCCACAACATGTGGGGATTATGGGAACTACAATTCAAGATGAGATTTAGGTGGGGGCACAACCAAATCATATCAACTTAGTACCTTGACAGAGATGAATATCTGCCGATGTACATCACAATTATTTTGTTTTAGTATATGAAAGATATATTATGTTTTGGTTATCTCAATGCTATGAGTATTGACTGTGACTTTTCACACAGTCATCATTTCAGAATGTCTTCAAGCAGTTTCAGGAACAGCAGACATTTAAAATCACTTACCCTTTTCCCAGTTGCTCAATGTTTGACATCCACATTTATCATAATAGAACACAACATGGTTGCTATGGAGATTGATATGTTTTTCATGTTTCCATACAGTTAATGGCATTGTGTGTCCAAGAATGCACAAAATGCTACCCATGGAGTAAAGCAGATGTATTTTGGTCTTTTCTCCCACAATTCCAAATGCACCTTTTACGATCCTCTTCACAGGAGAGTGACAAGGGTTGGTTGTACTCTAGTGCCAAGTCTTACTCTTTATTCTTACCTTCTATTTCACTAAGTGCAAAATAAAATCAATGAGGTACTAGTGGAAACCTCAAGTTAGACCACAGCCTGATGGCTGATTGCTTCTATTTAAACAATTTTAAGTAGAGACTTACTCTGACACATTAAAATGTAATAATTCTAAATTGGATACACTCGAAGGTCCTTATCAGAAATGAGGATTTGTGTTATATTTTAGTAACAGAACTAGATTTGGATCTAGAAGAATTAGGTCTCACCTCTAACTTTCTGCTGGTCACTTAATCTCTCTCAGTTGACATTTCTCATCTTTAACATAGGAGGGTTGGACTAAATCTACCTACAAGCTCTTCTTACTGTGAGATTTCCATTAAGCCTGTATTTTGGACACTTTTAATTCAGAAAGCATTTGCTAAATAAAATTGAAGTGACAAAATTCCATTTGCTTCATAGTGCAAATTGCACTGAGTGCATGGTCTAATATTGTTTGTTTGATAATTGGCTTTAAAATGCCTTCTTATAAACTGCACGGTGTATGTGTGTATGAATATTAACTTTATTTGCAGTCCAGTCTAGAGCCTTAGTATTTTAAGAATCTTAATCAGAAATCCAAACATATCCAAAAGTTTATATTCCAAATATCCTTTTTGGAATCAACAACAGAGTGTCCTTATTTATCATAAGGTGTACTAGAAATAAGTTTTTTTGGTGGGTGACATGGACAGTGACTATATATATGGTAATATAGTGTGGCAGGCCGAATAATGCCTCTACCAAAGATGTTCATATACGAATTCCCTGAAACTGTGAATATGTCACTTGCACGACAAAAGGCTATTCTGGTCCCAGATGGAATTAAAATAGGGAGATTTTTAAAATAGGGAGATCATCTTGGATTATCTAGGTGGGCCCAATGGAATCACAGAATCTTTAAAAGTGGAAGAGAAAGACAAATAAGTCAGAGTGATAATGGCATGAAACCTGCTATTGCTGGCTTTGAAGATGGAAATTGGGGCCATGCCTCAAGAAATATAGGTGGTCTCTAGATGCTAGAAAGAACAAGGAAACATTTTCTCCCTTAGAACTTCCAGAAGGAATGAAGCCCTGACAACACCTTGATACTAACACATTGAGAGCCATGCTGGATTTCTTCAGAACATATGACAATAACTTTGTGTTGTCTTAAACCACTAAGTGTGTGATGCTCTGTTACATTGGCCATAAAGAACTAATACACATAATTTGTATGTGTCTGAGAATGTGGGCAGCCCAGCACCAAGTAGCTTCAGGCCAATGTTCATGTTCTATAGTCCAGTGAGTCCCATGTAGCCCACCCTTCGTCACCCTCTACACTTCCAGGGGAGACTTTTGTCCAAAGCAATCTTAAACATGTATAAATCTGACTTTGGAATATCATTCTTTCTATGTCAATGGGTATCTTTTGTGAAAAGCTCCTGTGTACGGAGACTATTCTTGAGGTTATCACAGTGTGTCTGTAGGCTAATAAATATTTGTTCTGTTGGTGGGGTTGATCTCCATGGTAAAGCATCCCCTAGAAAGCCAAGTTCTGGGGCTGGTCTTATATTGGGAGCCTCCTGATATGGTCCAAGGAACCTGGGAACTGATGAACAGCTAAATTGGCTTAGGTCAGGTGAGAAAGTTTAAAACAAAGGAAAGAAAAGCCTATAGATTTGACTATAATTAATTCAATAATTATAAATGAGCATGTTTGTTCATTATAGTCAGCACTATGGGCAAATATTTTAAGCATTTAATTTTTCAATGAGCATTGTAGAAATTCATACTTTTCACTAATTTAGACTGACCTTTTCCATCAGTTACCCTTAAGTCATTAATATTATGCTGTCATTAATTTGCTAGAATACAATCAGCCTAGAGTCAATTCTGAACATCACAGAATTAGCGTGGACATTTAAGTCATTACTGAAAATCAAACTCTCTTTTTTGTTGAGTGATAAGTAGCCATAATGTGCACATTAATTGGGATAAGCTACCCTGAGATGAAAGGAAGGGGGTTAAATTTATCATTTAATTATAAAGCAATCTTCTATTTTATCTTCTAGATTTAAACTCCTTGACTGCAAGGGCTAGATGTACTTGCTTGGGTCTCTCCCAAAATGCCTGTCACAGGGCTTGATCAGCCATGAATATATTTAAATTGCACTCATCAAAAGCACATGTAGATGTCTCTGAGAGAATTAGGGTGAAAAAATCGATAAAATAATTAGGCAGGCTATTTTTTGTGGGAAGTAACAGATGAATGGGGAATTTTCAATGCTAACGAATCAAAATGGGGCCGGGCGCGGTGGCTCACGCCTGTAATCCCTGCACTTTGGGAGGCCGAGGCGGGCGGATCATGAGGTCAGGAAATCGAGACCATCCTGGCTAACACGGTGAAACCCCGTCTCTACTACAAATACAAAAAATTAGCCAGGCGCCTGTAGTCCCAGCTACTCGGGAGACTGAGGCAAGAGAATGGCATGGAGCCGGGAGATGGAGCTTGCAGTGAGCCGAGATCGCGCCACTGCACTCCAGCCTGGGCGACATGAGGGAGACTCCGTCTCAACAACAACAACAAAAAAATCAAAATGAATAAGAAAGTTGTGTTCTGGGTCAGCATTCGTTCCATTCAAAGTAGGAATGAAGAAAAATTTGGAAAATCTGCCCATTGCGGAGCTTACAGTTTAGTGACACAGGTGTCCCTGAGATGTTTTTGTCCAGTGTGAAAATGTGGGAATTAGAAGTCCTTATACACTCAGTGTTCTGGCGAATCATCCTTGCTGCTCCTAGATTTGACTTATGTCTAATGTTAAACTCCCTTTCTATGTCTGGGCAGCCAAGATAATTTAATTTTAATGTTTTCAAAAGAAATGGCTTTGATTCTGAGAGGTAAAGAGAAATATACAAGCAAAAGGGTTTTTAAAAACATACGAAGCATTGAAATCTCAATTATTAGATTCAATTCTATGTAATGAGAATATTAGATATTGTAAATTTAATTATGTGAAATGAACATAGAAAAAACAAACTTAAAAGCAAACAAGCCAAGAAATGTTTAACATTCATTTCCAAAAATTACTGAATCATGGGTGAACTGCACTTTCTGCTTTTTTGATCTTTTCAGTATCTTTTTATAGAGAGCTTACACTGTCAAAGAAAAAATAATAGTTTAAAAATTATTTTAAATCGATAAACATATAATTTAAGTTGTCCATTTCATTATATAAATAACTAATAGAACCTATGTTATTTGCTGAGATTTCACACATTTTCCACAACTTTTCATGACACATACAAAACTTTGATATTGATCTAAATATCAGTCTTTAATTTGAGAAATACATGTTTCCTCTCAAATACCTGTGGTTTACGATTTTACTAATCAGCAGGGTAATATGGTATTCTGGGAAATTGTATAGGACTTGCTTTTATGTTCACACATAAGATGAAATTCAGATAATCACAGGTATTGAAAATAAACACTTTGCAAGTGCTTGGATGAGCTGAATTCAATTTAAAAAGAAAACTAGCACTTTGCCTAAACACATATAATTGTATGTACTTAAATCATTATATACTAATTTGGATTAAAAGAAGGTGTCATAACTTCAAATTCAATATGAAGATCACAGCGTATTATAACAATTCACTGTCTCTGTGGGTCTTTTAGCTCTTGGCTTTCTCTCCCGAAGAAACTCGTGCAATGAGCTGGGCAATCTTACCTTGCAAACACACATCACACCATCAAAATAACTGGTCTTAAAGGAAAAAGGAAGCTTGCAAGTATTACATGTTCTCCCAAAATGTTTTGTAAAATAAATAGATGGAGCAATCTTTTCAATGATAAACATGATCATTATTCAGATATTTAAGATCCAGACATTTTTCTTTATAGAGTGACTTACTCTGAAATGTACCCTGGGTCCTTCAATCATTCTCCAGAGACAGTGTCCAATGCAGACAATAGATAATTGGCTCTCTCACTTCCTAACTGTGTGACATTTCATCTCTTGAGCTCTATGATTATGTTTCCCTATAAACAAAATGGAGGAGGAGATGATTCATAAAGATGAATTTATTTACTGATCAAACACATATGCTTTTATTAGGTTGGTCCAAAAGTCACTGCGATTTTTGCCACTGAAAGTAAAGGCAAGAACTGCAATGGCTATTGAACTAGGTGCCGTATCATGCTCAGGGATTATAAAGATGAGTATTGGCTCCTTTTATTGTGCTCAAGCCTCACTGTTCGTTATCAAACCTACATGTATAAATCAACTCTGTACTGAATGTGAGAGGTAGAGGCTTTGTGCAACAAGACTTGACCGCCTCCTGGTTTTGTGTAGATCTCACTAGAATATAAGTAGCTTCAGGGCAAGGATTTCTCTCTGTTTTGTGCTCATTTGTATCCACAACGACAGAAGTGCTTGGAATACAGTTCAAGAAAAGTTTGCTGAATCAGCAAATGGCCAATGCTTTCCAGTGGGATTTTCTACAATCATAGAAATCAGTGTTGCCCAATATGGTAGCAGCTAGCCACATATGGCTATTGAGCGATTTTATTGTGGCAGATGTAAACAATTGTATTAGTTCATTCTTACACTGCTATGAGGAAATACCCAAGACAGGGTAATTTATAAATGAAAGAAGTTTAATTGACTCAGTTCTGCAAGGCTGGGGAGGCCTCAGGAAACTTTCAGTCATGGTGGAAGGGGAAGGAAATACGTCCTTCTTCACGTGGCAGCAGTAAGGAGAAGAATGGGAGCACAGTGAAGGGGAAGCCCCTTATAAAACCATCAGATCTCGTGAAAACTTACTATCATGAGAACAGCATGGAGGAAACTGCCCCCATGATTCAATTACCTCCCACTGGGCCCCTCCCACAACATGTGGGGATTATGGGAACTACAATTCAAGATGAGATTTGGGTGGGGACATAGCCAAACCATATCAACAAGTAACCAGTTTTTAAATTTAATTGAAGAAAACAAATTTAAATGGCCACAGGAAGCTGTTGGTTACCTTAATAGACAGCACAGGGCTCATGTTTTCATTTGGTGTTTTCTAAAAGGATGAAATACTAGTTTTATTTTTGGTGACTAGCCTAGGTGCACTTAATTTTCTCTTACAAACTCATAAAATAACAAAACTAGGAAAGGAATGACCCCAAGTTTGCTTTAATATTCTCCATTTATGGTGTATTTTTTATACAGAAATTTTGATTAGTGGTTTCCTTTGTGACTTATCTATACTTTCATCGTTAGAAAGACCTTCCCACTCCAAGATTATAAATTCTCCCATCCTTCCTTCTAGTATATTTAATACAAGCATAGCTTCATTGTTTATATTTAAATCATTGATCTATTTAGAATTGATCCGTGAATATATTGTGGGACATGGATCTAGATTTTTCTTTTTCTTTTTCATCTTTTTTTAGAGATGGGGTCTTGTTCTGCTGCCCAGGAGAGAGTGGAGTGGGGTGATCACAGCTCACTGTAGCCTCAAACTCCTGAGGTCAAGTGATCCTCTTGCCTGAGCCTTCCAAACAGCTGGGACCACAGGTATATGCCTATCATGACCTAATAATTATTTTTATTTTTGTAGAAGTGAGATCTTGCTTCGTTGCCCAGGTTGGTATTGACCTTCTGGCTTCAAAGGATCCTCCCTCCTAAGTCCCTCCCTTCCCAGATTTAAATTTTTCCATAAGGCTAACCAAGTGTTCCAATCTGTTTGTTGAAATTTATCTTTTCCCAAAGATTGACATGCCAGCTATTCATGTCCGGAATTCCTATATACATTTTACCTATTCTGGACTCTTTGGTCTGTTCCATTGGTTTGTCTCTATGTCTGCTTACCAATGCCATGTTACTTTAATCATTGAGGATTTATAATATGCTACAAGACTATTTCAATGACTTTTAACCATCCTCTTCATTGTTTTTATTTTCCAAAGGCTTCCTAGTTATTCTTTGTTCATTTTTCTAATATGGTCTTCCAATTAGTGGTTGTTTATTATATATGTGACCATCATTTGTTTTTATATATTATTTTGTATTCCCTACTGAATTTCCAAATGGCAAACCAGGAGAAACATTGTGATTCATATCACAAGCAAAGGACTGAACTCCTTCCTCTAGGAGCGGCTCCTAGGAGGTGATTATTAAAAGATCAACAAGCGATAGATAGCAAACGGGCAAAGGGTATGCATGGACAGTTCCTAGAAAAAAAAAAAAGAATTCGGCCAGGCATAGTGGCTCAAGCCTGTAATTCCAGCATTTGGGGAGGCAGAAGTGGGTGGATTGCTTGAGCCTAGGCATTCAAGACCAACCTGGGCAACACAGCAAAACCCCATCTCTACAAAAAATACAAAAATTAGCTGGGCATGATGGCTCATGCCTGTAGTCCCAGGTACTCAGAAGGCTGAGGTGAGAGGATCGCTTGAGACCAGGAGATGGAGGCTGCAGTGAGCTATGATGACACCACTGCATTCCAACCTAAGCGTCAGAGTGAGACCCTTTCTCAGAAAAAAAAAAAAAAAAAAAAAAAAAGGAATTCAAATGGCTTTTGAAAAAGGGAAGATATGCATGTTAAAATAATACAATTATTATGTAAGCAAATTACAAGTTCACTGAAATATTTTAAAATGTATTACATGAGGAGGAGAAAGAGGTAGGCAAGAAAAAGGAAGAGGTGGAAGAGGAGGAAGAAAGGGAGGAGAATGAGCAAATATTGGTTACAGCCAAATTATAACTCAGAGTACACTAGTTCCTTCTTGTGTCTATTCACGGGGAGGGTCGTCTTCATTTCTTTACCTGTATCCAGCTTCCCAGTACAAAATAAACGCCTGTGATTAGGTTCAGGAAGCATACTCTGTGAGTATTTGCAAGAGCCTGGGTGCTGGCTTCTCAGATGCAAACACTGCAGTCCCTCTATGAGGCAATTGCTGATAAGGTGAAGTCACTTTGAGACCACTTTTGCTGACTGACTTACCATATTCCGAATCACTTGTTGGTGCTGTCTCTCTCCCTTTGATGGAAAAAGAGAAACCAGCCTGTTTTATGTGGAAAGTTTCCATGTGTCTTAGCAACTTCTCACTCTCAAGTTGACTGTGAGTCGTTTTCCTGTTTGTCTCATCTCTGCCAGTGCACGGAGCTCACAGGAGCAGCTGAAGCAAGGAGAATAATGAGAGAACAGACTGTCCCGAAAGAGACAATTTGGGAATATCTCACCATAAGGAGGGAAGCTAAGAGTTGGGAGAAAACTTAGGCTGATGGATACAAGGAGAACCTGACTTTGCCCACCAAGAGTTTTGACAAAAACAAATAGTAGTAACAAATAATAATAATAATAATAATAATAATAGCAGATAAGTGGTGTGGGAAGCATGATCCTGATACCCTCAACATCCTTCTGTGGCTGACTGTGGCTTTGACTTGAAAGAGAAAGCACATTGAAGCATCATATGCCCAAGCCACAGGAGCAGGTTTATTCTAGACCTGCTCTTCAATATGGTGGCGAGTCAACACAGGTGGTCATTGAGTGCTTCAAATGGGGCAAGTCTAAATATGGATAGATTGCAAGTATCACATACACACCTGATTTCAAAATATGTTAATAGGTAAAATATTTCCTTGATATTTTTAACTATTGATTACCTATGTTGAAATAATAATATTTTAGATATAAAGTTGACTGTTAAACAACATGGGGTTTAGGGGTGCCCACCCCTGAGCCATTGAAAATATGCGTATAACTTTGGACTCACTCAAAAATTAACAACTAATAGCCTACTATTAGCCTTATCAGTAACATAAATAGTGGATTAACACATATATTGTATGTTATATGTATTATATACTGTATTCTTACAATAAAGTAAGCTAGAGAAAAGAAAATGTTGTTAAGAAAATCATAAGGAAAAGAAAATATATTTGCTATTCATTAAGTGGAAGTGGATCACCATAAAGGCCTTTATCCTCCTTGTCTTCACGTTGAGTAGGCTGAGGAGGAGAAGGAAGAGGAAAGGCTGGCCTTGCTGTCTCAAGGGTAACAGAGGAAGAATAAACTCTATATGTAAGTGAACCCACACAATTCAGACCTGTGTTGTTCAAGGGACAATTTTATTGAGTTAAGGAAAATATGTTATTCAAGTCAATTTCACCTATCCTATCTACATTGTTTTAAGGCATGCTACTAGAAAATTCAAAATGACACATGTGGTTTGCACATATTTCTGTTGGATTATGCTATTGTAAATTGTCCACATCAATAAACTTAGGCTGGGTGCAGTGGCTCACACCTGTAATCTCGGCACTTTGGGAGGCTGAGGCACGAGAATCTCATGAGCCCAGGATTTGGGGACCAGCCTGGACAACACAGCGGGACCTCATCTGCACAAATGTATCGTGTGCACCTGTAGCACTAGCTACATGGGGGGCTGAGGTGGGAGGATTTCTTGAGCCCGGGTATTCGAGGCCTCAGTGAGTTGTGGACAACAGAGTGAGATCCTGTCTTTTGAAAATAAAAAAAAAATGAATACAAGAGCAAAAACATGGAAAGAGCTGAGCTCTCTCTTTAGCTAAGTTACTGTGGACTTTGCCTAGGCAGGTGACATGTGCGTCACATGATGCAGGACATGGCTTGCATCTCCTTGGGCCCTCATTAACCCATCCCTAACTCTATCCCCTGAGCATCGCGTCTCCATCTCTTACCTCCTTCTTAACCCCCTTTCTTTGTTTTCTCATAATGTAAACATTGTCCTGCATTCATTAGATGTAAACCTTACAAAAATCACTTGCTGTTTTTTTTTCCCTTTCCATATAAAACAGTCCCCTTTCTCCTTGATTTTGTGTCTGGGACATGCTTTCATCCACTACAGCATTGTTCCGTCTTAGAGTGGGAGAAGTCATGTTCCAACATCACTCCTCCCTTCTCTATTCAGAAGACTTAATCCCAACACAAACTCTCCCCTCTCCAAACACATATTCCTCAGAAAGACCTTCTGGCCATGGAGAGAACTATAGGACCGTAGAAGTGAGGAAACATTGCCAGATTTTTCCCTTTGTTATGGAAGGTCCCAGTTCAACAAGGTCTTCTTTCCCCAAATAAAATTACGCCTGAAACACAGAAGCCAGTTATTTAATACTTTGGTAGACTTGTCATGGAACCATGACAATAAGACTTAAATATGTATATATAAAAATATGTATATATAAATATGTATATGTATATATGTATCTATAAATATGTATATGTATATATAAATATGTATATATGTGTATATATATTAGATCTAGTAAACTTAGAAGTGACTCAAAACAATGGTTTTTAACATTTCCACTTATCTGCCCTTCCATTTAAAGCTCTACCTCACCAGACCAGATCTTGCATAAATGCACATCTTTTAAACAGTACCTTCAAAGAAATTTATTTTGCACCCTCACTGATGAGAGTGTTTTAATCAGTTGAAATGTAGGTCATAACTTAAACTTCCAATCTAGAAAATGCCTGTTTGACATAGAAAGTTATTTTGAGATGTTGGTTGCTAAACACCAGTCTTTAAAATATAATTAACTTGGCTGGGTGCAGTGGCTCACACCTGTAATCACAGCATTTTGGGAGGCCAAGGTGGGTGGATTGCCTGAGCTCAGGACTTTGAGATCAGCTTAGGCGACATGGTGAAACCCAGTCTCTACTTAAAATACAAAAATTAGCTGAGTATGGTGGCAGGTATCTGTAATCCCAGCTACTGGGGAGGCTGAGACACAAGAATTGCTTGAACCTAGGAGGTGGAGGTTGCAGTGAGCTGAGATTGTGCCACTTCACTCCAGCATGGGCAACAGAGCAAGACTCTGTCTCCAAAAAACAAACAAACAAACAAAACATAATTAACTTGCACAAATGATAGATCCCTGAGAAAGAGGCTACTTGCAAAGGGTATCCGAAGGGTATCAGAGTGCAGATTCTAAAACTTTGTAAATCACAGTTGAGATTATCAATGAAAGTTTGTCCCCTCCTTGCTAAGGAAAGGTGAGGAGGACACAGTATGTCTTACTTTAGGATTCCCTCTGGGGTAGGCTGAATAATGGCCCCCAAAGTTCTCCATGTCCTAATCCCCAGAACCTGTAAATATGTGACCTTGCATGGCAAAATGAACTTTGCAGATGTGGTTAGGTTAAGGACATTGAGAAGGCAAGATTGTCCTGGATTATGCAGATGGGTTGTTATAAAAGGGATGCAGTGGGGTCAGAGGCAAAGAAAAAGATGAGACAGCAACAACAACAATGACAACAGACGCTAGAGTGACACAGGGCCATGAGCTAGAGGATGTGAACACCTTCTAGAAGCTAGAGAAAGCAAAGAGCTGACTGCTTCCTACAGCCTCCATAAGAAATCAGCCTGCTGGGGGGAATGCAATTTAGTTCAGCCAGCAGTTTAGAGACTTCTTCAAGAACTTACATCAGAATTACCATTCAACCCAGCAAACCCATTACCAGGTATCTACCCAAAGGAAAATAAATCATTTTACCAAAAAGACACATGCACTTGCGTGTTCAGCACAGCAGTATTCACAATAGCAAAGACATGGAATCAACCTATGTGCCCATCAATGATGGACTGCATAAAGAAAATGTGGTACATATACATCATGAAGTACTATGCAGTCATATAAAAAGAACAAAATTATGTCCTTTGCAGCAACATGGATGCAGCTGAAGGCCATTATGCTAAGTGAACTAATTCAGAAACAGAAAAACAAATACCATGTTGATATGGTTTGGCTGTGTCTCCAACCAAATCTCATCCTGAATTGTAGCTCCCATAATCCCCACATATCATGGGAAGGACCCTGTGGGAGGTAACTGAATTATGGGGGTGGGTTTTTTCTTGTGCTGTTCTCATGACTGTAAGTCTCATGAGATCTGTGCAGTTGCCCTGCAGAGATCTCATGAGCATGCAGTTCCCCTGCACACTATCTCTTGCCTGCCGCCATGTAAGATGTGCCTTTGCTCCTCCTTTACCTTCCACCATGATTGTGAGGCCTCCCAGCCATGTGGAACTGTGAGTCCATTAAACCTCTTTTTCTTTATAAATTACCCAGTCTCAGGTATTTCTTTATATCAGTATGCAAATGGACCAATACACATGTTCTCATTTATAAGTGGGAGCTAAACAACAGATACACATGGACATAAAGATTGGGACAATAGACACTGGGGTTTTGAATGGTGGGAGGAAGAGGAGGCAAGTGTTGAAAAACTTCATGTTAGGTGGGCACAATATTCACTACCTGAGCAATGGGATCATTAGAAGCCCAAACCTCAGCATCACACAATATACCCTAGTAACAAACCTGCACATGTGTTCCCTAAATCCAAAATAAAAGTTGAAATTAAAAACAAATCAGCCATGCCAACAGTGTGATTTTAGGACTTCTGACCTCCAATTCTATAAGAGAATAAGTTTGTCTTATTTTAAGTCACTGTGTTTGTAATACTTTTTATACCAGCAAAAGAAAACAAATATACCTTCTCACATCCAGAACTTTTGTTAACTCTTCATTTTCCCTCATCTGATAGACTCTCACCTTTTCTTATTTTCCCCTTCTGTAAGGACAGTTGGCTGAAGCTAGCTTGAACTGGTTCATGGAAACCAACTGGGGTCATCTCCTCCCATCTCCAAATTCAATAACAACATTTTGCAACTTGGATTCAGACATGATAGGAATATTTACATCATGGAAATTGGAAAATGCTCCAAATTAGCACCTCAAGACACTCCTTCATGAGACTTCAATTTTCTTTAAAATTCACCAATCATTCCCACTTTCTTGGATAATAGGTTTGGAAAAAATCAGGAAATTTTGCCTTGGAGTCCTTGCCCTAGGTTCAATGATTTTTATTATAATGCAGATATATCTGGTTGAATATTGACTTGATATAACACCTAAAATGTACTTAATAGTAACAGGTGTATGTAAAATATTTTAAAGCATTGACATAAACTAGAATTAGAGTAATCTTAGGAAATATTTACAGGTAGAATAGATGGGAAGAACAGAATATAAAGTAGACATTAAGAAAGAAGGCAGACTTGGTTGTAGAACAATTGACGGTCTATATGTGCAGAAATACAGAAGCGAATACAAGGAAGATAACGGTTTAAAGCGATTTGGAAAGAAGAATTAGTACTAGATGATAGCAGATCTTTCCACTTCAGTATAAGCCTTCTATATGTATTGAATATAGGAATAACACATACAAACCACACAGTACCTTATTAGTATAATTCAAAATAACTGATTTCGCATGCGTGAAAACGAAATGTCACTACTTATACAAATCTATGCCGTGATGTTGACATTCGAGACTGCAGGAAAACTGGAGTCATTGAAGGATACCTTTGCACCAAATCTGATCAGGGGTAGGTAATTTTTTGCCTCGAAGTCTTCCCTTGGGTGCATCTTGAATACCTCTTCTCTCTCTTCTGTAGTGATTGATGTATCCTCTTTGGGACTTGGTGTATCTTTACACTTTTCCATCTTGCCAATTTTACACATTGGCAGTGAGAATTTCTGCTGTTGGCATCTTCAGCAGAATCTCAGTCCTTTTGTACTTCCACACAAGGCTATTTTTACTTTCAGTCTTATTCTTAATCACTCCTGCTGTGTCAGAAACGCAGGCAATATAGGGCTAGTAAATCCTCAGTAACTGCCTCTCCAGAGGACTTGGGGTGGAGGTTTGATTTGCAATGTTTGTCAATTTCTACGGTGTAGATACTCCCACTGAGACTGATTTCAAGTGATCAGTGTGATGTCGTTGAATGTGTAGTTGGGAGGAGATGAACTCGACAAGTTCCCCCCAAAATTTGGTGTTGAATGTAAAGCAACTCTGAGCACCATTGACTGAAGTCAAACCACATAGACAAAGCCTGTTCATGAAGTCAACTAAAACAATTCAACAACAAATAAACAAATTACCCCATGAAAAATTGGGCAAGAGGGCATGAGTAGACATTTTTTAAAAGAAGACATACAAAAGCCAATGAGTCTATGAAAAATCTTCATCATCTCAAATCATCAGAGACCACAATCATCACCATTGTGGTCCAAGTCAAAACCACAACGAGATATCATCTTTTGCCAGTCAGAATGGCTGTAATTAAAAACTCAGAAAATAGCAGATGTTGGTGAGGATGTGAAGAAAAGGGAATGCTTATACACTGTTGGTGGGAATGTAAATTAGTAGAACCTCAATGGAAAACTGTGGAGATTTCTCAAATAACTAAAAATAGAACTACCATTGATTCAACAATGCCACTACTGGGTATCTACCCAAAGGAAAAGAAATTGTTGTATAAAAAAGATACCTGCACTTGTACATTTATTGCAGCACAACTCACAATAGGAAAGATATAATATCAACCCAGGTTCCCATCAATGGTGGACTGGATTAAGAAAATGTGGTATAATACACCATGCAATATTACGCAGCCATAAAAAGAAGAAAATCATGTCTTTTGCAGCAACATGGATGGAACTGGAGGCCATTATCTTAAGTGAAGTAACTCAGAAAGGAAAATTAAATGCTGCATATTCTCACTCACAAGTGGAAGCTAAATAATGTACACATGGACAAAGAGAGTGGAATAATAGAAATTGGAGGCTTATGAAGGGATTGAGGGATGAGAAATTTCTTAATAGGTATAAAGTACACTATTTAGTTGATGGCTACACTAAAAGCCAGGCTTCATTACTGTGCAAGATATCTATGTAACAGAATTGCACATGTACCCCCTAAATACATACTTTAAAAAAGAAAGAATAACTATCTTGATAAAAAGGGAAATCTAGGAAGCTTCCATAATCCATATTGTAACTCCAGTAAAGTTATAACTGTGAGGTCCTGCGTTGGGTGTCCCAATACAAAATCTGTAAAAAAAAAAAAAATTAAATAAAATGAAGTTGTCAGAGCACAGAATTGTGCATGTGGGAAAGATACTAGGTTTCAAATCTGGGAGTGTACACCCACCAGCATTGATTCTCATGAGATTTACAGCTTTCCTCATGCCAAGAAGTCATTGGCACTTGCAATCATACAAATGAGGAGAATGAAAGGATTGTGGAAATACCGACAGCCTTATAGCAGTCTACTAAATATAGAGCTCTGCAGAGGCAGAAGAGAGATAATTCATGCATTAGAGTAAATCCAACTAAACTTTCTTTGAACTGATCAGAGCATCCATGGGAAACAACAGGGCTGAAAAACATGCAGCTTTTCTCCTTTAGGGAAAAATTTGGCCTCAGATGAGCATTTATGTTTGTTGTAAAAAGCGGGGAAAATTATGCATGTATTAAAGAATAGATATTTTTGTAATACCACACCCCAGCTAGAATAGTGCTGTTCAGTGAAAGTTCGTATTTCCCAAAACACAGCCGTGAAGCCAGAAAAGCCAATATCTCAGTAAGATGCTTCTATCTGAAAAAAAAAAAAAAAAAATCTGCAAAAGGCTAAAGAAACTATCCTAAGATGGTATGTTTTTATGCAATATTTTATTTTTGAAGGATTAGCTAACCTACCTCTTTCTCTTACCGATTTTTTAGATAGAAACATTGGCTTTAAGGGAACAGCCATGTAACAGATTCAAGGGAGCACTTGTCTGGTTGGCTTTAATTTCTAGAAGATCACACCCATCCATGACAATACGCTTTGTATTTCTGAGGAAGGATTTTCCTCATGGAACTAAAAATGTACAGCAGGAAATGGATAGAAAGTCAGAGGACATTCAGTGTTGCAAAAGGACTTGGTCCTGCTCTCTGATTCTGGGGAAAAAAACAAAAACAAACAAACAAACAAAAAAACAACTTAGGGAGATGACATGGCCCTAGAGAGGTTTGGCTGCAAGTTGTGCCCAGGTGAAGAGGGCCATGGGTGGCCTCTCATTTCCTGACATTCAACACAAATCAGAACTGGAAACCACAGCAGGACAAAGCAAATCTCATCTCCTTACATGGACCAAAGTCAAAGTCCAGATTCATTGCCGCAGAAGCTGAAGACCAGAAAGTACCACTGCCTCTCTGTGGAAGATTTTGCATTTTACAAGCACCCCAGGGCAAACTGTGGGCAGTGGTTGGTTTGCTAAATGAACTGGGATGATATTTTCTCCATTTCACTTTAACTAGAAAATTAGAGTTTAAAAAGTATAGTTGTATTTCTTAGATGCCAATGTTTAAAGACTGAGCTTCGCGCTAATGACATTCAGAGATGGCCATCAAATAGGTGACCTAAGAAACCCTGGATGGAAACTCATGCATAATTGTGTTTTACACTAATTTGCATGGAAATTTTGATTAATGCAACCAAAAAGTTAAGTCCACCATCTAGATTCAATATTAAGGTAATCACATCCAAAGGAGAGAGACAGTATTAAAGGGAAACAGGTGGAATAAAAACTAAATTAACAAACAAGGAAGCTGATGGAAAGTTACGTCACTTGCCAGAGAAGACAGGGTCTATACTCTATACAAAAGGTCAACCTGAAGCAAAGCTGTGCTCCAAGGGAATTGTGTCTTAGGTAGTATCCCCATTATTCTCTACTTGGTACTTTTTTCTCTTTAACTGGTAAGAAATGATTTCTCATTTAAGAGCATCCAAAAACCCACTTTTGTCTATGAGCCATGCAGGATTCCAGCTCCAGGGCATCCAGGCTTGGCTGGTTTCCAGTCTGGGGCCTGCTTTTGATCTTTCGACACATATTCTTGGCATTCTAAACTCTTCTACGTCAACACCCATATAAACAGATTCAAGACAGCATCTTTCTTGTTGGTTTTAATTTCTAGACCAAACTCATTAAAGACAATACATTTGGTGTTTCTGAGGAGGGGATTTCCTCAGGGGGCTAAAAGTGTGTGATGGAAACTCAATAGAGGGGCAGAGGACATTCAAGAAGATACTGTCAATTAATTTCTGCCCCTGTTCTTAGGGTTCTAAACCTTTCTCAGCCTTGTGCCCCAAATGCCCAAGAATAACTGGTTTAAAGCACTGATTCAATCTTTCCTGCAACACAGTTAATGGGTGGTAACGATGATTGTGACTAATTTAAAGAAAATACTGACTTGCAAACAGACACCTCAAATGCTTTAAACTATGATTTCTTAACTCCAGTACCAATGACATTGGGTGTGGATGATTCTTGCGAAGAGAAGGGACAGTCCTGTTTATCATAGAATATTTATCAGCTTATCTAGCTTCTACCCACTAGATTCCAGTAGGATTCACCAGCTTCCCAGGCTGCAACCACCAAAAATGGTCTCTAACTCTGCTAAATGTCATCTTGAGAGCAAAATTGCTCCCATGGATAGCCATGGATTTATTTAATTTCAAAACTACTGACAGTAGGCAGGGTTGAAATCAGGGTCATGCTGAATAAGAGAAAAGACGATCACTACAAAAAGAAAACCAAGCAAAAACAAAAGTTACCAGCATAGATACACCTAAGGCCTTTTTTTTTTTTTCTATGAATTTTGGCAAGGTATGTTAGCACTGCATTTTTGGGACCAGTAGCCAAGGGAACTTCTTGAGAAATGCAGACCTCCAATGAACCCTGCCGGTAACACATCTGATATGGTTTGGCTCTGTATCCCCACCCAAATCTCACCTCGAATTGTCATAATCCCCACGTGTCAAGGGTGGGGCCAGGTGGACATAATTGAATTATGGAGGCGGTTCCCCCATAGTGTTCTCCTGATAGTGAATGAGTGCTCAGGAGCTATGATGGTTTTATAAGCATCTGGCATTTCCCCTGCTGGTACATTCTCTCTTGCCTGCCGTGATCTAAGATGAAACTTCTGCCTTCCTCCCTGACTGTGAGGCCTCCCCAGCCACGTGGAACTGTAAGTCCATTAAACCTCTTTCTTTTGTAAATTGCCCAATCTCAGGTATGTCTTTATCAGCAGCGTGAAAACGGACTAATACAACATCAATGGGGATGGACATTACAATGACCCCCACTGCATTGAACAGACCTTCTATGAGGCTCAGGTTTGTTTTCAGATGAGTTAAAAACCCGTTATGAAAAATGTCACCATAATAAATGATGCCTTCCTTTTGTTTAAAACGTTAGTGAAAAATTTATTTATCAAAGTTACTTGCTTGGATAAATAAATTTCTATTCGAAGACATTAAAAGAAACAACAACAACAAAACCTAGTTAGCATAGTTAACTTAGTAAGAGCTGGGGAAATAATACCTTTAAAAAGTTAATGTTTGGGCCAGGCACGGTGGCTCACACCTGTAATCCCAGCATTTTGGTAGGCCAAGGCAGACAGATCACTTGAGGTCAGGAGTTCGAGACCAGCCTGGCCAACCTGGCGAAACTCCGTCTCTACTAAAAATACAAAAATTAGCCGGTTGTGGTGTCTCGCACCTGTAATCTCAGCCACTGGGGAGGCTGAGGCACGAGAATTGCTTGAACCCAGGAGGCAGAGGTTGTAGTGAGCCAAGATCGTACCACTGCACTCCAGCCTGAGCAATAGAGTCAGACTCTGTCTCAAAATTTTAAAAAAGTTAATATGTGGAGTTGGGAACAATGGATTCTGAAGGTAGATCACATTCTGTCTTGAATGCAGTAGGTAGACATATTTTTTTAACTGTGGAGATGTTTTATTTCCTTCCCACGCTTTTAACATTCTTTGTATTCTGTACTGAAGATCAAGAACTAAACATTCCACTTTTATGTTTCTCCCATGGGGTACTTTTAAATTAAGTTGGTCTCTGGCTATTATATTTATTTTAATCTTTTGAGTTTGTTTTTCCCAACAATAAAGCCTGCAGTTTACTAATGTACTGTCAGATGATGTTGAATACGCAGGAGACAGAGCCATTTTCTGTCTCAGTAAACAGATTTTTCTCAAACCAAAAGCTAGAGATTAGGTCAATAAGCTTTTATGGCAACTTGTTAGATTTTTCTTAGGAAATCATAAAGATTTTTCTTTCTAGCTCATTTTCAAATTATATGAAATGATCAGAACTAAAAATAAAGAATTTTAGAACTAATATTTTATAAAATTAGGATCGTAAAACCAAGATCCAAACTGATTTTTAAAAATGTATATACCCAGTGTCTTAGGTCAAGTTTTCTAGAAGAGCCTGGAGAAGGGTTCTTGTGCATTAGATTTTTTCAGTAATAATAATACTAATATTTATTAAAGCCTTTGTATGTGCTAGACATAATGCTAAACACCTCACATGTATTATTTCATTTAATTTTCAAAATAATCCTATAAAGCAGGTTTTATTATATATTTTTTCAGATTTAGGGGGTACATCTGCTTGTTTGTTATATGAGTATATTGCATAATGGTGGGGATTCAGCTTCTAGCATACCCATTGCCCAAATAGTGAACATTGTACCCAATAGGTAATTTTCCAAACCTCACGCCCCTCCCTCTTCCATTTTGGAGTCTCCAGTGTTTATTATCTCCATTTTTATGCCCATGTATGCCCACTGTTTAGCTCTCACTTATAAGTGAGAACATACAGTATTTGGTTTTCTGTTTCTGAGTTAATGGACTTAGGACAATGGCTCCCAGCTTCATCCATATTGCAGTTAAAGACTTGATTTTATTTTATTTTTGTAGTTCGTTTTTCTTTCCTTCTTTCTTTCTTTCTTTCTTTCTTTCTTTCTTTCTTTCTTTCTTTCTTTCTTTCTTTCTTTCTTCCTTTCTCTCTTTCTTTCTTTTATTATTTTTTTTTTGGCTGCCCTGAAGGGCAGACAGGTTTATTGGTCAGCAGCCGGGAAAATCAGTGGTTGGGCTTGGCCACATGCTGCAGCTCTTCCTTCTTCTTGATGGCATAGGAGTTAGAGGAGCCCTAGGTGGCATTGATGAGCTTATCTGCCAGACACTCAGCAATGGTCTTGATGTTCCGGAAGGGAGCCTCACAAGTGCCTGTGCACAGCAGCCAGATGGCCTGATTCACATGGCGCAGTGGGGACACGTCCACAGCCTGTCGTCTCACAGTCCTGGCTCGCCCAATGCGTGTGGAGCCCTCCCAGGGACCACTGTTGATGATGCACCAGGACTTGCAGAGGGTTCTTGCCTGTGAGCAGGTGTATGATCTCGAAGGCATACTTGACGATGCGCACAGTCATGAACTTCTTGCAGTTGTTGCGGCCATGCATCATCATGGAGTTAGTGAGGGGCTCCACAATTGGGCACTGAGCTTTGTGGAAGCGTTTGGGGGCATACCACCCTGAACTGTGAGGCAGGTACTTGGCATACTTCTCCGTCACTGCAATGTAATCCTGCAGGGAAATGTCATTGATCTGCACATCATCAGTGCTCCACTTCCCAAAAAGCTTGATGTCAAGGGTCTGTGCCACCGCTGGTGCTGCTGTCTCCCACTCGGTCATCCTGAGAGCATAGCCTGAGAATCTCTGTCGCTCGGCGTGGACCACGCGCCGCCTTGGCACAGAAAGACAGAGCGGCTGTGTAGTTTTCTATTATGTATATGCACCACATTTTCTTTACCCAGTAAATCATCAATGGACATGAGTTTCTGAAGGAGACCTCTCAGGAGAAGGGCAGGACAGCAGGCTAGGGACAGGAGAGCAGAGAGCTAGACTGGATATGGTCCCACCTGGAGCTGTATTTCAACTTGCACTTCAAATTTAGTCCCATCTTGAGGCAAAATAGCTGACCTATGTTCTCCAGGGCATGCAAAATCGCTGCATCCAGATGATGCCCATGAAGGATTTTAATAGTGATGAAAAGTGGTTATGACGTGTGTTAAGTGAATCAGAGACTAGACAGGAATCTACCACCAACACAGTCTTAACCATGCACTAAAGTTTACTTAACCAAGACTAAAGAGAGTTATACAAAAGTATTATTCGTGGTTATCTCTGGAAGATGAAAGATCTCTAGAAGATGAAAGGTGGTCATTTTCTTTAATTTTTAAAATAAATTTCCAAAGTTTTTACAGTGGACTTAGTGTAGTGAACAAGAACACGTTCACTACACTAGACCAAGAACACCTAGTATGTGTTCAAAATCTTGTTTAGCAACCCAAGTAAGGTATGACTGAACAATTTACTTTCCATCCTTTAAAAGGGGGTTGATAAATTTTGACCCATGACCAAATCCAACTGACCATCTGTTTTGTAAATAAAGTTTTATTGGAACTCCTCATCTATGACTGCTTTTGTACAGTAGCAGAACGGAATAGTTTCCACTCTGATAGGTTTAAAAGACAGCATGTGGGTGAAGAAATCACTCAACTCTTACAATACTATTGTCACTTCCACAGCTCACTTTATTTTCCATCAGAAGCACAACTAGTCCTTGCAGGCTCTTATTACAAAGAAAGAAAATTAGACTCAGTAATTAAAGTGAATTGCCTAAGTCCCCATAACTATCTCAAAGCATGTGGAACCAGACATATGTGTGATTCTCAATACACAACCTTTACAATCAATTCGTTGCTTCCAAGAAATCAGTAACTATCTATTTTCAGGTATATCCCAGGTTTCCAGAGTGGAAGTAGGGAGTAGAAAAGGTTGCATATAAAGGTTCATTAGGTTTTAGTAGTATTATATTTTTCATACGGGGCTAGTTTGCTCAAGTACTTTTGATCATTTGTGGACAATGCAGTTAAGGTAAATCCTACCAGGGGATTATGTAAATTTAATGTTTGAATGCATTTCTTTTGCATATTGGAAGCTCATATAACTTTTTGTGTAGCATATTAGTGCAGGAATTCTTTTACTAGAAGTAAGAACGTAAAGCTTACCAGAATTCATTATTTTCATTCCTCAAGATGAGAAATATTGTGCTTTTGGATTCTATTACATAATTCTGTGCTTTGGAGCAAAGACAATCTGTAACAGACATTTTATTCCACCTGTTTTTGCTATATTTACTGTAGTCCTATAGATGTAGGCTAGAGAAAAAAGTTAAAGTAGCTGAATAAAATATACTTTCCATGTCGTTTTTTGGGGGGAATCCTTAAGAATGAAATGTAAGTAGTTTTGTAAGTATATGAAAGGCAACCTCTCAGTGCTGTTTCTCTGTGTTCTTTCAAACAGCTATTATCTTCTCAAATACCTCAGCATGAATGATAGAACTCAGGAATGGTAAATATGATGGCTTAGGCTGCACCAGAAGAAGGACAGAGCAGGGTCGTGATCCATTCTGAAATGCATGGCAGATGATATTTAGAAACAGGCTGTCTGGGGCCAGGTACAGTGACTCACACCTGTAATTCTAGCATTTTGGGAGGCCAAGGCAGGAAGATTGCTTGAGCCCTGGAGTTCAAGATTAGCCTGGGCAAGTTGTAACAAGACCTCGTGTCTACAAAAAAAAATTTTAAAGAAACCAGCCAGACATGGTGGTCTACACCTTCAGTCCTAGCTACTCAGGAAACTGGGGCAGGAGGATCCCTTGAGCCAGGGAGTTTGAGGCTGCAGTGAGCTGTCATTAGACCACTGTACTCCAGCTTGGGTGACAGAGACCCTGTCTTTAGGGAAAAAAAAAGTATTTTAAAATTAAGAAATAGAAATAAGCTCTTTGCAAATAGTAAATGAGTTTCTTCCATATGTAAAGTGCCCTGCTAAGAAATGTGTAAATAAGACACAGTCTCCGTATTATGAGCTGAATACTTTTTGTAGAAGAAATACGTGTTTTAGGCGAATACTTATAGTACAGGGAACAGGCAATGCAGTCAATGTGTTCAACAATAAACGATTAATTATTTCCTATTTACCAGGTGTTTTACTGGAAAGACAAATGGAGTACTCTTCACTCTCTGCTGCTTCGTATTACAAATAATCTGCCTTAAGAGCATTGCTAAAGTAGAAAAATTAACCAAAACACAATTGGATGATTTTTTTCACTGGTGATGGGAAGAAGATCAGGGGTTGGGATCGACCAACCAGTTCCCAGTATCATATTGGTTTCTACTTTATCCTCCAGCTCTTGAAGTTAGAGGTGACGAAAAAACTGAAGACCACAAGCCACATCAACGACTTGGGTGAATGAGCTACCACAGACCACTGTCCACACATTCAGAATATCTTGCAAGATTCCATTCCTGTCTCCACCTTTCACTGGGTGAGTGATGGATGTAGAAAGCCAGGCTAATGATGGTAAAGATGTGTACCTGCCACAGGATAGTTCTGTGTTTGGGGTGGTGCCCATGGTTGAGCTAGGACAGTAGGCAGCCTCTTCTTTGCATTGGCCATTTCATCCCTATAAATAGTTTTGCTTGGGGTACCTGAATTCAACTGTGCCAGGTCATTTAAGGCTAACAGTGAGGCAGGATATTTCCCTGACCCCTTCATGGGTGGGAACTGGAGTGCATGGGTGCTGGCAGGGGTGAACTCCACTCATTCACTGCTCCACCCCTTGTGGGAGGGGGAGTGCAGGTGAGGGGATGCAGGAGCCAGGGTGAGTGCTTTTGGGTACTAGCAACAGTGAACTCCATGCTGGCCCCATGGCTGCCTCTAGGGTAGGTTGCCTGTGACTCCTAAAGCACTAGGGGAAGTGTTACAGTGGCCTTTTAGCTTTGCAACCTGCAGACGGCTTAAGTGTTAACAGCTCAGTGGAGGGTCAGTGTGACAGCCTTTTGTACTGACACTCATGGCACCCAAGTTCTTGTCCAGCGTCCAGGAGGAATGAGGTTGCACTAACGAACTGAAGATGGTAAATGCAGGGGATTTTTTTATTGCTGGTGAAAGTGGCTCTCAGTAGGAAAGGGAGCTGAAAAGGGGATGGAGCACAAAGGTAAGCTTCCCCTGGAGTCAAGCTGTTCCTCTGAAGTCAAGCTGCTTCTCTCCAATGTCCAACTGTAGTCTCTCACATCCAGCTGCTTCTCCTCTCTGCTGGCTGAGCCTGGGGTTTTTATGGGCACAGGATGGGAAGGTGGGGTGGGCCATGGGTGGTTTTGGAGAAGGCAAAATTCGAGGGGGAAAAGAAGGGTGTAAGTTCTCTCTTTGGGCCATGGTTCCAGGCTTTTTGGTTTGAGGGTGGGGACTTCACTGGGGACCCTCCCTTTTCTGCCCAGAATTTCCCTGCCTTCTATTTCTATCAACAGTATAGGAATGAGTCATACTACTTGGACTGTGGTTCTCCAACAAGTTCTACACCAGGGATAAGAGTTAAGATAGATAAAAATGTTAAAGGTGAGAGAAAGTCTGTCTAGCCTGGGCTGAGCCGAATCATGCAGATTTAGTAAAGCCTTAATACCCAGGCTTCGGGCTTCATTCTTAAGGCTCTGAACCTGAGTTGGAAGAAAGACTCTTCCCTCAACATGAGGTCATCATTCCCAAAAGAAAGCCTAGGACATTGTGATTGACCGAACCTAACGCTCTAAGAATTAGTGGCTACCAGTTTGCTCATTCTTGTAGTCTCATTACCCTAAGTCGAAAGAAAAGTGTCTCAACAATGAAAAGAAGAGGACCTTATTTTCAGGAACTTAATGGTCCAATAGGACCATAAGGACAACACAACATGCATTTCATAGAAGCTTGGAGAAAAGTATTCTGTACTCTGACTACAGAAAATTAGTAAAGTCTATTGAGATAAGAATTTTGATCAGGTCCCCCTGATGACGCATGAGCTCAGTAACTAGATTGTGGGAAACAAGGTTTCCAGGAGAAGGTCACATTGAAGGTCAAAGATCCAGGGCATTTTATAGCTTATTCTCTAAGCCCTAAGATGTGTTGTTCATCTGAAACATATAATATATGATAGAAAGTAATGGAATCTAAGTCTAGTAGGATAACTGGATGACAGCTCTGCTAATGAGTGCAGAGGAAGTCTTGCTGGTCTTTATTTTTGGGAATCCTTAAGAATGAAATGCAGTTCTGTAAGAACATGAAAGGCAATCTCTTAGCGCTGTTTCTATGTGTTCTTTCAAACAGCTGTTATCCCCCTCAATGAGGTTAAGGAAAACAACACAAAAAAAGAGAAAATGTAGCATAGTTCTTGAAAATGGCCTGTAGGCTGGGCATGGTGGCTCATGCCTGTAATCCCAGCATTTTGGGAGGCTGAGGTTGGTGGATTGCTTGGGCCCAGGAATTTGAGACCAGCCTGGGCAACATAGTGCAATCCTGTATCTACAAAAAAAAAAATTAGCTGATTATGGGGGTGCATGCCAGTAGTCCCGGGTACTTGAGAGGCTGAGGTGGGAGTATAATCTGATCCTGGGAGGTCAAAGCTGCAGTGAGCCATGATGGTGTCACTGGACTTCAGCCTGGGCAACACAGCGAGACTGTCTCTCAAAAAAAAATGGCCTGTAACTAAAATTCACATTATAAAATTGTTGAGTATTTTGGAGCTCACCCATAACTGGATTTAGTAAGGAAAATGAATATCAGTAGTGGTTTTACAATTTTTGGTGCTATGGACCCAGTTAATGTATTTCATGGATAGTTTAATATTCCTTCAAGAGAAAACCCCACATACACACAGGAGACACATCATAGGGACTCCAATTACATTATGGACCCAGGTTAAAAATCTAATTTTATTGTTTAAGATGAGAAAAGTAATTTCTGCTGGGGTGGTTCCTTCTGGGACATGCCCCATTTGCCATTGAGAAATGGGAAAGAGTTGAAGAGGAAGCAAAAATGTAATATGTCTTTCTTAATGTGGGTCTCAGCAGAGTGGGCTACCCAGAAATGATTGTATTCTATGCAGAGTGAGGCCAGCGTATGCCAGTGTCCTCTGTGGAACTCATATGTGAAATCCTGTGCTGTAAGTTTTCACGTGTGTCATCTCCTTTCAATCCCAGCACACTATCTAACATAGTTACCACCACACTCACTCTAAGGATGAAGATACCACACTTGAGTAACTTCCCTGAAGATCACAGAGCTAGCTAACAGTGGAGATAGGATTCAAACTTTACTATCTACAAGCAGGATGTTTTTCACTGGACTGCTTTAACTCATCTTCTCCTCTTCTGATACTTTAAGAAAGGAGTGACAAAACTGTAGATGTAAGCCCACTTAAAGAAGCCCCAAAATTAGTGTTGCTCAGACAAGCACACGGGGTAAACTCAAGTTGTGATGGCTGCAAGCACCAAGTGTTCCTTATAGATAAAGGAAATATGTCTTGTTTAACTAGCTTGGGAGACTTTTTCAATGTAGCCATGAAATACAAAGCAAAAGGTCGAATTTACAGGTATATTTACAGATATGTAAATTTACAGATATTACAGATATCTGAGTTGCCTAATACAGAATATAAGAGAATGATGTACATCAGATGATTGTCCAATGAGAAAAGTGTCTTCCTATGCTTGTATTAGGAATTGTGCACTGAAATAATGCATAGAAATAGTTATCAGTTTCTGATGGCTGTGTGCGATCAATCTCCAGTGGGGTTTCTCAGTCCATCAAACTCTTGATTTCTCAGTTTAGCTGTGATCCCTTCTTCATCCAATAAGTGCAGTATACATTTGCAGAATGCTGGTGGTTTCTACCAGTCCACAGTTTAGAAAATAATACTGCCAGTAAGACAATGAGTCGTCTTATCCCCTTGAGTCTTTGACCACCGTGAGCATTTCAACCAAAATTAATTCAATAAATAATTATCGCACAGCTACAATGTGCTGAGCTGTGTTCTGGATACTGTGGAATACACAAAGATGGTCAGACACAGATAGATCCTTAAGATGGTTATAGAAGGGGGAAGCCAAGTTTAAGAAATGCACCCAAATGATTATCACAAAAGCAAGGTGATGTATCAGTTAGGAGCCAACCAGGAACAGAGGCAATTGTACCACTGATTGTACCATAGAGGGAAATGGATAGAAGGGATTTATAACACAAGTGCTGTCAACGTGAACAGAGTGAGGGAATTCAGAGCCCAGTAACAGTGGAAAGCTGACACCAACACTATACCTGATGGTCAAACGGAGAAGGCGATGTTAATAAACTCAATGGAGGCTGCAACAGTAAAAAGAGCAGGATTTTGAGCCATGCATGGAGAAGGTACATTATAAGAGGGGTGAGAAATATTCTGGATTTCCCCTTTTTCCCATCAGCGAATCTCCTGCTGGTGCATTCTAGCAGGAAGCCTGGTGACATGAATCTTTGAAAATAGTGTCTGCATGGCTTAGGCTCCCTATGATGCAAAACAGAGCTGGAGAATGGGGAGGAGGGGATCTGGGGTGAGGCACTCCAAGGCGTGCAAAGACACTAAGTGATAAACTAATCCAACATTATGGAGATTCAAAGAATCCAGTAATTTAGACAAAATTGAGAGAAAGGATTCCAGGATCCTAGATTGTGGAGAGCTTTGTGTACTTGAGAAGGTCAATTTAGAAATGTTTCATACGTTTTAAGGAAATTAAAAGCATCTAGAAATATGCTTCATTTTTCTCCTTTACTCCCTGTTCAGGAAATAGGAGAGCAAACATCTTGAGCATGTATCTTCAGGATAATTTTCAATCAGAGATACATTTACCATCTGAAATGTTTATCCGCTACTTGCTTTCCCTGCTTTTGTCTTTAGCTTTAGGTCGTCGTCATGTGTTGTTCTTCCTGATACAGGGAAACAATAACAAAGATAAAGCAGACAAATGAGCTTCCTGGCTGGTTTTATCTGACTTTTACTCAAGGCTTCTCTCCCAAGATGTCCAGTTACTTAGGCTCTAGGCTGAATCTGCATAGTGGCATTTTGGTCTTTATAATTTTTCCAGCTGGGAGAGATCTATTTTAAGTAATAATCATAATAATCTGGCTTGGTTTTATGGTCAGTTTTCCCTATCTGAGCAACTCGGAAGGTTTCGGATGATTTCCATCAAGTGAAAACTTCTTGAGAAGAAAAATGTGTATGAACTCTGGATGAGGGTTTGTCAACTTTTTTCTGGAAAGGGCTGGATAGCAAGTGTTTTTGGCTTTGTGGGACATAGTTTCTGCCACAATGACTCCACTATGCTGTTGTAGTGTGAATGTGCCATAGATGATAGATGAACAAATGGACCTGGCTGTGTTCCAGTAAAACTTTATTTACAGAAAAGCAGGTGGAGGGTCACAGTTTGACCACAACTGCTCTAGATTCTAGACATTAATAATTAAGTGCACATATACAGATATATCTGCCTGCAAATATCCATGGTCAAATTTTATTCTAATAAAAAGGCTTTTGTGTTCTTTTTATTTATTTATTTATTTATTTATTTATTTATTTATTTAACGAAGCATAGTCTGTGTTGGCTTTTGATAAAATCAATAGTGTGAAAAGAAGATCTTTTCCCTGGCAACCCTTTAAGGTTAAAATTCCAATGGGGGCATTCTTCAGTTGATTTTGCTTAACTATAATGTGAATTCTTTATTCTTTATTTTATTTTTATTTATTTATTTATTTTTTGAGATGGAGCCTCACTCTGTTGCCCAGGCTGGAGTGCAGTGGTGCCATCTCTGCTCACTGCAACCTCTGCCTCCCCGGTTCAAGCGATTCTCCTGCCTCAGCTCCCCAAGTAGCTGGGATTACAGGCATGTGCCACCACACCCGGCTAATTGTTTGTATTTTTAGTAGAGAGGGGGTTTCGCCATGTTGACCAGGTTGATCTCGAACTCCTGACCTCAGGTGATCTGTCTGTTTCAGCCTCCCAAAATGCTGGGATTACAGGCGTGAGCCACTGCACCCAGTCTCTTCATTCTTTATTTTAAACACATACATTTTATTATGACACTAGTATGTAATAATAATGGATATTACTATGTCTACTTTACAAATTGAAAAGCTAAGGCTCAGAGGAAATAAGTGATTAACTTAAAGACCTATTGTTATTAAGGGAGAGAATTGAAAGTTAGACTCAGATCCATGGACCAAATGTTTCCACATCTACTATAAAAATACTATTAAGGGTTGGGCACAGTGGCTCTTGCCTGTAATACCAGCAGTTTGGGAGGCAGAAGTGGCAAAATCAGTTGAGCCCAGTAATTTGAGACCAGCCTGGGCAACATAGCGAGACCTTGTCTCTACAAAAAATAAAAAATTAGCTGTATACGGTGGTATGTACCTGCAGTCCCAGCTACTTGAGAGGCTGAGGCAGGAGGATCACTTGACCCCAGGAAATTGAGGCTGTAGTGAGGTATGATCATGCCACTGCACTCCAGCTTGGGCAACAGGGCAGGCCCCTGTCTAAAAAAAAAAAGAAAGAAAGAAAAATAAAAATACTAATAAGGCTACATCTGTTTGTGAAGCATATTATGCATTTGATGCATTTGGTAAGAAAAGCAATTTATTTATTTACTTATCATTATTATTATTATTATTATTGTTATTATTATTATTTTGAGACACTGTCTCACTCTATTGCCCAGGTTGGAGTGCAGTGGCACCACCTCGGCTCACTGCAAACTCTGCCTCCCATGTTCAAGTGATCCTCCCACCTCAGCCTCCCAAGTAGCTGGGACTACAGGCATGCATCACCATACCCGGCTAATTTTTGTATTTTTAGTAGAGACTGGGTTTCACCATGTTGGCCAGGCTGGTCTCGAACTCCTGACCTCAAGTAATCTGTGTGCCTCAGCTTCCCAAAGTGCTGGGATTACAGATGTGAGCCACTGCACCTGGCTAAGAAAAGCAATGTAAGATCCCCTAACTTAATTTAAAAGAATAATGAAAGAGTATAGGGAAGCAGATGTCATCCTGTTTACAAGGGTGATATCTAATAAGACTCTTTCCTTTCCATTTGTCCCTTCTCCTCAGTCAGGTTGCCTATGGTAGAAGCCATCTTTAACATAAACAGCAGGGCCCCAAATGCCGGGAAGGATACCTAGGAAAGTGATCATTCGTGCAGTTTCCACTTTGGGAAAAATTTAGTAGACACTTGAACTCTGGCAGCGCCGCTTTGATACCCCATCGGCACCAACTCAATTACCTGCCATTTCTGCAGAAGGATTATTTGTTCACGAACGCCGGCGGAGTGGGCTGTGCTTCCAGATCCAATACTCAATTCATTGAGCTGAAATTAACTGCCTCTCTCCAGCTGGAGGAAAAACAAGCCTCCCCGGCCATTTCCACAATGGTAAAGTGAATTAATTTATTCGCACACACTCAGGAGAACCTGACAGTTTCTCTACCAGCCCAGGAATTCCTTGGCACAAAAATGAGATTCCTTCCCGTCCCTTGACTGGTTTTTACTTAAAAGAAAAATGTAGCCTAAGGGCAAATGGTGGGTGGGTACGGGGTTTATCTAGGGAAGAGACTGAAACAGGAATCATCTCAAGCATTGTAAGAGTCACTGAGTAACTGGAGGTCTGGTTATGGAAGAAGAGAGATGATATATTTTTGGCTTGAAATGATTTAAGACTTCTTTTAAAGGAAGTTGTCAAAAGACATTGTAAATGCCCTAATCTGTTCTTCCATAAGAACCTGAGTCTCGCAATTGATAAAGGAGATGGCAGATTGACATTTTATTTTGTGCAATTTGAAAATTGATGAGGCGTAATTTACTGGGTTGATGTTTAATCAATTCTTAAAATCAACGGATGCAATGACGTGTAATTACTGAGCTCCTTCTAGCTACATAGCATTGTACAAAACACAAAGGTGGGTGCAATTTATACCCTTAAGGAGGTGGAACAAGAACAATGTTTTGTACACAATAGCTTCCTTACAAATATTATTTGACTTATATCTGTAACAATCTTACGTGGTTGGTAGAGTAACCCACTTTTTAACTTTTGTGTGAAAGCATTCCCTATTAATGCCATGGGAATAACAAAAACGATATTGTAAAGTCTAAATCTTAGAATCCACAAATGAAAACTTTTTCTTTCAGATAGTGGAGTAGACTATTTGATGAAAAAGGCTTAGCAAGACACATATGGAGCTTGAAATTTCAAGAAAATCAGTATGAATCTATTGAAACACTTCCAAAGTGTAAACTAACTAATTTTGGATTTAAAAGGCTTACAGAAAGAAAAAGAATTTACTTTTTTAAGAGCAAAACATGGGCTTTTTCCTTAGGACACGATTCTCTCTCGGAATGATAACTCCATCCTCCATCAGCACCCTGTTATAGTTAATATAACATGAAGACTTGCAGCTTAGAGATCAAACATTAATTCTGATCTTGCGACTTTAAAAAAAAATCGTGTTCTTCATGAAAAGATAAAGGTACTTAAAACTGCTTTGGCTATTCAATTCTTAAACGAAGGTGACCTCCAACAAGGAATGAAAAATACCAGTACCACAGTTACACTGGAAAATCAATAACATAGAAAAGTGAATTGAAGACATGATAGCCTGAAGAATAGGTAAGATTGAATAAGGATGGTTGAGCCTGTGGTGGTCAACATTTCTACATTTTGACTGGGAGGAAATCATAAAGGAAAAAACAGACGGAAAGCATGACATTCTGCAGGCTGTGGCACTAGAAAAGAGCTTTAGAAATAATGTATTTTCTTTTAAAATAATTCAGCCAATGCTATCTTCAGTCTAGAGGATATTTTAATGTGTGACTTAAATGAATGCTTAGTGACCTCTCTGAGTCAAGAATTGGTCATGAAAATAAACACACAATGATAAGTATTTAGAAGGAATAAATCACATCACACACATTTTTATAAGTGTAAAGTTGCAGGAATTTTGGCATTTTTAGTATGCATTTAGGGGCATGTTGTCTAAACAACATGTAATGTGAAACACTTCTGTTTTTCCCTCAAAAATGGGAACACTGAGCTATAGAAATTATCTTTGTAATTATTTAAATTTAACATAGCTGCTTTAGTAATAAAGCCGCAATATAGATTGTTAACAAAAAAGATTTTATTTAGCTGCTACATAGTTAGGTTTTCTGAGGGTGTCTTTCTTTACTATTTGAACATTGTGAATGAACCACAGGATTTTGCACGTCCAATATTTGAGTTTCTGATGAATGTGTGGACATGTTATCAAATATATTAATATATCATTGTTCACATGAGGATAGCAAGATCTGAATTTTTCATGTTTGATTGGTGTAAACCAACTTGTCCCTTTTCTTTTTTTCCCCTGCTCTCTTTACAACATAACATGCAACTCTCCAGTAATACTATAGATTGTAAACTGTCTTAGGATAGATGCTGAAGAATTTGAAAAGGGAGGGGCATATATTGAACCTATCTTTCCAGCCATGTCCTGGGCTAGCCATTGTTTATTTGTTATGAAATCCTTACAGCAATCTTCCAAAAAAGGTGCCTGGATTTCAGGTTGATCTAAAAGGACAGTTCAGTTCTGCTTGTATTTTGAGTTTTGGAAACTTCTTAGAGGTGTGTGCAAGTGACATTTAGGTCTTAAAGGAAATCATACCAATTTGGTACAGTAAGAGTCACCTGGAGACCTTGAGATTTCTAATACTGAGCTACAAGTTGAGTGTATCTTTAGATCACCACAACTGTGTCCATGCTCTTTTCTCTCTTTGTACATTTTGACTAGAAAATATTGAAACCTGTTTCAGAGTCAGTCAATTTTTCACCAAGACTGGGTCAGTGTGTTATTTAATAAAATTATTCTGGTATTTCTTTTCTTTTTTATGTATGACATAAAGATATAAAAAAGTAATTGTATCAGAATCTAATTTCCCCAGCATCTCTTTCCAATGTTAGTCTCATAAATACACAGTTATGTATATACACATATACACACATGTAAACACACATATACACATGTGTATATGCAAATTTGTATGCACACATGTATAAACCCAAATATATGTACACATGTTACATATGTATAAACACAAACATATGTACACACATGAATGAACACATATATGTAGACATATGTATACACATATGCACATGTGTACACATATATACACATATATGTATACACACATATATACACATATATGTATACACACATATATACACATATATGTATACACACATATATACACATATATGTATACACACATATATACACATGTGAATACACGTATATATTATAATATATCTTAAATTAAAGAATCCTTTAGAACAAATGCAGAAACGAACATTATCTGACTCCGGATGTAATTTGCTCTAGATCACCTAAGTCATGTTCTTACCAAAGAGCTTCACCTGAATGTAATCATGAGGAAGCAATAAGACAAATACTGGATTGAATACAAATTCAGTATTTTATGAAACAACTAGCATGGACTCTTAAAAATGTCAATTCTATGAAACAATGAACCAAAAATGTGGAGAAGCAATTCTAGATTTGCAAAAGCCTATTGCAAATAAATGCAAAGCATGTTCATTAAAGGATGCCTGAATTTAGATATGGAGAAAAGAGATTTTTGTGACAAGGGGCACTTTTTAATATGGGATGGTACAATAGATAATATTATTGTATGAATCTTAAATGTCTTCAATGTGATAATTATATTATGGTTACACAGAAGTATGTCTCTGTTCTTAGGTGATACACGCTAAAGTATCAGTAAAGTGTCCTTACTTTCAAGTAATTCAGAAGGTTGTGACTATATATATATGCATTATATTTATGCATTCTATATTAATTTATATATGTGTATTATATATGTATTTGTGGATACATATATAATATCGACTAGAGAGTGCATAAGCAAAAATAGTAGAGAGAGAAAGCAAATGTGAGAAAATGGTAAAATAATAATTAGTAAATCTTAATGAAGGGTATAGTGGTATTTATTGTATTACTATTTCAACTTTTCTGCAGATTTGACATTTTTCAAAATAAAAACATGGGAAGGGGATCAAATGCAAATCCAGTTCTCACAGAGAGTTATGGAGTAATGGAAAGTTATGAAGTACTTCCTGTAGCACCGCTTCCCTGCCCAGCTATACCTAGGATTTGGTTGCACCATATTGTCTATATATTATAATACAATTCCAGGTGTTTGCAGACATAGAAACTGATTTTTTTTTTAAATCCTCACTAATTATTTTTTTCTAGTCTCCGACAGTGGCTTTCATTCTGGGAAATAACCAAATGCATTCAAAGCCAACCCCTGTGAATATGGTGAGTTATCAAAATGGCAGCATGGCACAGTAGGGAGCGAATAGAAAGAGAGTTGGAAAATTTGACAAAGGCTATGAGCTCAGATATAGCTCAAAGACTCATGATCATGGGACAGGGAGCAAGTAACCAAATCTCCCTGCCTCAGTTTTCTTATATGCCTGGTAATGAGCTAACACAACACATGTAAAGGTGCTGTGCATTAGTGAAGGTCAACATAAATGATGGGACTTATAATGTGATACAGGAACCAGACATAACAAATACCAGAAAACGGGGAAGTACTGTCATTGTTAAAATTCAGATATTCTTGAAACAAGAAGATGGATGGTTTTTGGTATGTCGTATGTTATCTTGTTTTTTTTAATTTGATTTTCCTAATTGGCAAATTCATGGGGTCCACAGTGATGTTTCCATACAAATAATGTATAGTGATAAGATCAAGGTCATTAGCTTCCCAAACATACCCAGCTCCCCAAACATTTATCATTTCTTTGTGTTGGAAATGTTCAATATTCTCATTCCAGCTATTTGAAATGATATCATATATTATCGTTAACTACAGGCATCCTACAATGCTATATAGAACAGTAGAAGTTATTCCTCCTAAAGAACTTCAAAAATAGTAGTAACATGACATTCATAAATAACACTTGGATGTATAGTTTGGGTCCATTTGTTTAAAAGTGGTGCATTAAGTAATACATCATGCATCTATGTAGAATTACATTTTTATGTACATAAGCACTTATATATACAGAAATTAAAGCATCAAGTGATTTCTTAGAAGCTGCTAAAAAGTGAGAAGTTCATGAAGTGGAATGAAATAAGAGCAAATACTAATTCATTATATGTAGAATAAATGTACACTTTTCAGTGGATAGGTTTGGTCAGATGATGGTACTTTCAACAGAAAACAAATACAAGGAAAAGATTTGGGGAACTGGCAGGCTAAATAACTAAGAACTCTGCAGAAAAGGTCATCCTTTAGGAAAAATACAATTTTTGTATTCTTTAATGAGTTGCTTCTCCAAGGATTATTTTTTCCCAGAATCATCATTAACACCTCTAGTATTGAGTCACAGGAATCTTTTTTTTTATTTTATTATTATTATACTTTAAGTTTTAGGGTACATGTGCACAACGTGCAGGTTTGTTACATATGTATACATGTGCCATGTTGGTGTGCTGCACCCATTAACTCGTCATTTAGCATTAGGTATATCTCCTAATGCTATCCCTCCCCCCTCCCCCCACCCCACAACAGTCCCCAGAGTGTGATGTTCCCCTTCCTGTGTCCATGTGTTCTCATTGTTCAATTCCCACCTATGAGTGAGAACATGCGGTGTTTGGTTTTTTGTCGTTGCGATAGTTTGCTGAGAATGATGGTTTCCAGCTTCATCCATGTCCCTACAAAGGATACGAACTCATCATTTTTTATGGCTGCATAGGAATCTTATAAATTAACTTCTATTTTTTAAACTAGGAGGAGGGAAAACTTGGCCACAATTTTTCTGACTTCTAGTTCATTTTCTTCTTGTTAAAATCATCATCCCACTTTTGCCTGATGCCCACCAGTATCTATGAAATAGTAGTAGTATATTTTATTACCTTTCCTCTTCTGTAAAATTTTTCTTTCACCCAAACTCTGACTCCTGTATGCAACATTCTCCATATTCTGCCCTCGGAGTCTGATTCTGTTTTAACTGCCCATATCCAAAGAGTTCAGTTGTTCCCATGGCTGTGATGTTACCTTTGTTTAGTAAGAACGCATGCACCAGTATGAAGAGATGTCCAATGGAAATCTGACTTCACACTCTGTAGCACGCAAGCCCTTCATCTCTCACACCCTTCTGAGTTTACTTGGGTATTGCCTGTGGGAACGATGGTAGTAAAATCATGCATGGCTGGTTCACATCAGAAGGAGAAATTTGTCCTGTATAAAAATGACCTGTGAAAGCTGCAAACAGCCCAGATGTCCATTGACTCATAAACGGATATAAAAATGTGCTATATACATACAATGGTATAGTATTTGGCCATAAAAAGGAGTGAAAGAATGAATACAAGCTACAATATGGACAGACCCTGATGACGATATGCTAAGGGTAAGTCCATCATAAAAAAGGATAAATATTGTATGATTCCATTCACGAAATGTCTAACACAGACAAATCCATATAGACATAGAATGAGATTAGTAGTTGCCTAAGGTTGTGGGGGTGGATGGAGGAACTTAGGAGGGGATGACCAAGGGACAGGGCACAGTTTCTTTTTTAGAGTGATAAAAATGTTCTAAAGTTGATTGTAGTGATGGTTACACAAGCCTGTGAATATCCTCAAAACCATGCGATTGTACATTTCAGGGGGTGAATTGTGGGATTTATGAATTTTATTTTAATAAAGTTATTACCCTACCACAAAAACTGTTGAAGGCAGCCTTTGAGACAATGTTCTGCCAGGCAAACACTGGCCATCGGAATGGGTGACATTCCTTAGTCCCTGATTTCTTTTTTTAGCCAAAGACTTTGCGTGCTAACACCTGCAAGACATAGACCTGCAAGGCTTATAAAAGATGTTTATGGCTTGGCGTAAATGCCCATTGCTCTATGGGGACAAAGGGTAACACTTGCTCTAACTAACTTCCCAAGCAAAGCTCACCATTCCGCTTTATTGTTTTGGATAACTATACGCAAGAACCAGAAGCGTTGCTACTCAGGGAAAGATACATAACTCCAAGATTGAGTGTCTCTCTTGGTTCTTCACCGGCTGCAAAAATGAATCCATTTGCATATGATCAACATATAAAATAGTAAATACAGTATTTGATCAAGACATTGATTTTTTAGTTTACATTTATGACTGTTTCTTAATAAAGCCAATCAGTAAAAAACAATACAGTTTCTTTAACAAATGTGTCATTTAGAAGCAATTTTATGGTGGGTTCATTCTTTCTTCAACTTTCGTTTTCACATATTTGTATCAAATGCTTTCAGGACACCTGAAATACCTCCCTTAAACAAGAGTTCTCAGGAATAAGTTGGAACAACACTGTTCTAATTGACTCATTGACCCTTTAACTTGGAGTAACTTAATTTCAGTTTCCTTGTCTTTAAAATGTGCCTGCTTCTAGGGGGCTGACCTAGTTTTTCAAATTCATTCTTCAATCTGTATGCATGTGTGTATATATATGCACATATATACATACATATGTTGTCCTTTCAGTGTTAAGAAGACAAGAAATGGATATAAGAGCTAGAAATAATGTATCTTCTATTGTCAAAACCACCTGCTAAGGATGGAGACTGGGAAAGAGAAGACCTTCTGGCTGGCTCCAAACCCCAAGTAAATTTTCAGGTGCAAAATTTTGGCAGAAGCTGTGGAAAGTTAAATATATGTATAAGAAAACAATATTTTTGAGAACTTGCTGATCAATCCTTGTGTTGAGAAATGATGGAAAGAGAAGAGAAGAGAGAAATAACTGAGAAACATGAAGCTAGGAAATCCTTGGGGTTTGGGTAAACTAGGGACTTGTTTTTTTCTTAAATAGTCACGAGCAGGTTTTCTTTCCAACTTTTATTTTAGATTCTGGGGGTACACATGCAGGTTTGTTACTTGGGAATATTGCATGATGTAAAGCAGGTTTTGAACTTGTTAATTGCCTTCTCTGTGATTGTCCACCTGTCTAACCTCTCCAAGTCAAATCTTAGTAGAACCACAGATTGCTTGCAAGAGTGGGGTGTCATAGCCAACTTTGGAAGTGACCCTCAATGATCCCCACCTCCTGATCTTCACGCCATTGTGTATTGACTGTGGGCTAGATTGGCTTCTACTGAATAGAAGTGTGGGATAGGACACTTATTCTGAGGTTAAATTATAAAATAGCAAATGCCATGACTTCTATCTCACCACTGCATCCTTTCTTGCCCTCTCACTTAGTCATTCTGGTGAAGCCAGCCGCCATGTAGCACTACACAAACTGGCAAGGAATAAAGGTGATCTCTAGCTAACACCAGTGAGCATTTGAGGCCTGCAGTCCTCCAGCCTGCAAGAAAATGAATCCTCCCAACCACCCCGTAAGAGAGCCTGAAAGATTTCCAGTGGAGATTTGAGATAACTATAGAGCTGGCTGATACTTCTAAGAGATTCTGAACCAGAAGACCCAGCTAAGCTGTGCCTGGACTCCTGAACTACATAAATAGTGAGATAATTAATGCTGTTGTTTTAAGCTGCCGAATTTGGGGATAATTAGGTTATGTAGCAATAGGTGGCTGGGTGCGGTGGCTCACACTTGTAATCCCAGCACTTTGGGAGGCTGAGGCAAGAGGATTGTTGAGGAGTTCAAGATCAGTCTAGGCAACATAGTGAGACTCCATCTCTGAAAAATAAAAAAAAAAAAAAAGCTAGGCATGGTGGTACACACCTCTAGTCCTAGCTACTTAGGAGGCTGAGGTGGGAGGATTGCTTCAGCTCAGGAGTTTGAGACTGCAGTGAGCTATGATTGTGCCACCACACTCCACCCTGGGTGATAGAGTAAAACCCTGGTTCTTAAAAAAAAAAGCAATAGGTTACTAGTACATGGTGCTTTTGCCAAAATAAATAAATTAGAGGCAGAGATCCAGGAGGCTATGTGTCAGATGGCACACGTTATCTGGAAAAAAAAATCGAATTAACTCATCAGTCTCAGGTAAAGTTACTTAAAGTCAAATTGAAATATGAAAGCATAAGTATCTTTAAACAATTAAAAAATGCCATAAACATTTCGAATCCCATTTAATTTGCAATGGAGAATCTGAGGCTCTCTTACTTAGACCTTAAGCACAGAAATATAAACACTGGAAATAATGAACTAAAATTTAAGCAAGCCTTGTTTATAAATTTTAAAGCAATTATGGTATTTGGTAAATATGTCTTAGGAAGGAAAAAGTTTGTTGAGAAGTAGCATCTTGTATTGAGGAATTCTCTTTGGAGTGAGGCGGGTAAAGGAGGTTAAAGAATATAGTATGTTTCTCTTGGCCAAGCACGATGGCTCACACCTGTAATCCCGGCACTTTGGGAGGCCAAGGTGGGTGGATCACTTGAGCCCAGGAGTTGGAGACCAGCCTGAGCAACATAGAAACATCCCATAGCTGTAAAAAAATACAAAAAATAGTCTGGCATGGTGGCATGCAGCTGTAGTCCCAGCTGCTCGGGAGGCTGAGGTGGGAGGATTGATTGAGCCCAGGAGGTTGAGGCTGCAGTGAGCCCTGATTGTGCCAGCCTAGGTGACAGAGTAAGACCCCATCTCAAAAAAAAAAAAAAAAAAAAAAAGAATTCTCCAGCACCACAAGAACACGATGAACAAGGAAGATGTCCTCTAGAGAAGCCAGTGAGGTGGGGGGCTGAGTTTCTTTTTAAAGTTTAAACTGTACAAGATATGCTTATTTTTTAGTATCCATTTTCTTTCTTCTATGGAAAGAAGAAAGAAAGAGAGAGAGAGAGAAAGAAAGGAAGGGAGGAAGAAAGAAAGAGAAAGAAAGAAAGAAAGAAAAGAAGGGAGGAAGAAAGAAAGAAAGAAAAGGAAGGAAGGAAAGAAAGAAAGAGAAAGAAAAAAGAAAGAAAAGAAGGGAGGAAGAAAGAAAGAAAGAAAAGGAAGGAAGGAAAGAAAGAAAGAAAAAGAAAGAAAGAAAAAGAAAGAAAGAGAAAGAAAAGAAAAAGGGAGAGAGAAAGAAAGAAAGAACTCTCCTTGATCTATAACTGTTAACTGCAATTTTAAAAATTTAATCTGTAAGGAAGGTAGCCTGTAGCCATGAAGTATATAATAACAGAAAATCTTGTAAAACACACAATGTTTTGTTTTGTTTCATTTTGTTGCTATAGGTAATTGGACTTTTCTTCATTTTAGCTGCAGAATTTTGCTACAGGAAATTAGATGTTCTCACTTAGAATGGACCCACCAATCACACTTAATTTCACCACCATGGATTACCTAACCCCTAAGTCTCTCTTCACACACACAGACACAGACACACACAGGCACACACACACACTTACTTATGTACCATACTGAAGCAGGAGATTTTCCCTGACCCCTTCACGGGTGAGAACTGGAGTGTACGGGTGCCAGCAGGGGCAAACTCCACTCACTAGTACCTGCTGCGCTCAACCCCTCAAGGGAGGGAGCACACAGGTGAGTGGGTACAGAAGCTGGGGTGCTTTTGGGCATGTTTTTGGGTGCCAGTAGGAACAAACTCCATGCTGGCCCTGCAGCACCATCTGGGGGGCTGCCCATGACCCCTGAAGCCCCAGAAGGAATGTTACAGTCAGTGCTGCTTTAGTTTTGCCATCCATGGGTGGCTTAAGTGTTCACAGCACAGTGGAGAGTCAGTATGACAGCCTTTTGCAACCACACTTATGGCACCCGAGTTCTTGTCCGGCATCCAGTAGGAATGAGGTCGCATGAACACGTTGGAGATGGTAAGTGTGGAGGATGGGAGATGGGAGATTTTATTGCCCATTGAGGTGACTCTCAGTGGGAGTGGGAGCTGAGAAAGGAGACAGAGCAGGAAGGTAATCTTTGGAAGCTACACCATCAAGCCATCCCTCTAAATTCAAGCTATTGCTCTTCAATGTCCAACAGTAGCCTCTGATGTCCAGCTGCTTCTCCTCTTCTTCTCTCTGTTGGTGGAGCCTGGGGTTTTTATGGGCACAGGTTGGGGGATGCGGCAGGCTGTGGGTGGTTTTGGAAAAGGCAACATTCAAGCAGGAAAACAGGAATGTAAGTTCTCACTTTGGGCCTCAGTTCTAGGCTTGAGGGTGGGGCCCTCACTGGGGACCCGCCCTCTTCTGCCCAGAATTTCCCTCCCTCCTGTCTCTATCAATACCATATCTCTCTTGTTGGTCAGCATGTTTCAAAATCTCAGAACTCTGCCTTCCCCATGTGGATAACTTGAAATACAACACAATACAAATTCTCATTCTTTCCTTGATTGTAAAGAAGGTCGTATATGGGTAACCAACCCTTTCTAATTTTTCTTTTTTTTCTGCACCAAGCCTTCCCTTTTCCACCAAATTCAGTCAGTCTTTCTCATTGTAGTGGAAGGAGTTGAGGTCGGGAGGGCCCAGGTTCTAATTGTACTCTATCACTAGGAATGGCCAGGTCACTTCCAATCCTCTTTATAAGAATGATGAGTGAATTTAAATCTCTTTCAATTTATGTTCCTAACTACTATCTATTCTTTCAATGCAAGTTTTCTCACATATGAGTTTTTTTCTCCCTTTTAATCTTATGTCCATTAATCCAGTTGTCTTCCTTTAATTTAATTTCTAAGTAGCCTCCTCAATGATCTTGCTCTCAATGATCTTGCTCTTTTTCTGCCCCATACTGTACCTCTTACATTTTAGGACCACACCAAGTAATTATTTTAAACCATTGGTTTGACTAATCACTTGTTAGTTGAAAGGCATTCCTCAATTTCCTGTTTTTCATCCTCCACAGACCTTTCCAATCCTGCTTCAACTATATTTTCAGCCCTAGCATCCCCACTGTCTGGCTTACAATATCTTAAAGTATCTGGAGTTTTTCTTCAGTCTCATGCTGTTTTCCCTGTCAGCAATATTGTTTCCATTTCTGTTTGGGAGTAAAAATCCCACCTGAGCAAATGTTTAACATAAAGTAATATAACATATATTTAACACAGCATAAAATTTTCACATAACGTATACTTTAACCTAATTTTTTTTTGAGACAGGGTCTTGCCCAGGCTACAGTGCAGTGGCACAGTCATAGTTCACTGCAGGCTTTACCTTCGGAGCTCTAGCAACCCTCCCGTCTCAACCTCCTGAGTAGCTGGGAGTACAGGCACCTACCAGAAGCCTGGCTAGTTTTCATTTTTCAATTTTTTGTAAAGAGAAAGTCTCCCTACGTTGCCCAGGCTACTCTTGAACTCCTAGGTTTAAGTGATCGTCCTGCCTCGGCCTTGCAAAGTGCTGAGCTTACGGGCTTGAGTCACAATGCCCGGGTAACCTAACATTTTTTAACCTGACAAAGTTAACCTGACAAATTTGTATGTGTGCAATACAATGTTGTTGACTCTGGGTACAATGTGGTATAGCAGATCTCTACAACTTATTCATATTGCTTAACTAAAGCTTCATGCCCATTCATTATTTGGTTGTCTTTTAAATTGACCTTCTGTAAAGGTAAATTTACATCCCATTGTATGGGAAAGCCCCATGGTCATGACCTTGATGGTTTACTTATATGATTTGCGTCCTCTTTCTTGGTGCACAGGGGATACACTCCATCCATACCTGTCAATATGATACTGCTAAACATAGAATGCTGTTTCAGAGCTGAGTAAGTGGTAAGGCTGACATAATTTTGGTGGAGTTGCAATGGAACAGTGTAGGCATATGTCTAGTAGAGTGTTCAGTGAGGTTTAATTCTTATGACATTCCTCATGGTACAATATGAGGTCAGACATCAAAACGATGGATTTCCATGGTGTTTTCCCCCAGTGTTCAGCTACTATTTGAAACCACTTTTATTTTATGTTGCCAGGGATTTCTGGAAGATGGGATTTTCTTTTTCTAGGTCAATGTAACAAATCAATATGAATTTAGTGCCATAAAACAACATCCATTTATGAGCTCACAATTTCTGTGGATTGGACCTCCTAGCATAGTATGGCTCAGCTGGTTCTCTCCTTTGAGTCACAAGAAGAAAATAAAATTGGAGGCAGGGCTGTCTTCCTCTCTGGGAGCTTGAGCAGAGAATTGTTTCCAAAATCATCCTGGTGGTTTGGGAGAAGGCAGTTGTAGAATGGAGATCTCTGTTTATTGACAAGCTGTTCTCAACTTCCAGGGGTCCTTGCTATTTCCTTGTTTATGGCTCCCTTTGAAGCCAGCAATGATGGGTCAAGTCCTGTTCATGCTCGGAATCTCTCTGCCTCATTCTTACTCTGCCTCCCTCTTCCACACATCTCTCTAGGGCCTCATGGACTTTTAAGGGCTCATGTGATGACACTGGACTACCTGCATACTCCGGGATATTCTAGTTTAAGGTCTGCCAATGAGTAACCTTAACTCCATCTGCAAGGTCCCTTCACGGCAGATTTTGGAGTCGTGTTTGAGTGAATAACCAGGGGAAAGACTCTTGGGAGGACGTCTTTGAAGTGTGCCACCAAGATGGAGAGCAGTTAGCCCCATGTCCAGGGAAATCTCTAAAGCCAAAATCAAACCAACAATGGAATGATAGCAGAAGCCAGAGGCAAGATGGGGGGAAATCAATGCTAGGTGTTAAACCATGTGATCCTTAGATTCAGATTCTTCTTGTAATTCAGATACAGATTCAGAAGAAGAAATGTAGATCCCTCTCCTTTGAGGTAGAGAGTAAATGCAGCAAACGGCTTGAGATAGTAGCTGTACCTACTCTGTGTTCTGTTCTACTCTTCTTTAGCAGTATTGAAACTCATGCCATGCTACGCATTTACCTCTGTGAAAGATAATATAATCTCAAGACCCCAAACTCAGCATACCAAAGGGAAAAGTGAAGCTTGGAAGCTGAGTCATGCAAAAACTGCCTTTCTTTTGTTCCCAAAACTGCAATTTCACAGCCCTGTGTCATTGCCTCATCCATAAGCCAGGTTCCTGCAACTATAGAAGGCCATGTATCTCCCCAGATGGCCTCTCTCACAAATTGCTCACAAGGAAATTCCTTGTGAGCCCCTAAATCTTTCAGGATACATATCCCCAGTATAAAGTAGCACTAAAGCCAAACTCTGCTGAATTTCTTCCTAACAATGTAAATTACTGGCTTATCTTCCCAGGTATGGGACAAAGACAAGTCTAGAAATCATTCCTACACTCATCCCAAGACAAATGTGGGACTGACTTTTTCTTCTACTCCCTCTTTCCACATGTTTATCCTATATTAAATGTAGATTTACAGAGTAGGGATGAATGCAGGATTGACTTTTCCTCTACTCCCTTTTCCACTGTAAAATGTAGATTCACTGAGCACTAATCAAAGCCTCACAAGAATGCAACCCACTTGCCTCATTGCTTGTCCATCTTCCTTTTTTTTTTCTTTCCCCCTTCCCCTTCTGTTTGCTCTTTCACCTTTAAATATTGAATTTCTCAAAACCCCCTTTGGAATAAGCACAGGTCGCAGATGTTCCTGTGATATGTTTTTTCCAGTGTGCCTCCTCAACCTAGGCAAAATAAACCTCTTATCGACTGAGATCTGCCCCAGTCCCTTTTTGGTCTACACATCCTAGTATTTTCTTTCAATATTCTCTCCACTGGAGAATATTGCTTTTTCTCACGGAATGTTTTTGAAGATCTCCAACTCATTCTCCAAGAGAAGGCATGAGTTCCCTTTTCCAGGAAACCTTTACTAGTCCTCCCTGGCCACATTTGCTGCATCTGCTTCAGTGTTTCTCTACAGCGCCTGCACTCTTCTATTCCCTGGAGCACACATTGCACTTTTTGCCGGCCTATCTTTAACTCTAGATTGTAGCTCCTTCATCTTTATTTCTATGCAGCCTCTCAACAGTTCCTGAGATATGGTCAGCACTAAATCAATATTTGCAGAATGAAGTGTTATTATGATAAATTAAATAGCAGGTCAGTGATAAATCGTGTTGTTGAACGTTGCTAGTGAAAGGCACACATAATTATTATGCTGCAGCTTTAGTGGTTACCTAGTGAACTCAAAAGTTTAGAGCATTTCTTTAGGGCTAAATGATTTTTTTGTGAATAACAAAAGCACAAAAGTACAATTAAATTTAAATATTTATGGTATGTTAACTTGCTAAGCCAAGGCAGCCAGAAGAAGAATGCCTGAGAAAGCCGCAAGTCAACCCCAGGGGGAAATAAAAATCAACACTTCATCTGCAGAGTTGCAGCTAATTTGCTGTAACTAATACTATGACTTCCATGGACAATGTCAAGAACAAAAGATTGCCACTGGAGCCTTGGTCCTTTGAGAACTGAGATTTATCACACACTCTACCATTAAGGTTGTGTGGGTAAATGAGGTTTTGAAAACTCTCTGTAGCCATCCTTGGTTGCTTTGAGTTGAGTCCTTGTCAAAAGTAGTATTTTACCCAGAGGAGCAATTGGCAATTTGCACAAAACCCTTTAAAATACCTTTGCCTATGCTTTGCATGTTGGCATTTGGTCACCTTCCTATGTGCCTAAAGTATGAAAAGGAAGCATCAGTGATTTTACCAGTAAAGGAAGACAATCTCAGTGCTCTCAGTAGTTTGCCTACTAATTAGTTAGTTTAAGTGCTCTGTAAATTAACTGGCATGGATGGTGCCAGGAATTATTATTATTGAATAACAATAATCTAGATGTGTGTTTATTTTCTATTGCAGTTGTAACCAGTGACCACACACTTAGCAGCTTAAAGCAAATCTCAAGTATTGTCCGTCAGTTTTATAGATAAGAAGTCAGCCTGGGTAGCATAGTGAGAACTTGCCTCTACCGAAAAAAAAAAAAAAAAAAAAAAAAAAAAAAAAAAAAAAGGCCAGGCATGGTGGTATAAGCCTGTGGTCCTAGCTACTTGGGAGGCTGAGGTGGGGGGATTGCTTGAGCCCAGGAGATCTAGGCTGCAGTGAGCCATAATCACAATATTGCACTCCAGCCTGGGAATGTCTCACTGTCTCTTAGAAAGAAGAAGGAAAAGGAGGAGTCATCTAGGTGGCAGGTGGCTCAACAGGTTCTCTGAACTAGGTCTCACCAAGGCCAAACTCGAGGTGATCCCTAGATTGGAGTCTTATCTGGAGGTTCTGGGGAAAATCTGTTTCCAAGCTCAGTGAGATTTTTGGCAAAATGCAGGTCTTTGTGATGTAGAATGGAGGTCCCCCTTTGCTAGCTGGCTGACAGCTGAGGGTTATTCTCAGATTCTAGAGGCTACCCACATTCCTTGGCTCACAGCCACCTTCCTCCTTCTTCAAAGCCAGCCACAGCTGACCTACTTTTTCTCATGCTTCAAATTGTTCCTGCCTCCTCTCTGCTGCATTTCTCTGAACACAGCCAGGAATGGTTCTCTTCCTTTAAAGGCTCATGTGATTAGATTGAGCTCACCCAGATAATTCAGGATATAATCTTTCCATTTTAAAGGCCATGGTATAGGTGTGTACAAAGAGCCTTTGGCCATTGTATGAATTTGCGTGGGCTACCATAACAAAGTACGACAGACTGGGTGACCTAAACAACAGATATTTATTCTCCCACAGTCCTGGAGGCTGGAAGTCCAAGATCAAGCTGTGGCCAGGGCTGCTTCCTCTGGAGGTCTCTCTCCTTGGCTTGTAGACACCATCTTCTCCCTGTGTCTTCATATAATCTTTCCTCTGTGTGTGTCTGTGTCCTAATCTCCTCTCCTTAATCCTATTGGATTAAGGCCCACTCTAGTAACCTCATTTAAAATTTTAAATTCTGATTTTGAACCTCATTTTAAATTCCTCTTTCAAGGACCTATCCAAATACAGCCATATTCTGAGGTCCTAGGGGTTAGGATCTCTGCAAGTGAATTTGGGGAGCACATGATTTAGCTTATAAAAGCCATGTAACATAGCATAATCAAAGGTTTGGGAGATTAAAACATGGATGCTGGTAGGAGGGGATGTTATTTAGCCTACCACAAAGTTGAACTTTTGAAAAACAGCAAGTATTTGGGTATATCATGAGAACTAATACCCCAAAATTCCTGACATTTTTCTGTATCAATGATAAAAGTTTTTCATAAACAGCTCTCCATTATACTTGAAACAATCTGCCTTCCTGAACCCCCAGTAGAAGGGCTCCCTCATACTTATATGGGATAATATGCAAACTAAGCTATGATTCATAATCTTTTTCTCTTTTTTTTTTTTTGAGATGGAGTCTCGCTCTGTTGCCCAGGCTAGAGTGCAGTGGCATCATCTCAGCTCACTGCAACCTCCGCCTCCCAGGTTCAATCGATTCTCCTGTTTCAGCCTCCCTTGGGACTACAGGCGTGCGTTGCCATACCCAGCTAATTTTTGTATTTTTAGTAGAGACGGGATTTCACCATGTTGGCCAGGCTGGTCTTGAACTCCTGACCTCAGATGAGTCACCCACCTCAGACTCCCAAAGTACTGGGATTACAGGTGTGAGCCACTGCGCCTGGACCTATGATTCATAATCTAACCATCACTGACCTTGGATATCTTGAAATACAAAAAAAAAAAAAAAAAAAAAAAAAAAAAAAAAAAAAGTCGCCAAAGCCACCCAAATGTAATTATTTTTAGTGTTAAATAATCTAAATTTTATCTTATTATTAAGGTTAATGTCACCTGGTGAAGAACTTCTGTTCTGTCCAATTGAGTAGCCATCAGCCAATACGGCTATTTAAGCTAAAATTAGGACTTAAAAAGAGACAAAATTTAAAATTCATTTCCCAGATGTATCAGCCACCTTATATCAATATCCATGTGTGACTGATGGCCTTGATCCTTCACCTCATAAATATGGAACATTTCCATCATCACAGGGAGCTCTATTGGAGAACACCAGTCTAGACAGTAATATTCTGATCTTTTAATGATGTGATTCCCTCAAGCTCATGTATCCTGATAAAGGACATTACAGTCTGGATAAAGATTTCTTATTACAGCAATATTTATGTTGATTAATTTATATAAAGGATAATTATCTATTAAATACAGAGCTAAAGAAATTAAGACCACCATTTATATTGAGGATGTCAATCAATGAGGAAACATAATTTACAGAAGAGAAATCTGTCTGCTTCGTGTGCTTGGTTCAATGTTCTGACAGGTTTCCAGGCAAGTAATGCTGGTTTTCATCCAATAATGATGGATTACACCCAGTAGACTCCCAAACGCTTGGCTTTCAGTTGATCATTCTTAGACTTGGTATTTCTCTAAAGAAGTTCAAGTAAAAATTGCTGAACTGTGAAAATTACCTCCTGATGCAGACACAGTCATTGTTTTATATAAAGAGAAAAAACCTTGTAATTCAGAGTGTATTAATGCAAGCTTGAGCTTTTGTGTATTTGCTAGGTGTCAAAGAAGTGCAAAACCTCATAAAAGTCCTTTACATTTGTTTATTTATGGATACCACCAAATGCTTAAATAAGTTTTATTTGAATTCACATAACCCATTGATGTTTTAGGACAAATTTTAAAGCTGGACAGATCTTTAAAAACAAGTGATGACTTTGTATACCTCCTGGTGCTAATTGACAGTGCTAATGTGTGGATTCACCATGGAAATCTAGAAATGAGAGCTATATGAATAGAAACAGAGGAGTGGAACTGTGAAGGACAGCCTGTTTTTGGCTTCTCTATCAGAAAGAACAAAATCTCTTTACCAGTTGACATTAACCTGAATAGTAAGGTGAAATTTAGATTATTTAACACTAAAAATAATAAGATTTGGTTGACTTTTTTGTATTCCAAGGTATTCAAGATTAGTGATGGTTAGATGAAAAACCATAGCGAAGTTTGCACATTATCCCACAAAAATATGAGGGAGCCCTTCTTTTGAGGTTTCAGGATGCAAGACTGTCTCAAGTATGATGTAGCAGCTGTCTAGATAATGTTGGCAGCTCATGGCCTGATCAATATCTGTGTACCTGGATTTTGGTGAATATACTGTTGGTATTTATAAGACCAGTACTCTCCAAATGTAAAGGTATGTTTCAAGTGAGCAATGGCTAAGCCTGTACCTATCTCCCTGGTTGTGTGACTCCATGTGTACAAAACTGGTATGTAAAGATTTTCTCTGCATGTGAATGAGAACTCCCACATCATTGGTATCCTGTCAAGTCTCCATCTATTAGACATCAATAACATGGAAGCATTTTACCACCTACAATTTTTCTCTAGCCCAAAATATATCCAACACTGGAAGATCCCTGCCTCTACATGGTGAAGCCTTCTAATCTTTTGTTCTCAGAGGTGTAGAAGAAAGCTCTAGAATTAAAATGTTAGGACCTCAAATCATGACACAACCACCCCCCTTATGTTTGGTGTTGGGTGGGTCATTAAACTATTCTGAGCATCTGATTAAAACTACAGACACAAACAACTATTAATCCAGGTTGTTGGAAATACTAAATCTGATGCATATAAAGCACCAAGGCTCTGTGCACTTTTCCTGTAAAACACCAAATTGTAAATATGTTAGGCTTTGCAGGCCATCCGACTTTGTTGTAGCTATGTAACTCTGCTATTGTGACTTGAAAGCAGCCATAGACATTATCTAAACAAATGGGCACATCTGTGTTCCAATAAAACTTTATTTACACAAAGCAATTGTGGGCCGGTATGTAGGTAAAAATTCTGTCACCATGTTTTTCCTCTGCTCTCACCACCACAACAATCATCAACACAGAAGAATAAGACAAATGTGTAGGGTTTTTACTCACACAAAAAACAGTGGACACCATCTGGTTGTCCTCCAATTCAGTTCTGACACTCTCTACCCAGAGATAGCATCAGATCCCACAGGTTAAGGGCTCAGTCCCATAGACCACCCTCTTCTTTCCCCCAGTCACAAGTTCAGGCCTCCGGTACTTCTGACCAAGTGACTTCAAGTTGTGGTTCCCACAATCTCCTCTTTGGGTTTGATTAATTTGTCAGAGTGGCTCGCAGAACTCAGAAAAACACGTATAGTGGTTGTTAAGAAGGATATTTTAAAGAATACAGATAAACAGCCAGATGAAGACACATAGGGTGAAGTCTGGAACTGTCTGGAGTGAGGAGTTCTTTCCCTGTGGAATTGGGGTGTGACACTGTGCCAATACATGGATGAGCTCTTCATCCCCCTTCTGTTGACCTCCACGTGTTCAGCTCTCCAGAAGCCCTCCACACCCTGTCCTTGGGATTTTTCTGGATGCTTCAGGATGTAGGCATGATTGATTAAAACATTGGCCATTGGTGATCAACTTGATCTTCAGCCCATCTTCCCTCTCTGGAGGTAGGGGATGCAGCTAAAAGTCCCTACCCTCTAATCCGGCCTTGGTCTTTTTGGTGACCAGTGCTACCCTGAACCTATCAGACAAAAGACACATAAAAGACAGCACTTAGGAGATCCCAAGGATTTTAGGAGTTATAAGCCAGAAACTGTGCATGAAAACCAATATATATAAATGTCATAACACTACAGCCAGATTTGCCCTGGGATATAGATTGTAGACTCTTGGTGTATAGCATCTAATAATGTTTGGCCAAAAATATAATAGTTGGCCAGGGGACATTACCATCTAACACTTTATGTCCTTCTCTCCCCTTAAGTCTCCTTAATTTTAACACTTGATGTTTATAAAGTAACATTTTCCTACTTTACCAATCATATAATTTCTCTTTTTAGCTTATATTGTTTGTTTGGAATGAAGGAAAACCCTACATTTCTTATTTATACAGTTTCTAAAGTCTCATGGAAGATTAACAATAGTTGTCCACAACTTTAAGAATTGGAAATAGTCTAGAAATAATTATCAGATTCATTCTACCTTCCAGGTGTTTATTACCTATCCACTTTTGATTTGGAAACTTTAAAGTATTTAGGAGAGCATTGTCATTAAAAGATGAAGTTATTATCAGAAGCCTGTTGCAGAAAACTTTTCAAAAATTGAATAAGAAAGACTATATAATCTCTGAGAGCCAACACCATAAACATACTTTGCTTAGACTTCATCCTTTTTAAGTGTGGAGGCTTATTTCCTAAATCATGCTTGTGATGTTATGATCTAGTGTAAATAAAAGCGAGATATCTAGATCCCAAATTGTACCTGCTATAAAATTTACAGTATTAAGTTTTTGTGCTGTGTTTTCTGACAAGATCTAGGGATGTATCCATCTGCAGAACTTTAAACATTAGCTGCTTCTGTGTGGTGAGGCAAAACACCAGCACACAGCTACCAACTTCCAGCTCGATATTATTACTAATGAAATGCTGCTAATAGTTATAAAATGCACACAGAGATGATTATAGGGCCCTCCCTACAAGACAAGAACATGCTATTGTGAATAGTGCTGCATAATGAACACATTGTGAATAACGCACATATGGTGTTTCTGTCCCATTGCTGCAGGAGTTCCTGAAATCAGTCTTCTCTGATCCTAGACATTGAAACTCCCTGTACTCACTGTGACCAACCCCACACTCTGTGCTGGTTTTGTGCCTCACCATGTAGATGCAGCTGATGTTTAAAGTTATACAGATGCACATATCCCTAGATCTTGTTGGAAAATTCAGCACAAAAACCTTATACTGTAACTTTTATAGCACCTACCAGTTGGGTTCTAGACTTTCCAGGGACCTTACCTGTTTAGTCTTAATTTACAGAGGCAGGTCCTTCTCACCATGGTTCTCTTGGTGTGTTCTTTCCTTTCCTTCTTTTTTATTTTTAGAGACAGTGTCTCACTCCGAGTTCAGTGGTACAATAGTAGTTCAATGCAACCTTGAACTCCTGGGCTCAAGTGATCCTTCCACCTCAGCCTCCCGAGTAGCTGGGACTAATGGTGCCTACCACCTTGTAGATAGAGCATCTCACTATGTTGTCCAGGATGTCCTCGAACTCTTGGACTCAAGTGATCCTCCCACCTCAGCCTGAATAGCTGGAACTAAAGGTGCATGCTACCTTGTAGAAATGGGGTCTTTCTATGTCACCCAGGCTTGTCTCAAACTCCTGGGCTCAAGCGATCCTCTCACCTCAGCCTCCTGAGTAGCTGGAACTAAAGGTGCCTTCCCCTTGTAGAGATGGGGTCTTGCTATGTTACCCAGGCTAGCCTTGAAATCCTGGACCCAAGTGATTCTCCATTTCAGCCTCCCAAAGCACAGGGATTATAGGGGTGAGCCACCATGCCTGGCCATGTTCTTTCTTTAATATCTACTTTAAGTCTATCTATTCAGGAACCTTCTGGGCTCTCTTCTAAGATTGGCCCTCAGTACCATTTCTGTGTGGTTCTCAGGTCCCCTTCTCTCTGCAGACCCCTCCCCTTTGACTCTTTCTCTTCCATGATAAACCCCCTGCTTCAACAAAGGGAAGAGGTTGGAAATCAGTTTGTCTTGTTGTCCACAATAAAGTTCTGTGATTATTATTATGAGTCAAGACTACACCCTGGAATGCTCTTTGTCCTCTGCAGATAATGAGCATTCCCTGTACACATCATACTAAAAAAAAAATCCATAATAAGTATAATTATTGTGATTTTTATTAACGTCCTCCAAATGATAATAATAGCAGTCATGATAACACTTATTATGCTGTTGATGCATGCCAGATATTTAATCTTTGAGGCAACATTATGAAGTGGGTGTAATGAGCATCACCACTTCATATAAATGGAGAATTGGCATCTCTCTACCAAGTATGGAAAGCTGACCAATAGAAATGTTAAGTTGTCAGCCGGGTGCAGTGGTGGCTGACGCCTATAATCTCAGAGTTTTGGGAGGATGAAGCATGAGAAAAATTTGAGGACAGGAGTGGGAGACCAACCTGGGCAACATAGCAAGACTCCATTTCTACAAAAATAAAGAAAATAATTAGCCACGCATGGTGGTGCACACCTCCAGTCCTAGCTACTCAAAAGGCTGAGGCAGCTTGAGCCCAGGAGGTGGAAGCTACAGTGAGCTGTGATTGTACCACTGCATTCAAGCCTGGATAACAGAGTGAGACCCTCGTCTCTAAAAAAATTTCTTTAAAAAAAAAGAAAAGTTGAGCTATTGAGTCAAGACTCCAAGGGCTGAGTCATAATGCAACTATGCTGCTTAGTTAATATTAATTAAATTAAATAAATTAATATTAAACCACGCTTGTCTGGTGCAGGTACAGGGAGTGTGACTGATATCCATCTTACATCAATTTACTTCCTGATACTTCATTTACTGTGGTATGAACTCGGACAAGAACGTAACCATTCTGTGCCTCTGTTTCTTTATCTGGAAAGTGGGAAGGAAGTAACAATGTGTACCTCTAAGGACTGGCATGAGTTAATTTATAAAATGCTTGTAAGAATCATGACCTACATTCATTGCTCATAAACAACAGCTACTGGAAGGCAGTTGAGTACATGTTTCTGCAGCTTGGTGAGGGGAACAGACCGGAGATATAAATTTGGAGGTCAGCACATAAAGGTGCTCCTGGAAGCCATTAGGCTGGATGATAACTCAAGGCAAAAGCATAAATAGTTTCTTCATTTTCTTTAAATTAGGAAGACTAAACTGTATTAGTCAGGGTTCGCTAGAGGGACAGAACAAATAGGATAGATGTATATATAAAGGGGAGTTTACTAAGAAGTATTGACTCACACAATCACAAGGTGAGGTCCTACAACAGGCCATCTGCAAGCCAAGGAGAAAGGAAGCCAGTCCGAGTCCCAAAACCTCAAAAGTAGGGAGGCTGACAGTGCAGCCTTCAGTCTGTGGCCAAAGGCCCGAGAGCCCCTGGCAAACCACTGGTGTAAGTCCAAGAGTCCAAAAGCTGAAGAACTTGGAGCCTGATGTTCGAGGGCAGGAAGCATACAGCACAGGAGGAAGATGGAGGTTGGAAGACTCAGACATTCTAGTCCTTCCATGTTCCTTTACCTGCTGTATTCTAAACAGGCTGGTAGCTGATTGGATGGTGCCCACCCAGATTGAGGTTGAGTCTCCCTCTCCCAGTCCACTGACTCAAATGTCAGTCTCCTTTGGCAACACCCTCACAGACACATCCAGGAACAATACTTTGCATCCTTCAATCCAAGCAAATTGACACTCAATACTAACCATCACAAAAACCCACAATTAAGAGAAAGGAGAAACCTGAAGTTTAAACCATATTGCCCAGCATTGCAGAATCAAGCCTTTCTAACTGAATGTATTGGGAATAAAATGATTATTCTTTCTCCAGAGCTGCCTCATTTAATCATCCTTTACTCTAATATATTAGTTTCTTCTGGCTACTGTAAAAAAAAAAATCAACACAAAGACCATTTGCTTAAAACAATGGATATTTATACTTTCCCAGCCCTAAAGCTCAGAAGTTGGAAATGAAGATGTTTCCACAGTTGGTTCCCTCTGGAGGCTCTGAGGAAGAATCCGTTCCTTCCCCCTTTCCTAGCTTCTGGAGGTGGCTGGAAATTCTTGGCATTCTTTGTCTTGTAGATGCATCACTGCACTCTTTAACTCATCATCCCTTGGGGCTCTTTTGGTGTGTTTCTATATTCAAACCTTCCTCTAAGGCCGGGCGTGGTGGCTCACGCCTGTAGTCCCAGCACTTTGGGAGGCCAAGGCAGGTGGATCACCTGAGGTCAGGAGTTCGAGGACAGCCTGGCCAACATGGCAAAACCTCGTCTGTACTAAAATGTACAAATATATATATATATACACACACATATATATATATACATATATATATATATGTATATATATATATGGGGGTGGGGGCGCCGTGGCTCATGCCTGTAATCCCAGCACTTTGGGAGGCTGAGGAGGGCAGATCATCTGAGGTCAGGAATTCGAGACCAACATGGCCAACATGGTGAAACCTCGTCTCTACTAAAAATACAAAAGTTAGCTAGGCCTGGTGGTGTGTGCCTGTAATCCCAGCTATTTGGGAGGCTGAGGCAGGGCGAATTGCTTGAACCCGGGAGGCAGAGGTTGCAGTGAGCCGAGATCGTGCCATTGCACTCCAGCCTGGGTGACACAGCGAGACTCCGTCTCAAAAAAAAAAAAAAAAAAATAGCTGGGCATGGTGGCTCACGCCTGTAGTACCAGCTACTTGGGAGGCCGAGACAGGATAATCACTTGAACCTGGGAGGCAGAGGTTGCAGTGAACCGAGATCATGCCACTGTACTCCAGCCTAGGCACCAGAGTGAGACTCAGTCACAAACAAAACAAAACAAAACCTTCTTCTAATTTATCATAAAAAGATTCCAGTTGTTGTGTTGGGGTCAACCCTAATCCAATATGACCTCCTGTTGACATGCTTATACCTGCAAAGTCCCTACTTCCAAAAAGAGGCATAATATTTACAGGTGCCGAAGGTTAGGATTTGAATATGTAGGTGACACAATTCAATTCATTACACCTAGTAATCGCCAACTGAGATAATGTTTTGGAAATTTATGTAGCAATGTTATAAACATGCACCCTAAATCTAAAACCTCCAGGCACACTTTATCACCAGGTAAGCATTGTCATTTATTGAACCTGGATGGTCTAGCTTCTGGAAGTTGACCAATCAGAGGCAGCAAGAACTAAGGCATGGAGCTAGACCCTCCCCACCTTGGAAGACCAGGAAGGTGCAACCCAGCTGCCTGGCTGGGAGGAGATGGGAAGTCTGAAGCAGTACATCAGTATAAAGAAAATTCCAAGAGCCTTTCTCTTGGAAGACAATAGGAGAGTCTGCAAAGGCCACGCTTCACACACTCGAGAGGAGACCTTGTTGCTGCAATGTGTGTTGAGAGTTAACGGAGCCATGTGTAATGGGTCATGTCCAAGAACCGGGTTCCCTTCTGAGGAGGGATCTGGTGAGACCAAAGCAGAACCCCTACCCTGATAAGATTAGGGTGCTAGGATCAGACAAGGCTTGAGCAAAACACTAAGTCTTCAGATATAGAGCAAAGAGAGCAGTCTTCAGGTTTGGATGTTGGTCCCAAGGCCGAAAGTCATCAGAACAGGAGCCAAGGAACCAACAATAAGAAGATTGAGTCTCAGAGTGTTGACAAGTCTCTTAAATCCTTCTGCCTAAAATGGAAACTTAGGAGTGAGTCCATGGGGAAAAGAAGTAAGCTAAGGTTTGCAGGTGCAAGGTCATGGTCAGACTGTAGCAGAGATTGGGAACCAACATGGTTGGCGAGACCTATTTGATTATCAAAGTCTTTGGAAAATATTTTGGGGGCTTTTCCGACAATCTAGGGAAGAGGCAGACTCACATGAACCCTCCCTTAGCTTGGGCCCAAAAATACCAAGATCCTGATATCAACCTGAAAATTAGCATAGATTATTAGGGCATTGAATAAATTCTTGAAAGCGATGCTCTAAAAATAAAATGAAATGGAAACTCGTGTTTTAAATATTGATGATTCTGGCACCACTGCAGTCCTTTGATATAGATGTTGTTGCTGTAGGCTGAATTAATTAATTAATTTGCATCAGGCCTCCAAAACTCAATGTGCTTCTTTCTAAACTAATGTGCATGTTCACAAACAAGTCTGTAAGACAGTTGTCAAAGTAGGACATCAAACCCCACCTTGGTTTCCATCCGTTCAGTGGCTTCAGTTTGACAATTGTTATGGAATCTTCTGGGGCTCTGGCATTTTCAATGCATAATGGAGACACAATTGAGGAAATTTATTTATTATTGGGAGACTACTAAAATTCAATACCGAATATCCCTTTAAGCTATTGGCATTACAGTATAGATGTATTTGGTTCACGGTGGTGCAGAAATCTCTTTCCAACATTGTTGTAGAAAAAATTTGTGGATTGTTTCTTTGAGTCAGGGTCTTTTTTTTTCAGTGGTTATCACTGATGAAAGTGCAGAATTTTCATTTTATATTTTAGTCTTTCTATTGGTAATTATGTCTGTCACTATGCTAACTGTTCATGGTGTAAAGATGAATATGGGCTGTTCTGCCTATGGGGTACCCCGGCTGTCTATGAAACAGCCATTTTCCTGTACTCTGTAGCTCTAAACTTCCTTTGCTTTTACTTAAAAAAAGATGAATAAGACCCAATCCTTACCCTCAACAGGATTAAAGTCATTAGGGAAATACACACTTTAAAAAGTATTACCAGGGCCGGGCGCGGTGGCTCACGCCTGTAATCCCAGCACTTTGGGAGGCCGAGGCAGGTGGATCATGAGGTCAGGAGATCAAAACCATCCTGGCTAACATGGTGAAGCTCCGTCTCTACTAAAAATACAAAAAATTAGCCGGGCTTGGTGGTGGGCACCTGTAGTCCCAGCTACTCGGGAGGCCGAGGCAGGAGAATGGGGTGAACCTGGGAGGCAGAGCTTGCAGTGAGCCGAAATCGCGCCACTGCACTCCAGCCTGGGTGACAGAGCGAGACTCTGTCTCAAAAAAAAAAAGTATTAACATTACATCATAGTGTTGACCAGATGTCCACACACTCTAACTGTAGGCCATAATTCATCTTATGCTTATTTTGTATGATGGGTAAAATAATTTTTTACATGTTTAAATAATTGGGAAAAAAATCGAACACTATTTTGTGACATGCACATTATATCAGACTACTGTTACCACATGATCCAGCAATTGCACTCTTTGGTATTTCTGCAAAGGAGTTGAAAACTTATGTATGTCCACACAAAAACCTGCACATGGATGTTTGCAGCAACCGTATTCATCATTGCCAAAGCTTGGAAGCAACCAAGACGTCACCCTTTAGTAGCCGAATGGATAAACAAACCGTGGTACATCCAGAGAATGGAATATTACTCAGCACTGAAAAGAAATAAATTATCAAGCCATGAAAAGACATGGAGAAAATTGAAATGCATAGCACTGAGTGAAAAACACCAATCTGAAAAGGTTACATACTATGTAGTTATACCCATAGGATATTCTGGAAAAGCCAAGAGCTTGGAGACAAAGATCAGTGGTCGTTGTTGCCAGGTATTCGGAGGAGGGAGAAATAGGGTGGAGCTCAGAGGACTTTTAGGGTAGTGTAGCCATTTTGTATGATACTATAGTAGTCATTATATATTTGCCCAAACCCACAGAATGTAAAGACAGAGTGAACCTTAATGTGAACTATGGACTTTAGGGGATTATAATATGTCTACGTAGGTTCATTGATTGTAACAAATGCACCACTCTGGTGGAAGATGTTGGTAGTTGGGGAGACTGTTTGTGGGGGGGTAGAGGGTAGATGGGAACTCTCTGTATCTTCCTCTCAATTCTGCTATGAACCTCAAACTGATATTAAGAAAATAAAGTCTATTAAAATTATGTGAAACTCAAACATCAGCATCTACAAGTAAAGTTTTATTGCAACACAGCCACTCCCATTTTTTTGCATATGGTCCGTGGCTACTTTCACGTTAGTGAAAAGTTGAGCAGTTGAGTCAGAGACCACGTGGCCGGCAAAGACGGAAGTTTGTAGTATTTGGTTCTTCATAGAGAAAGTTTGGTGATCTCTTTCGGTGATCCCTGGACTATCCTGAAATTCTGAGCAAGACATCATCATGATCAAAGCAGGAGTAGTCAGCTTAGCTTTTCTGCGTTATTCAGAGAGCTTTTTGAGCTGTATCTTGAAGAATGAGGTGGGGTTGAGGTTTCCAGGATCTTTCTGTCATCTTCCCACATTGGTATTGTATTCTGTAGCATTTATTGTGACCAACACACATCCCTGAAACCACCAGGGGCTGTTATTTCAGAAAAGTAGATGTAGGACACTAATTTCTCATGCTGCCATTGAAAAGAGAGCCTCACCTGCATAACTGAGTTTTTGACATTTTAAATTTTTTTGTTTTAATTAACATCCATCTTAGAATTTTCACTATTGTTCTCCATAATGGGATAAATATATAAAGTAAATCTCTCAAAAAGACAGGTTTTAAAACACATTGCCTAATGTCAAATTACTCATATAAGGATAAGATTTCAGCCTTGTGATTTTGTAATGTGTCAACCTGCCTAGACTAAATTACTTTTCCTAGAATCCTCCCACCTGTGTGTTTCTATCTTTTGTGCCCCACAAAAGCCATTTTTATCCTGGTTTGGTGATGAAGCCGGGACCCCCCTTAAGGGCCTTATGAAAGTGAAGAAAAATCTCGAGTTCCTTCAGGGGAAATTCCAGGCATTTGGCTAGCCTTGAAAAGTAAATGAGTAACTTGATATCCAAGAAGGTAATGGTACTTTAAAACAACAACCAAGGAAGCTAGAGCCAGGAGATACTAGTTTTAGTTCCTATAGGAACTAAAGATAACATCTTGACATAAGTCCCTGAGTTGTTGTTCAGAAACCCAGACCCCCACAAAATGCATCCACTGGAATGTAGACCTCAGTTACGGGGCAACGGGGCAACCGAGGACTGAACTCTAACCACCATTCTTTATTTTAAATGTCTTCCTGAGGGGGTTGGAGGAAGTCATGTCCATGAGTCAGAGCTAACATTCTTTTCTGCTGACCCCAATTTTTAAAAAAACTTCTTTCCCTTAGCTAATGGCAAATCAGAGAATCCTTGAATCTACCTATGACCTGTGAGTCCTCTGCGTCAAGATATCCTGCCTTTTAGGTCAAAAGCAATGTATAACCTCCTTGTATTGACTTAAGATTTTGCCTGTAGCTTCTACTTTCCTGACATTTACCCCTGTGTTTACAAACCCTTACCTGCAAGCCACCGGGCAGGTGGGATCTTAGGCATCAACTGTCCAACTCTCTTTGCTTGGTGCTTGCAAATAAATGCTTCACTTCCTCTCGCTGCCATCCTAATGTTAGTGTTTGACTTTGCTGTGCCAGGCGAACAGACCCCAGTTCGGTTCTGTAACAACATCAGGGCAAAAGTGAAGCTGCAGCCATATTGCTTTTTTGCAGTCAAAATTAGGGAAACAAATGAGAGCTGTGGTTAGCTCTTACCTGTGGCCTCACCTCCTTTGCATGGGGGTAGCCATGGGACCTGAAGCTGCTCTACCTTTTACTGGACTCCTTTTCCGGTGTGCATTCAGCTCTGTGAATAAGGGGCCAAGCTTTTGCTGCAGGATGTCTAGGCATCAGAGGGCAGAGAGAAAAAGACATGGATCACAGATCATCCTCCTCTTTCTAGATCATGCCTGTGGCTCCCAGCTCGTTCTCACGCTCCAATTTTATAGGCAGCTTCCACTCCAGGAACCAAGAATTTCCCTTGTGAAAGGAAAATAAAAACTCAGGACCCCAGTTTGCTATGCAAAAGAAAAACAAAACAAAAATTTAAGCTAAAAGCTGAGTCATGCAAGAAGTGGCCTTTTCCTTTTGTTCCTAAGCAGATAGCTACAGATAAAAGGTTAAACATCGCCACAGGTGGCTGCTCTATGTTCACCGTATCTTATGTAAAGTGCCCATTTACTGAGTGCAAGAGGAATGTACAGTTGACTATTCCTCTACCTGCTCCTTTTCTCTTGCAACCTGTAGATTGAGTAATGTGACCATATCCTCCCTCTTTCCCCTCTAGCCCACATTTCCCCTTTAAATATTGAAGCCCTCAAAATCATCTTTGGAGAAAGGCACAGACCACACAGCATTTCTGTGATTCATGTTGATCTCTTCTGGACATGTCCTTCTTCTTGGCAAAATAAACTTCTAAGTTGATTGAGACCTGTGTCAGATACTTTTTGGTTTACACCCTCAAGGAGAATCCCGCCTTCCTCACTGCCCAACTGCACCAGGAGTTGTTTGCGGTCTTTTGTGTGCTGATTGGTCATGTTAATCACTTTCTTCTTAGTTGGAAGATAGAGTTGAGAGCTCAGTGATGTGGTTTTTATATTGTTTCCTGTCCTTCCATGCATGTGGGTCACCACCACCACCCTATCTAGACAGTAACCTCCTCAAAAACAGGGACGTCACGTTCTACTCCTATGTCCTTATTCCTTTGCTGATGCCCTGAAAGATATAAATGCAGGGTAGCATGGTTATGCAAGGTGCAAACACATGCTTCCTTTTGAGTCAGGTGAACTAACACTTGAACAATTAAAAGCAAAGGGCACCGTGATATACAGAGTAGTGCAAACAGACTCACTCAAAATGCAGTATGTGCGCAGCAGGCAGGGGTTTAAATTGCGTATCTCATGTGTTTGATTGCAAATGAGGAAAACTGTAATAGTCAAAGCTATCTAACATGTAGGTTGTGGTACTAGACACACAAGCACTCATTGTGGTATGTCAGGTAAAAACACATCTAGATGTAGGAAAGGAAAACTTTATTCAAAAAGATTATTGCAATAAGGAGGGGTACTGTTCTAATAATGGGAAGGGGAGTATTGGCATGTGGAGCTGCACAGAGGGTAAGATCTTCAAGCATGTCAAAGGTCAGGCAGAAAGGAATTTAGAGACAATCCACTGGAAAGGACCAGACGTGGGCGAGTGGGTGACATACTTGGACCAGACAATGTCTTCCTTGTGGTAAGGTCAGTTAATTCTCAGGAGAGACCCTTAAGAGGGTCTGTGTCCTGGCTCAAACTGAGATTGGGTCAAAGTTCAGAATCCTCTGGGCAAAGCAGAGATGTAAATGAACTGGGTCCAATCCTGTGAATGAGCATTGCATTCCGATGCATCTGTGGGGAGCAATAGTTTAGCTAACCTTTTATGAGGCAAAAAATAGGAATTTGAAGGGTTTGTGTATGTCTTTGTCGTAAGTGAAAATGACAGTGGGAGGGCATCCATGAATCTTTTCGAAGGCATGGGGGAAGGGTGGTTTATGGAGTAACCGGTTTCTCAGAACACACCAAAAAGTACAGGGGGTATTTCTTCATTGTTACTGTTTTCCTGGAGCACAGGTATAGTTTAACATTGTCAATTGCATTTATGACTTCTGGTTCCTTCAGTAGCCTTCAAAGTCAAGGCTACCCATCCTTAACATGTAATGTTGCATGTACACACACACACACACACACACACACACAACTTATATTTGCCTTGTGCACTGGGATAAATGGGTGAGTTTATTGAGCCCAGTCTCTCTACCCTGGTATACCATTAGGAAGATCTGCTATAAAATAGGTACTATTATCCCCATTTTTCAGATGTTCAGAATGAATCTCAAAGCGGTCATATGATCTTCTCTAAGGTAAGATCTACATTTCTAACTTCTCTAACTTTCCTACTTAATAGTAGGACAAGGGTCAAATTCCACTGGCACTGGATTCCAGTCTTCCTGTCCTCTACATTTTTACCCCAAAATAACCACAATAAAAAGATTGTTTCTTAGTTTTTGAGGCAGTGTGCTTCACGGATGTCAAAGCAATAAAACTTGAGGACAAAAAGACAGACATCTAGAAAAGTAAGATGAGCGTTCACTCCTGTCACCTCAGTGAAAAACTGCAACCTGTCATGATGTTTTCTTACCAGAAGGTAGAGATTCAGTTGCTGGGTGTGGGTTGGAGTAAAACATAGAAAACTTGAGACACAAAGGGAGCTCTATGTTTGAGGCAAGATGGCAAAATGGCAAGTAAAAGTCAAAATGACGTCCTTCCATTTTCTCTGTGGTTGCTGTCTTTGGCGGTTTTTTTTGCAATCACAGTATGATGAGAAGGAAGGTACATCTGTATCAAACCCCATGCATAAGTACAAGCAATTGCTCCTATGATAGAGTAGCCTGTTAGGGAAGATTTATTTGATAATCAAACAAAAACCCGAGCAAGTTCTGCATGCCCACTGGCAAGAAAAACATTTAAAGAGGGCTAACCAGCACGGTTTCCCTTTCCCTCCCCTTTCTGTCTTACCTGTCCTTAAAATGCATCCAACTGAGATGTCAAATACTTTGCAGAAGCTCCTTATCCACAAAGCAAGACCAACACTTACAACCAAATTGCAAAGAAACATATTAGGTTTCTAGATGGTCTGATTTAGAAAGCATATATTGAACCACAAATAATGGATTAATGGATTCTCCGCAGTACTCAGCCAGATGAATAATGATGGCTTGATTCAGCAGTGGGAGTTACTTATGGGTGCCGGCTAATCAGGGCCAGAGGAGCAGGTCCTGGCTGCCTTTTCCTTGTGCATGCTCGGAGGTGGCCAAGTATCTTTCTAGATGACAAATGGGCCGTGCCAGGGAGTGTAAAATGTACAGGTTTGCAATGTTCCGTGCTATGTTGGCTCTTGTTGAAAAAAGCTGCAGAAGGGGCAGGCTGAACTTATCCTGCATCCTCGTCCTTGGAAGCTAAAGCTCAGATCACTCTGTGGTCATAGGCTGGCAGGTGCAATGAAGGGTGAGGAGTTTGTTTCTGGGACGTTGACTGAAAAAATGACTTTAATCTGATATTCATAAACCATAGCAACTGGCGGTTGAAAAAAAAATGATTTAGTAACAGAGGCCAGCGTGGTAGAGGTGAACAAAAAGGAACGCACCAAGATGGACGTGTTACAAAAGCAAGGGCAAAACTGGTTCACCCAAAATATTTGTATCCTTACTTCTACGATGGAATGGCGTCTTTTCCAAAGCAGTGGGATCTTTTGGAACAAAACATGGGGAGGTAGTTACTGTGGTTGGTTGGGAGGGAAATGAACATCTCTGAAGCAAACGTTTTCTATTTTAAACAAAACAAAACAATACAATACATTCTAGCCCCTCCAAAACCCCCCTTTCCCTTTCTAAAGACTAGGTGAAATTCATATTTTAATTATGTGATTCCTCTCCCAAATGGGATGACGTTGTCAGCTATGAATTACCAAAGCTGCCTCTTTTATCTCCTTCCCAGAATACACAAAGCAAAGGTCTAAATGTGATTTTGGTGAATATGTACTTTTTTTTTTTTTTCAAATGACAGAGGCAAAGAGGGGAAAATGAATGTCTTAATCCTACAGCCCCCTCCTGGGGAATCTGTGCCACAGGGAAATGGAAATGACAGTGGGGCTGAGTGATCATGTGGTTCAACTCTCTGCCTCTTCCTCTACCAACCACCTCCTCCTGCTCTTCCATCAATCTCCACTTTTCTACTTTTGTGCTTTTGTTCCTCTCCCTCCAGGTTCTCCCAGGGGTGCACACACTCATTTATTTATTCAGCAGGCACACAAATGATTTACCCTGAGTTCGCGGGCAAAGCAATTATATTCTTAATCAAATCAAGATGAACTCAGGAAATAGACTACATAATTTCTTGTTAAGAGTGAGCATCTCTTTGAAAAAGACCATAACATGTATTCAGTGGTGTATGACCAGTCGGTCTTGAGATGACTCAAACCCGTTTAGCTGTTTTCTAAAAGTCACAGACAGTGCTTTTCCAAATGATTCAAATTATCGGGGAAAAAATCTTAAATCATCTGAACATGGAAATCAAGTATACTCCAGGATATCAAGTATATTCCTTAAGATCGGTTGGAATGTTAAATTCCAACATTTATATATATATATAAAATATAGCGTGTACATATATAATATAGTGTATATATAGAATATAAATATATATGTGTATATATATACACATATATATATTTATATTTTGGAAAGAGACTTGGAGATTTAAGTGATTCATCCTGTCCCTTTTAGCATTGTTCACTTCCAATATTGAAATCAATTTTTCATCCTTTGAATAACTTGGAAGTTTCCCCTCCACATATGTTTTTCAATGAGCCTTTTACAGTGAAATAATGATGCACATAAATCCTCTCTTCTAAAAGGAAGGATTGGGATTTTACCTCCTCTTCAATTGAAGATCTGTAGACTATTTCCATTAAAGATGAGTTATTCCAAATCAGATCCAGGTAGTTAATCAGTTGCTATTAAACCAGAGTAAATTGTGCTGTGCTGGGTTTTAATGGTGAAGATTTTTCTACTGAAAAACAAATGCTGCTAGACCTATCCTAAAGACTTCTGATGCAATATCTCTTCATCAGCGTGCAGAGCATTTGTTGTATTTTCAATACGATATTCAAAGGTTAAATGTTTTTATTAATAGTACTGGGAATATTTTAGTCCGAATGCCACAGAGAGGGAATTAGGATAACACGACAGATCCACTTCTAAGGGCACACACTGGTAAAAGAATAATATCTAATTTCTACATTGAACATTCAGATTGCTTTCTTTGGGGCTTATGTTTTATTTACTGGTGAGGAAATGACTCTTTAACTATATTTAAACTGAGGTTGCATGAATATTTAAAGTGATGGTTTCAACCAGAGGAACATTTTCATTATGGGATGAACGACAGAAAAAATATTCCACTCGACTTTCTCTGAAAGGTTGCAAAGCTTTAAAACCATTCTCTTAAAACATTGATATTCACCACCTTACTTATGAAAATAAATAGACTGGGAATAAATAGCCTAGCACTGGTCCTTTATATTCCTGCATTAAAAAGAAAATTAGATAGACCCTCAAAATATGTAAAGCGATCACCTAAAGGTTGAAATGAATCTAGTATAATGGCCACAATGATATCTTACCTGTTCTTAGAACTTTATATGCACTGCATCCTCAAAACCACTCAGCAAATGGATTGTTGCTATTATGCCCACTTGGCAAAGAAGGAAATTGAGGTGGAGAGACATTAGATAATTGCCTGGAATCCAAATTTAAGTAAGGCAAGGAGATGGATTAGGTACCCAGGTGGGTCTACCGAGTGTGAGTTTGTAACTATACACCCAAGCACAGAGGAATTCTCTCTTCTTCAGAGAGGAAGAAAACTCACATCCGTAAATCCACAAGATCAGAGACTTAGTACAAATAATTGTAAAATCATTTATTAAGCACCTGCTGTGTACGAAAACACAGAGTACCATGAGAAGAAAATTGTACAGAGCTAGGCAAGACAGGACTCCTTTCAAAAAGAGATGATACATGAGAGAGAAACAAACTCTAATAATTATAGAACAAACTTTTGGTTAATAAGAAAAAAAATTTTAACCAGGATACTACATACTCTAAAGATGATTTTTAGTTTTTTACTTTTTTTTTTTATTTTTTGAGATGGGGTCTCACACTCACCCAGGCTGAAGTACAGTGGTGCAATCATGACTCACTGCAGCCTCCACCTCCTGGGCTCAAGCAATCTTCCCGCCCCAGCCTCCAGAGTATCTGGGACTACAGGTACGTGCCACCATATCTGGCTAATTTTTAAAATTTTTTTGTAAAGACGGGGTCTTGCTATGTTGCCCAGGCTGGTCTCTAACTCCTGGCCTCAAACGATCCTCCCTCCTTGGCCTCCCAAAATGCCAAGATTATAGATATGAGTCACCATGCCCGGCCTTCTAAGGATGACATTTAACTATTTTGTTTATTTTTGTTTGTTTGTTTTGCATGAGACCATCATAATCCTGTCACCACAATGTTGATTAAAATTTATACTTCTATTTTTTAAAATATAAATTTTAATTTTTAAGGGCTCATTGAATTTAGGTTTGACAAATCTTTCTTATCCCAACATATAGCTCCTGTTTCTGGTATAGGTTTGGGTTTTTCCCAACAGAAAAAAAAAGTAATAAAAGTAAATATGTAAGACAGTCTAAAAACTGATTAGTGTCTTTCTCTGTCGTTTTTCTGAAATTTAGCATCGCTGCCAATCAACTCTAGAAATGGTTATCTTCAGGTCTAAAACAATACCGGACTGAGATTCATAAGATAAGGGAAAAAATACAATCATGCCACATAACCACATTTTGGTCAATGACAGATCACATAAACAGTGGTGGTGCTATAAGATTTTAGTACTGTAGTTTTACTATAACTTTTCTGTATTTAAATATGTTTAATCACAGAAATACTTTAATCCCATATTTTTACTTTACATATTCTTTGTTTAAATATGATTTTAATACTGTATTTTTACTGTACCTTTTCGTGTTTAAATATGTTTAGATACACAAACACTGACCATTGTGTTACAATTGCCTGTAATATTCATTATGGTAACACACTGTACAGGTTGTAGCCAAGGAGCAATAGGCAATATCACACAAGTGTGACGTAGGCTACGCTGTCTAGGCTTGTGTAAGCACATGCTATGATGTTTGAACAATGACATCACCTCAAGACTGTTTCTCAGAATGTATCCCTCTAGTTAAGCAATGCCTGACTATCAGATTCCCTTTTAGCCTTTGACATTAAGGCATTTATTCTCTACTGGGAAAGCCAGATTTCGCTGAAGTAAAAGATACCAATATAAAAAAGTATATATTCAACTCTCAAGTATCCCCCTAAGGGAAAAGTACTACAGGGAACAGAGAAGGGAGTGAGTGATGAGAAGAACCGTGGGTTTCGTGCCCATGCTGTGGTTGGCACAATAATGTAGAAAATAAAATACAATTTCAGGACCCTCTAAATTTATGATGTCAAGGAGGGAGTTAAGCCCTGGAAAGTGAGTCATGTAGCATGCTTGCAATTCTGCTTCTTAGATAATAGCTTAACTCTCTTCTTTACTACTCTTGTTCTGTAAATGACTAGGAGAGACCGGAGACTAGGCCTTCCCCTTCCAATTACTGATCTTTGTTATAGATTAACTGTCTCCTCTATTTATTGTCCTGTACCTAACTCAGACCAGATGGTGTCCAAAACCACTTCTCAGTCATATCTTAAGTGTGGAATATTAAATACACCTTTCCTCAAAAAATAAGACTATGTTGCCTAATCAGATCATTGTGACTGCATCAAACATCATATTGAAAGATGTTGAAATTCTGTTAAACTTCTCTGAACGTTGTCTAAATAAGTGATCCCAAACTTCCACATTTTGAAACACTGACTTCCATTATTTGGAATCTGTGCTTCCCAGGGCAGCCTGTCCTAAACCTTGTGCTTGAGTAAACCCTGTTTAAACTAGATTCTGACCTTTTTGATTAAAGTTGGCAATAACGACCCCCCACCCAAAGATGTCCACGGTCCTAATCCTCAGAATCTATGATTATGCCGTTACATGGCAAAGGAAAAATTTGTTGTTTATTTGATGTTAGGTTGATGTTATTTGATGTTAGATTTCTAACTAGATGTGTAATTTTGTGTTCATGGGCAAACAGCAAGCCTATAACGTAATTACTTGTTTCTGTGATGATTGAGATGTACAGGAAATATAGTTTATATGTTTGCTCCGTTTTATTTCCGAATTTTAGTATTCAACACTTATTTACTTAACATCAAATAAAAACCAAATGTTTTGGTTTGATGTTAAGCTGTAGCTGCCATTGAGGCTGTTAATCCAGTGACTGTGAGATGGGGAGATCATCCTGAATTATCAGGTGGGACCAGTGTAATCACAGGGGTCCTTCATAATGGGAGAGGGAGGCAGAAGAGGTCAGACAAAAAGATGTGAGGACTGCACCAGAGTCAGAGAGAGGCTATGTTGTTGGGTTTGCAGATGAATGGAAGGGACCATGAGCCATGCAAAGCTGACAGTCCTTAGGACCTGGAAAAAGCAAGAAACCACCTTTCCTTGAGCATCTGCAGGTACACAATCCTGCCAACAGCTTGATTTTGCTCCAGTGAGACCAGTTTTGCCTTTCGAGCTCCAGAATTGTAAGGTAATATATTTCTGTTGTTTTAAGCCATTCTCCTTTTGGTAATTTGTTACAGCAGCCAGAAAAAAACCAAACACATGCAAATACTTGCTCTGAAAACACTGCTCTCAGACGTTGCAAGTGGACTCATGCTTCTTTCTCCCAGAAGGAGTCAACCTTACCTTTCTGATGCTGCTGTGGAGAACTGCAGTCTGGTGTAGATAAGCGTATCCCAGGCACCATGCCATGGTGTAGACAACTCTTCACACTTAGTCTCCACCTTGAAAGCAGGGGTCATGTCTTAGTCATGTTTGTATGACTGTTGAATGTTCTGTGGGTGATTAATAAAGGTTACAAGTGGACACGGATAAACACACACTGAAGTATTTAAAAATCGAGTTGGGTGAGTAATCTCAATGTTGCCAAGACTCAATCACACTACTCCAGGACTGGTCATTAGAACATCAGCTTGGTCCTTGCAGGAGCTTGTTAGAAATGCAGAATTTCAAACCTTCACCCCAGTCTGAGTTAATTATATCCTACATGTTAAGAAGATAACAAGAAGGTTCCCATACAGATTAAAGATCGAGAAGAACTCTTCTAGGTAAGTGGCTCTCAACTATAGCTGCACATTGTAAATCAAGGTCAGCGTCTGGTTTTATTGCTTTAAGAGGTGGCCTTGACGTCAGGATTTTACACGAAGAGCTCCTTGGGTCATTCTAATGTACAGCCAAGGATAAGAACCACTCTTTCGGCTTCAACACTGTTTTTCACTTAAGTTGGCTTTGTATAGACCTACCATCATTCACCTAATATCAATCCTAAGTCCAAGATGTACCATATTCATGGAATAACCACTTTCTCTTGTCAATCCTTTCCTCCTTCCTTTTGGGAGAATGTATTTCAGGTACTACATTTCTACAAAATGTAGAACATATTTCTCCTTGCCAAACAATCTTATATTACCTAAAGACATGTTTCTGATTTGAAATAGAAAGATGATCCTTTAAGAAACGAAGAATACTCATCTTAGAAAATACTCTAAAAATTCTCACTTCAGTGTTGTGAAACTCAAATTATGTTTTATTAAAAAATTGGTGTAAAACCTTGTTAAGGGCATATGTCACAGATTTGCTTATTTTGAAAATAAATTGTGGAATATGCAAACAAAATGAGTGTTTTATTAATTTCATAACATTCTAATTCTTAGAAAGCTAGTGGAAATATTTTTATCTTAGAGAATAAGTATTATGTGGTTACCTGTCAAGACAAAATGAAACTAAATTTCAAAATGTACCAAATAAATGTGATTGTTACTGGCTTTATCAAAGCATGTACATTCGTTTGAGATTTTGCTATTATTAGAGTATGAAAGGAAGACTTCTGCAGAGTTGTTGTATTGAAGTCTTTTATGTTCCTCAACATCCTTTCTTCTCCAACTCTTATGTCATCACATCTTTGTGGTGCTTTACACAAGTATAATTGGCAACAACATTTCATGCTGCTTTGCTTAGGGCTTCCCTGACATCTCAGCATGAGACATCTGCAAAGCCCACCACCCATGGGGAGCCACAAATCATAGTGCCAATGGTGCCGTCCTTGGCCACTGCTTATCAGAAGCTGTAAAATAAGTGGCTTACCCCTTTGATGTCTCAGATAGACAATTTTAAGGTGTATTTCAGAGGCTTTTCAGAAGGTCTCTGACAGGATTGAACATGTGCTTTTCTGGAGGTGGATGAGTCAATGAAGCATCCTTGTACTGAGTGTTCTCTGTTTTATTCCCTTTGTTCTAGACTCCTTCTTCCTGGAACTACATTCTTACCTAAAGTATCCACCTAGAAGCTTTTCCTGCCACTGTTAAGGGAAGCTTAGGTAAGACAATAATCACACTATTTGTTTATCTTTCTTCCTCATTAGCCTGCATGTTTCTCTTGAAGATGAAGCTTTTAACTCACATATCTTTGCAGCTCCTCACAACTACCACACAACTTGGAATAAAACAGGCACTTAAAAATTATTTGCTGAATCAGTGAATGCATTTCAGGACTCCACTTCTCCAAGAACTTTGCTTTTGATGTCTCTAGTTTTTTTCCAATGCTAAAATGCTCCATCTGCCCTACCCAGCATTTTCTATAGCATAATCAAGCACTTAAGTCCTGTTCACTGCAAGATGCTCAAGGACTTAACTCATATTCACTACTTGTGTTTCAGTCTCAATTTGTCCATTTTACAGACAATTTCTTGAAGATAGAAATTCATAAATTTCATTTCAAGTAAGAAAACCTATGAAAATACTTGGTCAACAGTAAAAAATACACTAGTGATGATGATAATGATGATTGTGATGATGATGGTGATGATGGTGATGATGATGATTGTGATGATGATCGTGATGATGATGATGATAATTGTGATGATGATGGTGGTGATGGTGATGATGATGATGGTAATGATTGTGATAATGTTAATGGTAATGGTGATGATGATGATGATGGTGATAGCAATGATCATGATGATGGTGATAATAATGATGATGGTGATGTTTGTGATGATGGTAGTAATGATGGTGATGGTGATCATGGGTGATGATAATTGTGATAATGATAGTGGTGATGGTGATAATAATGGTGATGGCAATAATGATGATAATGGTGATGATGGTGATGGTATGATGGTGATAATGATGATGATTGTGATGATGGTGGTGATGGTGATGATGGCTGATGATGATGATTGTGATGATGATAATGGTGATGGTAATGATGACGGTGATGATGGTGATGGTGGTGATGATGACGGTGATGGTGATGATGATTGTGATGATGATGATGGCTATGTAAATGATGATAATGATTATGGTGATGATGGCGATGATAGTGATGGCAATGATGGTGATGCTGATTGTGATGATGGTGATGGTGATGGTGAGGATGATGATGGGGATGAAGGTAATGATGGTGATGGTGATGGTGAGGATGATGATGGGGATGAAGGTAATGATGGTGATGGTAATGATGATAGTGATGGTGGTGATGGCAATGATGATAATGATGATTGTGATGATGATGGTGATGATAATTATTGTGGTGATGACAATGATGGTGATGGTGATAATGATGATAGTGATGGGGATGATGGTAATTATTATGATGATGGCAATAAGGACAGTGATGATGACAATGATGATAATGTGATGACCAACAGTCAGACAGCCTATATTTAGGATAAAAGCTGAGCTCACAGATTAGCAGACTTCCATAGTTAATTCTTTACCTGAGGGTGGGTCACAAAGCAAGGTCCCTTTCTATGCAAGGCAGAGGGAAGTCGGCATGCTCAATTCCAATTTACTGAATTTCTATAGCAACAATGGCTGTATTGTTTGACCACCATCAAATGTTATCCTAGTTGTAGTCCATGTGTCCCATAGGAAGGCAATCTATGCATTCCCATTTACATCTCAAACTGTCTTATCAAAGGAGATTCTAGCACTTTTAGTAAATCCTGTCATTTGCAACCAAGCATTATGCTAATCTAAATAAATCAGGCAGAGAAAGACAAATGCATGATCTCACTGATGTGTGGAATTTTAAAAGTTGAACACATAAAAGCAGAAGGTAGAATGATGGTTACCAGGACTGGGGAGTGGGAAACTTGGGGAGATGATGGTCAAAGGGTACAAACTTTCAGTTATTATAAAAGATGGACAGGTTCTGGAGACCCAATGTACAGTATGGTGATGATAGTTAACAATACTGTATTGTATACTTGAAATGTACTAAGAGAGTATATCTTAAGTGTCCTCACTACACACACACACACAAATGCTAACTATATGAGGTGATAGATGTGCTAACTTGATTGTGGTAATCATTTCACAATATATACATATAGCAAAGCATCACATTGTACAACTCAAATGTATGATTGTTTTTCAATCTACCTATAATACTGTGTCCTTATTTTGCTGTACTCTGTCTTCTAAATTTTTATAATATTTTTATTAACTCTACTTTCTCATGTTTCATTGGAAAATAGGTTAGATATATTTATGTGGTCCTGTAATGGTGGCTTTAAAGTATGTATGGATATTATAATTTAAACTGCTTTTCTGCTTCTAATATGTCATTAAATCTTGTAGCTTTATGTTTAACCATTAACTAGTATGTAGAAGTTCAATGATTGTACAGTGGCAAGACCCTACCTCCTCTTCTTCTGATATATGTTAAACATAGAATTAAAGGAAGAAAATTTTAAGGTGACTATCCATTGAAGGATAAAATAATAGGTCAAAACAGATTAATTTGAATGTCATTAGGAACAAATGGTATGAAATTCAAAATCCTTAGTGATGATGGAATAATTTTAGAAAAAGTACAGTATTATTTTATTATGAGATTAACTTAAATATATGATTTGGCATGTGTAGAGAAAATGGCCACTATTACAGATTTACAGGAGGTAATACTTTATAGAAAAGTAATTGCAAGATTAGGTGTGAATTATGGGAACAACATAATTATTAATCATTCTACAAAGCATGATGACTCTTCAAATAAATATCATGTTATTTATGTTCTACTTTTAGCACATGTGTAACTGCTTTTGCTATCTGATAATCATTATTTGTTATTACTGAAAACTTGCTTGAATTTGGCATATTTATTTTTCCCCCATTTCTTCCTGACCTACCTTTTCCTCCTCCTTCACTTTATTTCCTGCCTTCATGCATCTGAAACTAGATGACTCTCTGGGGGGCTAAATTATTATGAGGTGGCCATGATATGAGAAAGGCTGCAGCACAGAGGGATACTCCACATTTGTATTCAGAAATTCTTCAATTGGAAAAAAAAAAGTTTCTTCTGTTTTCCAAAGAAAGTGAGCAATTTCCAGAAAATCCCCCGGGTAAAGTGATGCCTGAAGCGTCTTGATAAAAAGCTAAAAGAAGAAATTTTAGAAATTACCAAATAGAGGCTTTTGTAATGTGCTATGAGGTTCACTCAGAAATAACACTTTGTTCTACATTTAATAGCAGGGCCATTCAGCATCATGCAGATATTGCACTTGGAAGGCAAATGGTTTATGTTCATGACATCTGTGTCGTTTTAAAAAATGGAATTCTAAAACTTATGAGATTTGAGGTTATTTTGGAAAAAAAATAGTGAGTATTGTCTGGTATCTATGATGATCTGGTAAAGTCATGATAATGTTTCTTAGAATACGTGGCAGATAAAGCTTAATGCCAAAGACACACAGTTGAGCAGACAGCTTGCCTCTTGGGTCTTGGATAAAAAACTTTTTGTCCTGTAAATTATTCTTAGCGTTATCTTACCAAGAACTTTTTTTTTTTTGCCTTTTAGTTTCTGGTTCCATATGAAAAAAAAGGCTGTATATTGTAAAAGCTCACTTTGGAAACTTTCAGCTAATAGAGACTTCGGGATTAAAGATATCATTAACTATAACCCACAGGAGAATTCTTGTTTTTAATGTATATGCCCACAAAGCCAACAACGCTGGTTTATAAAATAAGAGAGAGTGTCTCATTATGAGCTCAATTTTCTATAATCTGACACTGTATGAATACAGTTCAAGATTGAGATTTCTTTCATTATAATTAAAGAAAAATACTCTGACCTTTTCAGCCACACTGAGATAACTAGAAGCAAAGTTTATTTCTTAAAACATCCTGCATATGTACATTTATTAGAGATGTTAATACTATGAGCCATATTTCACTCTATGATGATCACAAAAACTTTGAGCAAAACAGCACAGTCATTATCTGGATTGATCCAATGTATTTTATTTCATAAAGGAGTACAGGTACATTTTACTGTACAACCACATTCTCCTGAATCTAGGCAGTAGAAATATAGGAGCTGGAGGTAAACTATCTAACATAGTTAGCAGAAGTTACATTTCCTTCAAACTACTCATGGATTACCTAGGACAAATTATGATTCATTCTTTATTGTAACAAAAATAATCAATTTGTATGTAGCAAATTATTGTCTATGGCTAGTATTTTAGCTATTATTTCTCCTAATGTAGATTTCCAAGGAGACTATATGCTCACTAATATTTGGAAAATGTTGACTAGAATTGAAATAGCAATTTTGGTTCCTAATTTTCTTGTTACTACATTTGCGGCATTCCTAAAGATATCACCCACTTAGAATGGATGACTTATTTTATTAAGCTATTCTCTCCGCGAGAAAAGAGGAGTAGTGAAGCTGATATAGTACACTTCATGTTTCCCTCTCAAATCATATGAAAAAAAGGCCTTAAGTGGTTTAAATAGCCACACACACGAAGAATGGCCTATAATGAGAAGCATTGCAGTATCTGCAGAGGCCACTAACAGAGAATGACACAAATTTACATACAAGTATACACAACACCCTGAATCTGATTTTTTAGGTGTTATGACAGTGATTTATGGAGAAGGACAGTTGGCTCTGAAATTAACCAGACATTATTATAATTTACTGTTTTTGTCTTAATTCTTTATTTTTAATTATTATGGGTATATAAATGTTGTATATATTTATGGGGTACATGTGATATTTTGATACAAGCATACAACAAGTAATGATCACATTGGGGTAATTGAAGTATCCATCACCTCAATCATTTATTATTTCTTTGTATTGGGAACATTCCAATTCCACTCCTTTAGTTATTTTGAAATATACAATAAATTATTGTTAACTGCAGTCACCCTATTGCGCTACTAAACTCTAGATTTTATTCCTTCTATCTAACTGCTATTTTTGCACCCATTAACAATCCCCATTTTATCCTCCCCTCCCCATTACTCCCCTCCCCAGCCTCTGATAACCACCATGCTACTCTCTATCTTCATGAGTTCAATTAAAAAAAAATTAGTTCCCACATATGAGTGAGAATATGCAAAATTTGTCTTTCTGTGCCTGGCTCATTTCACTTTGCATAATATCCTTCAGTTGCATCCATGTTCTTGACAATGACAGGATTTTATTATTTTTTATGGCCGAATAAATTTCATTGTGTATATGTGCCTCATTTTCTTTATCCATTCGTCTGTTGATAGACACTTAGCTTGATTCCATGTCTTGGCTATTGTGAATAGTGCTGCAGTAAACATGGGGCTGTAGATGTCTCTTCAATATACTTATTTCCTTTCTTTTGGGTGTATACCCAGTGGTAAGATTGCTGCTTCATATGGTAGTTTTATTTTTAGAAATGACTGTTCTCTATAGTGGCTATACTAATTTACATCCCACTAAGAGTGCACAAGTGGTCCCCTTTTTCCACATCCTCACCAGCATTTGTGTAATTTACTCTTATGCAAGCTTGACAGACTGTGTTCTTTTATTTATTCTTTCTACAGTATTTAAGCATCACTACTGTGTCACACAGAGTAGTAGGTTTGAAGTATAAGAAAACATTCCTGGTTTCAAAGATCTTGCAATCAAATAAGAAAGATGGACAAATAAATGAAGGGTGATGGTGTAGTGCCATGGCACCTGGAGGAAGAAACTGCCATAAGATGCTGGTATGAAAACTTCAGGATGCTTGGATGGATTCTCACCTTATCCCATGTCCCATGAGAAGCAGATGTCAAGACAAGAGTAAACATGCAGGGGTTTTATTCTGTAAAATGCCAGTGTAAGAGAAAATAAAGAGACAGCCATTTGCCTCTTCTTCTCTCTCTTTTATTTTATGTAAATGGATTTGTCCAATGGGTGTTTCAGGAAGTCAGGGACCCCAAACGGAGGAACCGGCTGAAGCCATGACAGAAGACCATGGATTATGAAGATTTTATGGACATTTATTAGTTCCCCAAATTAATACTTTGGTAATTTCTTATGCCTGTCTTTACTGCAATCTCTAAACATAAATTGTAAAGATTTCATGGACACTTATCACTTCCCCAATCAATACCCTTGTGATTTCCTATGCCTGTCTTTACTTTAATCTCTTAATCCTGTCAGCCGAGAAGGATGTATATTGTCTCAGGACCCTGTAATAATTGCGTTAACTACACAAATTGTACAGCATGTGTGTTTGAGCAATATGAAATGTGGGCACCCTGAAAAAAGAACAGGATAACAGCAATTGCTCAGGGAATAAGAGAGATAACCTTAAACTCTGACCGCTGGTGAGCTGGGCAGAACAGAGCCATATTTCTCTTCTTTCAAAAGCAAATGGGAGAAATATCGCTGAATTCTTTTTCTCAGCATGGAACGTCCCTGAGAAAGAGAATGCGCACCTGGGGGTATCGGCTTATAAACAGCCCCCCTGGGCGTGGCCTGTCTCTTATGGTCGAAACTGCAGAAGTGAAATATACTCCAGTCTCCCATAGTGCTCCCAGGCTTATTAGGAAGAGGAAATTCCTGCCTAATAAATTTTGGTCAGACTGGTCGATCTCAAAACCCTGTCTCCTGATAAGATGTTATCAATGGCAATGGTGCCCGAAACTTCATTAGCAATTTTAAGTTTGCCTTGGTCCTGTGGTCCTGTGATCTCGCCCTGCCTCCACTTGCCTCGTGATATTCTATTACTCTGTTAAGTACTTGATGTCTGTCACCCACACCTATTCGCGCACTCCCTCCCCTTTTGAAAATCCCTAATAAAAACTTGCTGGTTTTTGTGGCTTGTGGGGCATCACGGATCCTACCAACATGTGATGTCTCCCCCGGATGCCCAGCTTTAAAATTTCTCTCTTTTGTACTCTGTCCCTTTATTTCTCAAGCCAGCCAACGCTTAGGAAAATAGAAAAGAACCTACGTGATTATCGGGGCAGGTCCCCCGATAAATGGGTGCCTATATTGACTGTATTTTTCAGTTGCTGTGATGTTTTCAAGGTGTATCCATGATGTAGCATGCATCAGTGTGTCTTTCCTTTTTATAGCCAAATAAAATTTCACTGTATAAATGTATCACATTATATTTATCCATTCATTAGTTGATGCGCTGTCACTCCGCTTATCAGTGCCCCTCAATATACAACCTCATGTTCCTTATGTTAGTTAAAAAGATCTGTTCCATCATGCTTCCCTATCTCAATCACTGTGGTCCCTTCCCTCTGATACAATTCTTGGTGTGAAGATTCACAGTCAGCTCCTCTGATCTCTCAGCTCTAATTTTCAGTCATTGGACAAAACCCAATATAGCCACTTACCCCTGACAATTATAAGGGCATGATTTTCTTCCAGCCTTGATATCTAGCTTCCCACTTGTATTAAACCAAAGTGGGCCACCATATTTCTTTCACTGCACATGGAGCACACTCGAATGTGCCCCAGAATCTCTGATAGGCATATTTATCTTGCATGTAGTTCATCACTCTCTGATTTTTGCTTAATTAAGTAACAAATTCTGTAGAAATTCAGTTCAGGAATTTCACTTCTGTGTGTCCAGTGAAGCCGATACTGCACCAACAAATGCTCAGGTAATAAAAATAAAATCTAGGGAAGAGACACAAATCAACTATCTGAAGTCAGAAGAAAGTAAATACAAGCAGGCTGATTTTGGAGGGAAGTTGACACATGGATAAAACAAACCACAAGTTTGAATTTTTCCGTTCTTACAGATTTTAGCCAGAAAACACATCACAGTTAACACTTCAACTGAAATTCCAGTACAAAACCTATGGTTTCTCTAGCCAGAAGAAACTAAAGAATTTGGGGCAACTATACCCTTTGGAAAGTGAAGGGGTACATCCCAAAATGAAAATATTCACATACAAGGAGCCCTAAATTCTGTGTATAAATTTGCCTCAACTCTTTAGCTGACACATGCACATACAATTCAGAGACAAGTCATCTCAGACACAAATAAAATAACTGGGTTGAGATTTTATCTGCCATCCAGAAACTGTGTAGGCATTTGGAATCTAGTGAAAGTGTTACTCAGTAAAAAAGGGGTCTTGATCCAGATCTCAAGAGAGGGTTCTTGGATCCCACTCAGGAAGGCATTTTTTTAATTTAATTTTATTATTATTATACTTTAAGTTTTAGGGTACATGTGCACAGTGTGCAGGTTAGTTACATATGTACACATGTGCCATGCGGGTGTGCTGCACCTATTAACTAGTCATTTAGCGTTAGGTATATCTCCTAAAGCTATCCCTCCCCCCTCCCCCCACCCCACAACAGTCCCCAGAGTGTGATGTTCCCCTTCCTGTGTCCATGTGTTCTCATTGTTCAATTCCCACCTGTGAGTGAGACTATGCGGTGTTTGGTTTTTTGCTCTTGCGATAGTTTACTGAGAATGATGATTTTCAATTTCATCCATGTCCCTACAAAGGACATGAACTCATCATTTTTTATGGCTGCATAGGATTCCATGGTGTATATGTGCCACATTTTCTTAATCCAGTCTATCACTGTTGGACATTTGGGTTGGTTCCAAGTCTTTGCTATTGTGAATAGTGCCGCAATAAACATACGTGTGCATGTGTCTTTATAGCAGCATGATTTATAGTCCTTTGGGTATATACCCAGTAATGGGATGGCTGGGTCAAATGGTATTTCTAGTTCTAGATCCCTGAGGAATCGCCACACTGACTTCCACAATGGTTGAACTAGTTTACAGTCCCACCAACAGTGTAAAAGTGTTCCTATTTCTCCACATCCTCTCCAGCACCTGTTGTTTCCTGACTTTTTAATGATTGCCATTCTAACTGGTGTGAGATGGTATCTCACTGTGGTTTTGATTTGCATTTCTCTGATGGCCAGTGATGGTGAGCATTTTTTCATGTGTCGTTTGGCTGCATAAATGTCTTCTTTTGAGAAGTGTCTGTTCATGTCCTTTGCCCACTTTTTGATGGGGTTGTTTGTTTTTTTCTTGTAAATTTGTTTGAGTTCATTGTAGATTCTGGATATTAGCCCTTTGTCAGATGAGTAGGTTGCGAAAATGTTCTCCCATTTTGTAGATTGCCTGTTCACTCTGATGGTAGTTTCTTTTGCTGTGCAGAAGCTCTTTAGTTTAATTAGATCCCATTTGTCAATTTTGTCTTTTGTTGCCATTGCTTTTGGTGTTTTAGACATGAAGTCCTTGCCCATGCCTATGTCCTGAATGGTAATGCCTAGGTTTTCTTCTAGGGTTTTTATGGTTTTAGGTCTAACGTTTAAGTCTTTAATCCATCTTGAATTAATTTTTGTATAAGGTGTAAGGAAGGGATCCAGTTTCAGCTTTGTACATATGGCTAGCCAGTTTTCCCAGCACCATTTATTAAATAGGGAATCCTTTCCCCATTGTCAGGAAGGCATTTAAGGCAAATCACAGAGTGTGGTAAAAGAAGCAAGTCAGTTAAGCACATATTGTTATGGGTATTGGGACATCTGGGCTTTCTGTTGTTGTAGGAGTGTGTCCTTGTAGGTATCTTTAGGTTGTTTTCTCAACTATAAACATTTTCTGACTATGGGTCATGACTGGCAAGAAATGTGCCTTACTAGTTTTAAGATGGAGTTGTTTTTAAATGGTGTCACTCTGGCTCTTCCAGCCACCTGCTTCCTTAACAAAAGCAATTGTCTGGCAAAGCACATACACACACACACACACACACACACACACACACACACACACACAAGTCACATAAATGAATAGGGCCCCCAGGAACACAAAATAAAATTTCCAATATTCAGGACAAAATCCAAAGTTACTCAACATATAATGAACAAGGAATATGGGAAACATTCTCAAGAAAAAAGACCATCAACAGAGACCATCCCCCATTCCCATCAAGAGGATCCAGATGTTGGAACTACCAGACAAGGTAGTTGTTTATAACAGCCATTATAATGTGCTTCAGATGGAAAAGGAATATATGTCCAAGATGACTGAGAAAATAGGGAATCTTGGCAGAGAAAGTGGAACAATGGAAAAGAAAATCCAAGTAGAAATACTGAAAGTGAAAAATATAATACCTGAAATAATTAACTGGATGGATTTAGCAGCAGAATGGACAGAAAGGAATTAGCAACCATAAAGACAGATTTCTAGAAATCATCAAGAATGATAGAGGGAGACAAGAGAGATTGAAGAAAATAAGCAGACCACCTGAATCAGTAACACAATGTAAGAAATATTTAACTAACATGTAGTTGGAAACCCAGGAAGAGAGGGGGAAATGCTACACTAAATATAATTGAATAAAATTTCCCCAATGCGGTGGTAGACATACATTCACACATGCAAAAGTTTAATACGCATCAGCAAAATAAACACTTTGTTTATTTTGACACAGTGGAGTCAAACTGCTGGAAGACAATGATAAGAAGAAAATCTTGAAGGCTGCCAGAGGAAAATGATGCATTACTTAAAGTTCGGATAATCGCCCAGTCTTCTTCACAAATATGGAGACAAAAAGACTATGGAGCCATATTTTCGAAGCGTTGGTGAAAAATTGTTGAATTTTATATCAAGCAAAAGTATTGTTTAAGACTGAAGGTAACAAAAGATACTTTCAGGGAAAAGAAAACTATAAATGCATCACTTGTAAAATTGAATGATAAGAAAACCTAAGAATTAAAGGTAAAACTTAGATCTTCAGGAAGAATGAATAATATCAGAAGTGGTAAATACCTAGGTAAATGTAAAAGCCTGTGTAATGTACAGTAAGCTGGGGGGGAGTTAGTAAATGAACCTGAATAGTTGTGAGTTTTCTGCATTTTTTGTGTGGTGGTACAATATTAACTTTAGGCTATGAAAAGCTAAGAATGTGTGTATGCCCTATTGCAGCCACTAAAGATAGCTCAAAAGCCAGTCAATAATTGACAGTAGAATCTAAATACCTGGGTGATGAAATAACCTGCACAACAAATCCCCACAACACAAGTTTACCTACATAACAAAACTGCACATGTACCCCTGAATAAAAAAGTTAAACAATAAAATCACAAAAGTAGTCAAGAAAAAAAGGAATAAAAATAAAATTAAAAGACAAATATTAACTTACAATAAATACTGATGGAATAAAAAATTCAATGAAACACAGAAATTGTCACAATGGATCAATAAGCAAAACCAATATAGTCTACAAACAAGTGTTTTATGCGTAGTCTGAATGCAAATGGATGGGAAAAAATACACAGTGCAAGCAGCAAGCACAAATATGCTGAAGTGACTGTATCAGTATCAGATGGAAATGGCAATATATGTCTCCAAAAAGACTTTATAAGAGTGTTCCTGGCATAGCTTTACTCATAATAGCCTCAAATTTAAAATTGTCCAAGTACAGCATTAGTGATAGTAGCCAAGATATAGAAACAACCCATATGTCCATCCACAGATGAATGGAGTGTAGTGTATTATTCCACTTAAAGTTGCAGGATGGACAAAACTGATCTACACTGGGAAAACCTGAAGATAGCAGTTGCCTCTGAAGGGGGTTGAGATGGTGTTGCTGAGGCTAGACTTGCCTGGGAAGGGAAACAAAGGATATCTCTGGGATGGTGATGTTTTCTATCTTGAAAGGGGTTTGGCTTTGCAGATATATATGTATGTCAAAACTCAGGGAATGAATGCTAAAATGTGTGCATCTCATTTCTTTCGACCAGTTGTGCGTCTCCTCCTTCCCTCCTTCCTTCCTTCTTTCCTTCCTTCCTTCTTTCTTTCCTTCCTTCCTTTCCTTCTTTCTTTCCTTCCTTCCTTTCCTTCTTTCTTTCTTTCTTCTTTCTTTCTTTTTTCTTTTTCTTCTTTCTGACGGAGTTTCACTCTTGTCGACCAAGGTGGCGTGCAATGGCGCGATCTTGGCTCACTGCAACCTCCGCCTCCCGGGTTCAAGTGATTCTCCTGCCTCAGCGTCCTGAGTAGCTGGGATTACAGATATCCACCACCTCACCTGGCTAATTTTTATATTTTTAGTAGAGATGGGATTTCCTTACGTTGGCCAGGCTGCTTTTGAACTCCTGACCTCAGGTGATCCACCCACCTCGGCCTCCCAAAGTTCTGGGATTACAGGAGTGAGCCACTGAGCCCGGCTGTGTGCATCTCATTTCATGTAAAACCTACATCAACAGCTATACATAAATATTAAAATCTAGTTCCTGTTATGCATACTGAAGAATTTAGAAAGTAATGTACTAATGTGTGCAGTTTGCTTTGAAATGAATACAAAAATAAGATGGATGAATGAATGGATACAGGGATGCATAGGTGAATAGATATTTCATGAAAATACTATAGTAATCCACCAACTTAACAAGACTATTCATAGTAATTTAAAGGCAGCATCCACCTAACAGAATTTATGTGGTAGGTGGACACTCACTTTAAAATTCTTTCAATGTTGCTTTATATCTGAAATTTTTCTTAAATAAAATATTGAGGACAGGGAGAGTCAGCTCAAATTCTATTTTCTGTTTGAAGACTTCTTTCAAAGTTCCTGCTTGTTTCCCTAAAATCCTGTCCTGTGCATTCACTCAACAGTCCAGAATTTAGACACTCTTGGTGCATGGCATATGCCAGTCTGTTATGCATCTTTGTGTTTTTCTGCTATCTTCAAGAGAATGCAAATCACCTAAAGAAAAAGATACGTTCTTTCACTTTCTTTGTCTGGTACAGAGCATACTATATCCCCTAGGTTCTTTATAAGTGTGTATTAATATTAATAAGAGGCTTTTTTCTACCCTAGAACTAGACAGTTATTACTATTACTAATTCATAACTTAAGAAGAGATACACTGTGTGCTTGTTTCAAAATGTCACATGTACCTCATAAATATGTACTACTATTATATATTCATAATAATTAAAAATGAAAATAAATAATAAATTAAAAAAAGAAAAAAGTGCACCATTTATTTAAAAATATTATCACAATTTTCATAATACTTTTAGGTTTGGAGGCAAGGTAAAACATTTGTTATCTCCATGTAATTTTTTAAAAAAAACTATATGATCTCAGCATTTGAGACCAAAAGTACACTTTGTTGGGTGGAAAATGATGAAGCACTGAAAATAGAGAGCCAATTTGCTCTGATCTCTATGTAGCCCCTAAAACTTCGGGAAGACTGGAGCTAGTACAAACGGGAATTTCTCCTTTGGGCTCCAATTAAATCTAGTCATCTCACTGAAATTCAGGTGCTTTCAATTTTCCATAATCTGAGAACCAAGTTGTATTTTTCCATGTAGTGAGACGCTTATCCTGACTGACTGAGAACATTGCCAATTGAGTAGTCCTCTGAAATTATACAAAAACAAAAGAAATATACAGAAAAAGTAGGACATAGGTGTATTGTCCCGGGCAGAACTAAGAATCACAATTTGTAACTTTATTGACAAACACAAAACCCGGGAGGCTATTTACACAGGACAGTACTCCGTAAGCAGTTCTCAGATTTGTTTCATGCTTTTGATTCATTTATTTTTTTTCTGCAAATAACATACACTGGTGCTATTTCTGTATTCATTCACTTTGCCCTGTATTACCACATTTTTTTCTAAGGCTTTATTTTTTTATCTTGTTTGCTTCTCAGTGATTCTGCAACTTTTGCAATAGTATGTATGCCTTCGAGGTTTTCTTTTTCCTTTTTTGAGAGAGAGTCTTGCTCTGTTGTTGCCCAGGCTGGCTGGAGTACAGTGGTGTGATCTCAGTTCACTGCAACCTCTGCCTCCTGGGTCCAAGTGATTCTCATGCCTCAGCCACCGGAGTAGCTGGGACTACAGGTGCACACCACCATACCTGGCTAGTGTTTGTATTTTTAGTAGAGACGGAGTTTCACCTTGCTGGTCAGACTGATCTCAAACTTCTGACCTCAGGTGATCCACCTGCTTCGGCCTCCCAAAGTGCTGGGATTACAGGCGTGAGCCACCTTGCCTGTCCTGAGTTTAATATTAAAAACCTTCAGAAGATATTTCACTTTTTCCCATTATGCCCCTTTTCATTGAAGATCGTACTTATTTGCCTTGATCTTTGAACATTATCAAAGACAAAGACATATACACAAGATCCTGTTTTGCAATTTTATATTTAAAGATATTTCTCTCAAAAGACTGATATAGTGGAAACATCAACCTACTCATCAATTGCAAGATTTCTTTGTTAAATACCAGATAATGATTTCTTTACATATTATTCACATTATTAACTGAAGGCTGTTGATATTGTGGATTATCTTCTAGGGAAATTTTAGTGAGTCCATAATTTAGAAAGAAAAAAAAAAGAAATTGACTTCTCCCAATTAATTTTTAAAGTGCATCTTTAAATACAAAGTTGAAAACATGTTTTTTCTCTGCTCATCCTTTGTCTCCCTTTTTAGCCATCACAATCAAGAGTCTTGGAAATGAAAAAAATACCTATTTAATACTATCTTGTTGTTTTTGTGCTGAACTAGTCATCTTCAAGCTAACTGATTTTGTTTTACTGTGATTTTCCACCACCCTATGTGAGGAGCTCTTCATCGTGTTAGGGCAAAGCCTGGCCGTGAGTCTCCTCTTTCCACTGAAGATCCAGTATCTGAACATGAATGGTGGCTCCATCACATTTGTGCATGGCATCCGAATGGCTCTCTCCAAACAATGAAAGACAAACTCCAATCTCCAGGCTTGACACTGTAACTGCACAATGGATTTACTTTGCCTGCTGCCTAGACAGAGCCGATTTCTCAAGACAGGGTAATTGCAATGGAAAGAGTAATTCACACAGAGTTGGCTGTGCAGGAGACCGGAGTTTTATTTATTACTGAAATCAGTCTCCTCGAGCATTCAGGTATCAGAGTTTTTAAAGATAATTTGGTGGGTAAGGGCTCGGGAAGTGGGGAATGCTGATTGGTCATGTTGGAGATGTAATCATAGGGGGTCAAAGTGAGTTTTTCTTGCTGTCTTCTGTTCCTGAAAGAGGTTGCATGCCCCCTACACTGTAATTTCTAATCTTGTAGCTAATTTGTTAGTCCTGCAAAGGCAGACTGGTCCCCAGGCAAGAAGGGGGCCTTTTTGGGAAAGGGCTATTATCAATTTTGTTTCAGAGTCAAACCATGAACTGAATTCCTTCCCAAAGTTAGTTCAGCCTACGCCTAGGAATGAACAAGGACAGCTTAAAGGTCAGAAGCAAGATGGAGTTGGTTAGGTCTGATCTCTTTCACTGTCATAATTTTCTCAGTTATAATTTTGCAAAGGCAGTTTCAACACCATTTCAATTATTCATCCACACCTGGTGACAACCAAACACTAAGCCCTGCCTTAGAAGCTCCGAAAGTTCTTCTTATGTCTCTGCAAAAATTGATTTGTTGACATCAATGCTAGTTAACTCTTCTGGTCTCTGTGTCTCCCCCAGTCACTCCAATTTGATCTGATTATAGGAAATTGACCTTGATTTCTTTTCTTCCTAATTACACACACACACACACACACACACACACACTTACTTTGTTTCCAGGAAATAGCAAAAAGTGTCCCCTTCATTTAGTAGCCTCTTTGTATGCCCAACCTCCAAGCATATTTCCAGACATGGCATCCTCTGCCCATAGCAATTTTTGCCAGCTCCTAATCCTGCTTACTCCTTCCTTTTCTAGCAAGAGAAAGCAGCATATTTAAGCAGCATATACTTCATAGAACATTGCTATTCATTGGCCAAATCTTATCCTAAGTTCACAATAATAATACCAATGCTCATTATTGAAGACTTACGTGCCAGCCACTACACTAAAAGTTTTACATGCAATTAACTTATTTATCCATAACATCCCTATCATGGGAGTTCCTGTCTTTGTTTTTCTCATTTTACAGTTGAGTACATTGAGTTTTAGAGAGGAGACGTGGTTTTCTCAAAATCACAGAACTAAGGAATAGTGTTTGCTTTTAACATTTGAGTTCTGCAACTGTCTATGTTGTGCTCTTCCTGCATAAAGTCTGCCTGATGACAGGACTTCCAATATCTTTGTGAACAAATTAGTTAATTTGTAACTACTTGTAGCTAACTTAATTTATTAGCTGCTCATGAACAAGGACATTTAAGTTATTTGGGGAAAAAGGTGCACCTTTTGTGGATGCAATCATTGCAGTTACCTATCTAAATAATTAAAGAAAGATCTCAACTGAACTGTGGAAATTTTGAGTTCACTCTTCCTTTCTGTTTTTGTCATTATTTGGGTTTAATGCTGCAAGGTTTGGGGTATGTATACTTGAATGAAATATTATAGATCAACTCACTCAAGCTTCAGAGTTTGTATAATTTCCAGAAAAAGATTTTCCCCATCTTCATTAATCCAAATAAAGCCTCTTTTTGAACTGTTCTTACTCTTCTCTAATTGGTCACCTTTAGTTAATAACTTCACTGTCTTAGAAGAGTGGATAATTCAGTAATATTCAAAACATTCACAAAACATCATTATAAAGCAATGACGTTGGTTTTATCTTTATTATAAAAATAGCTATGTGTCCATGGCAACTCTAGACTGCCTCTTTGACTAGATTTTCAATGATGATTTATGTAGAAGAGAAACTCATATTACGTTTTTTTATTTCACTTTGAATTCATCTAGTATTTTTAACTGGTCCTCATTTATATATGATCAACATAAGACAACCTCACTTTTCTCTCATAGGCATACAATATTAATGTGGCTTTGACAACTAAAAATCTATATAACAACCTATGACAACTTTATGTACTTTTAGTTATGGTATTCTGAAAACATTGTGTTATATTAGGTCAAAGTAAACTATCACCTGGACACCTCGTTAAACTATTGTGTAGAAAATTGTGCTATTTTTGTGTTTTACCTTTTCCTTAGAAGTTATGTATGTCAAGAAATTAGACATAACTAATTTTTATTAGCTGAATTTAAATTTACACACAGAAAAAATGCGTTTATCTATAAACTCAGTCTCTTTGAAGACTGAAAAATACAGAGGTAGTATTCTGAGTGGGATTTGGGAATTCATTTGTCTTAGAAATTACTAATAGCTAACTTTACACTTTTGAAGTAAAAAATGGCACTTAAGGTTTGTAGTCTTAAAAATCGCCACAATTTTTTGAGGGGTAGAAGTGTGTAAATACTTAAAATATTTTTAAGCAAAAGATATTTAAATCTATAGCCTAATGTTTTTATCTAATAATTAGGGGAGTAAACACTTTTACTGTAAATATTAAGCCAATTAGAACCATGTAGAATGCAATTATGCATCTTTTTTATACTGATGAAGCAAAACACCGGTTTAATAGCATTGAAAGAGAAGAACAATGTAACAAGCAAAAAATAATAAATGGCTGGTCGAGATGTTTATGCCTCAAATTCTGAGATGGGCATTACCAGGGAGAAGCGTTGCTAGGGAATTGAAATCTTCTGCTCCTCTAAATGACTCCATTTCTGCTCGTTCGGCTGAGAAGCATTATTTTATTATATAATACCCAATACAGATAGCAGAGATGGGGGGATATCGTGGGAACCATGTGCAATTTAAGGCTGGAATATTCTCACTTAACTCTGGCTGCCTGCTGTTTTACATCTATATAACTGACATTGACCACTTCCCTGAAAACAGTTTCCCATTACTCTTTTCTAAAGAGTAGATACATAATATACTTCCCGCATATATCACACGTTTGTGGGAGAAAACATGTGGAAACATATTTTGTGAACTATAAAGTACTCTACATTTTACATACGAAAAATCCTGAATAAATTTTGAGGTTAGCTGGAAGAAACATCTTTTACTCCTTGAGAATGAAAATCTACAGAGGGAAAAAAAGCTTATGTCTTAACAATAATGTTTTGGACACATAGCAAAGTTCAAGTCCAGCTTTACTTTCTGAGGTATTATGTGGGGATAACAATATTTTCCCAGAAAACGTTCCATATATGTACATTTGCTGTGGTCAGAGTGATGACTTGAGACTTTCTAAATACGCAGCTCACGCAGTGTACAGCTGGGGTAATTGGCCATTTATCTCATTGCACAATGGAAAGTGCTCAGATGTAAACCCGTTATTATCCAAAAGGCATCATTGCTATTGAAGCCCCATGAAGAATCCACTCAGAGAGCAAAAACAGTCTTATCTTAATAGTGTGTACATAACATAGCCTATACACAGGCTTCAAATTAGCCCCATGAAATCCTTACAAATTAAGATAGAAGCATTCAGAATTACATGGTGAAAAGTTCCCGTGTGGAAACCAAGACTTGTAGGCTTTGATTCTTACCATAACAAGGAGGGGCATGGACTTGGGTGGGTGGTGGTGGTGGCAAAAATGACGGCCTGAGGCTAGGATTCTGTCAGACACAGGTGCCTTGAGACATTTTGTAAGACAGTAAGCTCGGTTTGCTTTCAAAACAGAGCTCTAACCTCAGTTCCTATCAACCACCCATTTATCAAAATCTGACAACTTGTTGAAATACTGTTATTTCCTGGTGAGAACACCTCTTTGCATAAGAAATTGAGGAGTTTTCCCCACTTATATAAAAAAGGCACTCCCTTTGGTTGTCCCAACATAATGTCTTTCCCATTTGGTAAACACAGTAATAGACCATATTAGTTATTGATTATTGCAGAACAAATTATTCCAAAAGGTAGTGGCTTAGATCAACACACATGTGTCATCTCACCGGGTTTGTGGTCAGGAATCTGGGCACAGTTTAGCTTGGTTCTCTCACCATAATCCTGTTAAGGCTTAACAGAGAAAGAATCCACTTTCAGCTCGTGCGGGTGCTGGCAGGGTTTGATTTCTTATAGGTTGGTGGGCGTGAGCCACCACACCCAGCCAACAACCACACCTGGCCATTTGTTTTAATAATCAGAAAGTCTTATTAAAAATCTAAGGAGTTTAATTTAAAAATACATGCAGTAAACAACTGTATAGTAGACATGCTTGTCCATCTTCCATTATGAAACTTATCTCTAACTATACACAGTTTTACGTGGATTTGTCATTCCTGGAAGCTAAACAAACAAAATTGTTTTGTCTTATTTTTGTTATTCTATTATAGCCAAAACTTTATAAGGGGCGTAAGTAAATCTGATTGCCATGAGGAGTATTATATCATGTGAAGGGAAAAGAAAAGCAGTGGAAATCATTTTCCAGTATTTTCAAAGTAACTTTGCTTATAACCTACCCTGAAACACTGAGAAAGAACTATTAAAAAACTCAACAGATATAGGTTCAGTATGCTTTATTGATTGGTGGGTTATTCTCTACCCAGAAGTCTGTTCAAGGCCTGGGATTTATTATCTCTTTGGGAACCTTTTCATTCTCATGTTCCAGGTTTATGGGCTCAGCTGCTTCTGAGAGAGTTCCTAATAACCCCACCTCCTGAATAGCCACGCCCTTGTTATAATTCCCTCTTTGTGTGTGGGTGGGACCTAATGACTTCCTTCTAATAAATGGAATACTACAAAAATGATGAGATGTCACTTCCATGATTGGGTCAGAAAGGTCTGTGGCCACCATCTTAGTAGCAGGCAACATCTACTGCCTTTTTCACTTGAATACTTTGATGATGGAAACTGCCATGTGTTGGAAGCTAGCACAGCAAAGAACAGAGACCTCTGTCCCATTGTCGTTAAGTCCATTGACCTATCCTATTTAATAGACTAACAAAAATAAGACAAAACAATTTTGTTTGTTTGTTTAGCTTGGAGGAATGATAAATCCATATAAAACTGTGTATAGTTAGAGATAAATTTTCATAATGGAAGATGGACAAGCATGTCTACTATACAGTTGTTTACTGCATGTATTTTTAAATTAAACTCATTAGATTTTTAATAAGACTTTCCAGTTATTAAAAAAAACGGCCCGGTGTGGTGGCTGGCTGGGCGTGGTGGCTCACGCCTGTAATCCCAGCACTTTGGGAGGCCGAGGCGGGCAGATTGCTTGAGCCCAGGAGTTCAAGACCAGCCTAGGCAACATGGAAAAATCCCATCTTTACTAAATATACAAAAATTAGCCGGGCATGGTGGCATGTGCCTGTGGTCCCAGCGACTTGGGAGGCTGAGGTGGGAGGATCACCTGAACCTGTGCAGTTGAGGTTGCAGTGAGCCGAGATCATGCCACTGCGCTCCAGCCTGGACAACAGCGTAACACTGTCTCAAGCAAACAAAAATATGGTCACAATAGAGAATATCAAAATGTAGAAGGAGGCAAACAAAGTTCTACAACAGAAAACAAAAGCACTGTGTACATTTTTAACAGCTTTACTGAGATATAATTCTCACACCATACAATTCACCTGCATAAAGTCCATATTTAGTGGTTTTTAGTGAATTCACAGAGTTGTGCTGCCATCACCACAATCAATATTAGTCTGCTTATGTTTTAACATAAAAAACCCCTAGCTTTTTGGCCTATGCATTCACATATTTCTTTTAAGTTTACACAATATATTGTGAGCATTTCCCATATTAATGAATGTTCTGCAGGAGTATGATTTATAATAGGTACACAGTAATTCAAAAAAAAAAAAAAAGAAACCTTACTTTGATTATTTATTCTCTGCCAAGCACTTTATTGAGTAATGGATTGTGTCATTTAGTCTTCACAATAATCTTATGGAATAGGTACTGTAATTTTTAAAGAATTGGAAATATCATAGAAGGCTAAATTTCTTGGCCACAGTGACATGTTCAGTAAGTAAGTGGATGGCATCAAGGAGTCTAACTCATCTCTTTTTTCTTTTTCTTTTTCTTTCTTTCTTTTGTTTTTTTTTCTTTTTGAAACAGTCTCATTCTGTCACCCAGGCTGAAATGCAGTGGTGCAATCTTGGCTCAGGGCAACTTCTGCCTCCCGGGTTCAAGCGATTCTCTTGCCTCAGCCTCCCAAGTAGCTGGGCTACAGGGGTGCACCACCACACCTGGCTAAATTTTGTATTATTTTGGTACAGACGGGGTTTTACCATGTTGGCCAGGCTGGTCTTGAAATCCTGGCCTCAGTTAATCAGCCTGCCTCAGCCTCACAAAGTGCTGGGATTACAGGTGTGAGCCACTGATTCATCTTTCTTAAAAGATAGATCTAGGTTAAGTTGGCTGATCAAGCCCATAGTGTTAAATATTAAAATTGTTTCCAGTTTTGAGATATTATATTTGTATTTGTCATCTATTGCTGTATTAAAACATCCCCCCAGTATTTAGCAACTTAATTATTGACATCACAGGTTCTGTGTGTCAGGAATCTAGGAGCAGATGAGCTGAGTCCTCTGGCATAGGGACTCCTATAGAGTTGCAATTAAATGTCATCTGGGTCTGAGGTTTTGTGTGAAAACTTGACTGGGTAAGAATCTGCTTCCAGGTGCACTGATGTCACTTTTTGCTACTCTCAGGTCTTTGCTAGCTGTTGGCCAGAGACGGCAGTTCTTTGATATGTGGTCTTCATCGTAGGACATCTCTAATGGTTGCAAATGGTGTCCCTCAGAGGAAGCAGGTGAGAGTTGACACACAAGATGAAATTCTAATCTCAGTAATGGTGGCCCATTTTTTTGCTGTATTCTATTGAAGTAACTTCCTTGGTGCAACCCAGGCTGGAGGGAAGGAGCTGCATGAGGGTATAAATATCACAGGGGAAAATAATTTGGAGACCCTCATAGATGCTGCCTATTGCAATAACTAATGCATATTTGTTTCTTGGGGGAGGGCAGAGTTATGCATGTAATGTTGGGGTACAAGTGCAATTACATGCATAGATTGTATAATGGACAAGTCAGAACTTTTTGGGTATCCATCACCTGAGTAATGAACATTGTACCCATTAAGTAATTTATCATCATTCATCTCCCTTCCACCCACTCACCCTTCCAAGTCTCCGCTGTTCATCATTCTCCTCTCTACATTCATGAATACCCATTTTTTAGCACCCACTTATGAGTGAGAACATGTGCTATTTGTCTTTCTGGGTCTGGCTTGTTTCACTTCAGATAATAACCTCCATGACCCTGTTTCCATCCATGTTAATGCAAAAGACATGGTTTCATTATTTTTATGGCTGAATAGTATTCCATTCTGTATATATACCACATTTTCTTTATGCTATATTTGTAAATATTTATGAATGGATGTGACTGTTGTATTAGTCTGTTCTCATCCTGCTAATAAAGACATAGATGAGACTGGGTAATTTATAAAGGAAAGAGGTTTAATGGACTCACAGTTCCACATGGCTGGAGGGGTCTCAAAATAATGGCAGACGGCAAATGAGGAGCAAAGTCATGTCTTACATGGCAGCAGGCAAGAGAGTTTGTGCAGAGAACTCCCATTTATAAAACCAAAACCATCAGATCTCATGAGACTTACTCACTACCATGAGAACAATATGGGGAAAACCACTCCCATGATTCAAAGATCTCCACCTGGCCCTGCCCTTGATATGTGGGGATGATTACAATTCAAGGTGAGATTTGGTGGGGATGCAGCCAAACCATATCATTTGTTTAGAGATGAAAGCAGACAAATTTTGTGTGTGTGTGTGTTTAATATGAATTGACATTGTAGGTTGCCAATCCATGATCCATTTAATCCTCTTTCTTAATGTCACCCATATTTTCATTTAGTATCCACCACTTGTCCACATTGGCCATATACCTCGATGGAGGCTGAACCTGCCCCTACAGCTATGCTGCACCCAGTTGGCTGAATCCAATCAACATTTGGAGGACATGTGACCCAAGTGGTCCAATTGGAGCTAATATTGGGACTATAGCTGACCATGCTTAGGTAGGAGCATTTCTCTTCTATGAACACAGTGGTGTGTTGGTGTGATGGCTTGTACACAATAACCACTTTTACACTATGAATGGGAGTAGGCTGAAAATGCAGCCAACTCCCTGCAAAAGGCAAGACCAAAGGAATCTCGGAAAAAAATGGTGGAGGAGTTGCAGGTTAAACCAACCCTGAAAATTGTCTTACATCTGAATTTCAGCTACGTTCACCAACACACATAGCTCTTTTTTAAGCAAGTTTGAGTAATGTTTTTCCATGTTTCTTGCCATCCCAAATTGTCTAACTAAGGAATAATGTCTCAAGAAGTGGTATACCATAATTCACACATCTAAAATGTTGGGTTGGTTGAACCAATGATAAAGACAGAAACAATGAGAACTCCACTATTCTGGGATGTTAAGTTGATTATTATTGATAAGTAGTTACAAAACACTAGTTAAATTATCACCAGTGGCCAGGAGCGGTGGCTCACGCCTGCAATTACAGCACTTTGGGAGGCTGAGGTGGGTGGATCACCTGAAGTCAGAGTTCTAGACCAGCCTGGCCAACATGGTGAAACCCCGTCTCTACTAAAAAATACAAAAAATTAGCCAGGTGTGGTGGAGGGCACCTGTAATCCCAGCTACTCAGGAGAATCGCTTGAACCTGGGAGGTGGAGGTTACCGTGAGCCGAGATTGCACCATTGCACTTTAGCCTGAGCAACAAAAGCAAAATTCTGTAAAAAAAAAAAAAAATCACCAGTTATTTCTTGGGATGCAGTTTCTGTGCCTATCAAGGTTTAGGGCAGCTGGGAGGAAAAAGGTAGGGTGTTGGAGTGAATTAGCTACTTCCTAAAGTTCTCAGTAAGCCTAAAAGCAAGACATGATTTTCCTAAAATTGGCCATGTAAAATCAGAGAGGTGGGAAATACAGATTTTGTAAGAGAAGCCCTTCATGCCTATAGAATATAATTCAAAGTATCTTCAAAGATCCAAAGTCTCTATCGACCCCAAGCTACGGTTTGTGCATTAAACACCCCCTCCCATACCCCCTTCTGTTCTGCCCCATATGTTCTTCTCAGTCTTTCCCGAATTAGAAAGCAGCTACTCTATTCTTCAAGCTACTGAGGCCAAAAATAGATGGAGTCATCCACATCTCATTTCTTCCTTACACATTCTTCAGCCAGGGTCAAAACCAATCCAAACCCTCACCCTTTCTCCCCACCTTCTCCATCCCAACCTGGTTCAAGTCTTCATCACCTCTCCCCCAGGTCTTGCAGGCAACCTGCCAACCGGCAGCCTATTCACAACTCAGCAGCCAGGTGGGTTCTCTGCAAATGTAGGTCATGGGATTGTGTCACTTTTCTGCTTAAATCTCTTGAATGGTTTCCCATCTTGCTCAAAATAAAAGTTAAACTGTTAACAATGGCCTAAAGGCCCTACTTGACATGGAATCCTATTACCTTTCTGGTCTTATCCCCAATTCCTTATGTTGCTCATTCTAGTCCAGCCATAAAATCTCCCATGGTCTTTTGTAAAGTCATTAACTATATATAGGCTCCTGTTTTATGCATTTGCACTTTCTAATTCTTCTACCTGGGGTGCCATTTCCCAGATATCTGCATGGTTCCCCCATTGGACATGCATGATAAATAGTGCCCCAATTTGTTCCAGGTCTCTATTTAAATGCCATCTAATTCAAAAGATCTTTCTTGGGTCCTTTTTCTAAAATAGCAACTTCTTCCCCATGACTGTCTAAGTATGCCATTTGACCCTATGTCATTTTTCTCTGTATCGTCTCCAGATAGATGGTATATCTGTTGATATGGTTTGGCTGTGTCCCCACCTAAATCTCTTCTTGAACTGTAGTTCCCATAATCCTCACGTGTCATGGGAGGGACCCGGTGGGAAGTAATTGAATCTTGGGTACAGTTACCTCCACGCTGTTCTCATGACAGTGAGTTCTCACAAGATCTGAAGGTTTTATAAGGGGCTTTTCCCCCTTTTGATTGGCACTTCTCCTTGCTGCCGCCATGTGAAGAAGGATGCGTTTGCTTTTCCTTCTGCCATGATTGTAAGTTTCTGAGGCCTCCCCATTCCTGCAGAACTGTGAGTCAATTAAACCTCTTTCCTTTATAAATTGCCCAATCGTGGGTATTTCTTCATAGCAGTGTGAGAACTGACTAACACATCTGTTCATTTGTTTTCAAATGTCTGATTTCCCCCAGTGGAATGAGTGACCTTATGACAAAGACTGTATTTTATTCTCTCCTATTTCTCCAGCACATAGAATAGTGCTTTCAGTATAGTTGGCATTCAAAAAAAATTTTTTTAATAAAAAGAATGTAAAGAAAAATTTTATAAATCTCAGGACCCACTCTCCCAAACATCTTACATGAAAGGGAAGGTCATTGCAGCACCCTCTTCCAAATGAATAGCTCTTACATTGCGTACCAACCGGATCCTGTGGAGGAGTGAAAGTCCTCAGGCACCTGGGGAGGAGAGCCTCCACAGGTCATTCACAAGTAAATTCTTTGCAGGCTTCCCAGAAACAAGGACATGCCAATCATAACTTCAGTCTACAATCCCAAAGTCTAGCTCCTAAGACGCCACACTGATAATGTCTACTACAAGCTTATCCCCCCAGGTGCAAAGTCAAGACTTTTTCCTCTACCTATGCAGAGACATCTGCATAATTGACTCTTCCTTTACAACCTTTTCTCTTCAGACATTCACCTTATCATATGCAAAATGTAGTATTTGTCTAACCACCTACCTGCCCCTCTTCCTCCATGCCTCCCCACCTTTAAGGAAATATATAAATACTGAACCTCCTGAAAACTTCTTTGGAAAAACAGCCACAGACGTGTCTGTGGCTCATGTTCTGTGGCTGTTTTTCCCAGACATGCCCTAAAATGGCTGAATAAACCCCAGAGATTGAGAATTATGCCTGTCACTCATGTTAGTCGTCAGGAGCAGAAGCAGGTGTTGACACCTTTAGTAGAGAAAATGTTGGCACAAAAGACAAATCTGTCCCAATATACCAGTGCATGCTCAACTTAGTACAGCCTCAAGAAATCCTCCTGCTTGACCTCCCAAAGCACAGGGATCATAGACTTGATCAGAGTAGATCAAGCCTGGCCAGTGTAGAGCCTTCTTTCTATCAGCCAAAGTGGGGAATTTTTATGGAGCCAGAGCACCTGGTCACTGTTATGTAATGATTTGTCTGTCTTATGAGACACAAGACTAGCAAAAATGTGTGGCCATATTTGCATTGCCTGAATAATAAGCAAGCCAGCTATTTGAGGCCCTTTTGCTATAAGTGACTCCCAAGATTTATTTGGAAATTTGGAATGTTACTTGCCTGAGTAAAGGCCTAAATGCATTTCATATAATATGAGCTGGCACTCACTTGCTCAGCAAAAGCTATGAAAAGATTCACATCAGTTGCTTTTGGAAGAGTCACCCTCGTATTCTCTGGAGGGCCTTGGTGGAAGGCCAATGTCAGCCTGTTTGTCATTTGCACAGTCATCAATATTCAGTAAGCCATACTATTGGAAGGATTGGAGATACTTCAGATAATTAAAGTTTCTAATCTTCAGAGGGAAGGTTAAAAGCACATATATTTTGTTGGTGAGTAACAACTGATACAGGGCAAATACAACATTTGACCAGTCTGTCTTTAGAAAATTAAAAAAACCCATGAAAGATCCAGACTAATCGTCAGCATCCTATATTCCATGGACACAGCCTGTTTTGTAATTAAAATGTTATTGGAACTCAGCCATGCCCACTCCCTTAGAGACTGTGGGTAGCTGTTTTTCCACTGCAATGGCAGATGTGAGTAGGTGCACCAGAGACTCTATCATACACAAAGTTAAAATTATCTACTACCTGGCCCTTTATAGAAAAAGTTTGCCAACCTCTTGTCTAGATGAGAAAGGGAAGAGATAAGTATAATGTCAGAAAACACTAAGGAAGAATTGTGTGTTGCAAATATTTGTGCTGGTTCTCATTTTGCATTTAGCTTTGCTTACGGATTACATTGGGTGTAGTACATTGGTAAATTTTATATAGTTTTTAAGTCTATAAATTTATAAAATATTTTGTATAGTTTATTAACCTATATATCTTTACAATGATGGGTTCTTGCTATGGTTTTATGGCTAAGAAAGTTTATTCTAAACATAGGATTAAATAATATTAATGTGTATTATTTTATGGTTGCATGGGGGCATTATCTTCTTCGTTTATTTGAAATGGGAAGAAATATTTTAGATATGCAAATTATACATAGACAATTTTTATATCAAAGGGCCACCAGAATTATAAAATGTGCCAAGAAGGTTTCACACACTTTATATTTTTGAAAAAGTTTATAAAGTTAAGGTATTCTCTTTAATGAAATTTTACTAAGATTCACCTATAAAACTGACCAGACATGGTGCTTTTTTGAAGGGACAGAGCATATGTTTGACTGCTAATTCAACACAGTGCAGTCCCTGGTCACAGTTAGCAAAGTAGACAAATAATTGCCCATATCTACAGAACATTATGAGATGCAAAGACAGAAAACAATAATAGAATGTCTGAGGTGCAGTAGAGGTGGAAGAAATACATCCGATAAATACTACCACATTTTCAGTTCAACCTTGCATGCTATGTTGCTGTTAACCATGAGGAAGCTATATTGGAGTTTCACAGTTGGCCCCAACAGTTTAAACTTGGGGGATACATTCTGCAGAGTCCTTGTTTCTCTTAGGAAAGTCAATTAATTCTTTGGACCAGAGTTTTCTCGGGGTACAATGGGTGGGTAAACAAAACCACACTTCTCAATTTAAACCTGTCTTTCTGACACAACTTAAAACTGTTTTTTTATTCTCAAGAGCATGCTAATGGGTATGATAAGCTGTACGTCACATGGGTGCCCAAGGATTGGATTGTTTCTAGTGTTATTTTCACATACAAATAGGAAAAAAAGTGTCTTTAATATTTCTACCACCTAAATTCATGTTTGCGGTCAGAAATTTCACATTGTAGAGTTGATTGATGATTGGCAAACACTGTTGGTTCACTATTCAAGAAATTTCAGGCTAGGTGGTTGGTGGCCAAGTGAATGATATTTTGTGAGTAAACTTTCTACATTAACTAGGTGTCTAGTAATTTTACAGTTTTACTATTTTTAATCTTTCCTTGTACAAAAAGTTCATGAGTAGGACACAGATTTTTTTGTACATCATTTTACAGAAGGTGAAAGGTAAACATGGTAAGTAGAGTGTCTACCATCAGTTAACAAAACAGTGGCAATCCACTCCTGATTCCAGAAATATCAAACTGCTTCCTAAACCAGACCATGAGAAAATTACCTTCTTTGGAAAGTAGTGTTTCCTTAAATATAATACAATATGAAAAAAAGGGATCACTTTTGAATATTTTCCTGAAATGTGCTAAAAAAAAAATCTCCTGAACTTAGGAACCCTTCACAGAAATATCCACCTATCTAAATGAGGTTTGCTACATAAATTGTATATTTCTATGCATTCCCTTTCACTTGTTGACCTTCAAATACACATTTCTTTTTCTCGAATTCTATTGTTGCCAATCTTAGGGTCAGGAAGCAATAGGTAACAAGGAAATGAAAGATGAGTTTGCATTTGAAATTCAGCAAGGTCTATCATACTGTAATAGCTACCTTCATTGTAATTACTATATCATAGGGGTTATCACTGAAGAGGCAGCATTTAGTTATATGAAAATCACAGGAATCCCTTTCTACTGCCTCAATTAGGGAGACTCAGTCTATAAAAGAGACTTTTTAAAAAGTAAATGCTTATTGTATTACGTGGTGCACTGTCAACCTCTCCTAGAGACACTGCCCTTTGGTCTAATGAAACCTTGTATTTTATCTGTTGTCCTTTGCCTCAAAGACTATCAGTAACAAATCATGAGGACAGTCCTATTGCTCCATTTAGACTTGCACAATATAATAAAACTGTTTTCCTAGGAGACACCCTGCACTGGATATTGGATATATAAATATACCTTGTTCCAAGAGATTCAGACTTTGGATAATTCTGTCCTATCCTGGAAGTTAAAACAATGATATCTCATTACAGAATCAGCTGTGACTGTAACGTGGGTTATTTAAAGAGGTTCGCTTATTCTTTGCATTTAACACAACGGTTCCTCAAGGTCAGAGGCAAAGAGCCTGCTTCCTATGAAGCAACACCATTGTGTAAAATTTAGAAAGCTCCCAATTTATAACTCACCTTGTTCATAGTCACACACAGATTAAGCAGACTTTGCTATCCATGACCCTAGTCCCTCCTCCATCCTGATGGTATTTTAAAGTCAGCTTCTGAAGCAAATGATCTGGGTTTAGATTTGAAAAATTGCGTCTTCATCCTAGATTTTACAGGAATTCATGGCAAGGTCACCAGCCCTCAATTCTTCCTGGAACAATGCTGTTTAGCAATTTTGGTCCCAAAGGCTTATTTCTTAAATCATTCAAATATCAAAATTGTACTTTTGCTCCTAAGATTTAAATTCTGGGAAGTGTATCAGGAGTCAGTGGGTCATAGTCACTTGCAATTGCTAAATGATATTATTTGAGACTAAATCTGATAGCTTGAAGACAATGTATAAGTTGAAATGCAGAGAAGAGACTTTGTGCAGAAAAACAACTATTTCCCAAGGAACTGTGCCTGGGATGATAAAATTGGTATCATCTAGACAAAGGATATTAGAACAACTTGTCAATGAGGGGAATGTCCCTCTTTCCTTTCTTCTTCATGGGCTGCTTTATAAATAGTTTCATTTTAAGAGTCAATTAGATGTTTCATTTTAAGAGTCAATTAGATTGATTGTATTAGTCCATTCTCATGCTACTGTTAAAGACATACCCAAGACTGGGTAAATTATAAAGAAAAAGAGGTTTAATGAACTCAAAGTTCCACATGGCTGGGGAGGCCTCACAATCATGGCAGAAGGTGAATGAGGAGCAAAGTCACGTCTTACATGGTGGCAGGCAAGAGAGAATGAGAACCAAGCAAAAGGGGTTTCCTCTTATAAAACCATCAGATCTTGTGAGATTTATTCACTACCATGAGAGCAGTATAGGGGAAACTGCCCACATGATTCAATTATCTCCCACCGGGTCCCTCCCACAACATGTGGGAATATGGTAGATGAGATCTGGGTAGGGACAATTCAAGATGAGATTTGGGTAGGGACACAGCCAAACCATATCATCGATGTCTGCTCACCCCCAAATTCAAATTTTGCTGTTTCCAAGTATCCCCCTGTTTTACTGGGTTCAAGCCAAATGTCACTTCATTCACCAAGATGCCCTGATTTTCTTTTAGAGGTAATCTATTTTAGATACATGCACTTGTATGTTTATCACAGTGCTATAGTGCAATATAGTAAACACATAGAGTCAGGTTTCCATCACTGGTGGATCAGATAAAGAAAATGTGGTGCATATGGACCATGAAATACTACACAGTCATAAAAAAGAACAACATCATGTTCTTTTCAGCAACATGGTTGTAGCTAGATAAAGAAAATGTGGTGCATATGGACCATGAAATAATACACAGTCATAAAAAAGAGCAACATCATGTTCTTTTCAGCAACATGGTTGTAGCTAGAGGTTATTATCCTAAGTGAATTAATATAGGAATGGAAAACCAAATGCCACAGGTTTTCATTGATAAGTGGAAGCTAAACATTGGACACTTGTGAGCATAAAAATGGGAACAGTAGACACTGGTAGCTACTAAAGCAGGAAGGGATGGAGGGGGGCGATAGTCAAAAAACTAACTGTTGGGTACTCTGCGCAATACTTGGGTGGTGAGGTCAATCGTACCCTCAACCTCAGCATCATGCAGTATACTCAGGTAACAAATCTGCACATGTATGCCCTGAATCCAAACTAAAAGTGAAAGATACTTTTAAAAAGTAATATTTTTTCTCTAAAAGCCAATATACTGCTATTTTTCTAAATTACATGCTTCATATTTTACCTTGTATTATGTCTATTTGTGTTTTTGCTTTTTAACCTTAATTATACTGTCATATTCCATTTTTCACTCTAGAACTCCCAATAGGTACAAAGACAAATATCTGCTTAATGAATTAATAATTTGCCTCAATAGATCCTCAAATATAAATTTGGATCAACCAGTAATTATTACCAAGATTTCTCAAATATTATCAGGCCATATAAATAATTGAAGAAATCTAATCACAAAGAGTTCCTGCTATCATTATGCAAGGCCTCTCTCCCCAATGATGAAATTACGTACTTCAGATCAACCCCGCAGAAACTCAAACATTAGCAAATTCATGAGATGTGTTTCTGTTTCCACCCCAGCACTCAAATTTAGCTGCGTCAATATGGTCTTTGCTTGACTCAACGATGCCATCACATTATCCCATTTACAAGGCTGGCTGCTCTTGATATATTTTGCAAAATACTTGTGAAGTATAGGCTGCTTTCATGCAAAAGGCATTAATAAGAGCAGAAGTCTTCATCTAAGACAACCAATTATCCTTAAGACTAAAAGCATAAGCAAACAGTTAATGAATTTGTTAATTGTTTTTCCATTCTTTGGAGCTTTATGTGATCTCTAGTTGTTAAAGATACTGTAATTAAGGGGAAACAATGAATGGCAAACTTTCAATATTTATTTTCTTTTTCTTTCTTTTCTTTGTCTTTTTTTCCTGGAGGGAACCAAACATACAGAAGGAAGGAAGGAAGGAAGGAAGGAAGGAAGGAAGGAAGGAAGGAAGGAAGGAAGGAAGGAAGGAGAAAAAAGAAAAAAGAGAAAACGGGGACATAATTTCTTAACTTGTTTTTCTTTTTTGAGACAGGGTCTCACTCTGTCACCCAGGCTGGAGTGCAGTGGCATGATCACAGCTCATTGCAGGCTCGACCTCCTGGGCTCAAGCTATCCTCCTGCCTCAGTCTCCCAAGTAGCTGGGAATACAGGTGTGCATCACCACAGCTTACTGATTTTTGTATTTTTTGTACAGACCGGGTCTTACCATGTTGCTCAGGCTGGTCTTGAACTCCTGGGCTGAAGTGATCTGCCAGCCTTGACCTCCCAAAGTGCTGGTATTATAGGCATAAGCTGCCACTCCTGGCCAGGCTAAATTTAACACATGGCTCAGTTAGACTCACTTTTGCACCACAAACAAACTAGGTATTTTGTCAGTCTTTCCCACTGAGTAAATAACACATTCATGTGCTTGACACAAAGCAAAAAACCTGGAAGTGATTCATTGTATTGGCATGAAATCCCCAAAACACCCCAGACCTACTCACATGCCCAGATGCTGCCATTTTCATCCAAGCTGCCATTATGTCTTACAGGGAGTCCTAGGTGGCCATAGCAGGGCTATTTCCAAGCAGTTCCAGGAGTTATCAGCATTAAACTATTATGAATCCCCTGCTTAACAAGGCTCAGCGTAGCATGTAGGATGCAAGCTAAGCTCCACTTTGGAGTCTATGAGGACTGTGTGACTGGCTTCCTTCTTACCTTTCACCCTAAGTCTAACCATGCCTCTTTCTTCCCCGTGATCCTGCAACACCGATCTTCTCTCCCTCTTTCCTGAAACCATAAAGCTCATGGATATCTCAGGGCCTTTGATTACTCCAGCCACTGGCTGGACATCACAGCCCTCAGATCTTCCTGGGATGGCATCTCTTTACCACTGGGTTTCTGGTACCATCTTCAATGACTTCTTGACCTAAATTTCCCCTAGGATATTTCGCCTTCTCTCTCCTTACCTGGGTTTCCTTTCTTTCTTTTTTTTTTTCTTTCTTTTTATTTTTTTTCTTTTGAGACGGAGCCTCGCTCTGTAGCCAGGCTGGAGTACAGTGGCACAATCTTGGCTCACTGCAACCTCCTACTCCCTGGTTCAAGTGATTCTCCTGCCTCAGCCTCTGGAGTAGCTGGGATTACAGGCACATGCCACCACGCCCAGCTCATTTTGGTATTTTTAGTAGAGATGGGGTTTCACCATGTTGGCCAGGATGGTCTTGATCTCCTGACCTTATGATCCGCCAGCCTTGGCCTCCCAAAGTGCTGGGATTACAGGTGTGAGTCACCGCACCCGGCCGGTTTATTTTCTTTAACTACATTCAGCCCATCTAAAAGAAGCTTGATCACGTACTTGTCTGTTCATCTCTTGCTAGATAACTCCACATTTGGTAACATATAAGATCTGTGAAACTAGAGATGTCCTCTGTTTTCTCATCATTTTATCTCATTACCTAGAAGGATGCTTGGAGCTTGGGTGGGGACGTGCAGTGAATAATTGTTGAAATAATTTTTACTTCACGTAGACTCCATTTAATTGCTATTGTCCCATTTGGGTGCATGAAACATTTATCTGAATACACATATAAAACATGGTATCACTCTGCTAAATCAGTTGAATGTGTATTGAGACATCACTGATGTCTAGGTAATGTAGACGAATGCTGTTTGATTCTTCAGGGTTTCCTCATGCAAGGGCTAAGGCAAAACTTCCCCTTCTCCTCTGAAGTTTTGCTGAATAATCAGCTCTCAAAAGGCAGATTAATTGGAGGAAAGGTATACAAATTTTGTTAACATGTACACAAGATCATTCAGAATGAAAACCCAAAGATACAGGGAAACTGTCCATTTTATATTTAGGTTCAACAAAGTACGGACAGCTATGTATAAATAGGATTGGATAAAAAGGGCCTGATCTTACGCTAATGGACTGAGGGCAGAAACCCAGCCGGGCCTGTCTGTCTAGATTCTTCTTGGGGTCTCTGAGCAGTGCTGCCTTTCTTTCAGGTGTGGGGCAGGACCCTCTCTGGAACAGGGTCTTAGGACCTACAGTCAAACAAGGTACATCAGGTCATATCTTCATGGCCTGTTTTTACACAGAAAGGTAGGTGTGAGTAGACTCATTTGTTTAGGTTTTATGGCTGGCTTTGGGGAAAAGGGATTCTGGTTTCTAGGGCACGCCTTTGGGAAGAGGGATTCTAGTTTCTATGGCACCTCAGGGGAGAATAGAACTGAGAGACAGGAGGCAGGAGAAGGTCAGAGAGAAAACTTTTGCTTCTGAGGCTGTTGCTGAGGCCTGCGTGTAGGGGTATTGTTTGCTGAGCCCCAGGCACTCATTAAGTGGTTAGTGTCCTCATGTGAACCATTCTCATGTTGCAGCCTAAATCACAGTGGAGCTACAGTGATTAATAAGTCACCCAATCTAAGTTGCAGTCATCATTTTCCCCTTCCAAGTTAGATTTCATTTCAAGATTAGCTTTTTAAAAATGGTGCATAGGATTTCATTAAAATAAAACTTTTTACTGTTAAGGTGTTGTTTGAACTTCCATCACTAAAATTGATACTAGATAGCTTCATCACATGGACATCCAAGTGTTCAAAAGGGTAAAAGACATAGGATTGTACTCCCTGGATGTGCAGTTACTGGGGACATACATTTGCTTAAGCTATTACAGAGATTCCTTTGTGGTGGAAATTAACTTGCTTGCAATTTTTTTCAATGACTATTTCATCTGCTAAGGTGTCAAATCTCTTTCTATTCTCTGCATGATAGAAGTAAGTGGAGCAGGCCTGGTGTGATTCCCTGATTTATGCTGGGCAGTTAGTGGCCTGTCCAGTCTCACATACACAATAGAGAGCGTTGGCCTGGAGGTGGTTCAATAACTAATTTAACCTCAAACCTAATTCTTTTAATGATGTATCAATCACAGCCCCTTAAAACGCCCGCGTCAAATGAAAATATACAGCTTCAGCTTGAATTTAATTAATTTATACAGCATTCATTTTACCTTAATGAACACCCCTCTATGTGGACTGAATACTTATGAGTACACATAAATTGCAGTTCCAATTTTCGCTGTCCATGAAAAGTAAAGCCAGGAGAAATAAAGAAAAATATCATCACCCACCTATTAAAGATAGGTGATGTTTTCTTTCAATCGTGGGATGCGGGTGGAAAACGAAGAGTGGGAAAAGGAGTGAGAAAAAAACAACTGAATAGACTTAACCACCTATGTTAAGCAATGTGTGAGACATTTTAAATATTTTACCAGATTTGGTCTTCAAGAAAAGTCTATGAAGAGGGAAATGGGTTCTTGGAAAGAGAAAGTGGTTTCTACTCAAGTTGGCTTGGTTTGGAATGGATCATTTTCTTTCCATTATGCTATAATGCTACCCTCTGAAACTGAGGGCTAACCTGATTAAGCCTGCCAAACATCACCTGCCTTCCTTGCTTTTAACTGTCTATGTCTAGTTAGTCTTAAAACTTACAGAGCTGAAAGTCACATAGCTAATCAATCCCCTAGTTTCCTATAGATAATATCTCTGACACATGGGTCACCATGCTAACAGTTGCTTCAAGTTGTTTATCAGGAACTTGAGGTCAGGTCTTGTCCAGTTCAAGCCAAATTGAGACCATGACCCTTCATCTGGGCCTGTGTGCATGCAAGAGAAGTGATCGTTTGATGTCAGAGGGCCAAAAACTCCTCCCTCAAATCATACAAATGCCCTCATTTTCTTCACATGTGTCCCATGAAGAGCCATGAAGCTTGACTATGCATGTGCAGACTGTGGACTCCCTCACTTTTTCTTTCCTCCAGTCACCTTTCCCCATGCCGCAGACTGTTGTCCTCTTTCTCCCATAAACATCCCTAAAACCCCATCTTCAGAAAGGTAGATCTGAGAGCTGTTTTGCCACCTTCTTGCTTGGCAGCCTCATGAGAATAAACTCTTTCTCTCTTGCAAAACCCATCATCACAGTGGTTGGATTACTGTACACAAAGAGAACGGGCCTGGTTTGTTCTCACTTTCAGAGATGGGCAGTAACAATAGGCATACAAAACCACTGGATTCTCAAAAGTAGGCTGGTAGAAAGGTTTGGGTTTTGTCCCCAGGTGTGCTGATTGGGTAAGATTCCAAACTTTATGGACGTTGGATTTTGTCCTTATTTAATAAGGCCCTTGAGCAGAATGGTCTCAGAGGTTAAATTCAACTGCCACTAGCCATATAGTATCAAAAGCTGTTTTGTTGCTGTTTTCTAGGAGTTAGGCCACAGCTCTGTATATAACAGAAAGACAACTAACAAGGCCGGTTTTGCTTCTTACTTAATATAGACAGATATAAGTATAATGTCAAATGGATGACACTGACCCCACAGAGAGACAAAGAAGAGTAGGCAAATGTCAATGCAATAAAGTAAAACACCTTTGCTCTCTACAGTAAACATGCTATAACTTAGGGATTTTTAAAAACTAAAGCATCTATAGGTAACTTAAACAAATTTGCATGCCAAAAAACAACCCCATTAAAAAGTAGGCAAAGGACAGGAACGGACACTTTTTTATAAAGGACATATACACGGCCAACAAGCATGTGAAAAAAAGTTTGATATCACTGATCATTAGAGGAATGCAAATCAAAACCACAATGAGACACTGTCTCACACCACTCAGAATGGCTGTTATTTAAAAGTCAAAAAATAATAGATACTGGCGAGGTTGCAAAGAAAAGAGGACACTTACATGCTGCTGGTGGGAGTGTAAGTTAATTCAACCACTGTGGAAAGTAGTGTGGCAATTCCTCAAAGAACTAAAAGCAGAACTACCATTTGACCCAGCTATCCCATTACTGGGTATATATGCCCAGAGGAATATGAATCATTCTACCATAAAGACACATGCACACGAATGTTCATTGCAGCACTATTCACAAAAACAAAGACATGGAATCAACCTAAATGCTTATTAATGGCAGATTGGATAAAGAAAATATGGTATATATACACCAGGGAATACTATTCAGACATAAAAAAAGAATAAGATCATGTCCTTTGCAGGAACAAGGATGGAGCAGGAGGCCATTATGTTTAGCAAACTGATGCAGGAACAGAAAACCAAGTATCACAGGTTCTCACTTATAAGTAGGAGCTGAACAATGAGGACACATGAACACATAGAGGAGAACAACACACACTGGGGATTATTAGAGGGGGGAATGTGGAAAGAGGGAGAGGGTCAGAAAAAATAACTCAGGGGTAATAGGCTTGGTATCTGGGTGATAAAATAATCTATACAACAAACCCCCAAGATACAAACTTACCTATGTAACAAACCTGCACATTTATCCCTGAACTTAAAATAGAAGGTTTTTTTAATTAAAAAAGAAAATGTGTGTATAGAAGTTCCCATGCTACTTGTCATAGCTAATGAGTGGAAGGCACATTAGTATTTTTCCATAGAGATGAAATGAATTGATTAAATGTTACATCCTCATAACATAAAATTGCATCAGGCAATTAAAATAAATGAACTAGAATCTACAGGTATTAACATGAAAATAAATAGTAAAATGTCTTGTGAGAAAAAAAAGAGTCTTCTAATTAAAAAGTCTGTAAAAAGGTTGGAGACATTATGTTTTGTTAATGGCATGTTTTAGCTTTAAGGGCATCCATTGACTATCTACCATGAAAGATGAAACACTTTCTACAGATATCTTCCTGGCACCTACACTCTCTCCAACTTACCAGTTTTTTGTTGTTGTTGTTGTTATATTGTCATTTTTCAAAAGGCCAAATTTTGTAACAGTTAAATTCAGTTTCCAAAATTCCTTTCATAATTTTATCTTACAACTAAATTGGGATGGATTTGTTTCATACTAGCACTCATGAGATCAAGCCTTCTAAATTTCAGAGTAATTTTCCCACCATCTGTTTCAATGGGTTTCACCCTTAAGTAGCTCTTCTTCAAGAAGAAACCTTGGTTGCTGTCATATGTCTTCATACTTCAAGGACAATTGTGAAGAACATATTTGTTTCAATCTTTACAGCTGTTGCCCCATTCCATTCTGACATAGAGCATCTAAGGCCAGCCTGCTTTTTCTCCATGTTCTACTGGACTTCCTTTTCTTCGTTAATGCCCTCATCTTTATTTTCAATGTTTGGTAGCATCTCTAAGTGATGTTTTGGTGAGAAATTTATTGTGTAGCAGTTTTCTGAAAATCAACTTTGAACCACTAGAGTGAAGTCTGATTTATTTTTTAAAATTCCTCTTATGTTATATCTTTATTTTTTCCTTCTGTTCTTGTCTTCAGGAATGTCCAACAAGCATCTAGAAAAAAGTTGAACATCACTGATTATTAGAGAAATCCAAATCAAAACCGCAGTAAGATACCATCTCATAACAGTCAGAATGGCTATTATTAAATGTCAAAAAATAACAGATGATGGCAAGGTTGCAGAGAAAAGGGAATACTTATACACTGTTGGTGGGAGAGTAAATTTGTTCAGCCATTGTGGAAAACAGTATGGTTATTCCTCAAAGAGCTAAACACAGAACTACCATTTGACCCAGCAATCCCCTTGCTGGGTATATACCCAAAGGAATATAAATCCTACCATAAAGATACGTGTATGTGTATGTTCTTTGCAGCATTATTCGCAATAGCAAAGACATGGAATCCACCTAAATGCCTATCAGTGTGGACTGGATAAAGAAAACATGGCTCATATACACCATGGAATACTATGCAGCCATAAAAAAGAACCAGATCATGTTCATTGCAGGAACAAGGATGGAGGAGGAGGCCATTATCTTTAGCAAACTAATGTGGGAACAGAAAATCAAATACCACGTTCTTTTTTTTTTTTTTTTTTGAGACGGAGTCACTGTCGCCCAGGCTGGAGTGCAGTGGCACAGTCTCAGCTCACTGCAAGCTCCACCTCCCGAGTTCACGCGATTCTCCTGCCTCAGCCTCCCGAGTAGCCGGGACTACAGGCGCCCGCCACCACGCCTGGCTAATTTTTTGTATTTTGTTTAGTAGAGACGGGGTTTCACCATGTTAGCCAGGATGGTCTCGATCTCCTGACCTTGTGATCCACCCGCATTGGCCTCCCAAAGTGCTGGGATTACAGGCGTGAGCCACCACGCACGGCCTCAAATACCACATGTTCTTACTTATAAGTGGGAGCCTAATGATGAGAACACATGGACACATAGAGGGGAACAACACACACTGGGGCATGTTGGAGGGTAGAGAGTGGGAGGAGGGAGAGAATGAGGAAAAACAACTAATGGGTACTAGGCTTAATACCTGGGTGATGAAATAATCTGTACAACAAACACTCATGACACGAGTTTCCCAATGTAACAAACCTGCACATATACCCCGAGCCTAAAATAAAAGTTTAAAAAAGGGAATGTCAGTTATGCAAACATTGTATCCTCTTTGTCTTTTATTGCTATCTAATCCAATGCTAAACATGCTTATCTTTCTTTGTGTCATTTGGAGTGATTTCCTAAAATCTATCCACTGTGTTTCTGGCAGTATTTCAGTCTTTTAAATTCTATTTTATTGTAATCTAAATAGCATTGTCAACTTTCTTGTTCTTATTTTTCCGCTCTTATGAGCTTTCCCAACTTAATTTGAATCAAGTAATCTGTTGCTTCTGTTGTTTTGTAATCTCTCTTTTTTTCTTAAAGACATGTATTTCTTTCAACTCATGTTGACAGAAAAATCATGTGTTGAAAATGTATTGTGGGAGTATGAAAAATGATACTTGAAGAATTTTCTGAAATCACTATTTGCTTATGTGAAGCATATTTTTAATTTTCTTTTTGACTGTTTATCTTGCCACCCCACCCCACCTGCCTTCTTTGCAGTTTTTAAGCAAGAGTTTTCTGGTGGCTATTTTGACGTTTACTTGTCTTAGAACAGATCATCGGCAATGCGCAGACTAAAATTGAAGGGATCTGTTCTACAGCTCTCATTTAGTTTGTTACTTTAAACTTCCTCTTGTGAAATCCGTTATTCTTTGTCCTGGGTGCATATCTCTTCTCAGATTCAAGAGTTTAGAGAGTTGGTGTAGATGACAGCAAAACCCCTTGTATTAGTCCGTTTTCACGCTGCTGATAAAGACATAAAAGACAAAAGGATAAAAGACATATGATAAAGACATAACAGAGACTGTAATTTATAAAGCAAAAGGGGTTTAATGGACTTACAGTCCCACATGGCTGGGGAGGCCTCACAATCATGGCAGAAGGTGAAAGGCACGTCTTACATGGCAGCGGCTAGAGAGAATGAGAGCCAAGTGAAAGGGGTTTCCCCTTATAAAACCATCAGATCTCATGAGACTTACTCACTTCCACGAGAACAGTGCAGGGAAAACGGCCCCCATGATTTAATTATCTCCCACCGGGTCCCTCCCACCACACGTGGGAATTATGGGAGCTACAATTCAAGATGAGATTTGGGTGGGAACACAGCCAAACCACACCATCCCTTATCCCATCGTTTCTCTGTGGGTGTATTTGTAATCTTGCGATGACTTCCTCCCCAAATTTATTTAACTTGCTTCAACTAAGGCAGCCTTGTAGAGTTAGCAGTATCTAAGTCTTATGAAAATAATGGGGGTGACAGTTTTTCAAAAATTTCAGATGCTTTTCC